>NC_000001.11:192559587-193184587 GCF_000001405.40 Homo sapiens
GATTCATGAGAGGAGGTCAAAAGATCAGTAATAACAGGCGTTTGGAAGAAGTTGAGTCACTGCGGATGTGGTGCAAATAGCAGGAGAACTAGAAATAGAATTGGAGCCTGAAAATATGACTGAATTGCTGCATCTCATGATTCCTTCCTCACTAAGCCCAGTCATTTCTAACTTTTAATTTAAGGTGAGACTCATGTGACTCTTCCTTTCAGTTGAACATTTAGCGGCCATTTTAGGGTTATTAACTGGACTAATTTTAACATTGTTGTGTGTCAGGAAATAGGAAGGCCTGAAGAGAGAGAGAGAGATGGGAAATGGCCAGCAGTACAGCAGCCAGAACACAAACAACATTTATCAATTAAGTTCACTGATATGGGTGAGGTTAGTAGCATTCCAAAACAATGATGATGGTAAAATCAAACATCACTGGTCACAGATCACCATAACAGATATAATAATAATGAAATGTTAAAATATTTTGAGCATCACCAAAACGGAACACAGAGACATGAAGTAAACACATGCAGTTCGAAAAAGGTGCAGATAGACTTGTTTAACGCGGGGTTGCCACAAACCTTCAGTTTGTAAATCTACACTATCTATGAAGTGGAATAAAGTGAAGTGCAATTAGAGAAGATAGGCCTGCACACCCCTTCCAAGTGCACATAGATCATTTATGAAAATAGAACATATTTTCGGCCATAAAGTGTATCAATACGTTTTAAACGTATTGAGATCCAAGCCATACAGAGTATGTTCTCTGTATCTTAATAGGATTAAATTGAAACTCAGAAACAAAAAGATCTTTGAAAAAATCTCCAAGTATATGGAAACTAACTAACACATTACTAAGTAATCTATGGGTCAAAGAAATCAAAAAGGAAGTTAAGGTGTATTTTGAACTAAGTAAAAATGAAAACACAACATATCAAAATTTATGGGATGCTGCTTAAGTAGTACTTAAAGGGAATTCATAGCACTAAACATCTATGTTAGAAAACAAGAAATGTCTTAATTCAATTATCTCAGCTTTCACCTCAAGAAAGCAGAAAAAGAAAAGCACATAAAACCTAAACTTAGCAGAAAAAATGGAATAAAAATCAGACCAGAACTCAATAAAATAGGAAATAGAAAATCAAGAAAACTGAAAGCTTCTTTAAAAAGATAAAATTTGTTTTTGGAAATATGGACTGCTCTGTAATAGCATCAGTATAAACTAGTAAAACCAACCATTCTATCTGCTCCTACACTCTCTACTCACTAATTATTTTTCTATTGTTGTATGCTTTCACACAAACTCCTGAAAATAAATTACATAATTAGATTGTGTACCACATAAATTGTCAATATTCAACAAATTTTTAGTATAAAACTGGCAATTCCGG
The DNA here is from genome assembly GCF_000001405.40 of Homo sapiens. Lineage (NCBI taxonomy): Eukaryota > Metazoa > Chordata > Mammalia > Primates > Hominidae > Homo > Homo sapiens. The sequence continues at coordinate 192,560,973 of NC_000001.11, forward strand.
CCGGGCGCAGTGGCTCACGCCTGTAATCCCAGCACTTTGGGAGCCCAAGGCAGGCGGATGACAATGTCAGGAGTTTGAGACCAGCCTGATCAACATGGTGAAACCCCATCTCTACTAAAAAAACAAAAGAATATTAGCCAGGCGTAATAGCGCGCCTGTAATCCCAGCTACTCAGGAGGCTGAAACAGGAGAATCGCTTGAAGCCAGGAGGCGGAGGTTGCAGTGAGCCGAGATCGTGGCATTGCACTCCAGCCTGGGTGACAGAGCGAGACTCTACCTCAAAAAAAATAAATAAATAAAAATAAATAAAAATTAAAAAGGCAATTTCATGAGTCATCTAATAGATATAAATATAAACATAATGAAGAATGCAATCTGCACTGTTGATTGTCTTAATCATAGTGATTGCTCTGCTGTGCCACCCAGATTCCCCCACTTCAGGACTATAGCATTCATTCCCCAGTTGCTGAAAGTGTTGCCAACCAACACCTCTTAGCTAAGCACAGCTGAAGGGACCTACTTCCCCTAAGGTCCCAGCAACTTTGTTGGGGCAGCTTGCATCCCATAACTAGTCAGCGAATGATTTAAAGGCACAGTCGCCTTGATTCAAGCTGGATAAAGTCTGAGGGCAGGCCTAGGTTCGATGATGACTGCAGGATTGACTGAGGCCCTCGTTGTGACTGCAGCTCAGCCCAATCTCTCTCTCTGCCCTATTTCACTGACCTTCATCCTCCACAGGTATTGAACCCAAAATGCATGCCCAGTAAACTTCCTGCACACAAATCTCTTTCCCTGAATTGGCTTCTGGTCAACCCACACTGCAGCATTTCTCTTTATCTTCTTCAATATGAAGCAATATGAAAAGTTTTTGCACAGTTGGAGGAAAAATGGAACTAATGTACAAGGACTAGTGTATCTAATTCTGGAAAGTTTTGGTTTTATTTTTTAAAAGAAGCTGAAACATAAATAATATATATAATCATTTTATAAATATATATTTAATAAGCATATGCATAAATAGCACATTCTAGCAACTTAGGCTATTTTCATAAAATGTTCCTCTTAAAAGTTGAATTCCACATAGATACCATTTCTCCTAATTTTATCACTGAGGGAAAAAAAAGTCAGGTAATATTTTCCCAATTTTATAGAGTGAATCAAGGCTCATTTTTGATTACGTTACAAGCCCAGGATATCATAGCACTCTAATCAATATAGTTCCTATTAGAGATATCCATCTTTCTGTTTTGAATGACTTGAGGTGCTTTAGATAGGAGATTTGGGTTTATTTTATTCTTGAAATGTTAATGGTGATTTTTTTCTACTTGCTTGTTTTGTTTTCCTTTAAAGGGGAAAAGGGTACAAATGAAAGTGGAACTAAGGGAAATGGTGACTTTTTCCTCCAATAAGGCCTTGCAGGAGGGAAGGCACAACCAGGCCTCCAGAGAGTTGGGGGGATGAAGTCAGAGCTAGGAGCAGACACAATGGATTAGACCACTAGCAAAGGGAAGAAAGACAGTTTCTCAAGACAGGGTTATACTGCGGTTCAGAGAAACAAAAGCAGGCAGAGCCTGATCATGGGTGAGGAAAATTCTCTGTTCTCTATTAACCACCATATATTTGCTATGCGATCTTAAGTAAGTTTCTTTATCCCTTTGAGCCTCCATTTCCTTATCTAAGATATGAGTAATTGTGCATACCTCATAAGATTGCTCTAAAAATGAAGTTTTATCGTCTTCCTAGTCAGACTGCTCAATATGATCCATTTTCTCTGGATCTGGTAGGGGTGTATAAGAAAAAAGTGAATTGTAATAGCCAGACACATGTGACTTGGGTCCTTAGCATGTGGATGGAAAGGTAAGCTCAACATGACACTCAGGCTGACTTTGCTTGCCTTCTTTTTTACATTTGTTCTATTTCAGCATGACTGTATTGTTTCCACATTTTTTAAAAAACACTGCAAGTAATATGAAAACAGTAAGCAGTGCTTTTTCAAAATAACAGTACAATAGTAAAGGCACTATTGCCTGTCAGAGCTACAACAGAGCGCTGCCTGCATATCCTTCTTCCAGGGGCTCAAGAGAAAATCACTTCAGTTTAGAATCCCAGAATATATCCAAACTTTCACTAAATCTATGAGTTCAGAATACTATTTCTGAGAAGGATGTAAGAGGAAGTGGTAGGACTTGGAAAATTAAAACAAACTAATTACGAAAATGTCATATTGTTGAGGACATCAGACAGCTAGAGAAGCAAAGAAAATTAGATGAATTAAAATTCAAAAAGGGAAGATCCCTTCATTGGTGGGCTTAGATCACTGACATTTTCTTTTCTGGAAACATTAGCCACATGCAGGCACAGGCAGAAAGTGGGGTTTCAGACTCTGCCGATAAAACTCTACAAGGGAAAATAGATATCAGCAGAGCCTTCGTGGGGCACATGGGTTGATGTTGTATTAGAATCTAGACTAGTCCTACCTTGGTGTGGTTGCTCATGCCTGTATTCCCAGAACTTTGGGAGATGAAGGAAGCAGGAGGATCACTTGTGGCCAGGAGTTCAAGACCAGCCTGGGCAACAATCAAAACCATATCAATATAAGTCTAAAAAAAAAAATAACAAGGAATGGTGGCATGTGCCTGTAATCCTAGCTACTCAGAAGGCTGAGGCAGGAGGATCACTTGAACCCAGTCGAAGGCTATAGTCAGCTGTGTTCATGCCAGTGCACTCCAGCCTGAGTGACAGGGCCAGATCCTGTCTCTAAAAATAAAATAAAACAAAATAGTTCCGAACACACAGAGAGCTTTCTATGTAGGATAACTGCTTTGTGCTTTTGCTGCACAGGAGGGTAGAGGCCTTGCCTTAAAAAGCTGAATGAAATCTCCGTCACTCCACTCGGCTGCCCCTTGCTGACTTTGTGGAAAGAAGCCTACATGCACAGTTGCTGGAGGAAGCAATTAGAAAAAAACCTGGGCAGGCTTTTCATTGCCTCAACCCTTCATATTCTAATCATATAGAAATGATGCTCCAACTAACTAAAACTGGACAGAGAAGAGTGGAGATAATTTAAGGTATGCTGATTTCCTTCCCTTTTATTGCTGGGTGCCAAACAATACATCTCAAAGATGGTAAGTCAAGTCATAGTGGTAAAAGTTTGATCCTTTCTTTTCTCACGTACAAGAAATCTGGAGATCGGCCAATCAAGCTGGAACTATGGCTTCATGATTTCATCAGGAACTCAAATCTTTCTATATTTCTGTTCGGCTACCCTTGGCCTCTGGCATTTGCCCTTTTGAAACCACATGGTAGGTGAGATGGCTGCTCAGACAGAGGGATGTAGGGGAAAGGGCAAAGGGCAAAGAACACAAGCTGGTTGGACCTGCCCTCTTTTAAAGTGCCTGGAAGCATAATTAGCACACAGGAAGTATTATTTGTTGAGTAAATAAAATTAATGAATCCTTTATGACCCTGCCTATACTGGGTTACGCACCACCTTATGTCCTCCCAGAATGCCCAGAATTGTACATAATACATGTCTTTTGTTGTTGTTGTTTTGGTTTTTTTCCATTCATTTTTCTCTCTCCAAAATAAGACTCACCTCTGGATTCTTTTATCTAGCAGAGTGACTAGCAGAAAATAAGCATTTACTAAATGTTTGTTAAACCATTGAACAAATTAATGTAAGCCCCAGCCCTTAACCCCTTTATTCAACAAGATTTTTTAGTACCTTCTATGGGCCAGGTACTATTTCAGACATTTGAGCAAAACAGAGAAAGATCCTTGTCCTCATAGATTCTTCATTGTAATGGGGAAGAGGCAGAAAACTAACATAAACATAATATATTGAATTAAATAGTGGGTTAGAAGTTATTAAGTAGAATGAGGGGGAAAGCAGATGAAGATAGATGGTAACAGGATAAGGAGAGGGCCAATTGCAATTCTAATTACAGTGGTTGCAGAAGGCCTCATTGACAAGACAGCATCTGACCAAAAACGTGAAGGAAGTGAAGGAACTGGCCAAGTAGATATCTGGGGATATTCCAGGCAAAAGGAATAGCCAGTGCAAGAGCCCAAAGGCAAGAATGAGCCTGACAGGTTGAGAAGCAGCCAGGGGGCCAGTGAGGCTGGAGGTGAATGAGGGGAGAGAAGAGTAAATGATGTTTAGGCCAGAGGAGTCAGGAATTAAATAATGTCAGGCCCCACAGACCATTATAGGAATTTTGATTTTTTACTTTGGGTAAAATTGAGAGGTCTTCCAAAAACACATGTTTAAAAATAGGTATTTTTTTTCATAGTCTATTAACTTAATAAAGAGACAATGATATTAGCATCTGGAACCGGTTTGGAGAGGCCTCTCCTGTTGGGGTATTGAATTTATATCCAAAAATGACCCCTGCTCAAAAATATACTTTAAAAATGTTTTGAAAACACCTTAGTTTTTTTCCTACTGAACTCTAACTCCTAGCATATAAAAACTAACCTTAGTTTCAATTTCCCTTAAATACGTCTCAACAAAGTCATTCCTCATTCTGATCTGTTAAAATAATGTGAAACATTTGTTCAGAAAAATTTTGCTTTGTTTGTAGATCATGACTGAAAGACTATAGATTGTACTTGACCATGGGAGACAGTCCTCAAAAGCCCCAAGAGTTTAACTACTCATTGAGGTGATCTATTTTTTTCTTCTAATTTCACAAAGGTAAACTGTTAACAAAGGTAAAGGTTTCACAGTGAAATTGTCTAGGAAAGGAAAGAAAGAGAGGGAGGGAGAGCGGCAGAAGGAAGGAAGAAAGAGGAGGTGGAGAGGGAGGAAGGAAGGAAGGAAGGGTGGGGGGAGGGAAGGAAGGAAGGGGAAAGAAGAAAAATAGTTCAGGTACAAAAATACAAGGGTTTTGGCAGAAAAGGCATATTAAAGAAGTAGAAAGAGGAGACTGAACAGTGTTTCTGAGAAAGAAAAAAGCCTGGATAATGTCCTTCTTACTACATAGTGCTGGGCATAGTTTTAATCATTGGTTAATTATTGGTTAACCATTGGTTAATATCAAGTGTTATATTGGATTAGGCATGGCTAAAATAGACTTTAATTTGATGTAATCATAGGTACTTTTATTCAACTTTCTATGAGATTACAAACACCTTTGTCATACCCTCATCTCATAGCAGTTGTGCAATCAAATGGTTTTAGAGCTATCCACAGCTTCCCAGGCCTTCCTTCTCTAGACCAACTGATATTTGATTTGAAAGTTGGGTATGGTTTCTGCCAGAAAGAAGAGAGAGAGAAAGAGGCAGAGAGAGAGACAAAGAGAGAGAAAGCCTCAATGTTTCAAATCTATTTCATGATTACTTCCGAAGTGATCTTTTGTGTAAAACACACAAATTTTCTCATAAAAGAGAAGTGAAATTGTGACATTTTCTATGGTATTATTCTACTGTCTTGGAAACTGCCCCAAATCGGGGAAATTCTGTATAAAGGGGGAAAATCCTAATGGACTGATAATTTTTAGGTCTTCTCAGCAGCTTTTAATTTTCCATGAATGGTGTATAATGATTCATCTAAAAATAGGAAAGATAAATTATGAAATGTGACCATCTACAAGGTTAAAGAATGTGATTTCCAGGATTGAAGAGGGTCACATAATTCCTGATACAAGTGCTGTATTCTGCAGTGGTTTCAGTCTTGTTGAGAATCAATCAACAGTTGTTCTACAGTGAACAATGAAGTCAGGAGAGGGACAGATCAGTTTCAGAGATTGTCCGGACGTTCTCAGCCCCACCATGACATTTCCAATCCTTATCCCATTCTGGCCTCACTTCCCCACTTTCGTGCACATATCAACCTCCTGCCCTCATTTAGTGCAAGCATTACTAATTGCCACACTTTGTCTGTATTGCTCACTCTTTCACATGGGGCAACAGAGATGCCTCAACCTTGCCTAAGCAAAATGTGAGAAAAGAAACCCCAGGCTAGAAAAATGGAACAAACTCCCACACAAAATAGGCCTCTTAATATTTCTATACACTGTTTTTGGTATGTTAAGATCTTCCTGTTGCAACTAAGAGCCTGGTCTTAAGAGAACCAATATGGGGATAAGCCACAAAGTCACAAATAAAACATCAACTTCAGATGAAATAGAACTTAAAACGTTGCAGTGACTACAAAGAGAAGACAAAAGTTACCTGATCTTCACGAAGAAAATAACAGTTTATAGCAGTTCATAAATTTATATTTTCTGATCTTCCATAGCATCTGAAACAAAACATAAAACAAGATTATGAGTTTGTTCTGTCTTTGAGTTCCTACCAAATATATTGCCCTGGTTTTCTGTTTTCATAACACAATAAAAAAAATAGGCAAGACAAAACACACAGGAGGAAAAAACATGGGTAAGAAGAGATTGTTTACACTTCAGGATTCTGCTGCCTTTAGAAGTGCAAAATATAAGCTTCACAAGTTGCTGACAGTCATGTTTCCCCAATTTGTAGCTGACTCTGGTCTATAGCAAATTCACAATTTACAAGCATTCTAAGTCCCCTACCCCCTAGTTCAGTCTTAGCTGATCTTTGAGGGGTTAGTTGTTCAACATTTCCTTTTATTACTTAAGGTACCCAAGGGTATTCCAGTTATCTTCCTATTTACCTAAGCTAATTAACAGTCAATGTGGGGCTGCTGACACTTGCAGCTATGGAAATCCTATCTAAAACAACAGACAACTCAATATTCCTCCACAACAGGAGGGAGCTGGATAAGATCTGCAGTTGGGAGGGATCAATATCCAGCTATAAGTACCTAAGAAAAAGCAGGAAAATTAAATTGAAGTTGGAAGGAATAGTCTGTGACATTAACATCTGAACATACATTTATACATTTGATTAACATATTAATTTACAGAAATCAACTAACTAAATAAAAAAGGAAATCCAAGACAAGTAAATATTGATAGGGAAAGAAGCAATCTGGAAGACTGGCCCAGTGAATGCAGAGTTGCAGTGGTAAGAGTAGCCCTGCATTTGGAACAGGTGGATTGCCAAATTTACTAAATTTTAGGAAGAAGTCTAGGCAAAGAACTCTAACATCATAAGAAAAATGGAAAACATCCTAGCTATGGCAAATTCTGTCTAAATCTTAATTTCTCTGGGGCTAGTTTTGATTGGTATAGAATTTCAAAAGGAGATCTTCCCATGCCACTACCATAGCTGCAAGTTGCTGATGATCGCCTTTGACTTCTACACAAAGAAAACTGAAAAGAAGTTAGCTGATTTGATCAAACTCACACAGCAGGAAAAGGTATAGCTGTGAGAATTGGCTCACAGTCTTTTGAAATGTGAGATTTCAAAGCAGCAAGATGAACATGTCACTGGGATTCAACAGAATCAAAGCCTTTCATTTATTTTTTAAAATAGAATACAAATAAGATGGCAGACAAGGCTTAATAAAAAAAAAAAAAACAGAACAGACACAGAAAACAGTGGAACACCACAGACCACTTGTACTCACAATAATAGTAGTATACTGCTAAGCATGGACACTATCTGTTGACTTAGAGCTACTTTCTCAAGTAGGAAGATTATTACTACAAACAAATGTCCGGTAAGTCTGACACCAATATTTAGTAAAATAATAATAATAAAATATATAGGTATATATATTATATACACATATTATATAAATGTATACACTTTATATATATAGATATATGTAAATAGACATAAAAGCAAAGCATTAGAAAGGACATGAAGAAAGTGGAGTTAATGTGTTTGTCAGCAATAACTGGCATGGTTTTGGAAAGAACAGAACATGTCAGGAAATCTTGAGAGATTTTTCTAAGAAAATTATATAATTAATGAGGAAAAGCAAAGCAAATAAGTCTCTATTGTTAGCCACCTCGATGTTTAGTAAGAACAAAAGCAAATGAAATCACTGGAATAGTGTTATTAGAAACTTGGAAAGTTAACAGTCATTTATTGAAGTTGCTCTCTAATATTTAAAACATACCTCTGTATTAGGCCATTCTTGCATTGCTATAAAGAAATACCTGGTACTAAGTAATTTATTTTTTTAAAAAAGAAATTTAATTGGCTCATGGTTCTGCAGGCTATACAGGAAGCATAGCACTGGCATCTGCTTCTGGATAGGTCTCAGGAAGCTTCCAATCATGGCAGGAGGTGACAGGGGAGCAAGTGTCTCACATGGTGCCAGCAGGAGCAAGAGAGAGAGGGTTGTGGGGAGGGAGGTGCCACACTCTTTTAAACAACCAGATCTTGAGAGAACTCACTCACCATCATGAAGATCCTCCCCCATGAGCCAATCACCTCCTACCAGGTCCCACCTCCAACACTGGAGATTACAATACAACAAGAGATTTAGAGGGGACACATATCCAAACTATATCAATTCTGCCCCTTGCCCTCAAGCCTCAGTTTCTTCTCACACTGCAAAATACAAGTGTCCCTTCCCAACAGTCCCCCAAAGTCTTAAGACATTTCAGCATTAACTCAGAAATTCAAAGTCCAAAGTCTCATCCGAGACAAGGCAAGTCCCTTCCCCTTATGAGCCTATAAAATAAAAAACAAGTTACTTACTTCTAAGACACAATGGGGGTACAAGCATTAGGTAAACATTCTCACTCCAAAAGGGAAAAATCAGCCGAAAAAGGGGGCTACATGCTCCATGAAAGTCCAGAACCCAGCAGGGCAGTCTTTAAATCTTAAAGCTCCAAAATTATATCCTTTGACTCCATGTCCCACATGGAAGGCACAATGGAGCAAGGGGTAGACTCCCAATGCCCTGTGGATGTTTAGGGTGCAGCCCAAGTAGCTGCTCTCACAGGTTGGAACTGAGAGCCTGTGGTTTTTCCAGGCACAGGGTTCAAGCTGCCAGTGGCTCTACCATTCTGGGATCTGGAGGATGGTGGGTCCCTCCTCACAGCTCCACCCGTCAGTGCCCCAGTGGGGACTCTGTGTGGGGGCTCCAAAGCCACATTTTCTCTCCACATTGCCCTAGTAGAGGTTCTCTGTGAGGACTCTGCCCCTGAAGCAGGCTTCTGCCTGGCTACCCAGGCTTTCTTGCACACCCTCTGAAATCTAGGTGGAGGCTGCCAAGCCTCATTCACTCTTGCACTCTCTGTGCCTACAAGGTTAACCACACATGGAAGCTGCCAAGTTTTATAGCTTGTATCTTCTGAGGCAGCAGCCCTAGCTGTATCTAAGACCCTTTGAGCTGAGTCTGGAGCCAGAGCTGCCAGGATGCAGACAGCAGTGTCCTGAGGCTGCACCTAGCAGTGGAGCCCTTGGCCAAGCCCACAAAACCATCCTCCTAGGCCTCTAGGCCTGTGATGGGAGGGATTGCCCTGAAGGCCTCGAAATGCCTTTGAGGCCTTTCCCCCATTGTCTGGGATATTAGCACTTGGCTCCCTTTTCCAAGTATCTCTAGTAAATGGTTGCTCCACAGCTTGCTTGAATTCCTCTCCCACAAAAGCTTTTTCATTCCCTATCACATGGCTAGGCTGGAAATTTTCCAAACTTTTTTTCTCTGCTTCCCTTTTAAATAGAACTTCCAACTTGAAGTCATTTCTTTGCTTTTACATATAAGTGTAGGTTGTCAGAAGCAGCCAGGCCCCATCTTGAACACTTTGCTGCTTAGAAATTTCTTCTGCCAGATACTCTAAATCATCACTCTGAAATTCAAACTACCACAGGTCCCTAGGGCAGGGGCATAGTACAGCCAGGCTCTTTGCTAAGGCATAACATGCATGACCTTTGCTCCAGTTTCCGGTAAGATCCTCATTGCCATCTGAGACCTCCTCAGCCTGGACTTCATTGTCCATATCACTATCAGCATTTTGATCATGACCATTTAACCAGTCTCTAATAAATTCTAAATTTTCCATCATCTTCTCGTCTTCTTCTGAGCCCTCCAAACTCTTCCAACCTCTGCTTGTTACCCAGTTCCAAAGCTGCTTCCACATTTCAAGTAACTTTATAACAGTTCCCCCCTCCTCAGTACCAATTTTCTGTACTAGGCCATTCTTGTATTGCTATAAAGAAGTACCTAAGACTAAGTAATTTATTTAAAGAAAAGTGGTTTCATTGGCTCACGGTTCTGTAGCTTGCACAAGAAGCATAGAGCTGGCATCTGCTTCTGGGGAGGTCTCAGGAAGCTTCCAATCATGGCAGAAGATGAAGGGGGAACAGGTGTCTCACATGGCAGGAGCAAGAGAAATAGTTGTAGGGGACAGGGGCCACACTCTCTTAAACAATCAGGTCTTGAGAGAACTTACTCACCATTGTGAAGACAGCACCAAGCTATGAGGGATTCTCCCCCATGATCCAATCACCTCCCACCAGGCCCCATCTCAAACATTGGGAATTACAATTCAACATGAAATTTAGAGAGAACACAAATCCAAACTATATCACCTTCCTTTCCAAATCCTCTACATGCAGATATTTGAGCACCTCCATCATTTTTGCATTTATGTCATTGTTATGTAACAGAACATTCTATCCCAACTCCAAATAATGTGTCAGTGTTCATTTAGCATAGCTCTCCATTTATTTGGGTTTGGGAATAAGGCACCTCCTTCCATACTTACGAAATTTTATTTGCAAAGCACAGTCTAGAGTCAGACATAACTACTCTCTCTTGTTGAAAGGATTATAAGTGATAGTGTGACATTAAATGAAAATAAATCCAATATGGAATAAGTATACCAGAGATAATATTATCAAAAGATTTCCTCAGTGCTTTCAAGAATGTCTTGGAACACGGGCCTATTATCAAGAACTTAACTGGTAAAATTAGATTTAGGGTGAATGAGGCTTATTGAATCACATAAGCTCAGTTCACTGAAGGTCCCACATACTATTTTCTTGTAAATTCTCAAATTATAGAAAGGAGGCAGTCAGTGTTGACTGAAAGATTGGAGCAGAGTGAGAAAAAGAAACTAGATTCTTATCTTGCTCAGTTGCACTTACTGAGATCATTGAAGTTTAGTGTGTTGCATATATTTGCTCTTATTAAAACCCATCATATTTCTTCACAACAAAATCATAAGCAAGTCTAAAATGTTTAAACTTTTCATTCACACGATATAAAGTTTTCACCAACCCTCTATACACATACAGAGAAAAATCCTTCTAAACTCACTTTTGTTGCAGCTTTTTCAAATTTTCAAATAAACTCTATGAAATTTAGCTGAAACACTTTTAGTAGCCTTATCTATAAACCTTGAAGACCAAGGAAGCTCTGAGTGGTTATGCTAATTCAACTAAGTCATTCAGAGTACTTTTGAAAGTTTGCAAAGCTTTGTGAGTACATATGGGATCCATTTTTCCATGATCCTTCAACATAAAACTGGTCTCTTACTAGAGACCAGTTTCTCCATTGCAGCCATTTGAACTTTCCAAGGGATGCTAAACACAAATGCAGAAACAAGCAAAGAATAGATACATGTTGATTTTACAGTAAAGACAGCAGTACTTTGCTTCCTTTCTCATACTTCCAGAGGTAATTACTCCTCTGTGTTCTTTTCTCTGTACATTCCTCTCTGATGGCACCTCTCACAAACATCTGTCAGCCCCACTACACAGTGAACCCCTTAAGACAGAGATTCATTCATCTTTGTATCTGCAGTGCTTTATGTGTGATACACTGTAGGGATGCAATTAAACTTTGTTGAATCGAAACATTTTGTTTCAATGGATCAAGCTATCTTTCCACGTCACTGACTTTTCCAGTATGGATACATTTTTATTTTAAAATAGAATATTATACTCATCATTACCCCTTGTCTCACAATTCTAATATCCACAATAAGATTTTAGCAACATTTTAAAAGTTCAAACAACATCAGGTTTAAGGAAAGCACTCCCTATTAGTATTCCAGTAATTGGAGTAATTGAAACCAAATGTTTCCATTCAAATCAGTTCAGCAAAGATTAAAATTTTCCTTATTTTTCCTATCAATATCAACAGCCATAATCTGAAATGTCTTACTGAACCAATCTCCTAGGTATTTTAAAATATAACACTGGGATTTTTAGGGAAGGAAAAGTATTCTGTATGGTACTATAATGATGGATACATATCATGATACATTTGTCAAACTCATGGAATGTACAGCACCAAGAGTGAACTCTAATGTAAACTATAGATTTTAGATGATAATGCTGTGTCACTGTAGGTTCATCAATTATAACAAATATTTCACACTAACGAGGTATGGTGCTGGAGGTGGAGCTGGAGGCAAGGTGAAAGGTGGGGAGTTGTGGGAACTCTGTACTTTCCACTCAATTTTACTGTAAACCTAAAACTTCCCTAAAAATGAAGTCCATTAATTTTTCTTTAAAAAAAAAGATAACACTAAGACTACATGAAGTATTCCTTTTCCTAGAAACTCAAACCTAGATGTTTTAGCACAGTTTCAAAGAGGGAAAACTGAAACCCAGATCGTGAGACCCACTGTTTCTTCTACTGACGTTTTTGAAATCCTCTACTATTTCAACCAAAGTCATTGATTCAATAAAGTTACAATTTGACAGTTTATCTTTTCTTAGTGAAGTTTACAAAGAGGGGCCAGATAGTGGCACTCTCTTTAAAATTAATAGGGAACTTTCAATGCCCTGCCATGCACTTGTCACACTTGCTGATACAACTTGACCAAATTTGCCTTGTTCTGGAACACACAGACTTTGGGTGGATGAGCAAACAGCCTCTGAGAGAGCAGCTGCTTTATTGCATGACTAAGGTGACCTCATCAGCCAATTGTGATACAGGAATTTTGAAAGGACTCCCTCTTTCAAGAGTTTATATTTCTATTCAAGTGTGGAAGCATGCAGTTGTAAATGCTTGCGCTTCAAAATGTATATTGGGATAGGGGTAGCAAAATGTTGGGAGCATCAGAGCAGTTCCTAAATACACTACAGGCAAAAACTTATTTTGATCTCAGACCAGAGTTTCTTAACATAGTGTCAAAAAAACACATTATTTCAAAAAACTATTTTCCCTATCTAAAGAGGGTTTAGTTCTTTAACAAGTTAGGAGTCCAACATTTCCCAAACTTACTTGGCCCCATAATTTTTGCTGCTGCTCTTGTTCTTTGGAAACTGTCAGTATATTTGGATGATAATACTAGTGGGCTGTTAAAAATAATTTTTAAATCATTTTACTCTAACATAACTTACTCACAATTATTTAGAGGAGTGAGAGGATACTAGATCAACAAACATGAGCAATGTTGAAGATTTTAACAGGAAATTAAGTATGGACTGAACCACAGGAAGTATACAACCAAATGCCTTTATGTCATCTGTCTTTGAGTTTCATCGGTCTCATTAGGGTCACTTCCAAAGTGGCCAGCTCATCTCACCAGTTATCTTTCTTAATGCCTTATGTTATCTTCCCAACATAAAATGATGCTTGTTACATACAATATAATGAGCTCATTATAATGAAATTAATGACTGTGTATAAGTGAATTTTATAATATTGTAAATGTGTTTTCTTCAAATATTCTTTATCCTGACGATAGAACCAGAACAGAAAAATTAATACTCCCCTCCCTTTTATCAGCTTTACCTAATACCATCAGAAGCTTCACTAAGTAAATGCTTTTTTGTCCTTTTAAAGGAAAGTATTGTCCTTCCAGGGGTAAAATCCAAGGAGGCTTAAGTTAAACTGGGTACTCTATAAATAAGCCACACTTGTTATATAAACTTTTGAAAGCTTATATTTTACTAACTTCTCTATCCTTATAAATGATTAGTCATCTAGTTCCTTGAGTTTTGTTTGTGTTTTAAACTTTAATCTCAATTAAAGCTAAAACTGTTATCTCTCCAGAGATACTGCCAAAATGTGAAAGATCATTACCTAAGAAGTACACATTATTGGTCTATCCAAATAGACTTTTATTTTACCTTGAGCAGTTTTTCCTCTGATACTGTGACCTTGGTATCAGTATGTTTACAAATTATGTCATATTTGTATACAATTAAACATTTATTTATTTATGATTGGTTTTAATTAAACTTTATTTTTTCCTAATATGCAAAATATGCAAAAATCAAAGTTTGATATACTAGTTATATTCTTAATAAATATGAAAATAATATTAAAAACCATGCACCCCTTAAAATCATCCTATGTATTGCCAGTCGATGTCTAGCACACACCTTGGAAAATATTAACATGGAAATTTCCTGCCATGGAAATAAGGGATGAGAATTGGAGTGGGAAAATGTGAAGATAGCCTCTTATAACTTTCCCTCCTATCAGATATGTGCAAAATAATTAAACAAAAATTATTTGTTTACTTTGCCCTGCTTCCTGCAGAAAAGAAGAGAACTCTTAAAATATTTTGATCAGATGAATTTTATAGTCAAGGACTATCCAAAGCATGGAGTAAGATACAACTCTATGTGATGAATTTCTATGTGAGTTTCTATATGATAAATTAATACGCCAAATGAAACAGTTTATTGAAACATGCAACTTTTTTAAAATAAACAAACATCCTCCAGAACCAAAGACTGATGCTGTTAATGCTTTAGACATGTGACATATGTGTGTGTACCTCTGTATGTTTAATTTTCTTTCTTTCTAATCAAGTGACCTGTTCTCGTTTGGTTAAGTTTCAACCACAAGACACCACTGTATGCTTTTTTTTTTTCAAGATACACGTCACAGCACACCAAGAAAAGGGGAACTTCCAGTGTCTGTGGTAACATCACTTGATAAACAGACTCCTTTAAACAGCAAGTGCCTGTCTGCATTCTACTATATAAAGCAGCAGAGACGTTGACTAGCGCATATTTGCTAAGAGCACCATGCGCGCAGCAGCCATCTCCACTCCAAAGTTAGACAAAATGCCAGGAATGTTCTTCTCTGCTAACCCAAAGGAATTGAAAGGAACCACTCATTCACTTCTAGACGACAAAATGCAAAAAAGGAGGCCAAAGACTTTGTAAGTTTGTTCAGAGTCTCACTTTGTGAATTTTAACAAGTTATCTTTAATGGCAGAAGGATTGAGAATGAATGGAAGAGAGTGTGAGCATTTAGTTTAGCCAGATCAGAGGAGTTAATTGCCTGTTGTGAGTAATAAGTAATATTCAGCTGCATTAAAAAATAAATCTTGATATGGCATTAAATTGGGTAGGAGTTTTTCTCTACACAGGCTCATAAAAATGGGTTCTATAGCAAAATGTTGTATCAACCATTTTTAGTATTGCCTTATTCCTTAGAGAAATTTATTCTATGTCTTTTTACAAATAAAATGAATTCTGAAGAAATATGAATATTCACTTTTATGTCTTTTGTAGTGGAATGGATATGAAAGCATACCTGAGATCTATGATCCCACATCTGGAATCTGGAATGAAATCTTCCAAGTCCAAGGATGTGTAAGTACACTAATACACTAAACTATCATTATCATTTACAAGAGAAGCCTATGCATTATCTCTATATCCCAGCAAGGGATAAATACTGCGCACAGTAGACTTCATTTCTTTTAAGTAACATGCCAAATAAAATTAGACTATCAGTACCAATGTAAATTGAATACAAATGTGTACACACACATATTGGACTTTATCTATTTGGATTTTTTCAAATTTTATTGGCAGGTTTTTTTTTTCATAACTATAGTAACTCTAAGGGAAGTTTTGCATTTTGTGAATAAATTTTAACATATTTATTAGAACTACAGTTTCAGTTTGTGAAGTTATCAAAGTGTAACAGCCATTCTTATTTCATTTGTGCTTACATTTTAAAAATTGACTAATGTATGTACATTTTGTCCCCTGCAGACTTTCTGCTGCTGAAGTAATGCAATGGTCTCAATCTCTGGAAAAACTTCTTGCCAACCAAAGTAAGTATAACTATTGAATGTTTCTGGGTTCAGCTAAATACTCTAAAAAATTGAATGGCTTCACTAAATATAGTATTCTGGGTAGGATAGTATGCAAAAGGTTGTATTCTAGTTTGTCTGTAGTTACTGATAACTTCAGCATAGTATGCCTCTTAATAATGCTGACTTAGCACTCAATTCTGCCAACTCCTTTTAGACAAATTTGCCAAGACAATTAGGTATTTTCATAGATCATTATGGAGATAAAATTAAACATTGTGCTGGGATTCTGATATGTAAAAATTTTAAAAGTAAGCCAAATATTTTAATATGTACATTGCCATTTTGAAATCTGCCTAAAGAATGTATTTTTCTACACTTGGATGTAACAAGTATGATTCATTCATTCAATTAATTAAATTATCTTTCATACATTCATCATTCATCTCACCCTTATGTAGAGGACATTGTAGAGGTACCAAGGATTCAAAATCAAAGACAGTCTCTTACTGCCTTGAAGGTGGTTGAGATACATAACATAAATAATTGCATTATTATAACATGATAGTTTTTATGACATAAATATGATAGAAGGATTTTTAAGCACATATAGTCTTGTGGAGATTTTCTGATGAGAGAAGGTAAAGAATGAAATCAGCTTGCCATCCCCTTGTCTTGGGCATTACAATTCTACTGAGATTAGGACCTTTTTCAGAGGTGTAGATGAGCAGTGTGGTCTCTATCTCTAAAGAGTGAGATTATTCTTTTCTCCCCACAGACACCCTAAGGAGCTTTACTTGGGAATCACATTGTTCACTCTAGCTCAGCTGACTTTGTTTATAATTCAGCTAAACAAATAAATGGTATAGATATGGACCATAAATGGTGCCATATAAAAGTCTCAGTGAATGCTAGCAAACATAATTAGTACATCAGGCCTACAGATCATATATAGGCCTAACATTTTCTGGCTAATATAAATTAGATGGGGAAATTATATTTACTAATTATTGTGATGTTAATGCCTTTTGTCAGTGTTTGCTTTCCTAAAATACTCTCTACTCTGGCTAAGATTTGGCATATATAAAAGATGGTTTTATATTCAGTGGAGCAGAATTTCAATTCAAACCGCGGATAGAAGCAAAACAGTTTGGTAGCCACCATCAAGTAGCAATGTGACTATGAATGAGTTTGTCTGGCCCCAGATTCCTCTTCTATGAATGAAGAAATTTCAAATGACTTCTCATCTCTACAATCTATAACACAGCTATTTCAGCAGTAGCTGTCTCTTACCTTTGTATGAATAGGAAGCAATTGTATTTTTCTTACAAATTTCTTCTTCAAATTATTCATTTGTTGGTTCATTTAATTTAATTATCTCCCCACCCACCCCTCGTTTCTTTTTAGCTGGTCAAAATGTCTTTGGAAGTTTCCTAAAGTCTGAATTCAGTGAGGAGAATATTGAGTTCTGGCTGGCTTGTGAAGACTATAAGAAAACAGAGTCTGATCTTTTGCCCTGTAAAGCAGAAGAGATATATAAAGCATTTGTGCATTCAGATGCTGCTAAACAAGTGAGTATTAAGCTTATCATCATCAGTTTCTCCATAAAAGACCCTATATGCAGAAATAACATTTAATATATACAACAAGATAAAATCCTTTTGGGGTATATAATTTTACTTCTACATACTTAGGCATATAAATATAGTTCAGTGCAATGAGAATCTAATTTTCTATATTGGTGAGGGTTTCAGCACAGTAGAATAAAGAGACTGATTTTACAAAACCAGCTGCCATGATGAGGGTGAGGGAAGGGTTAAGGGTATTGTTACTGACCAGAACTGCATGTCAGGGAGTCCTTAATGAGTGCTCTTGTTTTGGATAAGAAAATGCAGATTAGCATAATGTATACAATTGCAGCAGCAAAAGTATTTCCAATTAACAGTATTACCAGATAAATATTCTTGGTCCAAGCAGAAAATATCAACAAAAAGAGCCTTCTTCTCCTGTAAATCTTAAATGCCTACATCACTCTTTATGATACATGGATCATCTTATGTGGATACTTAAATTTTTCATGTCTGCTTCTTTTGCCTCTCCTAACTATACTATGAGGAAATTTGGAACAAAGACATTTTTGTAATATTTCTTATCTCCTTCACACCTAGTATAGAGCTGATTTTACAAAGGCATTTAAGAGATATTTGAATTGATTTAAATGAGGCCTTAAAATTACTTTCTGAGGTGTTTCAAAAAACAGTAACATCATAAAATTTGCAGTAAAGAAAAGTATATATTAGCTAACAAGGTTTTCTTTTTTAGATCAATATTGACTTCCGCACTCGAGAATCTACAGCCAAGAAGATTAAAGCACCAACCCCCACGTGTTTTGATGAAGCACAAAAAGTCATATATACTCTTATGGAAAAGGACTCTTATCCCAGGTTCCTCAAATCAGATATTTACTTAAATCTTCTAAATGACCTGCAGGCTAATAGCCTAAAGTGACTGGTCCCTGGCTGAAGGGAATTAACAGATAGTATCAAGCGCAGAAGGAATGTGCCAGTATGGCTCCCTGGGTGAACAGCTTGGCCTTTTTTGGGTGTCTTGACAGGCCAAGAAGAACAAATGACTCAGAATGGATTAACATGAAAGTTATCCAGGCGCAGAGTTGAAGAAGCATAAGCAAGACAAAAACAGAGAGACCGCAGAAGGAGGAAGATACTGTGGTACTGTCATAAAAAACAGTGGAGCTCTGTATTAGAAAGCCCCTCAGAACTGGGAAGGCCAGGTAACTCTAGTTACACAGAAACTGTGACTAAAGTCTATGAAACTGATTACAACAGACTGTAAGAATCAAAGTCAACTGACATCTATGCTACATATTATTATATAGTTTGTACTGAGCTATTGAAGTCCCATTAACTTAAAGTATATGTTTTCAAATTGCCATTGCTACTATTGCTTGTCGGTGTTATTTTATTTTATTGTTTTTGACTTTGGAAGAGATGAACTGTGTATTTAACTTAAGCTATTGCTCTTAAAACCAGGGAGTCAGAATATATTTGTAAGTTAAATCATTGGTGCTAATAATAAATGTGGATTTTGTATTAAAATATATAGAAGCAATTTCTGTTTACATGTCCTTGCTACTTTTAAAAACTTGCATTTATTCCTCAGATTTTAAAAATAAATAAATAATTCATTTAAGATTCTTCTTTCTACCATCTCTTTTAACATCTAAAACTATTATCTAGTGAATACTATATTTTATGTATTAGTTTGGACAGAATTCACAATTTTTCTCTCTGCTATCACAAGGCACAAAATCAAACAAATATAATATGATCTCATGTTCAATAAGAAATTGAAGTCTTTTAAAAAGGGATAGAAAATTTATTTCAAGAGGTAATCTAATTAACAGCATATATTTTATTGTGAGTTAAAGTTCATAAAATCTAGACATATTTTCTCATTTAACATTCATAGCAATCCTATGAAAGCTGAGACTCAGAAAGATTAAGTCACTAGTTCTTAATTTTAGGTAACTCTCAAAATTATCTAGAATGTTAAAAAAACACACACATATCCCTGTTTTGGGGTCCCATACCAGAATGACTGAACCAAATCTCCAAAGGGTAGCATATGGGAATCTATATTTAAAAGAAAGCCCCAAGTGAGTCTGAAGATGATTTTATAATTCAGAGTTCAGAACCTGGGAATTAAGGGACAGTCATACTAGCAGGGATTGCCCAGAAGTCTTCCTACTACAACCTATTCTCCTTCCTCTATGTAACACTGCCACCCACTGATCAGAAGGCATTTCCTGAATCACTAAAGTCTGCAACAGTCCTAAGTGTCACCTAAGCAGGAAAAAAGACTCCAAAGTAGGGCTCACCTACAGAGAGAAGAAAAATCATCAAGATGATGCATATTCCTGAATAGCCTGTACAGCTCTTATCTCCCCGCGCACCTGTGCTTTATATTTTATTCAATAATCAGTCACTCACATATCACAATGAAATACGGTTAATGTATGGATAATCTCACTATGGACTGGTCCAGTCATCAGGCACACAGCAATGGTAAGGGGCAATATGCAGATCAGGTACAAACAGAATTATTCTTGAGTTGTCATGGGACAGAGTTTAAATTGGTTCTACTTTATGCTTTATTCCTGCTTTAAGTAAGAGAAACTTGGGAGTCCAGTGATAATAATAATAATGATAATAAGCATCA
The DNA here is from genome assembly GCF_000001405.40 of Homo sapiens. Taxonomy (NCBI): domain Eukaryota; kingdom Metazoa; phylum Chordata; class Mammalia; order Primates; family Hominidae; genus Homo; species Homo sapiens. The sequence continues at coordinate 192,581,054 of NC_000001.11, forward strand.
TCATCATCAGTCATCTCTCTCTCAACTCATTCCATCACCAAATTCTGCCAATAATTCTTCTACAATCAGTGTCTGTGGTTAGAACATCGCTTGCTCTTTTTTATTACCCCATCCTAGTACAGGCTTTCATAGTTTGCCAATTCACATGACATGTTCTTTGTCTTCCCAGTGTCTTTTCTTTAATTTATCCTCTGAACAGCTACAAACATCATCTTCTGAAACACAGATTTGGCCACATCATTTCCCATGACATATAAAATGAAGTATACATGTCTCCCTCTGGGCTTCAAAACCCTCCCAGTGTAACCTTCATGATATAACTCTCATTACTCAACTCTGGGTATCCTTCCTACCTTGAAGTCACACTGGATTATTCACCTTATCTTATATAATTCCAAGCCTTCACTATCTCCAGCCTTTGGTTATGCTCTACTCTCTAAAATGCCCTTTCCTAACCCATTCCGGTTTTCAAAGTTAAAGCAATTCTTCAAGGTTTTGTTTGTTTTGTGTTGGTTTTTGAGACAAGTTTGCCTAGGCTGGAGTACAATGGCGTGATCATGGCTCACTGCAGCCTCAACCTCCCAGGCTCAAGTGATACCCCTGCCTCAGCTTCCCAAGCAGTTTCCAAGGACTGTCACATTAATTATAGTCCAGGCCTTCAAGACTGTGAGGAGCAAGCAGTGCAACTGTCTAACACACTCACCAGTCATACAATAAATGCTCTGGTTCTTCTCTTGACAAAATGCCAAAAACCATTCGATTTTAGACAGAAGATCAAAACAAGAAGCCTCTTCATTTTGACCAAAAAAAAAAAAAGTCATCCTGGTTGCATAGATTCAAAATAATGTAAAATACTTGAAAAGATAAATTTTTATTGTCACTTTTTTTTTTTTGGAGATGGAGTCTCACTCTGTCACCCAGGCTGGAGTGTAAGGGTGTGATCTCAGCTCACTGCAACCTCCACCTTCCGGGTTCAAGTGATTCTCCTGTCTCAGCCTCCCAAGTAGCTGGGGCTACAGGTGCCCACTACCATGCCTGGCTAATTTTTGTATTTTTAGTAGAGATGGGGTTTCACCATGTTGGTCAGGCTGGTCTCAAACTCCTGACCTCAAGTGATCCACCTGCCTCCCAACATGCTGGGATTACAGGCATTAGCCTCTACGCCTGGCCTATTGTCACTTTTTGTTATGATGTGACTGTTTCATTAGATCATTCACAAAATATAATTAGAGCTAGTGATATCTACTATTTAAAAAATTTGATCCAACTGGACAATCTGATTTTCAGTTCACAGGCTATGTTCTTTTGTAATACTAAAGCAATGGCAGTAAACAATAGCATGGCTAAAAGCCAAAAATGTTTTTTAAAATTTACTTTTCTCAAGCTTATTTTGCAGTACTTTAAAATATGCCTATCCCAGAAAGCTATGAATCTATGAAGGTGAAAATGTGGGTAATGGCGTCTCATAAAAATTACATATTTACCCATTTAGTTTACATGGAATGAAGTTCAAGTTTCTTTGTTTCTGTGTGCAAACATGGGCTGTATTATACTAGTAGGAATCTTTGACAATCTATTGTTGAAAATTAAAAAACTAAAATTTGTGAGGGAAAAAATATAGTAAAAGGTGGTTTAAAATGCCATCAATATAAATTATTTTATATAGCTATAGAATTTTTGCAAGACTAGGATGAAAACATCTATAAAACAAAAATCAACAGTCAGCTACAGAAATAACTCTATCCTTTTTGTTGAGAACAGTATCTTGAAGCTAAAGCTGTATCATCCCAATAGCAAAATTTTATATCTTACTACATGCCTAAACTAAATGAAACCTTCCTACAAAAAATAGAGACAAAATACAAAACCTTCTATGGATGTTTCTCTGCAGTAAATATTTGACTTGGTATATACTCCTCAGTGGCTCCTTTACTTTGAATATGAAAATAGGACAAAAAGAAAAGACAGAAAGAGAGAGGGAGAAAGGGAAAGGAAAAGGGAGATGGGAAGAGGGAGGGAGAGAGGGGGGAGCACAGGAGGAAGGGAGGGAGAAGAAGAGAAGAGAAAAGGAAAAAGCATTGGTGAAGCATCTTAACGTATCTCATTTGATAATCTGAATGACTGAACTGTCATACTTTTAATATTTTACCTTCTCAAATTGAAATTTTAATCCAAAAAGGATTTTGCTGTAATTTAGAGTTGGCTATATAGACTTACTATAAAACTTCCATAACTTCATAACTGATAGATTAGGCCAGGGATGTCAATCTAAGTCTAAAAGAACCAAATTTAGAAACCTATGGGAACCATGCCTTAATTTGGAATATTGCCCCCATTTAGGGAAGATCCATATGGTACACTTGATGATTGAGAAAGGAGTCAAGCTTGCAGGATTAGGGAGCTGATTTATTTACATGGGAAGAAACAGTGTATTGTAAGTAAATTGTTTTAATTTAGAAAACTTTGTTGGTCATGTTTATTATGTTTTCGAATTTAATGTTTACATCCTCTTCCCTCCCTCTCCTGTCGAACTCATAAGCAGGGTCAGATGTCAGCTAGGAGCCACCTAGCTGAGTATGACCACTTCAAATATTTTAGGGAGCATTTCAAATGAACACGCTCTATGTCACTCGAATGAAAGAAAAACCAGCTTCCTCACTTCTCAAATAAAAACTCTAAGACTTCCTGGAAGATTTTTTTTAGTAAAAAAGCTATTCAAATAATACATTATAATAGACATGGGCTTTGTTCATCCAGGAAAAGTACTGGATTTGCTTTTGTTCTATGTTTAACTTGCATTTTTACTTTTACTTGTCATAATAGTAGCTGGTTTCTTTTGTCCTTTTTTTCGTCCTCTTTTTTTTACAGGGAAGGGATGTTACGGTGGATCTTGAAGAACAAATATAACCCAACCAGGGGAGAAAGAAGGTGAGAACATTCCAGATTCAGGGAATAGTCTTAAAAAGTCTGGAAATCAGGAAAAAAAATACTGTGTTCAACAATAGTGATTTATTTAGTTTGGCTGGAATATATAGGGAAAGAGAAAGTATAAGAGGGAAAGCTAAAAAGGTAGTTTAGAGAAGATTCAGAGAGAAAATATAGTCTACTCCGAAAAGAGTGAATTTTTATCTTTTACAGGATAGGTAACCACTGACGTTTTAAGCAAAAGAATAAAGTCTTAATTGTTTCTGAATGTCTACTATGGGGCAGGCACTGTGCTGGATACATGTGTTATCTGTTTAATCCACTTTAAACTTCTTTGAGGTGAGTATTGTTAGGCTCATTTTATTGATCCACAAATGCAGAAACAAGTGGAAAAAAGTATCTAACAACATATAACTAGTGAATGGCAGATCTAAGATTTGAACCTAGGTTTGTATCTTTCCAAAGACTCCCCATTATGTCATGATTCTTCATGGAAGGGAGATGATTTATTTGTGTTTTAAAAAGGGTAATTCTAGATTAACTATGAAAGACACTTGCAAAAGAAGACATAATTGAGGAAGGAAACCCAAATATGAGGCTGGTTTTGTAGCCCAGCAAATGAGAATCTGAGCCTGAAATAGGGCAGTAATCAAGGCAATGGGAAGGACAGGGCGAATAGGCAATACTTGGTGAGCAATTTGCTTCGACGAATAATTAATAGAGAGAATTTAGGATACATTTGAGGTGATTCGGCTGGGCTCCCAAAATTACAGCAATGTCCTCTGCTCTAACATACTGTCGATGAGGTCCTTCCATTACAAATGCTCATTAAACAATGTGGAAATAGAATGTGGTAGCACTGGAGGAAGATTAAGGCACACACTTTCAAGAGTTTCCACATGCAAAATAAATTATGCAGTATTTTCAGTAGACAATGGTTTATTCCAATTACCATGTATATGAAACATTCCACATGTTTTCTCTCAAAGCTCACTTTTAACTTGGACAAAAGCAGAGGCTTGCAAGACACAATCCAGGCTGAGAACAAAAAACAAGGATCAAGAAACTCAAAAGAATTGCAGCAAGTAATAGCTGTAAGGTCAAAGCACCTTTTACAGACAGGAAACAAAACCAAAATCTAGGATTCAGGCCAAGAGATGGGCAAAAAAAAAAAAAAAAAAAAAAAAACTGTCAAACACAAACAAAACCATCATGGTGACCCACAGCAGTAGACAGCGTGGAGGCCTGTGTTGAAATCAACAGTGGGGCAGGAATTCTCCCTCCTCCTGTGGAAAGTGGGTCTATTTGACTGATGGGATGATGGTAGTGCCCACTTCTTGTCAATAGAGAGAAAAATAGGACTGAAGACTTAAGGTAGCCAGTCACTCTTTCGGCACATTTTTCAGTTCAATCATCTTTGCCTTAACTCCTCAAAATGAGTGAAGATTTTTTTATCCTTTATTTTTACATAGAGAAAAGGAATCAGAATGATGTAAATTTCAGATATTATCCCATCCCCCTAAACTATGTACTGCTATTCTAGTCAAACCTAGAAAGTGAAAAATTCAGTAGGCTTGGTTTAAGTCAGTAAGATCAACACATTCTGCTCTGGTTTCATCTTTTATCCCCTGCCTTGTAACCCTCAGCATGAATTAGTGATAAAAACAGATTGTACTCGAAGTCTAGTGCTTTTTTCTTAAATCTGTCAGTTAATGAGACAAATGACCCACTATGAAGAAGTAATACGTAGAACATGTTCCCATAGGAAGAGCTAAATAAGATACTTCCTATAATGTTTCTTTGGCATAATTTTGACTAGATTGATTACAATTTATACTTTCTATGGGGGTAGTAAGAAGTGCTAAAGTAGTCTGGAAAAGAGTCTAATTATTAATTGATAAATTAACATATTTATCAGTAATGACACCTGCTATGTGCCATAAGCCTCACTAGGTGCTAGACCCACTGAAATGATAAATAATAAAGCAAAAATAAGTTCACTACGCTCTTGGGAAGAAGGAGGCAAATGGATTATAGTAAAATAGACTATAAGCATTATAAAAGAGGTATAAAGGAGAGACAAATAAGATTGTCTGATAGATGATCTGCCTAGGGGTTCTCTTCAGATCCCTAGGAAAAAGTCAAATGGGACTGGTGGCTCTTCCTCCCTATAGTGGGAGACACTTTGCATATCAGCACTGTATGCAACCTCCCTGGGCATCAAGTCACATCAAGTTTTTCTCCTCTTGCAAGCCCTCTCTCTGCTGTCACCAAATCAGCTGGGTGCTGTCTATTTGCTTCCAAAGATCCTATTTAAAAAAACAAGGGGAGGTACTGGGGAGCAGTGAGGGCAAGCTACACCTGCCTCCTCATGGGATGCTGTAAAGCTGAAGAACCATGAACATCCTGCCCCTTCTCCTTCTGCTCCTGTGGAATTCTTGGGGTTTATCTCAGCCTTCCCTTGACAAACAGGAAAAATGTGTTATGAGAGCTCAGAGGAGAGAGTAGTTTGTTCTGTCCTGAAGGAAGTTTATGGCTTCAGAGAAGTAAGAGGTACACAACACAGTGGATTGAATTCAAAGTATGCCAAATTATTTTGTGAACTTCTTGAACATTGGATGAATTGCATTCTCTGTAACTCACAAATAAATATAAACTCTGGTATTATTGGGGCCCAGAAGAGCTGGAATAAGTCAGTCCTACTAATTACTAATATTACTTTGCTCACATCCATATATTTCTACTTTAGCTATAGTTATTGTCCCAAAATTATTCTTTTTGTTTGTTTTAGGAGATGTGGTAGAGACTGTCTATCTGTTCACCAGTCTTAGGCCCTCTCCCTGGCACCAAGAAGACTACATTTCCCAGCCCTTGTTAAAGAAGATGGCAAATATAGAAACTTCTATGGATGTTTCTATACAGTTAATATTTGACTGGATATTTATTTTCCATTAGCCCTTTTACCTTAAATTTGCTACGTTATCTCAAATTGTAACTTGATATTTTACCTTGAATTATTAAAGCCATAAAACTGAGTTCTACTTGGTGAAATGTGAGCAGAAAGGATAGCCACCAGTTCTAGGCCTCGCAATAAGACATCCTAATTGTTCTCTCTTCTCCACCCTCTTCCTTCTAGAAGGAGCACTGCTGGAAGCAAAAGAACTTGACATTGCAAAGGCACATGAAGGAATTACCAAGAAGAGCCATGCATCTCACACTGGCATTTTTATGAGTGATCATAAAAGCCATTGAGATGTGGGAATTATTTGTTAGAGTCCCTAGGAAATTTTATCCTGATGAATACAAAGACACTGATATAAATTTAAATTTCTTTCAAAAAGAAATAGTTCCTTATTTCATCTCTAAAGAGATATGGATCCATCCTGGAAAAAAAAAAAAACAGGGCAATTTCTCCGTCACAATGCAGTCTTACTTAGTTCCCATATTAGACAGAGGTTATCTCTCTAACCCTGTGATGTTCTTTGAGATAGAGCTGACTGGAAGAGAAGATATAAGCTATAGATGAGAACAATATGTGAAAAGCTTATTTCAGGCACAGCTTGGGAGACGAAATGCCAAAAACAACAAGAAAAAGGGAGGTGAAGGCCAAGAAGCAGGAAAAGAATAAGTGATGGAAAATTTTACAATGGATAAAAAAACTTCGTGAAATCAATTTGGCCACGCAACATGTATTTTCCATTCATTTGCTTTGACTCAATTTAGGGCTACATCCCATACAGACATAAATGCTTTGAGGTTAAAATGGGCCAATCATCAAGTATTAGTCAGAATTCTAAGAAAATATAATGTACAGCTCTAAAAAGCATACCTGTGGTTACCTGGGATTCAGGCAGGAGGTGTGAATTTAGTACATACCAGAAAAAATAGACGCATGAACTCACAGAGCCAGTTTCCCTAAAGGACCACATAGCTACCTATGAAATAATTCATCCTATGAGGAGAAAGTTTTGTGATGCACAAATTTGACATACAAACAGTTGGACAGAGCTAGCAGAAATACTACTTTAATTATGGCTGATGCCTGACACTCATATTGTACTTTGATGAAGGTCCAGAGTCTGAGGGAGAGGAGAGAGCAATAAAATGTATGACAAACACTAAGAGGGCAAACTCCCTGAACATTCTGTGAAGCTTCCAGAACACATAGGAACAGTGTATCATTCAAGAGATGGTAAGACATTCTTCCCACATGGAGTTAGGATTCAACACTGATAGAACCAAGCCCACTGAATTGAAAATCAGATCAGTCTACAGCTAGAAAGAAGAATTGGAAGAGGTGTTTGCCTCATTAAATATCACCAACACCATTAGCAAACATTTACAGCAGCCTAATTCCTTATGGAAGAAGGGTGGTCTTGGATGGTCTCCCATGGAATAATGTCCTTCTTCCTACCCAGGTTCTCATTATTTGAGAAATAAAATTAAAAGATTGAGGTGGAAGCCAAAATATTACTGATACATGTAGGTCAAAGAACACAGCATTGGGAAAGGGTCAAAGGGGCTTGCTCATTTAATGTAGAATTAGACCAACTCACTATCCAGTGGCAGGTAATGTTAGACTGGGGCAGAGTTCCCATTTGAGGGGCTTCCCATGTGCAGAGGAAGAAAAGTAAAATCATGCTTCTTCCTAAGAAGAAGAAGGAGGCAGAGAGCCTGGCTGAGTGTGACAGGAAACTGGAATGGGGAATAGAAGAGAAAGATAATGAGTAATAGTTGTGGCCTCAAGATTAAACACAGTGGTGGTGTTGGTGAAGTACTTCATTCCACTGACCTCTCATAAGATTTCCCCAGAAAAAAAGTTCCTCCAGAACCCAACAACAGCTGTTTCCAGATGGATTTGAACTCGCTATATAAAGCAATAATATCTAGAAGATACAAAGAGTGGATGGTATTGTATACTGCAGTACACAATCTCCCTTTAGAACTGAGGTGCTCTACCTCCAAGCATCTGGGAATTTTGACTGCTAACATCTCACTGATTAGTTGTATTCCAGGAATTGCCTTTGGCTTGTGGACGCTGCCTTACCAGGTTTACATCTCCTCTTTGATAGCAGCCTGTAGTCAGTGAGTGGTCAGATCACAGTCCAAAGATCTAGCCCCCTTGTCTCAACTGGGTCAGTTCTGAAGAGCCATTCCAGTTCCAAAGCTTCTGCTAGAATCATTTGAGATCTCTGATGAATACATCATATATTTAAGATTTATTATGCATCTACTTCCAAAACATGAGTTTATCAGGTTATAAACTTAGCATATTATATAATAAAAGAGTTAATTAAATAAGGCAAAATAATCTAAAATGGAGATTTGTTCATTATTTATAAAAAGTATTTATTCAGGCTATTCTGCAAACAGGGCACTGGGTTAGGTGCTGTGATCAGTCAGCCACATATTCTGCAGTCAATATGACTACTGTTTGATCCAGAGATGGCATGTGCACAGCTAAGTATAGCATAAGAAGAGAAAAAGCCCATACGGTATTCACAACTGTAATAGATATCCTTTCTTTGATTCCAGAACAGCACTATTAGATAGAAAAAGGTGTTACTATTCCTGCTTTATAGACAGTAAATCAAGGTTGAGCAAGGTAAAGCAATTTACCCAACTAGCAGAAAATGTACTTTTTACCTTAAATCCATTGTTTATTTATTCCATTATGACAAATATTATTTGTTTGGATGATTTATTTGGAGTTGGGCTAAGGAGAAATATAACTGATGCTGATTTGAGGTAAGAGTGTTACCAGTTATCCAAATAGATGAGATAATATCTCAGTGAACATCGAAAAGCCTCTAAAGGACATGGGTTTTATACCAGCTAACCATTTTGAGAATTTGATTCATCTTGCTTGATATCCTTAATTATCTTTTCAAATGTTTTCAAAATATTCAATGTCCCTGGGTTATGCTGGATACAATTTGCTAAATGTATCTTTCAAGCTTCATAGATTAGAATGATGACTTAGTTATTTGCAGACTCACTCCCTAAGTATTTCCACAATTTTGAAACTGCGACTTCAGGGAAGGATGTCTGTTTAGTAGTAATCAACTCTAAAAATAAAGAGCACAGAATTCTCTTTCCAAAACATTGAATTGCAAAATTAGGCTTTTGACGAAGACCCTGCAGCGGCAGGTGAATCATCAAATGGAGAAGGTTTACTTGACTTCTCAAGAGAATTTTAAAAAGAGTATAAAAACAAAGTGGAAAAAAGAAAGAAAGAAAGAAAAAGAATGGCCGGAGGATTGTCTATTCTGGAGTTAGGCTAAGGAGAAATATAACTGATGCTGATTTGAGATAAGAGAGAATTACCAGAAAGTAGCTGACCAGTGGGACATTATTGACAGCGAGAAGAGATCCACTTCCCCTGGGTATCTGTGGATAGGCTAAGGATCAGTTCTGGGAGAATCAATGCAAAGAGGCAAAAGGGATGCTAAAATTACTGATGAGCAAGACAGAGACTGGGCCAGGATCATGGGAAATACCTAAAAGGGGAAAGTGATGAGCCGGGAAGTGCACGCTGCCACCGAGGAGCCATCTGAGATGTAAAATTGTAGAAACAGAGCACTTGAAGCATCCTTTTAACTTCTGGTCAGAGATTTGTGGCAAAGTTGTCAAATCCTAAAACTGCCTTATCTCAAAGGTGAGGGGAAACCTCTGGTTCCTGAAGTGACAGTGAGGGAAGGAGAAGGAATAGGAACTGAAACAGGGGAATCAAAAAAAGAAGACGAAGAACCAAAAAGGATTAAAGAATAAAGTCCAGCAAATGCCCCATCATGAAAAGTCAAAGGCAAGATGGACAAAATCAACCTGGTGAATGAAACAGCACATATGGACAACTGTTTTCCTTTTCTCTGCTTTTTTTCTATCTCTGTGTGTGCCTAGGCCACCTGGGCTTTATAAAACACGTGTGTGTGTGTGTGTGTGTGTGTGTGTGTGTGTGTGTGTGTGTGTGTATGTGTGTGTGTGTAACTTCATTTTTAGTCTGACATCTCACTAAACTCAATATACGGCTGGCAGCTGGAAACTAGATACGCACTCACCCAGCTTTAAGCTTGCAGACGATGCCAGTGCCCCAGAGGAGGGCAGAGCTGCCCTTCTAGCCTGGGTCCCTGGATGACCTTGGGAAGTAGAGGATGTCTACCTGTCCTATTACTGGCAGGAGATGTTTCACCATTGCCTTTGGAGTCTCTTTGCTACAACCTTTACTCTAGTTAACATGGTAACATATTTATTATTATTGTGTTTTCCCTGCATATTAGAAAACAAAACAACCTGTATCTCAGGGACTAATTGCAGAAAATAGCCACAAGGCAGAACATCATTTAATTAGAATACATGGCAGATGGTGATTTAAAATTTTTTCATTAAAACACTCAAGATGAGGCTGAAAATTTTCAGATAATAATAAAGCTGGTTGATTTCTTACATGCTATTAACTAAGGAAAACTTAAGAAAGAGATAGACAATAGGACCTATATTGATGACTGAGTTTTAAAAATCTATTACTACTCCAGCAAAAGCAACTCCAGAAAAGCATATAATTAATAGAATGTTTTAGCCTATGAGGCCGGGTGCAGTGGTTCATGCCTGTAATCCCAGCACTTTGGGAGGCCGAGGCAGGTGGAACAAGGTCAGGAGTTTGAGACCAGCCTGGCCGATATGGTAAAACCCCGTCTTTACTAAAAATACAAAAATTAGCCGGGCATAGTGGCACACACCTATAGTCCCAGCTACTCGGGAGGCTGCGGCAGGATATGGCTTGAATCTGGGAGGCAGAAGTAGCAGCGAGCCGAAATTGTGCCACTGCACTCCAGCCTGGGCAACAGAGTGAGACTCCAGCCCAAAAAAAATAATGTTTTAGCCTATGTTTGATAATCAGTTATTCTGGTGTGCATGACTGGTAGCTGTGACCATAGCCGGACAAACTTGAACAGCTAACACTAACTGAATTCTACTAAAATAATGTCCATTACAATTTGATAAGTTTAGAACAATATTTGCCAGTATTTTGCAGTGACTTGAGAAATAATAATGATAATCCTCCATATTACGTGGAAGGTCTGGTCTCCTTCTCCATATATCCTACTAAAAAGTATTAGATGGCTTACAGGATTCACAAGTGTTCCAAAAATAAGTTTCAGGTGAGCAAAAGTATTTAATCCCTCAGCCCCCAGGCCTGGTCAGGTTGGGCATGAGGTACCCCAAATCCCAGGGCTGGCCTATCACCCTTGACAGTATGCACCACAGTGATATGAACACATTTTATTTTTTTATTTCTTAATATGAACCATGATATGAAAAGGGTAGGAAGATACCGACTTAGAGTTTTCTAAACATGTCCCCCAAATTATTAAGCTTTTTTAAATAACTATTTTCATTTTCATACTTTATATCTCCACATCATCTATCATCCTCAGTAATATACAAGTGACCTTATGCCAAATGTTGTCTATTTTTGAAACAAACGAAAATACTAACTGAAAGTTATTCTTTTTCCCCCCTTGAAGTGGCCTCCTCAGCATTACTTTGATTTTCCTTCTTTTCTGCATGGGCCATAATGCAACAGAATAGATCATCCTTTTGACGAAAATTTAAAACTAAAAGCCTTTCACCACTCATTTCCCTTTCAGACAAGCTCACTGGGAACCACATAAAGGGAGATTTTTGCGTGACTCCTCCTATGGTCAGAATTCAGCCCCTTTCTTTTACAGTCTTCTTATGGTTCAAGAGTTTTTTCTAGGAGCTGTGGTTTCTGTTTCTCTCATTTGGGCATTTGTTTATCCAGTTTCTGAGGTAGGATGATGTTGTATTTCTGCTAGGCTCTTTTCCAAAGATGAATCTCCTTGGCCTGGGTTACTTTCTTTTCCCATTTATTAAAATGAACTCACGCCTCAGCCTCTAGAACGTAATTATGACAGAAACAGTTTCTAATTACAGCAGTTCACATTTATTCCAGGACGATGCCTGACTTTAACAACTTTGTTTACTCACATAAAGCAAAAGCTAAATCCTTGCTTTTAGTTGTATCATTAAAAAAATGTCACTGGTAAAATGAAGCATCTTCCTTTAATGCTCTGAAGTCTAAATTGAGAACATTTACAAAAGCCTCTGAGGGCTCCTGACCATAGGAAGGACATTACTCAGTCAACAAGGACCTATTAAATATCTGTTCTACACCAATAGTGTCTGAGAGGAAATATGAGGCAGGAAAGCATTATAAATGGGCTTTCTGCCTAACTAAGTGATTTCTCATCCACTCTAGGAGAGGGAAACAAAAAGCCACACTATTGTATTCCACTATCTGGAATCCTAGAATGTCATATCTAGAAAGGAGATCAGAAGTTGTCTAACCTACTCTTCCCATTTGTAGATTATGAAGCCCCAGTGCAAAGAGATTAAATGGTTTATTCTAGGACACCCTAGTAATAAAGTCACAAAGGTAAAATTAAAAATGAGTAGACAGAGCACAGGAGCCTGACTCAGATGCAAAAGTTTCGTAACCTGTCCCATGCTGTCTCCCTGACTCTCTTGGTCCATTTATGTAACTGTAACAGAGTAGCTGAGACTGGGTAATTTATAATGAACAGAAATTTATTTCTTACCAGTCTGGAGGCTGGGAAGTCCAAGATCATGATGTAAGCATCTGATGAGGGCTTTCGTCCTGCATCATCCCATGGCAGAAGGCAGAAAGGCCAAGAGAGGGCAAGGACAAGGGAGACAGAAAATAAAGAAGGGTCAAACTCCCCCTTTTATAACAAACCTACTTTTGCAATATCTATATTAATTCATTCACTCAGCTCTTATGGCCTAATTACCTCTCATTAGGCCCCACTTCCCAAAACAGTTGCTTTGGGGATTAAGTTTCCAACACATGATTTTGGGAAGACACATTCAAATCATAACACTGACTAAAACTAGTACAGAAAATTGTAACATGGTAACTATTTCAGTAATACTTTGGAAATACAATGCTCTAGTAATATTTCAGTAATGCAATGCAGCAGACCGTTGCCTGTTTTCATTAACTACACTAGAACAGAACAGTTTACTGTGTTCAGAATTACACATCCATAGCAAAGCTATGACCTACAAACGTTCTCAAGGTGAACGTGTCAATAACACTATATGAATTTTTGAACAATAACTAACAGAGCCTCACTGTGTATCTAGCTAGTGAGTCTTCTGCATACCAGCATCAGGTAAATTGCTTTATTCCAACTCCTCGTTAACAGTCACTAATAGCCGATACACTGATATACCACTTAGATATTTCCAATTATCTCATAGTCTATCTGTGTAATTTGATGAGCTATTATCCTCAAAGCTAGAAAAAAAGTGAAACTCTACTAGACATTTCTGAGAAAATTGCTGCCAGTAATTTGAATGTGTTGCATCGACTAAGTGAATTGAGCAAAATTTATCTTCCCTTTTACTTTTCCCTCATCTTTATTCTGCTTTTCTATCATTTCTCACCTTTCTCTCTACCTGCCCTTACCCTTAATCAATATCTACTTTGATTCATTAGAAAAGCATTATTCATTTCCACAGCATTAAATTGTCCACCTTCAGAGCATTTAATCATTACCTGTTTTTCAAAATGACTTGTGTGACCTACACCTAAACACTGCAGTGAAAAATGGTCTAGATCTTCTTTTGTGCCCCCACTCTCCCCAAACACAGGCTTATCACAGCACTGCTAACATATATTTGTATAATTTATTTAAATGATACTGCAATGGACTGTAATATCTTTGAAGGGAAAATGTCATATTCATTTTTGCATCTCAACTCCCTATCATTCCTGGCAAATATGCGTGTTTGCAAAATGAATGATAATATCACTCAATTCATCAATAACCTTTAACAACAGTGTTTACTATAATATTTGGGTTGGAAATGTGAAAGGAAGACAAAAACTGAACAGTTCCTGTGGGTAGCTAAAACAGAGGAGAAAGGGAAAAAACATTCTCCTTTGGTTCAGTAGCAGTTTTCCATGGAATAGAAAACATTGCAATCTTTACTCAGGTATTATATGTTTTTCTGGATGAAAGTCTTATTTTGGGTTGCATTATTTTCATCATTTGCAATAAATGTATGCCCTTTTAATGAGACTTTGTGTTTAATCTTATTGTTCTCTTACCATAATTATCGTATATCCGATAGAAAGAGTTTTTCCTCAGAGCAGATTAGAATCACAGGGGACAGAAAGAATATGGGTGGAAAAGAGAAGACGTTCTGCATAAGAAAGGGTACAAAGTTGCTATAGCAGTTCTTGAAAGAAACTGATAGCTACAAATTGAGAAAAGAAAGAAAGAATAAAGGAGAGAAAGGGGCCAGAAAACTCAATAGGGGTAGGGAGCAGGAGGGGTAGGGAGGAGGAGGAGGTAGGGAGCAGGAGGGGTAGGGAGGAGTAGGGGTTAGGGAGGAGGAGGGGTGGGGAGGAGGAGGAGGTAGGGAGGAGGAGGGGTAGGGAGGAGGAGGGAGGAGGTGGTGCAGCGATGGGGCATGTGCATGTCTATTGCTTCGTTTGAGGTTATTTGTCTTGTTATACTGTAAAGCTCTCCATTTCATCCAATTTCCAACACACATACACATAGTTGGGTATATTTCCCTTCATAACATCTATTTATTTATCTAAGAAATGTTTTGTGCGGATGGAGACACATTTTTTAATTGTTGCTAATTAAGTGAGGAGGAGACTAAGCTTGTCTATGTCAAGGTTTTAACGATTAAGCAAAGCTTCTAACGAAACAGGAAAAAGAAACTTAAGAAGCAGTGGAAACCATGAAATATAAGCTCTCCAGCTCTCCCTCCTCCCAGAATTCACAGAACACTAGGTATGGTTTTTTATTTACACAGGCTATGAATTGAAGTTTCAGGGTTATTTTTACCTAGGATGTAAGCGAGAAGAAAGCCTCAAGAGAAATGAATTACACATAGTTCCTAAGAACAAATTCTCTAATATGAACTGAAATACAATTATTAAAAGATGGTTCCAGAGAAACATATAGATCGATGCATAGAAATTTTACTAAACTGAACTCAGAACTCTCCTTGACTTTAGATATCCAATCTGTGTTTTCCTTACTTTTAAAGACACTTAGAAAATGTATCTAAGAAAAGTTGAAGATGTTTCTGGTTGTTTACAAGAAACTGTTTCAAGTGATGAATGACAGAGGCTAGACTTCAATCCCATTTGCGACAAGAACATTTGTTCTCTTTCTTCAGTGAGTGATTGTGAAGTGGCAGAAAGAAGTGGGAATTAAATCTCAACAAAAGTGGCTTTCTCAATTGTGTCTTATGAAGTATAGATTTCCTAGAAGTGGTTTTCATAATAGAACACAATTTTTGACTTCATGGAAATCAAAGCATCACTTTAAATCTCTCAGAACTCTATGATTCCTGTTGGATATTTCAGACCCTCAAAATTTAATCTGGAAGTTAAACATAACAATTCATAAAAGAAGTCCTTTATTGTCTGCCAAAAAAAAATTTTAACTGTCAATTTTATTATTTTAGAAACCTTCTTCATATTATAAGTGGTGATCATGGTGGCTAGTTTTAGGTGTAAGCTTAGCTAGACTATGGCACAGAGTTACCCAGCCAAACAGGAATCTAGGCATTGTTTTAAAAAGGTACTTTGTAGATGTGGCTAACATCTACAATCAGTTTAAATAAAGGAGATCATCCTCAATAATGTGGGTGAGGCTTACTCATCCAATCAGTTGAAAGTCCTTAACAGCAAAATTGAGGTTACCCTCAGGAAGAAGAAATTCAGGCTGAAGACTGCAGCATCAGCTTCTGCCTGAGAGTTTACAGTGTGCTTGCTTGCCCTACAGATTCGGACTTGCAAACCCCCACAATCACAGGAGCTAATTCCTTGAATATATTTATTTCATAAATAAATATATATGTAATCATACATATATAATCATATATTTTATATAATGTTTGTGTCCTACTAGTTCTGCTTGTCTGGAGAGCTCTGACTGATACAGTGGACAAATGCTATTGACAATAGGCTTGCATAATACTAACAAGAACAGACGTGAGAGAGATGGTTATCCTAGCAAAATAATGTAATCGTTAAGTTTTTTAGATAACAGACACATAAAAATATATTCTTGAGCTGAGAAAAATAAAAGCCAATTAAAACACGAAGTCAAGCAATATGAAAAGATGCTAAAGATAATTTGATTACTACCCAGCCTACATCTTAGGATTGTATGGAACAATAATCATCTTGGAGAAAAATATGCTACTTCATTTAGTATTAAAATACATGTCTTCCTTCCCCCCCTAAATTATAATCTCCTAGAAGGCAAAGAACACGTCTTCATTTTAGAATGCCTTACTCACAGTAAGTACACAATAAATGGTTGCTGGATTTAAAAAATGAATAAATTTGTATCCTGAGTATTAGTTACTCAACACCTATTGACTAAATGCCTCCTATGTTCCAGCACTGTGCTAAGTTTTGGGAGCACAGTGGTACACACATTAAGTCCTCCCCTCATGGAATTGTGCTGTGGCTTACCTGACCTGGTGACTGACACAGGTGCCTAGGGATGGTATTGCCCAAGTATCATTAAAAGGCTGCTGCCTTTAGCAGTTCTCTGCAAATCTGATATGCTAAGTTCAAACAGAAAATGGGTAAAGGGTGATGAAGTGATCTTTTCTTAATCAAGGCTACTGCAGAGTCCAGTGATGAGAATCAGGCAGAGCATCTCTTTTACGTATAGGTAATATAACTGCAACAATAAATAACACATTTATAGAAAAGTGAAAAAAGAGGAAAAAAAGATTATCCTGATTTATGTCAAACTCAGAAATTAGCAGTTTATTTCCCAGAACATTTAGTTTGCTTTCTTAACTATTATCTACTTAAACCATTTTGTAGAGACAATATGGAGATAAGGACATGGCCAGAGTTGTCAGACAGACCCAAGCCTAAAGCCTAGCATCACCACCAGCTATGTGACTTTGGACTAGTTGCTTCACATATCTGAACCTCAGTGTTCCCAAATATAAAATGAGAACAATAACTGACTGCCAGCCTGCGTGTGTATGTGTGTGTGATAGTGTGACAAATAAAGTACTGTGAGTAAACCTAGCAGCTCAATGCCTAGCATTTGGAAAGTTAACAATAAATGGTAATTAGATTTGATACAGTACTTCACATTTTAAAGCTACACAACCTCTGGGATGACAATTCCATTAGCAAAGTTACTGGTTCAAAGGCACTTCCCTTCTTGTGACTTTCAGAACGTGCTCAAACCATTAGTTTTTCCAAGAGAAAATCTCCAGTATGTTATGGAAACACTATAAAGAGGAATTTCCAGGAAAAATAAATAAATATAGGTACCATTAATAGATGTATATAGACTCATAAGAACCATAGACTGTTAGACCAGGAGGAAATACTGAAGATCATTTAGGTCTCATTTTATAAAATTTAGAAAAGCAAAATAACCTCTTCAAGGGCCCTAAGTAGTTAATGGTAATGTGAAGACAACCCATCAGTTTTAGAGATAGACCATAATCTACTACCTATAATTTGTCTCCATACTTTAGGATTATTATTTTCAAAGGGGTAAATGCAATTCCCAAAACAATAGCTAATTCTTAAGTTGTCTCTGTAAAAATTACAAAGACAATCCTTTTTCCTCTATGATAACTCATACTATTCACAGCCATCTGTGTACTCTGACTTTCAGAAACAGTTTCTCTCTCCAGGATGCTGCTCACTACATGAGAGGCACAGGGGATTGTAAGCGAGTGGCCAGTCCGTTTGTGGTTTACCATGTGCCAGATTCTGCCTATGCTTTCTCATTTAATCCTCACCCACAACCCTTTAAAATGCATGCTTTTATTTTCAATATTGTCCATATGGGTTAATTAAGGCTTATCGAGGTTAGGTAATTTGTTCAGGTTCACACTGCTACCAAGTAGGAAAGCAAGATTTAAAGCTATTCTGTCTGACTCCAGAGGCCACGGAGATATTGAGAGTTTCTTGACACCACAGATTGCTAAATTCTTCCCTTATATCTTATATTCTGATGTCCAGGCTTCCCTGCCTAATCCATGAAAAATTATGCTGAATGCAAGACTTGGTTCTCTAGCTGGTTGATTGGAAATTATAGTCACATAAACCAAAAGAAGAAACCAGCCCAGAGTTTTGTGGTGATACAGCTGAGTAGCGGGTATGGATCACCCCTGGGCCTTGTGCTCCTGCAGATGGATGAATCAGGAGTGCAGCCTCTCTGGGGTGTAAACAGAACCACCCAACAGGAGGGCCCAATGTCCTGTGGGACCTGAACGGAATAAAAATGTTCAAATCTGTAAGGAAATGGCATTGCCCAAGTACCTTCAAACTGCCTTTAGCAGTTCTCTGCAAATTTCGTATGCTAAGTTCCAACAGAAAATAGGCAGATGTGTGATGAAGTGATCTTTTCTTACTGAAGGCTACTGCAGAGCATAATGATGAGAGTCAGGCAGAGCATCTCTCTTATACATAGGTAACATCAATGCAACAATAAATAACACTTATATAGAGCTGTTCATTTGAAAAGGGGTACAGAAATTGAAATCAGAAATTCGCTTCCACCTCACATTAGCCATATAACCTTGGGCTTCACAGTGACTCTGGATGAACTTTTGTGTCTTTTTATATGATGGAACTGGTTTCATTTACTTTTATTTATGGATTATTCTGTTATGTCTACCAAATAAGAATGTTTGGGACATGGATGGGAAAGATATAAAATGCAATGCAAATATCTGATATTGTTACTAATAACTAGCAGAATTTGAAAATAAGGTTTTATTACATTTTTAAATGAATGTTCATAGACAATTTATTGAGATTGATACAAACCACTCAAGATCATTGCTGTCACTCAGTATTAAAGGAAAGCCCTCCTGTCCAGAGCCCATCACCCACCTCTAAGTGGTAGAATGTGGAGAAACTTTTAGACGTGATCCTTCCAAGCCCTGTGATTATACACCTTGGAAAATAAAAGTTGCTCAAACCCACATAGCTTACCCAAAACAAAAGGAAACTAGAGTTCATTTCTCTGGGGGTGCAGTCTGGTGCTTTTAAGGTTTTTACCTCTTTTCTATATTTTGATTATTAAAATATAATTTTTGTTTAAAATAATCTAAAAGAAATTTTCATGATTTTTTCCAGTGGTGTATAATGGACCAGACAGCATTTTGAAAGCATCACAGGATGATCCAGATGAAAAGATAACTAACCATCAGAGCAGCTTTGAGAGGTAAGATCACAAATCAGCACCCAAAAATGACAATCATTAATTTTGTCACTAAATGACATAACGATAAACAGTATGACTCTTTCCTTTTTTTCTGTGGTTATTCAAGAGGTAAGAAGGGGATCCCACCCTTAGTAAACTTCTGGGAAAAAAAAGAGACATAATGATGCATTTTTTCCCTCAAGTTTATTTATAATCCAAAGATGGTAATAAGCTTCTTAAGGGTGTTAATCACCCATGTTTCCTTCTTAAACACTCTTATTTTTACTTCCACCCACAGGAAAAAAAAAACTTTTTATAAATAAGATTAGTCACTGAATAAAAGGAGGTAACTAAGGCTAGTGATTGCTTAATTATTTCATGTGTTAAGAAACTTTAAATTACTCCAAGAGATTAAAAATTCATAACTGAACATTTTATGGTTGTAGACAAATTTTGGAGTTGGAAAATACCTAAAGAGAGTCTCTCCTTCAATCTTTCACCTGAAGAAAATATAATCTCTATGAAATTCTACACAAAAAGCCATCTGGCAGCTACTAGAAAATATCTAGTAACAAGACTCTCCTTAATGGGACATGGGGACTAGCAGTTGGGAAGCTCATTTCATTTACGTACTGGGTATATATTTATGTAAAATAATAATTACTTAGAAATCTGACCCTCTATAACTTCTACCACTTGGTTGCGTTGCTGTATGCACCCACAGTATCCCACATAACTTCCTTCTCAGCATTTGTCTGTCTTTTTAAGTATTATTATCTCACCCTTCAACTCAGAGAATGCACCTGTCTTGTTCCTCCCTCTTTCTCCAGCACCTAACATACTGCCTAGCAATCAATGCTTAATAAATATTTCTTGATTCAGTGCATAACAGTTTAAGTAAATTTCCTAGAGATTTGCAGAATAAATCAAAGCATTTTTTCACATGACACCCTTTTTATGTTATATGATATTTAACAGATCTCTTTTCCAGAATCAAAAACCCCATATTTTGTGGCCACTTGTGACCTGACTGGTCCCAGAGCCTGCTCTGATGAAGTCATTGTCTCCAGAATATGACTTAGTCAAAATCCCCTTCAAGGTGTTACAAAGATTGAGAACAGAGGACTCCAGCAGAATACAGTGAAACTGTTATCTCCTGTAATTCCATCTCACTGCCAACAAATGCTGTTTATGCTTGTATCTCTTTCCTATTTAATCACATAATATTGTTTGGACTATATTGCATTAAGGTCCTATTCACTTTCACGTGAGTTTATTTGAAGGATGCTCTCCTCATTGTTTGAAACTAAATATAAGATTTGAACTTCTTCTTGCTAACTTTTTCAGTTTATATTTCATATTAATAAGAACAGTGTTTATTCTTGATACTCTCATTTCACTCTCAAGATGCCCCTACCCTCCCACACATTAACCACAATGTTAGTGTCATACACACCCTGGAAAGGACTAGAATTGAAGGAAGTGATCATGCTGATAATACAGAACCAGAGTTTTTAAAATTTACCTGAAATTTTAGAGAAAATAGTCCCTATGTCCAGCATGAATGTGAGCACAGTTCTATGTATAGCAGCCTCAAGGTAATGACACAGACATGAATCATCTGACACAAATCAACACAAGTGGCAACTTCTGATAGTTTTGAAAAGTTAAAGCTTTTTTACAGATGATAGCCAAGTAAAGAGTTTTTTCAAATCTAAGCTATTTTTCCATTAAATCTGCATTACCTTTTTAATACCCACTTTTGTTCTAGATAGCCCAATAAGAATTCCCGATTAAAGCCAAAAACTTTCACTAACTCCTGTTCTCATTGCCTTTATCCAGTCTATTATTAAATCCTGTCGTGTCATTCTACAAAGTGTTGTAAGATTCTTCTTTATATTCTTGGCTTAATTTATTTAATAAACACTAATTAAGATCTTACCATGCATTTGTTATAGGGGTACAACAAATCTATTTATACCCCCATCTCATTCCAGAAGGTAATGTAAGTGAATTATAAGGTTACAAAAAAAAGAAATGGAAGGAAGGAAGGAAGAAAGGAATACAAATAGGAGCAACTGGCAAATGGGAGAAAAATAAGACAAAAGCCTAAAATGGACTCAAGAATGAGGTTTAAAATCCAACGCATGAAGATCTATAAATTTCCTTCAGCCGAAGCAAAGTTAACTTTACATTTTCAGACAGTCAAGGCAAAATGGAAAAACCTGATTAATTTCAAAATCAAAAGTGTTTCTAACATAAAACATAGAATTGCTCAGAAGTACCATTCTCCTTAGTCCAAAATGCAAAAAAAATGTTTTCCTTCAAAGGGTTTGTATAAAAACAATATCTTCCCTCTTAAAAAAAATTGATACCCTGAGTTTCTAACTACTCTCCTATTTATTTCTCCTTGCACGCAGACACTCTCTTGAAAACAATAGTCTACCCTTGCTGATTTCATTTACTCACTTCGTATTCATTTTTCAACTCACGGCATTGAAAGTCTCATCCTTATATCTTCTCTGAAACTGCCTGGCAAATGAAGTTAAGTGCTCCATAATTTCACACTAATATTTGCTACAAAATACTCTCATCTACTTCATGTATATCTGGTTTCTCTCTTTTTCAAGCTATCTTGCATGTTATAAGCCAGAACCATTTGCATTAAGAACTGACCTAATGTGGTTGCTCTTCTGCTCAAGGACCTACTGAATAGCAACCACATCAAGCCTGAACACTTTCTTCCACTTTCTAAGGTTTTCATGTTCAACTCCCCACCATAATCTAACATATACTCTCAAGTTAAATCATGAGGAGTGGCACGTTTGACTCCTAATCCCTATATGTCCCCTATCTTTGAAGCCTCAGTATGCCCATTCACATGTTCAGCCCAGTCTCTAGGCTCTGAACAACACTGTACTTGAAACAGGGGAATATGAACATTCTTCTGTTGATAATTTCACTGGCAGTATGTTGCTCTGGTCTTGCTGCTTGCTTATATTCCAGCCTTGTAACTGAGTAACTTTCATTTTTTTTCTTCTTACTAGTATCTCATACGGACTTAATTTACTGAGTACCCAGGCACTGATACTAGGCCTTCACTAACTGAGCTCCACTAATTTGTTGCCCTCCTGACTGTCTGTTTATTGACTGTTGCTTCAAGCTCCACTGATAGGTGGCCTTTTACCAACTGGCTTGTACTTGTTTTGGCCCCTTGATTAGAATTACCCACTTTCCTTTCTTCCAACAGTCAAACATCCTGGTTTCACATGCTGCCCAATGTGTTCACTTTCCAGATGACCTTGATTCCATGTCCTAGAGATGACCCGGACCAGAGCCCATTGATTGTAGCTCCTGAAGTTCTGCAGTCTGGCTCATCTTGTAAACAGACAAACCCAGCCTCCTCATTGTAAACTCCACAGAGGTGTTTATTCTACTCTCATGTATTTTGCTTGTTTGTTTGTTTTGTTTGCTGTCTTCCATTTTTAGAATGCTATACCTCTTTTCTCCAAAGCCAAATCGATCCTTCAAATCCCAGTTCAAGTCCCACTTCAAGAATATTCTAGTTTTTAACTAGTGCATCATCTCTGAACAATATAATAGCTCAAACCTGCACTATATAATGTTTTATCCTTCTCTACTCCCTCAACTTCAGGTATATAATGCAATTGTTGCTAACAACTAGGTAGTTACAAAACATATATTTGATTCAAATATTAATTATATTTTAATACTCAGGAGACTTCAAAATAGGAAAGTTATGTGAGACTTTTATAAAATAAATTACAAAGTATTGGACTATAAATTTAACCCCAAATAGATAGAGATAGATACACAGATAGATAGAGCACTTACATGATGCCAACCATGTAGAACAATTTAGTCACAAGCTTTCAATCATCTTCCAACATAAATTTTATTCTGCTATTGAGGTATTTCTAGGGAATCTATGCTAAGAAGACCTAAAGACATATTGGAAAGAGTCAAATGTCAATCATATAATGTAGGGAGGTTTTGGATGAACTGCTTTAGGCTATATTCTCTCTCAAGAGGTTACAATGCTTGTTCTAATATATGATGTTGTCAATTTCTTGTACATTTTTAAAAGTATAAAAGTATTTAGCATCGTATGCCCAAACCTGCAACGAACTATATTTAGTATTTTTTATTAAAAATATAAACTATTAAAAAATTTTTGATGGATTAACAGAAAGGAACTATGTTTACAATACAAAATAAAAGGAGATAGCCAGACTAGATCTCTAGAATCTATCTAGTTTTATAATTGTAAAATTCCAGGAAATACCAAATCATGCTGACAATAGATTCTTGAGATAAATTTCATTTCAATAATGTATAGATTGTATGCAAAGAAATGGACCTGGATAATGCTTTTTGATGGTTTCTAACTTTATTCCAAGTCTATAGTCTTTGTGAGTAGAGGACTAAATTGAATCTGGGCTCCACCAAGAAAAAAATAGGTGACCTAGGACAAGTCATTTAACTTCTTTAGTTTATTTACTTTATTTATTTAGTTTATTTATTTAGTTAGTTAGTTTATCTGTATTTACTTATACAGATAACTATAATAAATGCCCTGTCTTCCTCAAGATCATATTATAAAAATTGTGTTAAAAAACTTATATCAAAATGCTTTACAAGTAATGTTTTACATAAAATTTAATTATTATGAATAAATAGAACCTTTAAAAACTAAATCTTTCAAGATTATATTCATTCAAATGGAAATAGCTAAATTTGTGCATGAATATCAGATGACTTCTTCCTGCCTTGGTTACTAATGAATGGCCAAGCTTGTTTCTATAAATAAATGGGCACTGGCATATTTTTTAAAAAATACATGTGGCTCAAGATTAGACTTCTTCCGCTTTGTGGTATCACATGTCTGACCACAGCAACTATTTTAAATCATGGTCTATGCTTTTAATGACATCTAACTCCACACAAAGAGTCATCATTTTTATCTAGACGTGTGTGACGTGCTTGATTGCAATGTGTTTTTTTTTTGTGTGTGTGTGTTGTTGTTTTTCTCTTTATCATTTTAACATGCATTTCTATAATACTTTGGTAATCTTGAAAACACTCAGGTCACCTTACAACATCAAGACAGGCATAGACCACTGTTTCCTTAAGTCTATAAAGTTTTGTTATAAAAATTGGGTAGCCAGCTGTTCTTGGCCTAACATTAATCTAATAAAAGTGTTTCCAAAGAAAGTTTATGGAATGAAAATTCATTGCTATTATTTTCAACTTTAATTGAATTTTTAAATAAAAACACTAAAAACTAAACAATAGTATTGAATACTACTATTGGAATTCATAGCTGGGCATGGCAGTGCATGCCTATAATCCCAGCTACTCAGGATGCTGAGGCAGAAGGACTACTTGAGGCCAGAAGTTTGAGACTAGCCTGAGCAATATAGAAAATCCTGTCTTACATGAAATACAGAAAGAAAGAGAGACAGATGGAAGGAGGAAGGGAGGGAGGGGGAGAAAGAGAATGAGAGAAAGAGAGAGGAGAGAGGGAGGGAGGAGGAGGGAGGGGGAAAGAGAGAAAGAAAGAAAGACAGAAAGAAAGAAAGACAGACAGACAGACAGACAGACAGACAGAAAGAAAGAAAGAAAGAAAGAAAGAAAGAAAGAAAGAAAGAAAGAGGGAGGGAAGGAAGGAAGGAAATAGAGAGAAAGAAAGAAGAGGGAGGGAGGGAGGGAGGAATGAAGGAAGGAAGAAAGGAAAGTAGGAAGGAAAGAGAGAAAGAAAGAGAGAGAGAGAAAGAAAGAAAGAAAGAAAAAAGAAGGAGGGAGGAAGGAAGAAGGGAAGGAAGGAAGGAAGGGGGAAGGAAGGAAGGAGGGAAGGAGGGAAGGAAGGAAGGAGGGAAGGAGGGAAGGAAGGAGGGAAGGAGGGAAGGAAGGAAGGAGGGAAGGAAGGAAGGAGGGAAGGAAGGAAGGAAGGAAGGAGCTGCAAAACGGCATGGACCAGAAACCTCTTAGTGGAGATCTCTGTATTGCTTGTCTATCTGGGTGGTGGGCATTCTGCCTACCCTAGACTCAGTCTCAAGCAGGGAGGCCAGTATTTTTCATACTGGAATTCCTACCTAGACTGTGTCTCTAATGGATGCATGTACTTTGCCACTTTAGTTACTTACTGTATTAATGAAGAAAATGTGACAAAGACTCATGAATATTTGGTCAGTTGTATTGGTTAAAAAGTCATTACTATTGTGGGTTTATGAGTTTTTGACAGTGTTTTAGAGTATTCAAAGGGTTTAACACATGCAGTGTATTGTCCCAGATAGAGCATCTACTTGAAGACAAACAGAGCTACATTCAAATCCTATCAACTTCTGCAACTTAATTATTTGTATTATCTTGGGGAAACAGATAATAATAGTGATAATAATAAAAATAGAGAGAAAGTGAGGAAAAAAGAAATAGAAATCAATCAGCAATAAATACTAAAATAAAAATAATAGGGGTTAAAGGCATAGAGAATATGGACATGGAGAAGGTTTACATAAGTGTGTTCAGGGAAAGTCCCTGTGATGAGACAATGCTGGAACCTGAAGGAACTGGAGAGGTGAGCTTTGTGTTTTTATGAGAAGAGCATTTCAAGGAGAATGGAAAACAAGTACAAATTGCCCAACCTGCCAAATGGGATTTATCCCAGGGGAGGAATATTACAAAACAGCCAGGTAGTTCTAAGAATCCAGGTGCTGACAGAAAGTGCTGGGTACTTGGCAACATGGCAAAACTCTGTCTCTACAAAAAACACAAAAAATTATCCAGGTATGGTGGCGCACACCTGTAGTTCCAGCTCTCTGGGAGGCTGAAGGGGGAGGATTGCTTGAGCCCAGGAGGTCAAGGCTGTAATGAGACAAGATCGTGCCACTGCACTCCAGCCTGGGTGACAAAGAGAGATCCTGCCTCAAAATAAATAAATAAATAAGAAAGTTCTGGGTAGAGCTGAAAAAGCAGCATATTTGGCAGAGATTCTCCACCCCATCACAATGCAGGCATAGCAGAGAAAGAAGAACTACATGGGGTCTCTAGACAGCTGGACTTGGGAAGCTGTAGAAGGCTCCACTGCTCGAGCCATGGAAGAGCATGGAAATTGCTAGAGGACTGGACTCAAAGGGGTTTTCGTCAGAGACAAGGAGCATTCAGCAATGACCCAACTGGGCCAGCAACTGAAGACTCTACAGGATCAGAGATGACAAGGCCATCAAAGTAGCTCAACCAACAGAACAAGAAGGTGGTGTGGAGGGACTCCAGCATAAACAGAGGATGGCAACCAGGTGATCTCTTCCTGCCTTAATACCACAGTTATATGGAAACCCCAGAACAACCAGGTTTTGAAATTAAGTAAGAGGAGATGAGAAATTTTAATTTTTTAGATACATAGGTTATTGAATTGATATTCATATTTCCTCAACTGTTGAGGGCAACAATAATGCAAATATATATATGTATACACACACACACACACACACACACACACACTCACACAAACATACATTTGGCATGGAATACATATATTGCAGGCCAAAACATCCTTTTTATTCCCTATTCTTCTGTGCTTTGGGATTAAGGTTATCTAAACTCTGGATATATCATCAATCATGTATACACCAAATCCTGAATGTGCTAGGTAAATAATACTCTACTGTAATTAAAAACATAAATAACCGTTGTAAATTTGCTATCAAGAAGTACAGAGTGTCTGTCATGGGATCATAAAGCAAGGCTATCTGAGCTCGTCTGGAAGATCAGGGAAGGCATTCTAATTTGGTTTGCTGAGTCAGGGAGCCGTACCACAAGCCTGTCAAGTAGGTATTATAGGTATCATTATAGTTATTTTACAGATGAGGAAAAGGGAGATAGTGTTTGCCTCTGGGGAACGTCAGGCACTGGGGTGCTAAAGAAGTGTCACAAGCTTTATTTAGACTTATCTGCAATTGTTTACATTTCATAAAGAAAATAGTTTTGTGTTTTATTTGTGTAATTAAAAATTCATTTTTACATAAGTTTAAGTAACTCATGCTGGAAGTCACCCAGCAACTAAATGCCAACACTGGAATTTAACTCATTTCTATCAGGTCCCAATGCTCCTAACCAAAATGCTCTAAAAAAAAAAAAAAACCAGCCCATTTCCAACAATAAGACAATGGGTATCTACATCATAGTAAAAATATACATATAATGAGATATTTGAATTCAAGGTCTGAGGTTCAGGTGCTTTTAATGTACAGAGTAGGTCTCCAACAGATCTGCTGGCATTTGCAACCTATTACTGCTGATGGGCAAGTACTCAGAGCCCTTATTTATGTTCATCCACTGTTCTACATAAAACTTGTGACATTCCCTGGCTACTGGTGCTATAACTTGTGTATGCTGCTCTAAGGGATGAAGAAAAGACATGACACTTAAACAAACCCAAAATAAATATCAAGGGCAGCACCTGGGTCTTTGACATCTCCCTAATGGCAGAAATCTTCCCTGTTGTCAAATTTACACACTCTCATAAACCATACATTGCACACACCACCACCACCACCACCTCCGCCTCCACCACAACTGCCACCACCATTTTATCCAGCTCATCATTGGCAGAAAAGAGGGAAATTTATGGATAATTTGGAAAGTAAGAAAGAATGATAGGCCTTATTTTATCACAATGTAGGCATCGTGTTTTTCTGCTTTGGAAATGGGAAGTATATAAGTTAGGAATTCTTTACTATTACAGCAAAAATAATGCAAGACAAAAATGTAATTAAGCATGAAAGGAATTTATGTATTAGAAGACTATTGGATAGTTCTCATCATCTCTAGGAGGCCCAGAAGTTGGAAACCTCCTCCCAAATCCTGCTGCGAAACTGTCCCACAAATTGGCATCACCACCACCGCTGGGCACACACACTGCTGCTTTCAGAGCCAAAACCCCAGACACCAAGCACCATCTGCTGCTACTGGATCCCACAGCACTGACGTGGGTTGTAGCTGTCACCTCCTCACCACTCTCGCCGGCAGCATTCTGCAGTTCCTCTTTTTCATGTAACTAACTTTCGATTCACATCCTGCCACAGACACATCTGATTGGCAGGTACTATGGCATGTGCCCATGTCATAGCTAAAAGAAAGGCTGAAACATTTGTAATTTTTTATTTATGTAATGGGAGATGGGCTCCATATTATAAGGTAGGGGATTCTTCAAGAAGTTTCGGTACTGAGAAATAAAATTGAATGACAAACAGGAACCAAAAAATGCCATGGTAGAGATGAAGAGAACCCAAAACCTCTTTTTCTGTCCTTGTTTCCTTTTCTGAAACAAGTGACTAAATACTCAAAGTCCATGGGGAATATGACAGATCCATTCTAAAAACTAACACCTTCATGTTCAGCCAAGAACCAGCAAGTTCACATCTTACTTGAAGAAAACAAACCTTTGTATAAGTTGGAAGCATAGTATCACAAAGTGGCATACAGGGGTAAATAGATGCCTGATTTGCTTCCAGTCAGCCAGGCCCAATAATGTCCTTCAAGCCTGCAGAACTATTGCCTCTGATGTTCCTCCACCACCCTGAAACAGAACCAATAGCGGCTGATCTTGTGTCTACCCGCAACCTTCTCTTTCGTGACAAAGCAACATGCAAGTGGAATCCCAAGGTAAGACAAATGTTGTCATTTTAGTTAACATTGATTAAACATAGTGTTTACGTCACTAAAATCGTCAGTACTATAATCATAAGTTCTTATTCATGGGCTATGATAATAACTATGTGAAATCTATTTCTGATTAATCTTTCCACCTAGTGCTTAAATATAGAATATTACTATATTCAATACAAATATAAAAACATTTGATTTATATTTATTTAAATATATTTTTTATCCCTAGTATATTTATTAAATATATTAATATAGAGTTATGTATCTAGATCTATAAAAGGGTCAATATTTCGGCAAAAATTTTGCTATTAACTTTTCAAGGAAATTACATACTGGCTTTTAATTACAATGGCCTATGATGACACCTAGTGGCTAATGGGCATATTTTGAAATCCCCAATTTGACCAATATAAATGATTTTTAATTTTTTTAAAATAAATACAGTGATAATGTTTCCTTTTGTGGATTTTGGCACATTTTTAAAGTAAAATAAATATATCAAATTTCTCTTTCCTGTCACAAAGAAACTCTGAAAAAAGTTAACTGTAATTAAGAAAGACCACTTTTTAAAAATTGTACTTACATCGTCAGATAATATATTAGCTATCAATCATAGTTAAAAAGGAAGAAAATAACATTATGCAAGTTCAAAGTGAATGTAGGCATTGTAATCAGTTAACCCTCTAAATTTATAAAAATGTAAGGCAGAATCACTTAACGTGAAATTCCTGGGATGGAAATCATAGATTTATAGTCCTGATTGTGCCTCAAATTAGTTGTGTCCTTGAGCAAATTGTGCAATCTCTCTGTGCCTCAATTCTATAATTAGTAACATGAGAAGGTCAGAATTTACAGGCCTTTTGAGCAATTTCTTATGTGAGACTCTACAAATTGCTGTCAGTCACATGGCCTTCCTCATCTAGGCACCTGTTCCTAACACAACAGAATATGAAATGCTCCATTCTGAATTCAAGGTTTAATATATATCAGCTTTTCTGACACATATATTTTCTTTTAGATCATAAATTCATAATATGTACTTAATATTTAATTCATTTATAGTCCCAATCTTGAAATGTTTGGTAATTTCATTAGCTATTGAACAAAATGATATTAATTTTGAATGCTTCCTCAAGTTGCTTCACTAAAATGAAAAAGGAACCACTAGCATCTTTCCTTAATATTTAATAAGCATATATTTTTCACTTTATTCTAGAAATTTATAATTTTGCATAATTCTATTAAGTCTTCTCACAGACTTCCACTGTCTACATCTGAAGAGCTCTAGTCCTGATAGTTTGAACGTTTGAACTCATTTTATAGTTATCCCTCCCTCTCCGCACTAGGCACCCCCAACACACACACACACACACACACACACACACACACACACACACACGTAAATTCTTACCATCTTTGTCTTGCCATCTTTCTCTTCTTATATTTCAGTTTTCATTTTTTTCTTTTTTTAAAAAAAGTGGATTATTAAATATTTCAAGCATAGAAAAAATTGTAAGTCAATATGTAAAACACCCATGGATCTATCACTTATTTTTGTAATCTTAACATTTTGTCATATTTTATTTAGTAAAAATGGAATACTGCACAGACAATTAAGACCCCATATACCTATCCCCTGCCTCCATCTCTATCAGAAATCACTATCTATATTTAGAGTTTATAATCCACCTGCATGTCTTTATATTTTTATTACATATAACCAGGAGCAATACATGTACGGGTTTACATGTTTTAAAACATTATATAAATGTTTATATAAGTAAATATTCTTCTGCAATTTGTTTGTACAGAAGTTGTTAATTTCAATGTAGTAAAATTTACCAATCTTTTTCTTTAAGTTTTATACCTTAGTTTTTCTTTAAGAAATCTTTCTGTAGCTCAGGGTCATAACAGGTTCTGTACTAATTTTTTAATTAAATCTTTAATATTTTTGCCTTTAACCCATTGTTTTGGGTATAATGTAAGGCTGGTATCTGAGGTCATGGGCTTTTTTTTCTATATAGATAATCGGTCATCCCAGCATCAATCTATTGAATAATCCATATTGTGCTCTGATTTTCACCTCTGTAGTATTTTATTTTTCCATATGAGTAGGGCTGTTCTGTGCTGTACATTTTTCTATTTGTCTTTACTTGCACAGATATTATACCATTTTAATTTCTACAATTTTAGAGTAAACCTGGATATCGGTTCTCTCCACCATTTTGGAAAATGTCTTAATTATTTTTTACTCTTTTTTGAGGTATGAATTATAGCAAGAACTTGTCAAAGTCAAAGGAAATTGCTCTACTGTAATTTTGCTTGGAATTACATTGAATGTATAGGTTAATGAAGACAGAGTTATATTTATAATATTTTCCTCCATGAACATAATATAGCTCCTTATTTATTTAGGTTCTCTGTTTCATGAAACTACTAAGTTTTCTCTAGAAACTCTTGCACATCTCTTGTTAAATTTATTCCTAGGTTCCATATAATTTTATCACAATTTTAAATGCTATGGTTTAAGCTATATTTTATCTTTGCTTATGCTATATAAAGAAAAGCAGATTATTTTTACGTGTTAATCTTGTATTTCAACAGCGTAATTAAACTTTCTTTAGTGTCAAGTAATTTGCCTATATGTTCTTTTTAGATTTTCTTAGTAAGCTGATAGGCCTTCCCTATGACAATAATAATTTTGTCTCTTCACTGCTAATAGTTATACTTGTTTGCACTTTGCACTAGGTGTGGCCTCCAGCAAACATTTAATAGAAACAATGACAGTAATAGGACAGTACTTCAAAGGTTTTATTCTTAATATGACATTTGCTGTAAGTTTTTGGTAGAAACTCTTCACAGGATTCAGGGATTTCTCCTTTATTCCTAGTCTTCTTTATTGTAAATCAGTATTGCATATTTATCAAATACTTTTTCTGCACTTATTGGGATAATCACATGACTTTCATCTATTAATGCGATGAAATACACTAAAATATTTTATAATAGTAAAACTTCTTTGCATTCTAAAACAAGCCCAATTTAGTTCTAATGTATTCTTTTGCATATTAAAGATGAGCCTATAATTTTCCTTTCTCATGTTGTCTTTCTTCGGTTTTGATATAGAGGTTTTACTAGTTTCATAAAATGTGTTTAGAGATACACTCATTTTCTATTCTTTGGAAAGTTTATGTCATATTTGGATTTCCTGTCCTTTGCATAGTTGATTAAGGTTCCTCTAAAATTAGCTGGAGCTGGATTTGTGGTTTTGTGAGTGTGGATGAAGATAGGGGCATAGGAGGAGGTGTGCTGATGCACTAGGAGATGAAAATATTCAAATTTTCATTTAATTCCCATAATAGTTAAAGATCTATTCAGATTTTCTAATTATTTTTTGTCAGCTAAGTGACATTTTTGTAGAAATATGACCATTTATTTTTTGGTCATAGTATTCTCCTGTGATTCTGTTTCATATCTATTAGAACTGTAGATCTGTAGCCATGACCTTTTCTTATCCCTAATATTGTTAAAGGTCATCTCTCTATTTCTACTATATCACTTTTGTCAGAAAGACTTCCTTATTTTTACGTAGAAACAAATTTGTTTCTTAACCCTTTTTGTATTCCTTTTCTATTAAATTATGACAGTTGTTTTTATTTCATTAATTTGTGCTTTTACCTGTGTACTATTCCTTTCCCTCTGATTTATATGTTTTTTTGGTACTGTTTTCCTATCTTCTTTGTTGATCACATAGCTCATTATTTTGCAGTTTTCTTTCTTTTTAAAATACAAGCATTTAATGTCATATAAATTATCCTTAAAAAAATCATTTTAGGCCTGGCACAGTCATTAATGCCTGTAATCCTAGCACTTTAGGAGGCCAAGCTGGGGGGATTGCTTGAGGCCAGGAGGACGAGACCAGCCTGGGCAACATAGCCAGACGATATCTGTACAAAACTTTAAAAAAAAAAAATAGTCATGGCGGGCCGGGCCCGGTGGCTCACACCTGTAATCCCAGCACTGGGAGGCCAAGGCAGGTGGATCACGAAGTCAGGAGATTGAGACCATCCTGGCTAACACGGTGAAACCCTGTCTCTATTAAAAATACAAAAAATTAGCAGGGTGTGGTGGCAGGCGCCTGTAGTCCCAGCTAGTTGGGAGGCTGAGGCAGGAGAATGGCGTGAACCCGGGAGGCGGAGCTTGCAGTGAGCCGAGATCGGGCCACTGCACTCCAGCCTGGGCGACAGAGCGAGACTCCGTCAAAAAAAAAAAAAAAAAAAAAAAGTCATGTGGTACATGCCCTAGCTACTCTGGAGCCTGAGGTGGGAGGATTGCTTGAGCCCAGGAGTTCAAGGTTACAGTGATCTATGATAACACCACTATGCTGCAGCCTGTCTCTTTAAAAAAAAAAAAAATCACTTAAGCATTCTCCCACAAATTCTGATACACGACATGTTTATTATCTTTTATTCACATTTTCCAGTTCCTATTTTGATTCCCTGTTTGATCCATTCATTATTTAGAGTGTGTTTTTGTTTTATTTTGTTTTAGTTTCTAAACGCATGAGGAATTTTTAAGACATCTTTTGAAGATTAAATTCTATTTTTTACATTTTATTGTGGTGTAAACACTTAACATGAAATCCACCCTCTTAACAGATTTTTAAGTGTACAGTACAATACAATACAGTGTACTGTTAGCTATAGGCACAATGTTGTATAGCAGATCTCTGAATTTCTTCATCTTGCATAACCGAAACTTTGTATCCATTGATTAGCAACTCCCCATTTCT
Organism: Homo sapiens; assembly: GCF_000001405.40. NCBI lineage: Eukaryota > Metazoa > Chordata > Mammalia > Primates > Hominidae > Homo > Homo sapiens. The sequence continues at coordinate 192,614,732 of NC_000001.11, forward strand.
TACTTCTCTCACTCTCTGAAAACCATCACACCATTCTCTGCCTTTAGAAGTTTGACTCTTTTAGATAGATTATTTCTCATAGAAGTGGAATCATGCAGTGTTTGTCCTGTGACTGGCTTACTCCCCTTAACATAATTTCCTTAAGATTCATCCATTTTGTTGCATATTGCAGGATTTCCTTCTTTTTTAAGGCTAAATAACATTCCATTGTATGTATATACCACATTTGCTTTATCCATTTTCTCAGCTCTTTAGGTTATTTTTATATATAGGCTATTGTGAATAATGCTGAAATGAACATGGAAATGCTAATATCTCTTTAAAATCCTGATTTCAATTTTTTTGGTTAAATACCAAATTTGCTAGATCTCATGGTAGTTTTTTTTAATTTTTTGAGGAAACTCCTTACTGTTTTCCATAGTTGCTACAACATTTGGCATTCCCATCAAGAGTGTACAAGGGTTCTGATTGTTCTACATCCTCACCAATACTAGTCTTTGGTTCTTTGACAGTAGCCTCTTAACAGGTGTGAGATGACATTTCATTGTGGTTTTGACTTGCATTTCCCTGATGATTAGTGACACTGAGTAGCTTTTCATATATCTGTTACATGTTTTTATGTCTTCTTTGAAAATATGTCTATACAATTCTTTTTAATTGGGCTTTTGTGTTATTGAGTGGCGGGATTTCCTTACCCTTAAAACCCACAAAACTATGGCATGAATATACACATAGCAAAGTATAAAGTTTATTTTTATAATACCTACTTTATTCCCACTACAAGGATGCCAGGACAGTTTAACTCTCATGAAGCCCCTCTTAACCTTCTCATTATTGTTGGCAGCATTTTAGTTCCACTTTTTTCATATCACTGAAATTATTATTATTGTTCATACAAACAATAGTTGTGTATGTAAAACTCCACGTGTACCATTTTCTCTGTTCACCATTTCTTTTTTGCATCTCAATCTCCCTGTAGCTCTAATTTTTTTCTTTCTTTAGTATATGCATTTGAATCTTTCATTGAGAATCAAATAGTACGTATAGAACTTTAAATATATACAGAATGTGTAGTTTTTTCTCTTAATATTTGAATAAAATTTTCCATTATTTTCTTGTTTCTGTTTTTGCTGCTGAGGTATCTGCAATTATTATTTCAAAGCAATCTTTTATTTAAGTCTAATTACTATTAATTTTTTCTCTTTTACTTTGGCAAAATTCTACAATTTTATCATGCTGTATCAACATGTGGAGGTACTGATATAAAGATAGATGTATAGATAGATAAACGGATGGATGGATAGATAGATAGATAGATAGATAGATAGATAGATAGATAGATAGATTTCTGCTCAGGATTTAAACATAGTGAATCTTATTAATCTTTTATTAGATATGAAAATTCTCACCAAATTACCTTACATACTTAATCTTATTATATCATCATGCTATTTTTTGAATAATGTTCTTAGGTCCATCTATTAGTTCACAAATTCTTCCTTTAGCTAATCTGTTGCTTAATCTGTCCACTAGTTTGTTTTTTAGTGATTATATTTCTTACCTCCAAAAGTCATCTGTTTTGTTTTCACATCTGCTTAATCTTTTGAAATAAGGTTTTGTTGTTTTCAAAATTGAGAATCTTTTTTTAAAATAGATTATTCAGTTTAAATATTTTTGTTTTATAGTTTCTATTCAGCAATTCTATTAGCTGAAGGTCTTAGGAATCTAATCTCGCTTCTTTTTTAATCTGGTATGTTTTCATGAGGGTTTGTTTGCTTGTGTGTTTGTAAATTTTGGATATTAAGCTCATCTTCAGCATAGATTTATCCATAGGAGTCTTGTGTGGCCTGTGTTTACAGATGTCATTCCGGGGATATATTGTCTGCTTTCTGCTAGGTGCCCCAAGGATATTACCAGCCCAAACTATTTTTACATTGATTCCTCACTTGAGAGTTTTAGGAGCTCATGGATAGGGTAAATTTAAATCCCATTACCATGATTACAAATTATCACAGAAGGCTTCATTTTTTTCATCTGCAGCCCAGGGCCAAGAGAGCTAAGCTTTCTTGTTGTCTCCTATGCCACTGGAAAGATATTTTCTAGTTCAACCTATTTCTGATGGTTATCCCTCTGAAAAACACAGATTAGAGGGTTGGTGGATCTCAATACAAACTTCCCACATGTACATGCATCATACCCCAGGTGCTAGCTTCCTTCTTTTTCCTTAACCAGGAAAGAAACAAAAAAGATTATTTGCCAGGCTGAGTCACAATTCCAGTTTTCCATCCTACCATTATGATTTTCAATTCCCACTTTGTATAGGAAATTGAGAATTTTCCTTTCTTACTAGTAAGAGCAACCATGAATTTAAAATAATTTTAAAACTATTTTAGCCAGAAAATCTCTTTGTTTTGTAATGGAAGCATTTTCAGTTACTTGGTTGGTTCAAAACATTGCTGGAAATAAAAATAGTCACCTTCTTTCCCATTCATTTACAATCTCCTTGAATTGACAGCAACAGTGTACATAAGCTAGGGGTAACTACAGATAAAATACTGCTTTCCATTATAAGTGAAAACACTGTTCTCAAATAATGGCCATGATCACTAATCTTTTAAAGGTATATATAGTGAATTGGCATTATCATGGGAAAATATTATCAGCAACAAAATAATATTAATAAAATTTATCAATTATTAAGCACTTGAGATGTATTAGTTATTACTAATCCTTATAATAATTTTCCTCAGAAAACTAACATTTATAATATAAAGTAACTTGTTCATAATCATGCACATAGTTTGATGACTCAGTTGGGAATATAGGTCCTTCTCTTTCTAACACCAAAATTGGTTATCTGTACATCAAGGGCTTCCATATGTCATAATTGACCATGATTCATGTTGCTTATTTGGGATTTGTTTATCTAGCAACTCTTTAACTCAAGCTTGCCCAAGTAAAACTCTCTATCTTTGTCTTGTTCGCTATATTCACGTCTATCAGCATGTATATGCAGAACTTATTTAATCTGTAAACCTGCCTAAATTGTTGCAAATAGAGATTAAAGTCATAAAAAATATGCAAAATGCAATTAAGCATACAGACTGTGTCTTATTTATCTGTATAATCTACTGTTTCACATAGTACATGACTTTTTAATACATAAAGTCAAAGTGATCTGAAAATACTTTAATTCCTAATATTGTAAATATTTATCTAAGTGCTTCATAAAGTACCTTATAGCTTACAATAAAATATATTATAAATACAATCTTTCTTATAAATATTGAAACATCAGTCCTTAGCACTATGTCTATAAAAACCTGGAACATTTATTTTATGCAAAAAAAAAGAGAACAGCTGAATTTTAAGATTTAAAAATTTAAAACCATAATCTGTCAAGTAATAAATGTGTGAAATTTCACTGGGGCCTGTTGTGGGGTGGGGGGAGGCGGGAGGGATAGCATTAGGAGATATACCTAGTGTTAAATGACGAGTTAATGGGTGCAGCACACCAACATGGCACATGTATACATATGTAACTAACCTGCACGTTGTGCACATGTACCCTAAAACTTAAAGTATAATTTAAAATATATATATATGAAATAAAAAAATAAGTGTGTGAAATTTAACAAATTTAAGTGTGCAAAAATCTTTATTTTTTTAAAGTGGACATATGTTCTGTCGGTAAGTTTAGACTTGCTATGAAATAAACCACAATGTAACTTAAGCCATGGAGTTCCGGGAGGACTGTGGCATCTTGATGTGATCCATGGCAATAACCAAAAAATAGGACACATTTCTGTCATCCCTCACCCTCCTCCACTTCCAGGATTGGCCTGGGACAGGAAGGTATAGCCACCCTGTGTTATAACTAAGTAACAAATATTAGTTTCCTGAGGAAAATTATTATAAGGATTAGTAATAACTAATACATTCCATTGCTTAGTAACTGGCTCTCATCTTCTCAGGAAAGAAGCTTCTTGCTGCTACTCAGACTTTTTTTCCCTTCTCTGATACTAAAACTCTTTATTTAACCTGGGAACAGAGGTGGAAAAATTTCTACTTGCCCCCAAAATTTATATTTTATATTCTGATTTAGGCATTTGAACTTTGAAAGCCCAGTAATCCTATTTTGTTGTTGTAGTTGTGTATCACCTGCACGCTGTGTATCATCCTTCCCTGAAGCAGTGGAAGCTGCAGGTCTGGCTGCCCAGATGTTTGGGATAGGTGGGAGTGGTAGAGTGTGGAAAGGTAAAGAAATTTTTAGAGAAAGAAAGTGATTTGCCTACTTGATCTACCAAGAAAAGACAAGTCGTGGAAGCCAATAAAAGTTGGCTTAAACAGGAGTAAAGATATTAGCTTGAACCACATAAAGTTATCCATATGCTACCATTTTTACCTTATAAAAACACAATTTCATATGGTTCAACCTAATAAAAGTGTTATGTTATGAGTCAGTTCATCTCACATAATGTATTCTCTCTTCAGCAGAAATCAAGGACCATTCTCAATCTTTATTTCCATGTTAAGGAGGAATATAATTTCCTTCATAATGCCATCCTAAGAGACTAGGGTTGTCAACTGTCCATCATCAAAGAGTTTTTCCATTTCATTATAATGTAAAGGCTATTTGGGCAGATTGTGAAGCCTAGGGAGTGGTACAGTATACTTTGGGGTATAAGAGTGTACACATTGAAGCCAGATGGCCTGGATTCTAACGCCCAATCCACAATCCACTATTTGCTAGCTGTATGACCTTTTTATGCCCCAATTTTGAAACATCTATAATGCAGGGATAATCACAGTATCTATTTTATAGATTTGTTATGAGAATTAATTAAATTATTTGTAAGGCTTACAGATCAGTGCTTAGTATATTCTATGGCAAATGAGTATTTATTATAATTGTTGTTATTATAATATATTATGGGTTGAATTATGCCCTCCATCCTATATTTGTATGTTGAAGGCAAATCTATAGAGACAGAAAATAGACTAGTGGTTGCCTGGCTCTCAGGGAGGGTGGAGAGTGGAAGTGGATATGTGGGATCTTACAGGAGTGATGGATATGTTCTAAAATTGGATTGTGGCGGTGGTTGCACAAATACTATATATTTACACATAAAATCTCAATTTCTACAAGAAGGATGAATGATTTTATGGTATGTAAATAACTCCTCATGAAAGCTATTAAAAATGACTTATTGATAATTTTTCATTAAAATATATATTGATACTATTTGTATTTTCATAGCCAACATCATGAAGCTGTAAACATGTAAGGCAAATAGAGAAGCTTAGCACTGTGGATAAAGCTGTTGCCATAGCACGGCTAATTAACATCTTTAACATCCCATTTTTTTTCTATTAGCAAAACCATCTCTGGACATCCTCACCATAGAAACATTCCTACTCTTTAATTATGTGTGTTACTTTATTGTGTTTTATAGTTTTCATCTAAGGAGAAACTGATTGATCCCACTATGGGACTGATTGCCTAATATCCAGACAGCATTCACTGTCTTTTATGTTCAGGATATTGCCACTTGAGAAAGGATTATTTACTGTGACAAATCTTAAATGGGAAATGAAGCAAAATTAACTAGTAAAACATTTTCTGTGCCAGAGTCATATGTGCATTGCAAGAAGGAAAAACAAACTTCCCTTGAGAGTGGTTTTAATTATTCACAGTCTCTGACATGATTTCAATATAACCCAACACAAATGCTGGCTGATTTTTCTTTGCCAATTTTGGTGTGTATTACAACAATCTACTCCACTTTTCAGGGGAGAATGCTTTCCCTTTCCAAACCTCATGGAGTCCATACTCAAAGCATTCTGACTCCCCAAGAAAACTACATCAACTGAACAGAAACTTAAATTATTTGGGGCAGTTTCCTATGAATCCTTGCAAGCCCTTTTGGATCCTTTCTTGGAACAAACTTTTAACCCATTTATGGGACCAGATAAACACACTTTAAATCCCCAGGCTCATGGACTGCTGGCCACCTATATTTGAAGTTTTTACTACTCCTCTAGCAAAACGCAAAGTCCTATGTGACCTTCTCAATATTATCTTGCAAAATTTTTTTTATTATACTTAAAGTTCGAGGGTACATGTGCACAATGTGCAGGTTTGTTACGTAGGTATACATGTGCCATGTTGGTGTGCTGCACCCATTAACTCATCATTTATATTAGGAATATCTCCTAACGCTATCCCTCCCCTCTCCCTCCACTCCATGACAGGCCCTGGTGTATGATGTTCCCCTTCCTGTGTCCAAGTGTTCTCATTGTTCAGTTTCCACCTATGAGTGACAACATGCTGTGTTTGGTTTTTTGTCCTTGCGATAGTTTACTGAGAACGATGGTTTCCAGCTTCATCCATGTCCCTACAAAGGACATGAATTCATCCTTTTTTATGGCTGCATAGTATTCCATAGTGTATATGTGCCACATTGTCTTAATCCAGTCTATCATTGCTGGACATTTGGGTTGGTTCCAAGTCTTTGCTATTGTGAATAGTGCCGCAATAAACATACGTGTGCATGTGTCTTTATAGCAGCATGATTTATAATCCTTTGGGTATATACCAAGTAATGGGTTGGCTGAGTCAAATGGTATTTCTAGTTCTAGATCCTTGAGGAATTGCCACACTGCCTTCCACAATGGTTGAACTAGTTTACAATCCCAACAACAGTGTAAAAGTGTTCCTATTTCTCCACATCCTCTCCAGCACCTGTTGTTTCCTGACTTTTTAATGATCGCCGTTCTAACTGGTGTGAGATGGTATCTCATTGTGGTTTTGATTTGCATTTCTCTCATGGCCAGTGATGATGAGCATTTTTTCATGTGTCTGTTGGTTGCATAAATGTCTTGTTTTGAGAAGTGTCTGTTCATATCCTTTGCCCCCTTTTTGATGGGGTTGTTTTCTTCTTGTAAATTTGTTTGAGTTCTTTGTAGATGTTGGATATTAGCCCTTTGTCAGATGGATATTAGCCCTTTGTCAGATAGGTAGATGGCAAAAATTTTCTCCCATTCTGTAGGTTGCCTGTTCACTCTGATGGTAGTTTCTTTTGCTGTGCAGAAGCTCTTTAGTTTAATTAGATCCCATTTGTCAATTTTGGCTTTTGTTGCCATTGCTTTTCATGTTTTAGACATGAAGTCCTTGCCCATGCCTATGTCCTGAATGGTATTGCCTAGGTTTTTTTCTAGGGTTATGGTTTTAGGTCTAACATTTAAGTCTTTAATCCATCTTGAATTAATTTTTGTATAAGGTGTAAGGAAGGGATCCAGTTTCAGCTTTCTACTTATGGCTAGCCAGTTTTCCCAGCACCATTTATTAAATAGGGAATCCTTTCCCCATTTCTTGTTTTTGTCAGGTTTGTCAAAGATCAGATGGTAGGAGATGTGTGGTATTATTTCTGAGGGCTCTGTTCTGTTCCATTGGTCTATATCTCTGTTTTGGTACCGTTACCATGCTGTTTTGGTTACTGTAGCCTTGTAGTATAGTTTGAAGTTGGGTAGTGTGATGCCTCTAGCTTTGTTCTTTTGGCTTAAGATTGTCTTGGCAATGTGGGCTCTTTTTTGGTTCCATATGAACTTTAAAGTAATTTTTTCCAATTCTGTGAAGAAGTCATTGGTAGCTTGATGGGGATGGCATTGAATCTATAAATTACCTTGGGCAGTATGGCCATTTTCACAATATTGAATCTTCCTATCCATGAGCATGGAATGTTCTTCCATTTGTTTGTGTCCTCTTTTATTTCATTGAGCAGTAGTTTGTAGTTCTCCTTGAAGAGGTCCTTCACATCCCTTGTAAGTTGGATTCCTAGGTATTTTATTCTCTTTGAAGCCATTGTGAATGGGAGTTCACTCATGATTTGGCTCTCTGTTTGTGTGTTATTGGTGTATAAGAATGCTTGTGATTTTTGCACATTGATTTTGTATCCTGAGACTGCTGAATTTGCTTATCAGCTTAAGGAGATTTTGGGCTGAGACAATGGGGTTTTCTAAATATACAATCATGTCATCTGCAAACAGGGACAATGTGATTTCCTCTTTTCCTAACTGAATACCCTTTATTTCTTTCTCTTGCCTGATTGCCCTGGCCAGAACTTCCAACACTATGTTGAATAGGAGTGGTGAGAGATGGCATCCCTGTCTTGTGCCAGTTTTCAAAGGGAATGCTTCCAGTTTTTGCCCATTCAGTATTATATTGGCTGTGGGTTTGTCATAATAAACTCTTATTATTTTGAGATACATTCCATCAATACCTAATTTATTGAGAGTTTTTAGCATGAAGGGCTGTTGAATTTTGCCAAAGGCCTTTTCTGCGTCTATTGAGATAATCATGTGGTTTATGTCTTTGGTTCTGTTTATATGATGGATTGTGTTTATTGATTTGTGTATGTTGAACCAGCCCTGCATCCCAGGATCCCAGGGAAGAAGCCCACTTGATCATGATGGATAAGCTTTTTGATATGCTGCTGGATTCGGTTTGCCAGTATCTTATTGTGGATTTTTGCAATGATGTTCATCAGGGATATTGGTCTAAAATTCTCTTTTTTTGTTGTGTCTCTGCCATGCTTTGGTATCAGGATGATGCTGGCCTCATAAAATGAGTTAGGGAGGATTACCTCTTTTCTATTGATTGTAATAGTTTGAGAAGGAATGGTACCAGCTCCTCTTTGTACCTCCTGTAGAATTCGGCTGTGAATCCATCTGGTCCTGGACTTTTTTGGTTGGTAGGCTATTAATTATTGCCTCAATTTCAGAGCCTGTTATTGGTCTATTCAGGGATTCAATTTCTTCCTGGTTTAGTCTTGGGAGGGTGTATGTGTCCAGGAATTTATCCATTTCTTCTAGATTTTGTAGTTTATTTGCATAGAGGTGTTTATAGTATTCTCTGATGGCAGTTTGTATTTCTGTGGGATCAGTGGTGATAACCCCTTTATCATTTTTTATTGCGTCTATTTGATTCTTCTCTCTTTTCTTCTTTATTAGTCTTGCTAGCGGTCTATCAATTTTGTTGATCTTTTCAAAAAATGAGCTCCTGGATTCACTGATTTTTTGAAGAGTTTCTTTGTGTCTCTATCTCCTTCATTTCTGCTCTGATCTTAGTTATTTCTTGCCTTCTGCTAGCTTTTGAATGTGTTTGCTCTTGTTTCTCTAGTTCTTTTAATTGTGATGTTAGGGTGTCAATTTTTTATCATTCCTGCTTTCTCTTGTGGGCATTTGGTGCTATAAATTTCCCTCTACACACTGCTTTAAATGTGTCCCAGAGATTCTGGTATGTTGTGTCTTTGTTCTCATTGTTTTCAAAGAACATCTTTATTTCTGCCTTCATTTTATTATGTACCCAGTAGTCATTCCAGAGCAAGTTGTTCAGTTTCCATGTAGTTGTGCGGTTTTGAGTGAGTTTCTTAATCCTGAGTTCTAGTTTGATTGCACTGTGGTCTGAGAGACAGTTTGTTATAATTTCTCTTCTTTTACATTTGCTGAGGAGTGCTTTACTTCCAACTATGTGGTCAATTTTGGAATAAGTGTGATGTGGCACTGAGAAGAATGTATATACTATTGATTTGGGGTGGAGAGTTCTGTAGCTGTCTATTAGGTCCTTGGTGCAGAGCTTGGTGCAGAGCTGAGTTGAATTCCTAGATATCCTTTTTAACCTTCTGTCTTGTTGATGTGTCTAATGCTGACACACGGGGTGTTAAAGTCTCCCATTATTATTTTGTGGAGTCTAAGTCTCTTTGTAGGTCTCTAAGGACTTGCTTTATGAATCTGGATGCTCCTGTATTGGGTGCAAATATATTTAGGATAGTTAGCTCTTGTTGTTGAATTGATCCCTTTATCATTATGTAATGGCCTTCTTTGTCTCTTTTGATCTTTGTTGGTTTAAAGTCTGTTTTGTCAGAGACTAGGATTGCAACCTCTGCCTTTTTTTTGTTTTCCATTTGCTTGGTAGATCTTCCTCCATCCCTTTATTTTGAGCCTATGTGTGTCTCTGCAAGTGAGATGGGTCTCCTGAATACAGCACACTGATGGATCTTGACTCTTTATCCAATTTGCCAGTCTGTGTCTTTTAATTGGAGCATTTAGCCCATTGACATTTAAGGTTAATATTGTTGTGTGTGAATTTGATCCTGTCACTATGATGTTAGCTGGTTATTTTGCTCATTAGTTGATGCAGTTTCTTCCTAGCATCACCAGGCCTGCCCTACAAGGGCTCCTGAAGGAAGCACTAAACATGGAAAGGAACAACTGGTACCAGCCACCGCAAAAACATGCCAAATTGTAAAGAATCTTGGCTTTCTTAAGGAAAGAGACCATATCTTTATACATCTTCAAATAGACAGCACATAAAACTGTTAAATGCTGCCCATTTTCCAAGGACCTTTGCAATGCTACCTCGGCAGTAATATACTTCTGATATCCACAAACAAATCTAATTTCTTATTCCTTTTATATCCTCTATAGATTGTACAACTTTGAATACATTTATTATGTTCTCTTTCTAGTAATTTGATTAATCTTATTACCGATTATACTGTAAGCTTGTGAAAATAAGAGATATATGATACTACCTGCATTCACTGTTCTGCCCCAATCCTCAATCCCACTCAAAATCATTCTCAGAAAGTACTTGCTTGATAATGTCAATTAAATCAAATAGTAATGGTTATGCCATCCTTATTTATAACTACAACATTGAAGTATATCGTATCAATTCAAACTGCAGAAATAATGAACAAACAAGATTTTTCTGGTTTATTTAAGGAGCAAGAAATATTTGTAGTCAATGAAAAGAATTTCTCTGTGAAAATTTTGAAGGGGCTAACTCTCTCTGCCAATACTCCTTTGCCAATATATCTACAAACTTCCCCATCTCTCATGTTTTGCAAGTTCCCATCAGTATCTGTGGTGACTTTTATATCACTCTACCTTCTGATACACAAAGCAGTGTGGTATAGGAAATAAGATATGTGCTTTGAAGTCACATAGTCCTAATCCCAAATTACACAGCTCAGGTGAAAGACCTAAGTATGCTGCTTACCCCATCTGAAGTTTAGGTTCCTTTTCTCCAATATAAAGACTGAAATAACAACTTCATATGGTTGTTGTGAAGATCACGTGAGAAAATGTGTTTAAGGCACTCTTTAAAGTGCCTGTCATATTAAAGGTACTTTAAAAAGTTGGATTAAAAGTATTGATTCTATTAAACAAATATTTATTAAGTACCCACTGAAGGCCATGCACTAATTTGTTCCAAGGACCCAATAATGAACAAGACAGACACAAGGCCTATTCTCAAATTGCTTAGAGTCCAGTGAAGGAGACAGACAATTCAGCATGCAAATGTTGTACCTGGTGATAAGCACAGTAATGCAAAAATAAAGACAAGAGTGTCTTTAGGGTACAAATGAGGAGCACCTCTAAAATCAGAAGACTCATTCTTCCAATAATTTCAAATTGCCACCTAAATTCAAAAACTCAGTATATACAAACTGTGGTCATTGTTAACAATAAAATCTATTGGATGATTCAGTGATGAAGGAACAATGCAAGGTACCAGCTACCATATAATCACCTTACAGAATTATCATGCCTTCTAGGCTATACCACATTCTAGAATCCACAAGCACACTCTTGTAGAGAAACAGCAATCAAATCTACAAACAAATATTTATCCTTTAGATATATAGGAAAGCCTCAAGATAAAAACATACTCGATACACAGGTCATGCATTTGCATATTTTTCTACTTTGGCAGCAACTGAAAATTCAGTGTGAAGAGACAGGGACTAATAAGTAGTTTCTGCAAAGCAGATGCCCTTGTTGTGCTTCTAAAGCCTGGTTTCTGTATTTTTTAAAATAGCATGCTAATTTTAAAAGACAAAATAATAAAAGACATACAGGGTTGTGAATGGAAAAGTTTCAAAACTCACAAGGCCAATTTCTCGTTATAAGAGGTCCCTGGGGAGAGATAAGAAACTGGTATTTCACTTGTCAAACAGGAACTTGTGTGCTATTTTATACTTTGCTTTGCTTATAGCAACCTTAGCAGACCATGAATGTTATAGAGGAAGAATGCTATAGGGGAAGAGTTTAGGTAAATTAAGTCTAATGGCTTTGCTGCTTAACGTAAATGACAGCAGTTGACAGTAGGGCCCTGAGTTCATTTCAGGGGATAGGCTCTCTGTCTCTGAAGAGGGTTGGCAAAGAGCTGCAGGATAAAGGTGACACCAGGCTACAGCAACTTCCCCTGACTGGCATCCACCACACTCCTTGGACTTCCACTCTGCTCTTCTCTGCTCCCAGCAGAGGGGTGAATGTATATGTTCTGACTTTTGCTTGCCTTTAGCCTGAATGTTACATGACTTGAGCAAGTTGTAACCTAGAAAAACCTTTTATTTCCCTTAGGTGTCCTTCCATTTCTAGTCAGCTCTGCTTAAGTTGATTTCAAATATTGTCCTTTCTTATAATCAAAATATTTTTCTTGGGTATGTCTCCCAGATAGTTAGCAGATATATATGTTACTATTATATTTCTATAAAAATGGTACCCTCCTAGCTCTTATTAATTCCCCATTCGTCTCACCTGGATTCTGTGTAAGAGTGTGTATACTCTCCAACTGAGAGATTAATCATGAGGAGGAAATTAAGTCTTCTATGTCATCAACTGGAAAAAAAGATAAAATTAAATATCATTAATTAATTTAAATAATACAAAAAATTTCTCACTTTAGTTCGCTGATTTTCCTCTGCTTATTCACAGCTGTAGCATATATATATATATATATATATATATATATATATATATATATATAAATAATTATAAATTATCTCTAATGTGCCAATATAGGACCCAATATAGCTATGATTGCGTTCATAATGATTCCTTACAACAAAACCTTAATGTTGTAAGATAAATATCTTTGTAATTAGTGCCCTAGATTTTGCTCAGTGAGGATAAAATGGGACAGCATTCACTAATGTTCTGGAGTCTGTTCAGAGATGAATAGTTGCCAAAAACTACTGGAAGGTTGAAGACTTCCTAAAGTTTATCTAATTAAAGGCCATATGATATTAAGTCTCAATTTCCTCTTCTGAAAAATGAAGATAATAGAATCTGCCTCTCAAGGATGTTAAAAAGATTAGGTAAAGTTCCTAGCTCATTGTGCCCATTTCATGCTCTATGTAAACGGTAGTTATTGTTATTATTACTTTGACTAATAAATACTTCATAATAGTGTTGGGTGCATCTATAAACACAAAATGAAACAAAACTCTTCAAATATAGCCATAACAAACCTGTATGATAGCAGACAAAAACCCTGACCCAGCAGCTGACACGGTCACTAGATATGACTCTACATACTCGGCTGTGAAACCTGGGCCATGCACAACCCTTCTCTCTTTCGATTTTGTCATTTGAAAATTTAAGGAGTCAACCTAAATTGTTTGCAATGCTCCCAGAGCTTACAAACTATCATTTTTGTGAATCCTCTAGATTAAACAGTGCCCATCTGCAGTATCTGAGAGACCTAATGTCTTGCGTCTGAATCCATCCTTAATTTTGTCAGGAAATAAATATAACTAGATAATATACTATAGCTTTTCTGGGGAGGAGGAGCTACTATATTTATTTCTCTAGAGAACTACAAACTAGAACACTTGAACTCCTAAACTCCAAACCATATCTTCCTAGGCAACTCTGCAGGACTCCAAATTGACTTATTTCTGTTGAAAGAATAGGCTACTGTAGCAACTGATAAAGAGCCTATCTCTCAGGGACCCAGAGAGCACTTGACAGATACTATCACATTAAAGCTGTTTGTTGTTAGAGGAAAGCTAGTATGGAAAATCATTCTGATAACTAATCTGGAACACTGACAGCCAAGTGACTTTGTCTTCAGTGCCAGTGAACAAGGACAGTGCAACTCTCTAAATTCTATTTACTCATCAAGCCTCCTAATTAGATCAACTGCAATTGCCCAAGCAACTTCAGTGACCCTTGTTAGAGATTTCTCACCCAGCTGCTACTGCTGTGCAGTAGGCTTCTGAGACCCCAGCCCTGACTCTGCCTCCCTCACCACCACCTCATTACTCCTGGCTTGTGAATCTCAACACTGTCCTTTACTCACCCAGGAACGTCACCATCAGCAACAATGTCAATGCCTCTCCACTCATTGCAACTTCACAGCCAAATGCCCTCATGACAGTTTATCCAACTGTTAGGAGTATTATTTGAATGCACTCCTCTAAACCCTTTAATAGAGAATACAATTTTCCACAACCCAAATTAAAATGTACACAAAATTTCTCTTCTGGTATCTATCCCTTAGCTTTATGTCCCCTTCCAGCAAAACTAGCTAAATAATTTGTGATGCCCAATGCAAAATGAAAATGAAAGGTCCTTTGTTTCAAAATCAAGAATATTAAGACAGTGACAACAGAGCCCTAAAACCAAATTCTGGCCCTGTGTTACCATGGGACATGTCACATGCACATGAAGCTAGACCAGTCTCTCTTATTCCTGAGTTCTAAACCCTTCTAAACATGTGTACCATGGTGTCTTCATCAATCATGAAGTGTTTCCTCTCTCCCACAGCAACCTCCAGTGATTTTTTGCCAATCCTTTGTCTCCATTGGTTTATATCATGGGCTGTTGCCATTTGATAGTCTCATGTCTCAACCTCTCAGAGACCAAGCTACCTACTAATTAATTCACTAGACTGATTGTACCTGGAAGGTCTTCTAATCCTCACATTCCCATTTCAAGTATGGCCTCCAAAATCTCTGTTGCATTTTTATTGACTAATGCATCACCTATTGGCCAAGGGAATCCCTGTGTGTGTGGACTGTGTGAATCTCAGTATCTTCAAATAATTTTGCTTGTGGTCCACCTTAGAATAAAGCTTGACCCTGGGCAAGGTCTTCTTGACAGAGTAATCAGTTTATTTTTTCCAGAGTGACAGATAAAACGTTTAATTTCCCATTATCTAGGCCCTATAAAACATCTGTAGGCTAAGAGCAGCTATGCCAATTAGCAGAAGTGACAGCCTGAGTCAATGAACTGCAGCCTAAAAATAAAGCCACATGGTCCCTTTGGTCCCTTTGGAACACTGCTTGACTTGGAACAGATCTAAGTGGAATATTCCTTAGTTACCACTGTTTCACAATAGTTTTTTGACCCCTTTTTCTTAGGCATGTTTGATTTTCCGGTGTATTTCTAAACATGCACATAAGCAATTTAAATGTTTCCCCGGGCCTTGGCAGAAAGTGAAAATAAAATAATAAGAAATATATTATTAAGTACATTATTATTTATGTTATCAGATAAAACAAGTGTTTTTGAGCTGCTGGAGTTCTTTGTTTAGAAAAGCTTGGGTGTTTTTTTAATTATCATCAAATTCAATATGCATAAAATTCATAAAGCAAATTCATAAAATGTATAAAGCCAATGTATTTTGCTTTATGTCATGTACTTGAATACTGGGCATAAACTGAATTTCAGACATTTAAACTAGAAGAATTAACTAATGGAATTCCTATAGAATTCTTTTGTAAAATAAATCATTTTCAATGATAATAATCATTCTTTAATCTATATTTTCTTTCAGATATTTCATTATAAGAAGGCAGCATATATCGTGTGTCTTTAAAGAATGATGCTCAAATTGCATCATTTGAGGCAGAAAAATTAGATTCAGAAGCATAATATTCCATTTACTCAACTCAAATAGAAACCATGTTAATACCACTTAAGAGAAAAGACCAGAGTCTCAACATGGAATAAATTACAGTGAATAAAATAAAGCAAGAGTAGGGGAGAATTCGTGTAACCACAGCATCTTGTCACATGTTTTTCTAGTAGAGAAAGAAGAAGAGGAGATAGATACAAAGACACAAGGGCCTAAAAACTTTAGGCTGTTACCTAAACTGAGATAAGAATGTAAGATATACACAATTATCTGATTTTCAACCAGAAGTAAGCCAGAAAGGGAATGAGGACCTTAAAGTACACAGAACGCAGGAGTTAGGCAGCCTGAGTTTTTGACTCAGCTATATCTCAGCTACTGTGTGGCTCAGGGCAACGCACAAGAGATCAATTTCTTTCTTCATTACATGAAAGCTTTGAACTAGATTATCTAAATTTCCTTTAACCTCTAAATGTCCGTGATGGAACTTCTGCTTTAAAATGGGGTTGGAGAAGCAGTCTCTGAAACAAGCTCTTCCACTTCCTACACAGACAACCAACATTTAAATATAAAAATACCTTCCTTATTAGAAAAGTTGCCTTCACAAAGCTCTTTGGCAAAGGTTATAAGGAAAGCAAACAATCGATACAAATTTCACATTTCTATTTACTTTCTGCCTACTCACTTGGAAAAGCAATAAGATGAAATAAATTCCCACTGATCTGGGGGAAAATATAACTAGAATGCCATTTTTCCTAAGTTCCTTTGTTTGGAAGTTTTTAAAAGAGTTAAAACAAGCTTCACGGTTTATTAGATATTATTTTCTGTAGTGTTTGAAAATGTTATGGGGTAAAAAAAGGGCATGTGTTTTTAATGCCCTGAACATTTTCTTTTTCAAACAAAAGTCATCCTTCTTGTGTCTCGGTCCCCGTTGTTCTTCTTCCCATTCTGCCCCTTTGCTCAGCTTCATCTATAAAAATCATTTGTGTAATCTCTATTGGCCCCACGCTGTACATTCAGGATGCCTTATGTAGTTCCAGGCCTCCAGGATTATATTTCTTATAACACCAATCACTCTTCATTTTCCTTTGGATGTTATTTTCTTTGGGCAAAATTACTTTTCCTTTGTGTAAAAATGTTTTAAGAAAATATTTTCCATATCTGCAAAAAGCATGTAGTTGATGCACTAGTTTTACAGTTCTTAAAGCAACTCCTCAAATATTCAGACTTGAGGGGGAATTAAACAACACTTTTTGTATGGAGGAAAGCATACCAAAGTAGGTTTCTGAAGCTTCTGGGATTGCAATTTTTAAAATTCTTTGCCTTTTCTACAAAACTAAACTTGTTTTATCTAATCTTATTTGCATTATCATATCTTTCAGAGGTTTTAAGATATAGTGTCATAATCCTAAAGAAAAACATTTGCCTTGTATTTTATTCTAGTTCCTTGTTTGACTAAGTCACAAGGACACCATTGTTTAAATTTGCATGCCTCATAAAAATATATATTTGTGTAAATTATACTTACAAAGCATCTCCAGATATATCTCATTAACCACTACACAAATTATAGGTTACAAAAAGGTTACAGTCAGAGAGGCAGAACTACTTCTTAGGAAAGTATGAGATATGGGAAGCTTGTACAATATAATCCTTCCCAAACTTCACCCTATAATTTTTATCTAAGTGAAAATTGGTTAAAATGAACATTAGGGTAGTTTTTAGCTTGGATAAATCCTGTTGGGAAAAAAAAACTATATCCATCTATTCTTTGAATATTTATTGAGCATCTACTACATCAGTCTGAATGCTATGTCCACATATGCATTTGAAGCATGAATGAGAAAAGTGGGAGACTCCTTTGGTAAAGCAGGGAGAAGGAATGCAGGCTAATTCTGAGCTCTGCGCTCTTTTAGTCTCTCCTATCAGCTGACTGAGGTACCTATTTCTTTTAAAATGTTCCCTGCCTCTGATTCACTACCTAGCCATCTACTGCCCTCAATCACCAGACACCACGTAAGTCCTGAGGATAGATTTGTTTCAAGAATAAGACAAAAAGTATTTCAATGGTGATCTACAGAAAAACCATTTTAATTTCTGTGATAAGAAAAAAAAAACCGGAAATGTGGCACAAGTATGTTTGTTCTGTACTTCTATAGTAGAAAATTTATATACTTTGCACATGGCAGAACAGGACAGGCTTATCTAAACAATAAGGGATAGTGAGTTGATTAGGTGATTGGAAACAGGCTTCAGCTTTGCAACTGCACATCAGTGGGCCTTGTATGTTCAAAGCATTCCGCATCTAAAGAAGCAAACGATGCTTTCCATCTGTGATAACAAGGAAATGCTAAAGTTCCAATTTCCTTGACATTTTATTGCATTTACTTTTATCTAAAATGAGTATATAACATTATCTTATATAAAAGGAAAGCATGGTAGACGAGACATATCTTGAAAATCTTCTCTCTACCAGACATCCAGAAATGCTAAAAAAAAATATGTAACAACCCCATTTAAATGCATAGGCAAGCTTGCCAAAACTAAGAGAAATCAAGAAAAAAACAGAGGGAATCCTAAATCAGAGTGATAAACTGGCATTTAAAGTTTAGCTGAGTTCAGCATTTGCTAATCTCAGTAACCTAGAGATCTGGCTTTTAAGATCTGTTGCAAGCCAGGAAACAAAATCAAAGGCTGTCCTAATATGAGCCGGGGGCTCTTGAACTGCTATACCTTCAGTGAAACAGCAGACAGAAAAAAAACAAGTCACCTACAAAAATTGATGACAGGAACATGTCTATTTCAGCATAAAACCAGGTCTGTAATTTAAATTTACCCTACCTGTGTGGTCCAGGAGACCCAAGCTAAGAAAATAACAAAGCAGTCTTGTGTTAGAGAAGTGCCTGGGCTGCCTGACAGAGCCAGTGCAAATCCTCTTCAAAGGGACGTGCCCTTAACCCCATCCTTAGAGAATTTCACAGATCAAACAATGTGAAAGTACAAAAGAGCTAATAGACTCATCTCAGTGCAAATTAAACAACTGTGGAGTGTCTCCTTTTTTTTTTCCGGGAAAAGAACACTTTCCTATGTTAATGTTACCCCAAATACACTGGTGGAAACAATAAGATTTGAATGAATTCCCCAGAATTTAGTCAGGAAGGACAAGACAATCCACCAAGTGCTCAGAAGAAAATAGAAACCAAGTAGGACCACTGGTTTTTTCAATTACATGCTGGAGATCTGAAACCTGAGAGCACTGCCGACTTTCTGGAAGGGCCAAGAGAATGGATTTAAAGCAGCTACCAAAAGGGAACTAAGAATGATTGGGAGTTAGTGACTAAACTTTATAGCATAACAGGACCATGATTATAATTAAAGACATCTTTAAAGCAAATCATCTGAATAAATGCACACAGAATTGGTAACTAACTTTAATTGCTACTGAGGTTTATTTTATGCTAACAATAGTGTTCAATGCTCAGTAATCTCTTCCTAATTTTTGTTGTCGGTATATTTTGGGTTCACACAAGTCAGAAACCAAAGTTAGATTGTTTCTAATTGGCAGCAAACCAGAGGGGACGGGAGACTGGTCAAGTCTCTGAGTCGTCCACTCCAAGATGCGGACAATGAGTGTATGAAGACAGACTGAGAATGCGCTGCAAAGAAGCTTGGAAGAAAATGAAGGCAGAGAGGACAGACCTGAAAGGCTAAGAGGGACAGATCAGCGTCCATGGAAAGCAGGAGCAGAAGCCAGTCTTCTTCCAAACACTGGCACAAACCACTGCCTACTGGATACATTTCACCAGACAATTCACCCCAGTGTCCAAGAGTTTATCTTGCTTCTAGAATATATTGAAAAGAGCCACCCTCTGAACAAATGGCAAACACTATATAGTATAAATAGGATGCACTGAAAATAGTAGGCTTATTTCTTAAGCTGTCATCACGAACATTAACCAGTAATTATATTTCTCCACTTTTTGTAGAAGACATAAATGGCAAATTCTGAATTTATAATTTCTAATACTTCATTTTTCTGCTCTTGTAAAGTTCATTTTGAACTTTCAACATAAAAATATTAAAGATTTTTAATTGTGCACATTTGAACTTGTGTTACTTTGGACTTACATTGGCTGAAATTGAAATATAGTAAAAGTGCTCTAGAGTAAGCAGATCAGTTCATCAGAAGGACAGCCTTTCAATGGAAAGGGCATTCCCAAGCTGCACCAACGAAAGCATAATCCTGTTACCTGCCCTAACCTGACAGCTCTGAATTAGTCTGATCCACCTATGTGCCGTACAAAGCATTATATTGCTATGATTTCATAAACTGAACTTGAACTACACTTTTTCAGAGAAACAAAACCATGTTTAGAAATCTGCCACAAATATCTACACATTGCTCTTGAATTCCTCCAGGAATTTCCACCTACTCGTGCTGTTACTCTTCACTCTATGATTTATTTGTTTTTCAGTCCCTGTCGATACTTAAGTTTTACTCTGTAGGGAGATTCTCATGTTTGACTCCATTAAACAAGCTTTGAAACTGACACTCGCACAGGGTGTTACTTCCAGAATCTTCCTGCCAGCTCCTTGCATCCACACCATGAGAAAGAGCAAACATTCCAAATCCCAAAAAAATGAATTATTTGGGGTGAGGAAAAGTCTTGACTATGACACTGAAGATTTCCTGAAGAGATCCAGCATCCAAAATGTCCTGAGTGGGGAGGAAATCGCACACCTAGCACCCAGAGAAAATGAGTGCTATCCACAAACAACCCAGATCCTCCCAAGCTGAGGCTAACCTGCCCTTCACTTCCTACATTATTGCTACATCTACGCAGCTTCTGACTTTCCAAAGTTTCCTTTCCTTTTCTAGTCCCAAACTTATCTCTCAGGTTTGAGAAATTCAATTTTCTTGGGTTTGAATCTCAAAATTATAAAAGACAAGTAAGGTTAATCTTCTATCTCATTGGGCCCCTAAATATTTTAAGAAACACTCCATCAACCACATTTTGATCTTCTTTACTGCTGTTTTATTCTAGCATTTCTTTACTCCTACCTCTCTGTTTCTCTCTCTCTCTCTCCCCCCAAACCCCCCAACTCCCCCACCCCTCCCCACACACACACACAATTGGAGTAAATCCAGGACAAGGGCATTCACAATCTTACCATATTCTGTATTCATTAGACCTTATCTTAAGCACTGTGTTCAATTCAGATTTTGAAGGCATGTTAACAAACTGTAGAACAACGGAGTCCAGAACTGCTGTAGAGGACCAGTTGAAGGAACTAGAGAGGTATAACTAGAAAAGATACTTTTTTAGATCCTTCAGTTGTTAAAAGTCCCTAGTAATCTATTACAAACAGATTGATTTTAATAGTTCTCAACCATTTGCTAACATGTGTTTGCAGTGATGTCCTATGTGTTTGTACTCAGTTCTCTGTCTTTTTTAAAAGGGAATTTTACTTTAGACTATACATTTTCTAAAACTAGAAAAATTATTTTGGAGAAAAAGATTTGAGTATTACTTTGAAGATTTCATGAAGCTGCTGCTTCCAATCATCTGATCACTTCAGATGGTCTGATAATGTTAGATAAAACCTCTTTATCAGTAATGCACTGGAGTCCTACAGCACTACTTTCCATATTCAACAAAACCTCTCTTTGCATAGATACGTGTGTGTAAAAACAGAACATTCATACTGAGGCCAGAGTGCCATCGAAGGTAATTATAGAGACAGTAAAATCCTTTTACTCTGGGAAAAATAAAATGCTGGGTGTCTCACAAAATTTCAGAACCTGATTTCAAACGGATCATAACAAAGAGGAGATCAAATTTAGCATGGTGGACTGCTCGACAGGATATATTTGTAAGTATGAGATTCTATAAAATAGTTGATAAATACAAGACTATTGGCTTGCTATAAATCACTAGCAGATGCTGATTTCAATGGTAGAACTTCTGGGAGTGTTAACAGAGGTTTTTCTAAGAAAAAAAGACAAACTAACAAACACATATTCTTTTGCCTGGCTTTCTATATTTAAAACAAAACTTAGAGTCACTCCTTATATAAATAAATCTTCTAAGTTGGGCAACAGAGGAAATGCTACAGTTTTAAAGTATATTATTTCATTTTATGTTTTTGTGTATATTTTCATTTTAAATGTTTTTCATTTTATATGTTTAGATAAAAACATATTATAAAATCAGACATAGCTGAATTATTTGTTTCAAAAATCATGCATTACCAAATTATTAGTTCCATCCTTTGTTAACTGTACTGAAGCCAGGTGTGGATTATTATAAGGTTTATCTGAAACATTGTTAATCTTGATTTTGTAGAATTTTTTTATTCTTTTATGTTATGCTTAAGCACAACTATGCACAAATTTCTTGAATTTTTTAAAGGACAAGAAATTTGTGTGCTGTGGTCAACAAAAGCTCACTAAAATATAAATTGCTCCAAATTTTACTAAATTTTATGTAACATGCTATATCATAAAATAAAGAAACATATTTAAATGCAGATATATGTAAACAGACAGAATTGCTTTAAGAAAATTTATTTATTTTCATAATACTTTAAGATTTCATTTAAATAATGGAGGAAACAAATCTAATTCTGGCATACTACTAATACAACTCAATCCATTACCAATGCATTTATAATCACTCTGAGAATTAGATTCTATCGGTGAAATGTATTTCTTTCAAATAATTATCAGGAGAAAACAGTGGAGGCAAAATCATCGTGGAGACCTAAACTTGTTCTAAACACTCTATGTTTCGATTGTAAAAGTACACACTAGTTTTACCAAGAGGGTATTGAAAAACAAAAAAGGAAAGCAAATTAATACACAATATTAAGATAAATATAGATTATTTAAATAAAAAGTAATGGAAAATTACAAATTAAAACAGTAAAGAAATTTTTATAATAAGCCATGATATTAACACAATTTTAGATAAAGAGTTAATAAATAAAAATGGGAATAACCATAATCCAGCATTTCCGAGGTGGAAAAAGTATTTACTTAAAACTTAAGAGCATTTACAGTAATCTTTGCCAAATATGCATTCTCCAGGAAGCACACAATAATCTTTTTGTTTTTGTTTGGTTTTGTTATTATTTTATTTTTAGGTCAATGGAATGTTTCCACATATTATACCACCAACATGAGAAAAAAATGATCATTGTTTATTTGAAGCTTGGTGAGTTTATCCACAATTTAAATCAGTTCTACGTCATGCCAATTTAGATCACTGTTTCACTGGGAATTCTCTTTTTGCCAAAGTAGATTTGTAGTTCTATAAAATATTTAAAGTTATTTTTTATTTTTATCCATATTGACTACTTGAACTCTAATTTTAAGGGTACAACTAAAGATGCCCTTGGTTGGATTTAACTAACAAAATAAATTTATCAATAGGATGTTTTAATCAAATCCTTATCCTAAAGAACTTTACTTTTGTAAAAAATTAGAACATTCCCTTTATGGAATTACCAAGGATATTTCTTAGAAGTTCTCAATTGTAAATGTGAGAGGATTTCATTCTGCCACTCTATATTGGTGCTATTAAACTGTCGATTGAGATGTATTATTTAATGATAAATATTGTTGAATGTAGGATTGTAGATACTTCTTTTTAAACCAATGGTTATTTTGCAAATTCTTTGTCCTCAGACTGTGAATTATATTTTCTTATTTTATCAGATGATATTCTAACGCTGCCTTTTCTCTTCTCATTTTAGAGGTATGAGAATTTTAATTTCTACTTCTGAGCATCTGCCTTCCATCTTCCAAAATTACTTTGGAATATTTTGTCATTATTTTTCCCCTTGGTTAATCTCCTTTTTCCTTCAGTTTAAGCCGTACATGTTCCTTTACTATAATATTATTAGTGTTTGGGTTGGAAGAGATAATAAACTCAGGTGGTCAATCTGACCTTTTGTACCTGAAGCTGGGTTAAGTATTTTTTAATTTATCTCTTTGTTTCAATGTAGAGAGTGTTATAAGGATGGGGGTGGGGGGTTCTGTGATATTCCAACAAAATAGTGGTACATGGTACGTGTGAATCCAGTAGTAATCAATAGAGAGAAACACAAACATGTGGATGGACTTTCAGTCCCAGAAATCTTAGAATACAGGCGGGAAGGCACCAGGCTCCAGGCACAGGAGCAGAACTCTAGTCACTGGAACAGCGTCCAGTCTCCAGTTCCATTTCCTAAAGGACAGGAATACCAGAGAACTTCTTATAGTCTATTTATTCTATGCATAACAACTCTTAGGGTCTATTTATTCTATGCATAACACATGTCATACACAATTCTGTCACTAAATATTTTCTGCAATTTAATCATTGATGCTTTTATGACATTATATTCTATTTGTATTCCATAATTTAATAAATCTGTAAATGTTTGACTTAGAATGCTAACCAACATATAAACAACTACTTATATGTAATCATCAAATAACATTCGAATGTAACAATTTAGGAAACTTAAAGTCTAGTAGGAGTAGATAAATCAGAAATATAAATAACATTATATCTATATATATTGCTTCTTTTTCAATGTCACCTAACTAATAAGTTGCTTGGACCAAAGAACCCTCACTGAATCAGTCATGTAGCTGAGCACAGGGCTACTATTAGTGTACACAGAGTCTTTGCTGGAATTATTAAAAAGTAGCCTTTTCACCACATGGATGAAGCCCCACTTGGCTTCACACCTGGCAAGGGGAGTGTGGTTGGATCTCAGCCTTGTCTCTCCTTTTGGACCAGGCATCTCCATAGAGAGAACAACCTGAATAATTGCATTTAAAGGGAAGCTGTGGCTGGGCTGTCCTCTTGTCCCTTTTTTCTGTAACACTCAACCATGCCTGAGCTCTTCTGGCAGCCCCAACCATCTGGGTGATACACACACCCAGATGTCTGTAAATCTCTGTTGTAGACCCAACTAATTCTAAAGCTGGGACTCAGTGATTAATATAATGTGTGAACAATCGAAATATAGAAACATGGGAACAACAAAAATGAAGAGAAGGAGGATTTGCAGATTATATGTTGACATGTTGAAGAATGAATAAAGTTAATGGGGAAAACTTGTGAGATCTGAGATGAAATTTAAAAAGAGGAAGAAATGCGGTCTAACAGAATATATGTTTCCTGGTACATACAAAAGAACTTAGGAACTATTTCATTTTTCTAATCTTTACAGTTCCATTTTAGAGAAAAGGAAAAGGAAATGAGAATCTGAGGTTTAATTAATATGCGCAAGGTCACACAGCTAATAAGAGCCTGACCTCGAGCATATGTCTGTCTGGCTTCAGGCCCCAGAACTATTTGAATATACTCTGTCAACTTGCAGGAGCTGTGGGAAGCCCCTAAATTCTAGTGCATCCAGAAATTACTTTACCTTCACTATACTTCAGACCTTAGTGAGTGTTGCATACTAAGACCATTCTGCTTTTGCCAATTTCATTAAATTTATAAAAGAAAATATGATAACCCATTAATAGACACACATTTGAGTTACAGAAATCACCACAATAAAAGGTCTGAAAATGTGTACACATAGCTCCAATAGATCAAGTGAGAAGACAGTGGGACAGAAAAACTATTGCTAAAAATAGAGGGTAGGGGAGAAGTCAAGTCTCAGTACAAGATAGGGAAGACTAATAATATTCACAGAGAAGACATGTGAAGGAAGTAAATTTTTTCCTATCCTCCTACTTAGAAGATAAGCTGCGAGTCATTGTGTAACTACATTTTATAGGTGATCACAGAGATGAGGAATCTTGAAACTCGAACTAAGTAGCTTGAAATTTGAACTAATGCAGTTCAAGGTCCAATTACACACAGGACCAGCTATTGACAGTCAATGTAACAGTTTTTTAGTCTCAATTAATTTCAGTGTTCATTTTCAGTCAGATTTTTCTTTCTAGAAAAAGGTTTTTATTTTCATCACACTGCTGTTTAAAGACCTCAGTGGATTACTTCTACTAACAAAATAAAGTCTAACATCTTCAGTCTGGTATTTAAGGTCATCTAGAACCTAACTATGCACACAAACATATCCCTTTAATAAACTCTCCCTTTTGCTTAAGTATTGTGAATCTCTATTTGCAATCGGAAGAGTCCTAATAAGTGAATTAATCTATTCCCCTTCCATTTTCTTCCTTCCTATAGATATAAATAACTTTATTGCTTCTTGGTCCTCCTCACTTATAGTAGAGACTTACATAGAAAATGAAGTTGATCAGACCACATTTCTCATATGTTCTTATCTCCAAACCTGCAAATGAACTTGAATCTATACCTATATTTTCACTAGTTACAAGAGAATAGTAACTATTTCCTGTATTTTCACTTCTCCAATGTCTTAACTCCTACATTCTGAATTCTAGCCCCTCCTTCTTCTTCAGGAACCTGAAATTCTATTGGTTTTCCTTCTTTCTTCTGTGTTTTCAAACTCTGTCTATGTACCTTTTGCCAACTTTAGAGTATGTCACTCACATTGTAACTTGACTTTATTGTAACGATGCCTCCTAGAGAGACATGCAGGCCAGAATCATCAAATGACAAGAATCTGTCTCTCTGTCATTATTACGTCTTTCTATCAACAGCTTTCAAGGAAGAAAGAGAAAAAGAGAGAGAAAGAGAGAAAGAAGGAAAGATGGAAGGAAGGAAAGAAAGAAAGAGGAAAGAAAGAGAGAGAAAGAAAGAAAAGAAAGAAAAAAAAGAAAAAAGGAAAGAAAGAAAGAAAGAGAGAAAGAAAGAAAGAAAGAAAGAAAAGAAAGAAAAGAAAGAAAGAAAGAAAGAAAGAAAGAAAGAAAGAAAGAAAGAAAGAAAGAAAAGAAAGAAAGGAGGGAGGGAGGAAGGAAGGAGAGAAAGAAAGAGAGAGAGAGGGGAAAAGGGAGGGAGGAAGGGAAAGAGGAAAGCAGGGAGGAAGGAGGAGAGGGAAGGAGGGCAAACAGAAATTACAAGCAGGCTTTCATTTGTCCTGGGCCTCATTTTCTCTTGCTTTCCTCCTTGTTTCTGTCCTCCCTGCTCCACTGAAACCACTCTCAGCAATGTCATTAATGAGCATCTTGTGAACACATCTGACATTTTTTGATCCTTTGCTCTCTTAATCACTTCCCAGCTTTTAACACTCCATTGGCCACTCTTTCCTTTTTGATAAACTCATTCCTTGGTTTCTGTGATACTGTGTTATTCTGATGCAAGCTCCTTTTACACAGCCTTTCTCTTAAATATTTGTGTTCAGAAACTCATATTGGGCTGTCTGCTTTTTACAGTTCACACCGTCTTCCTGGACGATCTCGTCATTTTTTTTGTTAGAGGGGGCTCCTCTTATGTGTTTTATGAAAATAGCCCACCTTTATCCTGAAGCCAAATCTCTCACCTCAACTTGTTCTCTTCTGTCTCACCTTACATATCCAATGGGTCAACAAGTTCTAATAGTTCTTCCTCCAAAACGTCTACAATCTCTCTCCTTCCCTCCATCTCCACTGCCACCTTCCTAATCATCCCTCACCTGAACTCCTGCAGTCACACCCTAACTGGGCTCCCTGATGACACTCTGGCCACACTGCCATTCATTCTACTCACAAACCCATTTCAAATCTTAACATGTCTATTCTGAATTTTAAATCCTGCAATGATTTCCCAGCTTCTTACTGTGAAATCCATGGCCTGTGTGGCTCAACGTGCTCGGCCTCTGCCTAGCATTACAAATTCTCCCACCACTTTCTTGCTGCAGTGAACATTTTTAAACATGATTATTGGTTCAATCTTAACTCTCTAAGCCTCTCAGCTCACTGTCTCATTCTGTCTGCCACACTCTAAATTCATGTGGAACATAATTCCTTTTTTTTTTTTTTTTTGAGATAAGGTCTTTCTTTGTCACCCAGACTGGAGTGCAATGGTGTGATCACGGCACACTGCAGCCTCAACCCCCTGGGCTCAAGTGATCCTCCCACCTCAGCCTCCTGAGTATCTGGGACTACAAGTGCACACCACTATGCCCAGCTAATTTTTTTTTTCTTTTTGTTGGAGAGACAGGGTCTCTCTATGCTGCCCAGGTTGGTCTCAAACTCCTGGGCTCAAGAGAGCCTCCTGCCTCAGTCTTGCAAAGTGTTGGGATTATAGGCCTGAGCCACAGTGCTGAGCCTAAATTCCTTTTATTTCCTCAATGGGACATAACTCATTGCCTCTTAATCTTTGCTCAAGTTGCCCCTCCTTCACTCAGCACACTCGTGGATATCCTGCTGGTTCCAGCTCAGATGTTACTTAACTGGGCTGCCTTCACTAACCCCTCAAGTCTAGTTAGGTTCTCCTCCTAGGTGTATTCACAACCCCTGTACTTCCTGTATCCAAGTCCCCATCACATTTCGGGATTTTTTGTTTTTGTTTTTTGTTTTTGAGATAGGGTCTCACTCTGTTGCCCCAGCTACAGCACAGTGGTGCAATTACAGCTTGCTACAGCCTCCATCTCCTGGGCTCAAGTGATTGTCCCACTACAGCATCCCAAGTAGTTGGGACTACAGGCATGAGTCAACATGACCAGCTAATTTTTTTTATTTTTTGTAGAGACAGAATCTTACCGTGTTGCCCAGGCTAGTCTAGAACTCCTGGGCTCAAGCAATCCTCCCCGCTTCAGCCTCCCAAATTGCTGAGATTACAGGTATCAGCCACTGTGCCCAGCCCATCACATGTATTTTAATTGCTTGTCAGTGAGGACAGAAGAGGACAGACAAGATGTATATTGATCACAGGCAGCCAGAACTTGGCACATAACAAGTATTCAAAAGACTTTTGAATGAATCGTAAAGACTGATATAAAAATTCACTGTTTATCCTTAATAATTCATTATATATGTATGTATATATGTTTAACAAACCATTTCCAGCTTTAAAATGTGGATTTAATGACTCTTAACAAATTTGTTAGTTGTTTTTTTAAAGTCCTGAGTTAAAAACCTTCTATGATATGTATTGTTATGTAAAGGTGCCTGAGATGAATAAACTCTAACTGAATTTTAAAGTCAAAGTTACTGTGCCCAGAGTAGATAAAACCAGATAAGCAGCACCCTTAAAATTCACTCAGAAGGTGCTTTATTTTTTATTTGGCTATTTACACTATTTTACTTGTCCAGTTAAAATAAGGCTCTTTTTTAATACATTGAGAGAGCTTTCTAAACACAAGAATTGTGGCTGGGCACAGTGGCTCATGCCTACAGTCCCAGCAGTTCGGAAAGCTGAGGTTGGCAGGTTGTTTGGGCCCAGGAGTTTGAGACCAACCTGGGCAATGTGGTGAAACCCCTTCTCTACCAAAAATACACAAAAATTAGCCAGTCATGGTGGCGCATGCCTGTAGTCCCAGCTACTCCAGAGGTTGAGGTGGGAGGGTCACCTAAGACTGGGGATGTCAAGGCTGCAGTGAGCCATGATCATGCCACTGCACTCCAGGCTGGGTGACAGGGTGAGACCCTGTCTCAAAAAAATAAAAATAAAAATAAGAATTGTCCCAAAAGGGAAGCCTTGGGAGTTGGTAAATTCGTTATCGGTAAGTTCTAAATGAAAAGATCTTTTTCAGAGATTTGGTATTTTTTGAACCTCATTGTTTAATAAATAGGCCAGTTGAGTAAAGTCATTTACAAATCTAAGCACGTATATTTTTATAAAATATTTATGAGAGATGAGTCATTTTATTCTCCTCTCTCCTCCCAACTCCCCCAGTGACTGTATTCCATTAACTTCAAGAGCCCATCTTTTTTTTTATGATTTATAATATTGTATGTTCCTTAGAAACTGACTGTAACATACAATTATTTTAAATGATTAAATTATACAAATATATACTGTATTTCCTTAGAAAAATGAGCAGGCGGAATTGTTGGATTTGTAAGATGTGCAGAGATGAATCTAAGAGGCCCCCTTCAAAGTAAGTAGCATTTAAGTTTCTATGGTAATTGTAAAGCATATTTATCAGATGATAAATAGGTACATATTTATTAAACTGCTATTGTAACATATTTTGTTCAGAAAGTAAAATTTGCATTTACACGTGAGTCATTTCATCAGAAGAGCAGTCATATGTTACTAAGATTCTTGTTTTCATTATTCATGGTTTACACTTGAGAATTCAGCAAGTTAAATGCTTTAGAATCTATTATGAATAGTCTCTGTTCTTTTTAAAAAACAAAGAATATTGTTTGTGTTAAAATGAGATTCTTCAATCCAAAATATTTTCTTGGTTCCAACCCTCCACATACGAAGTGCCAGAAAGCTTCATCCCTAGATAAAGAAGGTGAGACTGGAGGAGGAATCAAATGTTAACCAAGCTCCCAAGTCTCTTCCTCCACACTTTTCTATAACTCAAAATGTTGCCATTTGGATGAGAACAGTGAAAAGAATAATGCCTGAGAAAAGTAACAGACCATTGCATTGGATTTCCTCACCTGAAAGAATTCCCAAAAGTTGAGAACCCCTGTTAGATTAACCATGAGTGCCTAACATAGTCCATGTCCAGCCCTCAGTTCTGGCCACACCTTTTTGTATGGTCAGAGCCCCTGGCATGAATGCTCTTTCACTAAAATACCAAAATGTCCAAAAAGGCTTACAAGCTACTGTGTGGCAAGGAGAAGGATGCTGCAATGGTGGTCAGAGGAGATAGTAAGACCCAAAGCTCAGCATTTTAAATGACAGTGAATGCTACTGCACTGCACAGGTGCATCCAAGGACAAAGGTATAATCTGCTAATTAAGGGACAGCTCTCCTTTCTTCGAATGATTCCCATAGAGGATCACTGTCAGAGCTCGCCTTTCTTCTATCTGCCTTATAGACTCACCATGAGAAAAGGGGAAGACCAGAAAAATTAAAAATCACATTCATGGAAAGCTGCCAGATAACAGTTATTTAATAGGTACTTGGCATTCATGACCTAATTTAATTTTCATTATAACATTGTGCGATAGACGTTATTATCCCTATTATATAGACAATAAAATTGGGGTTTGAAGATTTTAAGTAAGACCAAGGACAATTAAGTACAGCACTGGGATTAGAACCTAGGACTGTCAGAGACTCCAAACATTCTTCATTCTTTTGTCTGCAACATCATGGTATCTTAAAATGCTTTCATATCCGTTTGGTATCCACTGCCCATCCGCCCAGAAGAATGGAGGGGACACAAGGGAGAACTTGTATCAGGAAAAAAGGTATTTCAAATAATCCTAATAAAGGCACCTGGATAGCCATGGGCCAGCATTAAACTTGTGAGAACCTCCAAAAAAAATTATAAGCAAAAATGGGGTTCAATTAAAAACAAATTGTATTTCCCATTTTTACCCCCAACCGTAATTACTCCAATCATCTCTCCCCATAAATCTCATGAGTCTTAGAGACAAAAGAACTCTCTTACCAACAATCATCGACACTTAATTTTAAGCTAACCCAACACATTGATGACTCTTCACTCGTGTTGTAGATTTTATTCTTCCCTATATAATGGGAATGATTAGAACGGACAGGCATTCAATAAACCTTGCCTAGCTCTTTCCATTTCACCAGATTGAAAAGGTTATTTTAGGTTACTTTTTCTAAAGTTTTAACAAGAGAAAAGAACAATGACTCAGATACTATTTCATGGAAATGTTTTTTGAAAGCAATCTTAACACAGTACACTGTTAAGCCTCAGTACTGATGCAAGCAGTCCATCCAAAACTGGCAGGATCCGTCTGAATTTTTAGAAAACAAAAGATATCTGACCTTTTAAGGACTCCCAATATTTTTCCATGTTCTCGGATATTTTTTAATCTCTTTAACTAATCCTCCTTCATTGTGTTAAGAACCTGCTAATGCTGATGGCTGTTCCTGCAGCACTAATTTTTAGGCTGCTAATTTTAGGTATAGCCAATGGACAGTGCTTGCGTGTCTATAGCCATCTTCAATTATCTAGTTGTTGAAAGCAGAACAATTAAGAATGCACCATAAACTGAATGGCAATAAACACATTGCCTATTTCTGTTTTATTTCCAACCTTTATTCTAAGTTCATGGGTACATGCGCAGGATGTGCAGGTTTGTTACATAGGTAAATGTCTGCCATGATGGTTTGCTGCACAGATCATCCTATCACCTAGGTAGTAAGCCCAGCATCCAATAGCTATTATTCCTGATGCTCTCCCTCCTCCCACGCCCCCACCCTACAACAGGCCCCAGTGTGTGTTGTTCTCCCCAATGTGTCCATATGTTCTCATCATTCAGTTCCCACTTATAAGTGAGAACAGGCAGTATTTGATTTTCTGTTCCTGCATTAGTTTGCTGAGGATATGGGCTTCCAGCTCCATTCATGTCCCTGCAAAGGACATGATATTGTTTCTTTTTATGGCTGCATAGTATTCCATGGTGTATAAAGTTACTTGTATTTGAGAATACAGTCATTTGCCAATTCACCTCATGAAGCTCACCAAAATGAACAGAGTTCTGGAATCTTTCACAACTATTTTCTAAATGGTAAATGGCTTTGTTTATACCGTTTAGGTAAAATGTAACTTGACATAATACACCTTAATAAAAATTAAAACTGATACAAAAAAATTCTAGCAAGTAGGAGACTGAGAAAATACTAGCTTTAGGGTTACTAACTGTATTACATGAGTGCATGCAAATAGGTTTTGTGGATTAACTCTAAGATTCTAATAGATAAATAGGTAAACACTTGGCTGGTGGCAGCGGCAAACAGTGCATAACCCTTTTAAAAGCAATTTGGCAGTCTGTACCAAAAACCTTAAAAATCTGCCTCTTTTAACCAACTTTGATTCTACTGCTAGTGCCCTGGAATTACTCTAATCATGTGGCCATGGCAAGCCTTAAACACAGCTGGGCTACATTTGAGTTTTTATGGTGAAAAATGAGAGAAAATCAATATGCTGTTTGACAATAATTATGTAAACTATGGAATGCCCCCCTTGTAGCATATTTCACCATCACCATAAACAATATGACTATCAATGATTATACATTTGTAATTATAAATTATAACACTACAAATGATTAATACAATTATGATGACATAAAATGCATAAAGTATAAACACACATAGTGTGATTACTTCTTGATTAAAAACACACAAATACAAACATAACAAAAAGACTTTAAAAAACTACATCAAAATACTAATAGTGGTAATTTATTAATAGGGAGATTATAGGACTATGGTTCTGAATAATATTTATTAAATTATATTTTCAAGTCTACACTATTTGCACAATTTTTATAATTTAAAAAATTTAAATAGTAAAAATAAAATGTAAAATATCACAGGAAAATAACTTTCCAACCAAAGCCACACACAAATGGAATGTAAATATATTTTGGTGTCATTTTCAAGATAATATAATTTTACTTAGTTCAACAAAAACCTTGAGAATATTTAGCCCAATCAGTGCTTTTTGTTTCTTTTCAAAGCCTTACTTTGGAGGAAGTATTACAGTGGGCCCAGTCTTTTGAAAATTTAATGGCTACAAAATGTGAGTATTGCGTATCTGTCATCTTTGAATAACTAGCGAGTTCCATTCTTAGAGGTAAAGGTGGGGGTGCCAGATGATGAATGTATGCTATTCTTCTCACAGCCTTCTAACTGGCAACTGACACAGTTAAAAAAAGAAAACCTGAAAATAGTTTGTTATGTCAACCACTATTATTTTCTCTGGTGTTAATTAAAACAAGATTAGTCACTGTGAATATTCTTCACAAGTATATGCACAAAATCCCTTGGAAAATATGCTTAAGTAGTAACGCATACCATAGCCTTCTAAAGTTAGTATTAAACAAAAACACTTAACTCGCTGTTCTTGCTGCCTTCAAAAGTAAGAATAAATTTGAGTCTTGCTGTTCTAAAACTCCTCCCCAAAGTTTGTTTCAACTTTTTCAGTGTCTGATTTAAGTGGGACTATACATGGGTCTGAATATAGTTGTAGGTAAGTATCGACATTAACATGGTACAAATAAGAGATACCAGCAATGGATGTGACAGAGACAAAGTCATGGGCTCAGTGCAGGAAAAATAAAGGAGGACGTGCATTCAAAAGAATAGTCAATTGCGTTTGGGGTCAGAAAAGCTGGTCCGTTGTAGAAAATGATAAAACCAGAAGACAGGTACAGAAAAAAAATGTAGGGTGTAGACACAGAAAATTCTCTTGTTGAATTTGGTAGTTTTTTTTAAATGGAGTTGGTTCCCCTCAATGCTTGTTAATTTTTGCCTATAGAACCATCTTTTTATTTAAGATCCCATTTTAGCCTCTCTGTGAATGTTTTATCTGTTTAGAGCTATGGACTATGAAGGAGAGTTGGCTGTGCTACTTACATGCTTTAACTAGTGGGGTGTACCAGTGGCTATTCTGGGCAAGGTACCCCCTGTTCCTCATGGGGGTTGTCATAGTCCTGAGGCACTACCTGCTCTTTCTGACTCAAGACCCTCTTTAGTATGGACTCAGTTGTCACTGCCCAGCCCAGAGGGTAATGGCAGTAGGTGTAGACACTTGGCTACTCCTGCTGAAACACGTTAATCAACCATTCTGGCGCTTACTTCTGCTTCATCCCTAGGGCTGGATCTACCTCTACAGGCTTGGGTCACCACCTGAGCTCTCATATTTTGTAGCATGCCTTTCCAATGGGCATTTGGGGCCATAGTTTCTTTCTTTGATGCAATCGCCACTGGCTTTCACTTTTCAGGTATTCCTCATAGTTTATAATCCAATTTGCCAGCATGAATGTGAATTTTAAACAAATATATCTTCTGGGTCAGTGTTAGAACATTGAAATGTGATGAAGAGACAAAAGTGCATATTCAGTTAACTATATTGTAAATTTTTGTCCCAATCCTCTGTAATACACATTTTGCCACCTTGCTAGATTGATCTCTTTCTTGGAGTTTCATACTCTTCATCTACAAAATGGGAATAGTATCACTTATCCTTTCAGGTTTATTGTGCAGGTGAGATACAAAACATCTAGCTCAATGCCTAATATAGATTAAGCACACAATAATTGGTAGTTTCTTTTAATAGTAATAAAGTACATGTCTTTGAATATCATTCTTTTTTCTCTGCTGCCTACCAACAAGTCCAAAATCTTGGTATTTAGTACTCTCTACACCCTAACCCAAAACATTTTCTAAAATTTGTCTCTAGCTATGACCTGTCACATAACATGCCCTCCACCAATGTGGGTCACTTCATTTTCTACTTGTACATCTATGATTCTTCTCCTCCAGGCTTTTGTTCAAAGTCCTTTTCATCTCTAGTTACTCTGCTCATGTTTGAAAGTCAAATTCAAGTGCCACTTTCTCCAGAAAACTGCTTAGTAATTTCTCCTTTATCTTCTATTTTGTTAGTATTAACATTTATTCTGCTTTTAATTGTAGCCAGTTTGTGTATTGGGTTTTTTATATAGTGGCTTTCTCCCTAGATTATAAATTCCTTAAGAGCACAGCTTGCCTCTCATTTACCTTTCAAACCCCTGAGAGACTGAAAATGTGCTTTGTACCCAATGAGCATGCAATAAATGTTCCATGAATAAACACAAGAAAAATATTAGTGAGAAAAGTTCAAAACACCAAGCTATATTATGTAAGTTTCTGTGCCAGTCCTGGAAGCCTTATTAAAAAAATGAATAGGCTTAATTATTTGGCAAGGATTTCAAGTGGTCATCTGCCTTGCTAGAATCAGCAATTTAGAATTCTAGTGTCATGAGAATAAGCAAAGGCTCTAGCAAAGATGAGAATAGGAAAACATCATACTGCTCTTTATAAAAGCCAGCAAAAATAGGGTAAGAGCCTTTCCAGAAATCATATTACTATGAAGTTCACATAAAAATTCAACAATCACATAATAAGTAATAAAACGAATCATTCTATGGATGATCCAACCAGTAAGACAAAACTAAAAATACAAATATTAAATGTGCCAGAGAATAAAAATGTGTTTACATTAACCAAGGACATTAGTCAAATGCATGCTGTAGCTGAGATATGCAGATGCATATTTTACATAGATTAAAACATTATTTCTAAGGACAGTAGCTCAGACACACACATGAAAAAGAAATATATCAGCCTGGGTCTCAATAGATGAACCGAAATTGGTTTAGAGACGTTTTAGGGAGCCATTAAGTCATAGTCATCAAAATACAATTAAATTCAACATCTCAGTGGGAAAAGGGGATCCAAGAAAACCATCAGTTTGAGAACAGAAGTATGGCAAAATCCAAAAGTTAATTAGAAATTAAGAATGTTAGCAACTTAGATACCTTTTAGATAATGCTATTTAATGCTACATTATTTGCAAATAATTTTTTACATATGAAAGATTTTTTTTATATATTTAAATATCAAAGATTTTCTTGTTATTTATATGAAACATAATGTAACCAAATAGAACTAAAGTAGAGAGACTAGCTAGAAGGCTGCTACAATAATTCAGATAAAATTGGAACTCAGTAGGGAAGACAAGGCTGGGGGTAATTTGCATATAGATGCTAACAAAAGTCACAGGGCTGTGAGACCACTGAGAGGGAGAGTTCAGATAGAGGAAAACACACCCAGAGATGAAACTTAGGTGTGTGCTACTTCCAAGTCCAGGTAACCAGAGAGGTCAGCAAAGTGGATGGAAAAGGAGCACAAAGTGAGGTAAGAATGACGAAAATAGTGCATTCTTGTGGAAGCCAAAGAAGAGAGTGTTTCAGGAAGGAAGCTGTGAATTGTCAAAGACTGCTGAGAAGTCAGCTGAGGTGAGGAAGGAACAGTGACCACTAGACATGGCAATATGGAAGTCAACAGTGCCTCAACAAGAGCAGTTTCATGGGTATGGTGGAGATAGGTAAAACCAGAGGAAGCAATACACAGCATAAGGAATCACTGACATAAGTTTTGCTGTGGAGTTCTGCAGAGAAAAAAGCAGAGACTGGAAGCGGGAATGAGGTCAATACCGAAAGTTTGAGTCAATAGTTGTTACTAGTTATATTTGGGAAATACAGCAATATATTTGTAGGATGATGGCAACAATTCATGGGGAAGAAACTGATGACACAGAAGAGAGTGGAGATACTTATAAGAAAAATAGAGGAATGCAAAGTAGG
Source organism: Homo sapiens (assembly GCF_000001405.40). Taxonomy (NCBI): domain Eukaryota; kingdom Metazoa; phylum Chordata; class Mammalia; order Primates; family Hominidae; genus Homo; species Homo sapiens. Next base: position 192,651,595 of record NC_000001.11, read on the forward strand.
AATGCAAAGTAGGAAGAAGCAAAAGTAGGAGGGAACCAGAAAAAAAATTGTTTGGCCATCCCAAAAAGGAACAGGGACACTTGCCCCTCAGGAGAGAAGTTATAAAGGAGGAATACAGATGGAAGTACTCTGGTTATTTCTGGAGAGAAGACGGTGAATATCCGTCTGATTAATCTGTGCTCTCAGTGAAGTTTGAGGCAAGGTCGCCAGTAGATTGCTTAGGAGAGGATGTTTTAGTATGTTTTAACATAACAACGGAGGAGGTATAAAATAGTTTCTGCAGATTTAGAGAACCATGATACTATGGAAGGCTCATTGGTTGACTGGGCAGTGTTGAGTGTCTGTTTAAAATCTGAAGTTATGATTTCAAATGCGAGACCACAGTTGTATATTTTTCTCTGGCTTGTTCAGGTTGCCCCAGCACACACGCAGAGCAGATATTAAGCCATTCCGGATAAGCAAGTGCTCTGAATCACAGAGTTTGCTTCAATCTTTTGATCAAAATCATCTTTGAATGTACTATTTTCCACCCTTTCTAAATTACCACAATCCCATGCAGACCACCTTAGAAATGCCAGTTAAACAGTGTGGGATTGACATACTGCTGAAGGCAATGAAGGCCGCTCCATATCATGAACCATCTGTGTGGGCTGGTGCATCTTCCTCAGCATCATGGCACAGAGCAGGCAGTAGAAGTTACTGATGGTTATTGTTGCTCCCTTTTGTACATCCTGATCCCAGAGTCATTCTCTCAGCTTTTTTCATCTGTGCAAGCTCCTTTGCTGCACAGTGTGATTGGCAGTTTCCTACACTATCACTTATTCTAATCTCTGCTAACTACTGCTGTTGCCATGGCTCCCTTCATCAACCCTTATATTACCTGCACTGCCTTCCTCTACCCTTTCCACTTAGCACTTTTTGTCTTTTTTAACTTCTCATGCACTTCTTCACCTTGCAAAGGGGGAAAAAAACCTCGCCTAGAATAGACATCACTGTCCAATTAGTACATTTTTTTTTTGGTATTGCTTTCAGAAAACCAAAAAGCAATAGCATTTCAGATATAAACCTGTCGTCTTTAGTGCTTCCTAGATGTTCAATAACTAAGGTCTGCTTCTTCACTTTTCAAGAGCCACAGAGAGTCATTTTAAAACAGAAACATGAGGGATCCAAAAGCCCAAATTGACATGTGTTTATTCAGTGCCTGCTATATAGCAAGCAGTGTTGAGGCACGGGGTACATGAAGATGAATAAGCTGCAGTCCTGATTCTCCAAGGGTTCTCAGGTGAATGGGAGGATAATGGAAGGAAACCACAGCAAAGAGGGGTGGCCTTTATCACTTGGGCAATGGGAAATGTTGAGGGGGATAAATAATAGATTTTTGCTTTAAAGATTTTTCTCTAATAAAAGTACAGAGGAAATTGAAAGCAGGATCAGATAGATGAATCAAGGCTTCTTCAGATTCAGTGGTTTACAAATATACCTCAAAATTCATAAACAAAAATAATACGTAAAAGAGAACAGAAGGTAACGCAATAAAGGTAACAGAGATAGTGTCTTCAGTATATAAAGAGATCTGAAAAATTTAAGAAAACACTAGCAATGCAAAGAAAAAACAGACAAAAGATTTGGAATTCACGGGAAAAAAAGAAATGGTCAGTAAAAATGCAAAACTGTTTAAGCATTATATTTTAAAAATACATATTTAAACAACTACAAGTTACTGACTTCACCCCATTAGATTGGAGAGCGTGGAGTAAGTCAGCACTGACACTGCCATTGGGAATGAAAAATAATGAAATCCTTCTGAAAGCAATTTTACAATATGTATCAAGAGTCTCCAAAAATATTACATCTTCAATCTAAAAATTCTATTTTAAATCAATTATTTTCCCTAAGAAAATAGAGGTGAAAAAGTTTATAAGCCAAAATATTCAATGTAGGATAACTTATAACCAAGAAAAGGGGAAACAACCTAAAACAATAATAATAGAGTGGCTAAATATGTTATGGCCTACCCCATCAACAGACTATTATATGATCATTAAAAATGAAAAAGAGAAAGTGTTCCCTATGTGCTATTAACTATGAAAGAATAAGAATGATACAAAATTGCTTTCATATTATAATGCCCATAGGATCATTCCAGTGTGTATCTGTGTTTGTGTAGATGAATGAATTCTAGTTAGGTAGGCAATTATTCATGAACAAAGGATTAAAAGAATAAAAGGAAATATACCAAATTGTTAACAGTAGTTATTAATTTACTAGAAGTTTTCTGCATTAAAAACGACCCACAGAATTGAACAACGAGAACAGTTGGACACAGGAAGGGGAACATCACACACTGGGGCCTGTCATGGGGTGGGGGGAGCGGGGAGGGATAGCATTAGGAGATATACCTAATGTAAATGACGAGTTAATGGGTGCAGCACACCAACATGGCGCATGTATACATATGTAACAAACCTGCACATTGTGCACATGTACCCTAGAACTTAAAGTATAATAAAAAATATACATTATATATATATTTTTGCTATTAAAATTAAGTATTTCTCAATAATTTTTATTAAAGTTTAATTAAAAAATGAAATTATTGATCCACAGAGGACTGATTCCATAGATATGGAACTCAAGGATTCAGAGGGCTGACTGTATGCCATTATGGAATATTTTCCTCTGAAGACAACAATATATTTACACATTTTATTTTCAGCCATAAATAACAAATATTAAATAGGAAATTTAAAAAATACATTAAAATAAAGGACCATAAATTTGAAAAAAAGACCCACAACTCTTTAAGCTGTGTTTATAATATTAGTAATATTAATATTAATAACAAAGGTAGAAGAAAAATCAGAAATTATTAACAGCATAGAAGCCACAACAGAGAATTTTAATAAAACTGAAGCTTCACTGTAAAACTCCACACATACTATGGTAGAATTATGAAGTACATTATCCCCAGTGGTACAGATTGAAAATAAAATGGATTTTAAATTGGTTTAGAGGCATTTCTAATGGTACTGCAACGTAGTGCACCCTTGGGATTTCCTGCCTGGTGTAAGCCTTGCAGTCTTACAGAAAAAATAATTCTGGAATAGATGGGCCACTGTTCTGACTCAGCCATGAGAAAGCCCACATTTCCCTTCTGCATCAAGAACACTGGCATGTGTCACCTTGTGTGTCATAGAAATACTAATTTTAGTGACTAGTTTTAAAAGAACAGGCTAGAGATTCCCAAAGGCACCACTCTCACTTTTTAAGGGAAAAGTATACACTATGTATGACATAAGCCATTTCTTCCATCCTCCCAATTTAAATGAGCAATTCTGATGTTTATCATCTTATTCACTCTGTTCAAGCAGAATCGCAGTCTTCTGAGCATAATGTTCAGGAATGAGTATCATTTAAAACTTCAGAACAGCCTACATTGCCTGATTTAGAAAAGGCTTTTCCACCTTGTAATTCACTTGTGGTATGAATCAATCGAAATTCTAAAGAGAGCAATTCAGTTCTGACTTTAATAATTACTAAGATTCCTGGAACACTTTTACACAAATGCATTTTCAGCCGCTAGCTTGAGTAACTTGCAGCATATTCAGACAAAAGTTAGCCTGATGCAGACAGAATTCTGTAAAGTATGCCAATCACATGAGTCCGCTCATTCTGCACGCTAGAATTATATCTGAAATATATAGCGAAATCCAGTTCAGCTTTCGCTAGTCATCACATGGTAACAAGTGACATAAAATCCTAGTGATTTACATTAATAAAGGTTCACTTCTTTTTCATGATACACAACAGCTAGGGTCAGCTCCAGCTCTATTCCATGTCTTCATTCCAGCCTTCGGGCTAAAGGAGCAGCTCTTTTCTAGAATATGCTCTTCTTGTGGTGGCTGTGGGACATAGGAAATAGAACCACATGATAGTTCTTAAACCCTCTGCTTGAACGTGTCCATAGCACTTTTGCATGTATTTCATTGACTAACACAAGTTCAATGGCCAATGCTGACATAAACAGGACATGGAAGTATAATCCCCCTACACAAAGGTCAGGAAATAACTGAGGAACAATACGACAATCTGCCACATCAAGTATCTGAAATATACCATATTTTTAATAGTATATATAGAATACTGTATATCTATGCAGTATATATAGAATACCATATATCCATGCAGTATATATAGAATAATACAACTGGATCTATAATATGTGTATTTATGTGTGGAGAGATAGATAGATGGAAACAGATCGTGAAGACAGAAAAAAAGATAGATGATAGACAGACAGATAGATAGACAAATAGATAAGGCAATGTATATATGGCTTCATTAGCAAAGGACTTTGGTATGACAAGAATTGTAGAACCATTTGGCCAGCCCAAAAAAGAAACAGGGATACTTCTTCCAATCCATCAGGAAGAAAGTTAAAGAAGCCAGATACAGATACAGTTGGTTCTAAAATGATAACCTATAAACATTTTACTACATAATTAAGCTAAACATAAACACAAATTCAGAATACTAGCTTAGAATCTAATATTAGTTTCCAGATCATTTTCCTACCCCTACCTACTCATCCACTCAACCCATCCAAGTAGCCTGTGTGACAGACTCTCATTCCATGAGCCATAGATTTTTATCTGCTATCTCATTTTCTTTCTGTTCCATAGCTAAGTACAAACCATATAAATATTGGCTTCCAACTTTACTTGTTAAGCCAGAAACAGCTTAACATTCTGTTTTTTTTTTTTTATTTGTTCATTTGTTTGTTTGTTTTTTGGTTTGCCACCATTCAGCTGTCTCTTTAGGAACTGGAGTACCAATTCCTGCATCTGTGTTCTCTGTTCCAACCTTTCTGTGCCTATGGTGAGACAAGACACAACTTAGAGTCACGTCGGTGTGAAAATCAACTTCTTGTTTAAAATCTAAGTTAAAATATATCCCCCTCACATTGGATAGGAATATCTAATCTATATCATTTTCTATGTTACATTTATATAATGCCTCTATCTCAACTGTCCTCTTAACTCATCTCATGTTATGTCCTTGTTGAACCGTATCCCATGCAGTGTCCTGAAGGCTGCATTTGCTCACGTGATAATAATAGTCCATGTTTCAATTTTGAGTATTCCTAGGATGCAATATTTACATTCGGTTTCCCCAACTCCAATGCCTCCTTAGAAGAGATCTACTTCTATTTGAGTTCTTTTGCTTGAAGACAAAATACTTCGTTATCTTTGTTCCTATATCACTGCTAACAAAGCCAAGCTATCAAGGAGCCTGGCTTTCTAGTGCTGGAAAACTTGATCTGATCTCTTAGATGAAGATCCAGGAAAATATGATCTTACTCATCATTTCCATTCCATCTGGCTACCATTATTTCTCATAATAGTAAATGATATTGACCAAGATAGTGTTAATCAAAATCCTACGCTTTTGGAGGTGATAGATATGTTTATGGCATTGATTGTGGTGATGGTTTCTTGGGTGTATACTTATCTCCAAATTCATCAAGTTGTATTAAATTATGTACATCTTTTTGTAAACAAAATATCCTAACAGTCTCTAGGTGGTTATTACTCAGTGTGCCTACACAAACATTTCTTTTAACATCAATTGAAAGTTACATTGTTGTTTTATCATATAGCAATCCAATTCCTTGGATATGCGAAGAGAATTTCTAGTCTAGTCTAGTCAAAAAAAAATTAATATCTTGAACCTTGAGAATACTTGGTCCTCCCAAAGATTCCAATTAATATGTTAGATTTGTGAGAGCTCACCTAATCCTCTTTTTCAAATATTACTACCTACAAAGTAATGTCTCAATTGGAAAAGCTCCTCCTTGGCTTATCCTTATCTAAGCACTCCAGAAAGGCAGTTTAAGATCAGAGTTGAAGATAAGAATCTCCGGCATCAAGTGTTATGTGATGGTTACGCTGCACATAATCCCTGTCCTGTACTAGATTCTGAGATAGTTTCCAGCATCGCGTCTGATTTTTCATTCCTTGTCTGGTCCCTTATTTCTGGCTTGAACCATAAACCATGAATATGAAGTTGAATTCTTCATCTATCTGTGTTCTGCTCTGATTAGACATTGAGAAACACTCCAGGGTGTACAAACTAATTAGAGTATCACTCTTACATGGCTTGGATATTTTTCTCCTGACCTTGACCTACAAGTTTACATTCAAAACCCTGCTCTTACCCTACAGTTTGGCATGAGGTCTTAGATTTTTCGTGTCAGCTTCATGATTAGAGCCCCCGTCCTCCTGAGCAGCTTAAGTCCTTTTCCTGGGCTCTGTGATGTCTCCTGTCCTATCTGTCCTAGACTCATCCACACTGGTGGGCATTTTGCTCTGAGTGACTCAGAATAAATGGATGACATCATCAGTGATCAGCATTGTCAAAGCACGCTTCAGATGTTCGCTCTAAGTGTGTGATAGACATGAAAATTGATATATAGAGATAGATATAAAATATTTACTTGTTAAATAATTTGTGAGTTTTTAATCAGGCTTTTTTTTAACTGTATTGCTTAGATTTTTTTGGTGATTTTGACCCATGAAAATAAACTGATTTCTCCTCTACTTTTAGATGGTCCAGTAGTCTATGCAGCATATTTAAAAATGGAGCACAGTGACGAGAATATTCAATTCTGGATGGCATGTGAAACCTATAAGAAAATTGCCTCACGGTGGAGCAGAATTTCTAGGGCAAAGAAGCTTTATAAGATTTACATCCAGCCACAGTCCCCTAGAGAGGTAACTACCTGACAATGACAGGAATGGAAATCAGTTCATCCCTGCAAGGGCATTAATATCTGTCAAGCATCCATAAGTGCCAGGCACTTTACATCCAGTATCTCCTAAAATGCTATAAATTCAGTATTGCTAACCTTATTTTACAGATAAGAAACCTGAGACTCTGAGAACTTGTCCAGTGTCACACAGCCATTAAGTGGTAAAGTTAAGATTCAAAATTAAATCTATCTGGCTCCAAAGCTTCTCCCCATTAAATTATCTTGATTTCTAGGAAACTTAAAAAGAAAAAAAGGAGTCTGTGGCGAAAGCATTGGCCTTCCCAGCAGGAACTATAAATATCATGAAGAGACATTTGAGAATCCTGTGTTGTTGGGCAATGAGAAATAAAAAGTCTGTTAAGGGAATAAAGACAGAGGACAGTATATGAGATTTCTATCGTACAGGGCAAGCCTACATTGTGGACATATTCTAGAACTCTTGTCTGGAAAATACTTGGTTTATTGAAATAGCCACTTCTCCCCTCTATTTATCCACTTCTCTTCATTTTCTTCCCATTTCAGAGCATATTCAGTTAAATCAACATTTGTGACTATTAAGGGAGATAAATTTTTAAAAAGCACCAATTTCTCTTTTCTTTAAAAAGACATTTGTCTTACAAACTTCCTGATTTGTAGACTGCTACTAAGAAACCACTGCATCTTCCTGAGTAAGCCATGGTTTTGGAAACTTCCCTGGCCTTGAGCCTCATATTTTTCTTTTTTGTTCCTCTTGGATGTGGAGTTGGATATTTACTTTTAAAAGAGCAAAATGTTTATTTTTTATATATCTTCTTAGATGCCTATAAAACTACAAAGAAAATTACCCTATTCCACTGAAAAGGAGAGCAGAGAATAAATTAAACCTTTCTACTATATGTGCCTTTTTTTCAACTATGCTAACTTAATGCTGTACATGTAATTTCACTTTTCAGATTAACATTGACAGTTCGACAAGAGAGACTATCATCAGGAACATTCAGGAACCCACTGAAACATGTTTTGAAGAAGCTCAGAAAATAGTCTATATGCATATGGAAAGGGATTCCTACCCCAGATTTCTAAAGTCAGAAATGTACCAAAAACTTTTGAAAACTATGCAGTCCAACAACAGTTTCTGACTACAACTCAAAAGTTTAAATAGAAAACAGTATATTGAAAGTGGTGGGTTTGATCTTTTTATTTAGAAACCCACAAAATCAGAAACACAGTACAAATAAAACAGAAATCAAACTATAAGTTGACTTTTAGTTCCTAAAAAGAAACATATTTCAAAAGCAATGGAATCTAGAATTCTTATAACATGAATAACAAAATGTACAGCAAGCCTATGTAGTTCAATTAATATATAAGGAAAAGGAAGGTCTTTCTTCATGATACAAGCATTATAAAGTTTTTACTGTAGTAGTCAATTAATGGATATTTCCTTGTTAATAAAATTTTGTGTCATAATTTACAAATTAGTTCTTTAAAAATTGTTGTTATATGAATTGTGTTTCTAGCATGAATGTTCTATAGAGTACTCTAAATAACTTGAATTTATAGACAAATGCTACTCACAGTACAATCAATTGTATTATACCATGAGAAAATCAAAAAGGTGTTCTTCAGAGACATTTTATCTATAAAATTTTCCTACTATTATGTTCATTAACAAACTTCTTTATCACATGTATCTTCTACATGTAAAACATTTCTGATGATTTTTTAACAAAAAATATATGAATTTCTTCATTTGCTCTTGCATCTACATTGCTATAAGGATATAAAATGTGGTTTCTATATTTTGAGATGTTTTTTCCTTACAATGTGAACTCATCGTGATCTTGGAAATCAATAAAGTCAAATATCAACTAAAGACTTACATTATCTTTCTCAAAGACAAAATAAATATATTTTCCAGTACAAATTTCAAAAGGGCCAAAGTTGGTATACAGTGAGAATATATAATATTTTTATTTTCCATAGTTTTCCTGGAAAGTGGAGACAACTTAACACATTCATTGGATATTACCTTCCTATCATTTCAAAATATTAAAAGAATCCAGATTCGACATCCATAATCAGAAGCTCATCGTAACATTTACAAGTGTGAAAGTTGATCTGTTCCATTTTGTAATTAAAAGGGAACAAATTAGAAATTTCAAGTCTTGTATTCCTGAAGGAAGAAAACATTCAAAAATGATTTTTCCCTCTTGGAATTATTTTAAAATATGCATATTTTCTCTTAGTTTTGAAAAGTGGCTTAAAATAGACTTATTTTACCCTTCTGCAGATGCAAAGTTTTTCTGTCTTTCTAGTGATTCACTAATTGGTTTACTACTGAATTATTTATTCCATGAGTCATTACATTTTATTGTTACCAAGAAGTGTAAATTTAGTTAGAGTCAGATGCTTCTGTAGTTCATGAAATCACAGGCGTTTTTCCGTAGCGCTGTCCACTTTTAAAAGATGAGCAATGTGAGTAACTACACAGCCAATCTTAGCACAGGTGCTAAGAAGGGCTAAGTCACTAAACCACCTTGCCTCCAGCTCTGAAACCAAAAAAGCCTAGTAAAAAAATAAAATTTTTTTTAAAAAAGTGAATAAACAAAGAAGCATTGCTGATACGATTTAAATACACTTCAGTTCTGCACAGTGGAAACAATACTGAATTCATTGTTAAGAAAGTTGGGTTTCAGTTCTAGATTTCCCAGGTTAACTATATAAATTTCTTTAGGTCTAGGTAAACTATAGAAAATTATACAAATTACTTATTGTCCCTGCTTCTCAGTTTTCTCACCTTTTAAATGAGGTCATTAAAATAGATAATACCTTAGTTCCTTTCCAGCTTCAAAATCCTGACTACCGTCAGTACTTTTTTTTCTTCTTCTTCTTTTTTTTTTTTTTTTTTGAGACAGACTCTTGCTCTGTCACCAAACTGGAGTGCAGTGGCAAGATCTTGGCTCACTGCAACCTCCACCTCCCAGGTTCAAGCGATTCTCCTGCCTCAGCCTCCCAAGTACCTGGGACTATGGGTGCGTGCCACCATGCCCAGCTAATTTTCCTATTTTTAGTAGAGACAGGGTTTCACCATGTTGGCCAGGATGGTCTCGATCTCTTGACCTCATGATCTGCCCACCTCAGCCTCCCAAAGTGCTGGGATTACAGGCGTGAGCCACCGCACCCGGCCAGAAAGTACTTTTAAATTACTGAGTTCTTCATTATCTGAAGGGTTTTGTGTGATATTCCATTGCCTTTCCTCTGATTTCATAAATGTAATACAATGCCACATATTCAAAACAGAATTTTGCCACAAAAACACTCTTCTAAGATCATGTCTTCAGATGTTTGTAAATCAGGAACTATCTCTGGCCTTCCCACTTGCTCCCTTAACTTAGGCCTTCCCACACCATTCACTGCTGAAGCTGGTGTTCTAGCTCCAAGAAAAGCCCTCAGAGATTGTAGAAACCAGTATGGAGGTTCCTCAAAAAATCAAACTACCATATGATCCAGTAATCCCATTTTTTCATATTTATTCAAAGGAATTGAAAACAAGATCTCAAAAAGATATCTATACCCCCATATTCACTGCAGCATTATTCATAACAGCCAAGAACTAGACACAAACTACATGTCCTTCAGCAAATGAGTGGATGAAGAAAAAGTTATACACACATACTCAATGGATTATTATTCAGCCTTAAAAAGAAGGAAATTCTGCCATTTGTGCTACTATGGATGGAGCTGGAAGACATTTTGCTAAGCCAAGTAAGCAAGACACAAAAGACACCATGATCTGGGCCAGGCGTGGTGGCTCACACCTGTAATCCCAGCACTTTGGGAGGCCAAGGCGGGCAGATCACAAGGTCTGGAGTTTGAGACCAGCGTGGCCAATATGGTGAAACCCCGTCTCTATCAAAAATACAAAAATTAGCCAGGCGTGGTGGTGGGTGCCTGTAGTCCCAGCTACTCAGGAGGCTGGGGCAGGAGAATCGCTTGAACCTGAGAGGTGGAGGTTGCAGCAAGCCAAGATCACACCATTGCACTCCAGCCTGGGCGACTGAGCAAGACTCCGTCTCAAAAAAAAAAAAAAACAAAAAAAAAAAAACAAAAAAACACCATGATCTAAATTGTATGTGGGATCTAAGGAGGCAAACTCATGGAGGCAGAGTAGGATGGCAGTTGCCAAGGGCTGGAGGGAGAGGGAAATGAAGATATATTGGTCAAGGGGTACAAAGTTTTAGTAACGCACGATGAATGGGTTTTGGAGATCTAATGTACAGCATGGTGACAACAGTCAACAATACTGTATTATATACTTGAAATTTGCTAAGAGAAGAGATTTTAAATCTTCTCAACACACATATGCACACACACAAATGGTAACTATGTGGAGGGATAGATATGTTAATTAAATTATGATGGTCATTTCACTATATATACATATATCAAAACAGCAACTTGTACATCTTAAATATACACGATTTTTATATATCAATATCTCAAAAGCTGTTGAAAGAAGCCTTCATAGACTATCCTATCATTATAAGATGTAAAAGTTTCATGAGAATAAAATATTAATTTTTTTATTATTATACTTTAAGTTCTAGGGTACATGTGCACAATGTGCAGGTTTGTTACATAGGTATATATGTGCCATGTTGGTTTGCTGCACCCATCAACTCATCATTTACATTAGGTATTTCTCCTAATGCTATCCCTCCCCCAGGCCCCACCCCCAACAGGCCTTGGTGTGTGATATTCCCCTCCATGTGACCATGTGTTCTCATTGATCAATTCCCACTTATGAGTGAGAACATGCGGTTTTTGGTTTTCTGTCCTTGTGATATTTTGCTGAGAATGATAGTTTCCATCTTCATCCATGTCCCTGCAAAGGACATGAACTCATCCTTTTTATGGCTGCATAGTATTCCATGGTATATATGTGCCACATTTTCTTTATCCAGTCTATTATTGATGGACATTTGGCTTGGTTCCAAGTCTTTGCTATTGTGAATAGTGCCACAATAAATATATGTGTGCATGTGTCTTTATAGCAGCATGATTTGTAATCCTTTGGGTATATACCCAGTAATGGGATTGCTGGGTCAAATGGTATTTCTAGTTCTAGATCCTTGAGGAATCACCACACTGTCTTCCACAATGGTTGAACTAATTTACACTCCCACCAACAGTGTAAAAGCATTCCTATTTCTACCCATCCTCTCCAGCATCTGTTGTTTCCTGACGTTCAATGATCACCCTTCTAACTGGCGTGAGATGGTATCTAATTGTGGTTTTGATTTGCATTTCTCTGATGACCAGTGATGATGAGCATTTTTTAATATGTCTGTCAGCTGCATAAATGTCTTCTTTTGAGAAGTGTCTGTTCATATCCTTTGCCCACTTTTAGGTGGGGTTGTTTGTTTTTTCTTGTAAATTTGTTTAAGTTCTTCGTAGATTCTGGATATTAGCCCCTTTGTCAGATGGATAGATTGCAAAAATTTTCTCCCATTCTGTAGGTTGACTGTTCACTCTGCTGATAGTTTCTTTTGCTGTGCAGAAGCTCTTTAGTTTAATTAGATCCCATTTGTCTATTTTGACTTTTGTTGCCGTTGCTTTTGGTGTTTTAGTCATGAAGTCTTTGCCCATGACTATGTCCTGAAGGGTATTGCCAGGGTTTTCTTCTAAGGTTTTTATGGTTTTAGGTCTTACATTTAAGTCTTTAATCCATCTTGAGTTAATTTTTGTATATGGTGTAAACAAGGGATCCAGTTTCAGCTTTCTATGTATGGCTACCCAGTTTTCCCAGCACCATTTATTAAATAGGGAATCCTTCCCCCATTGCTTGTTTTTGTAAGGTTTGTCAAAGCTCAGATGGTTATAGATGTATGGTGTTATTTATGAGGCCTCTGTTCTCTTCCATTGCTCTATATCTCTGTTTTGGTACCAGTACTATGCTGTTTTGATTACTGTGGCCTTGTAGTAAAGTTTGAAGTCAGGTAGTGTGATGCCTCCAGCTTTGTTCTTTTGGCTTAGGATTGTCTTGGCTATGTGGGCTCTTTTTTGGTTCCATATGAAATTTAAAGGAGTTTTTTTCCAATTCTGTGAAGAAAGCCAGTGGAAGCTTGATGGGGATAGCACTGAATCTATAAATTACCTTGGGCAGTATGGCCATTTTAGTGATATTGATTCTTCCTACCCATGAGCATGGAATGTTCTTCCATTTGTTTGTGTCCTGTTTTATTTCGTTGAGCAGTGGTTTGTAGTTCTCCTTGAAGAGGTCCTTCACGTCCCTTGTAAGTTGAATTCCTAAGTATTTTATTCTCTTTGAAGCAATTGTGAATGGGAGTTCACTCATGATTTGGCTCTCTGTTTGTCTGTTATTGGTGTATAGGAATGCTTGTGATTTTGGCACATTGATTTTGTATCCCGAGACTTTGTTGAAGTTACTTATCAGCTTAAGGAGATTTTGGGCTGAGACGATTGGGTTTTCTAAATATACAATCATGTCATCTGCAAACAGAGACAATTTGACTTCCTCTTTTCCTAATTGAATACCCTTTATTTCTTTCTCTTGCCTGATTGCCATGGCCAGAACTTCCAACACTTATGTTAAATAGGAGTGGGGAGAGAAGGCATCCTTGTCTTGTGCTGGTTTTCAAAGGGAATGCTTCCAGTTTTTTCCCATTCAGTATGATATTGGCTATGGGTTTGTCACAAATAGCTCTTATTATTTTGAGATACGTTCCATCAATACCTAGTTCATTGAGAGTTTTTAGCATGAAAGGCTGTTGAATTTTGTCAAAGGTCTTTACTGCATCTATTGAGATAATCATGTGGTTTTTGTTGTTCATTCTGTTTATGTGATAGATTACATTTATTGATTTGCATATGTTGAACCAGCCTTGCATCCCAGGGATGAAGCCAACTTGATCATGCTGGATAAGCTTTTTGATGAGCTGCTGGATTCGGTTTGCCAGTATTTTATTGGGGATTTTTACATCAATGTTCATCAGGGATATTGGCCTAAAATTCTTTTTTGTTGTGTCTCTGCCAGGCTTTGGTATCAGGATGATGCTGGCCTCATATAATGAATTAGGGAGGATTACCTCTTTTTCTATTGATTGGAATAGTTTCAGAAGGAATGGTACCAGCTCCTCCATGTACCTCTGGTAGAATTTGGCTGTGAATCCATCTGGTCATGGACTTATTTTGGTTGGCAGGCTATTAATTATTGCCTCAATTTCAGAACCTGTTATTGGTCTATTCAGAGATTCAACTTCTTCCTGGTTTAGTCTTGGGAGGGTGTATGTGTCCAGGAATTTATCCATTTCTTCTAGATTTTCTAGTTCATTTGCGTAGAGGTGTTTATAGTATTCTCTGATGGTAGTATGTATTTCTATGGGATTGTTGGTGATATCCCCTTTATCATTTTTTATTACATCTATTTGATTCTTCTCTCTTTTCTTATTAGTCTTGCTAGTGGTCTATTTATTTTGTGGATCTTTTCAAAAAACCAGCTTCTGGATTCACTGATGTTTTGAAGGGTTTTTTATGTCTCTATCTCCTTCAGTTCTGCTCTGATCTTGGTTATTTCTTGTCTTCTGCTAGCTTTTGAATTTGTTTGCTCTTGCTTCTCTAGTTCTTTTAATTGTGATGTTAGGATGTCGATTTTAGATCTTTCCTGCTTTCTCTTGTGGGCATTTAGTGCTACAAATTTCCCTCCACACACTGTTTTAAATGTGTCCCAGAGATTCTGGTATGCTGTGTCTTTGTTCTCATATTGCTTTCAAAGAACATATTTATTTCTGCCTTCATTTCTTTATTTACCCAGTAGTCATTCAGGAGCAGGTTGCTCAGTTTCCATGTAGGTGGTTGGTTTTGAGTGAGTTTTTTAATCCTGAGTTCTAGTTTGATTGCACTGTGGTCTGAGAGACAGTTTGCTGTGATTTCTGTTCTTTTATATTTGCTGAGGAGTGTTTTACTTCCAACTATGTGGTCAATTTTAGAATAAGTGTGACGTGGTGTTGAGAAGAATGTATAGTCTGTTGATTTGGGGTGGAGAGTTCTGTAGATGACTATTAGGTCCACTTGGTGCAGAGCTGAGTTCAAGTCCTGGATATCCTTGTTAATTTTCTGTCTTGTTGATCTAATATTGACAGTGGGGTGTTAAAGTCTCCCATTATTATTGTGTGGGAGAATAAGTCTCTTTGTAGGTCTCTAAGGGCTTGCTTTATGAATCTGGGTGCTCCTGTATTGGGTGCATATATATTTAGGACAGTTAGCTCTTCTTGAATTGATCCCTTTACCATTATGTAATGGCCTTCTTTGTCTCTTTTGATCTTTGTTGGTTTAAAGTCTGTTTTATCAGAGACCAGGATTGCAACCCCTGATTTTTTTGCTTTCCATTTGCTTGATAGATCTTCCTCCATCCCTTTATTTTGAGCCTATGTCATCTTTGCATGTGAGATGGGTCTCCTGAATACAGCACACCAATGGGTTCTGACTCTTTATCCAATTTGCCAGTCTGTGTCTTTTAATTGGGGCATTTAGCCCATTTACATTTAAGGTTAATATTGTTATGTGTGAATTTGATCCTGTCATTATGATCCTAGCTGGTTATTTTGCCTGTTAATTGATGCAGTTTCTTCATAGTGTCAATGATCTTTACAATTTGGCATATTTTTGCAGTGGCTGGTACTGGTTGTTCCTTTGCATGTTTAATGCTTCCTTCAGGAGTTCTTGTAAGGCCGGCCTGGTGGTGAAAAACACTCTCAGCATTTGCTTGTCTGTAAAGGATTTTATTTCTCCTTCACTTATGAAGCTTAGTTTGGCTGGATATAAAACTCTGGTTGAAAATTATTTTCTATGAGAATGTTGAATATTGGCCCCCACTCTCTTCTGGCTTGTAAAGTTTCTGCCAAGAGATCCACTGTTAGTCTGATGGACTTCCCTTTGTGAGTAACCCAACCTTTCTCTCTGGCTGCCTTTAATATTTTTTCCTTCATTTCAACCTTGGTGAATCTGACAATTATGTGTCTTGGGGTTGCTCTTCTGGAGGAATATCTTTGTGGTGTTCTCTGTATTTCCTGAATTTGAATGTTGGCCTGCCTTGCTAGATTGGGGAGGTTCTCCTGGATTATATCCTGAAGAGTGTTATCTAACTTGGTTCCATTCTCCCCATCACTTTCAGGTCCACCAATCAAATGTAGATTTGGTCTTTTCACATAGTCCATATTTCTTGCACACTTTGTTTCTTTTCACTCTTTTTTCTCTAATCTTGTCTTCTCACTTTATTAATTTAATCTTCAATCACTGATATCCTTTCTTCCACTTGACTGAATAAGCTATTGAAGCTTATGTATGTTTCATGAAGTTCTCATACTGTGGTTTTCAGCTCCATCAGGTCATTTAAGCTCTTCTCTACACTGTTTATTCTAGTTAGCCATTCATCTAACCTTTTATCAAGGTTTTTAGCTTCCTTGCGATGGGTTAGAACATGCTTCTTTAGCTCGGTGAAGTTTGTTATTACTAACCTTCTGAAGCTTAGTTTTGTCAACTCGTCAAACTCATTCTCCATCCAGTTTTGTTCCTTGCTGCCGAGGAGTTGGGTTCCTTTGGAGGAGAAGAGGCTTTCTGGTTTTTGGAACTTTCAGCCTTTCTGCTCTGGTTTCTCCCCATCTTTGTGGTTTTATCTACTTTTGGTCTTTGATATTGGTAACCTATGGATGGTTTTGGTGTGGATGTCCTTTTTGTTGATGTTGATGCTATTCTTTTCTGTTTTTTAGTTTTCCTTCTGACAGGCCCCTCAGCTGCAGGTCTGCTGGAGTTTGCTGCAGGTCCACTGCAGACCCTGTTAGCCTTGGCATCACCAGCGGAGGCTGCAGAACAGCAAATATTGCTGCCTGATCCTACCTCTGGAAGCTTCGTCCCAAAGGGGCACCTGCCTGTATGAGGTGTCTGTCAGCACCTACTGGGCGGTGTCTCCCAGTCAGGCTACACGGAGGGCAGGGACCAACTTGAGGAGGCAGTCTGTCCATTATCAGAGCTTGAACGCCATGCTGGGAGAGCCACTTCTCTCTTCAGAGCTGTCAGGCAGGATGTTTAAGTCTGCAGAAGCTGTCTACTGCCTTTTGTTCAGCTATGCCCTGCCCCCAGAGGTGGAATCTATAGAGGCAGTAAGCCTTGCTGAGCTGCACTGGGATCCACCCAGTTCAAGCTTCCCTGCTGCTTTGTTTACACTGTGAGCATATAACTGTCTACTCAAGCCTCAGCAATGGTGAATGCCCCACCCCTTGCCAAGCTCCAGAGTCCCAGGTTGATCTCAGACCGCTGCACTAGCAGCAAGCAAGGCTCCGTGAGCATGGGACCTGCCAAGCCAGGCACGGGAGGGTATCTCCTGGTCTGCCAGTTGCTAAGACCGTGGGAAAAGCACAGTATTTGGGAAGGAGTGTACCATTCCTCCAGTACAGTTACTCACAACTTCCCCTGGCTAGGAAAGGGAAATCCCCCAACCCCTTGCACTTCCCAGGTGAGGTGACAACCCACCCTGCTTCAGCTCACCCTCCATGGGCTGCACCCACTGTCCAGACAGTCCCAATGAGATGAACCAGGTACCTCAGTTGGAAATGCAGAAATCACCCATCTTCTGCGTCGATCTCACTGGGAGCTGTAGACCGGAGTGGTTCTGATTTGGCCGTCTTGGAAGCCGGGGCAATATTAATACTCTTTACAGTATTTAAACTTCACTGTATTTAAACTTTGTATTTGTATCTTTACTGTATTTAAACTTTAGTGATAATATGTATAAAGTGTTAGAACCTGTATGATTTATAATGGATGGGAGAAAATAGGGTATCATTAAGATTCTTGGAGCACTGAGTAATATTGTTCACTGCTGTGGAGGCCAGAAGGTAACAGAAGAATATAAATTTCTTAAGACTACAGCCATATCTTATTTTGCATCATATCCTCACTGCTAGGTAGAGGACATCGAAAGTATGACACTCAAAAAAATAGATAAATGAATGAGTGAATGAGTAAATAAATGAATCAGTCAATTCATCATCAGTGAGAAATGAATAAATCTGGTGTCAGATCTCCTTTACTCTGTAACTCAGCACTGCCAACTTTTAAAAAGCAATTCCTGGATTGCTCAAAAAATGTAAAATTTCAGGATAATACATGTATAAAAATAGAGCATTATGATCTGAATTTTAACAACTGAGCAAATCTTCTATCCAATGCATAGAAAGACTGGACAAACAAAAGATCAGTTCTACTAAATATTGTTGATATCAGAAAGAGTGTGACAATGCAAGCCAAATAGGGACAGGAAAATATATACGTTAGTGAGTATGGTTCGCTAGTTGAAGGGAGAGCAGGCTTTAAAGCAATGCTCGGTTATCTCATCAATAAAGCAGTGATAACTCTGGTTGTTTTCATTATTAACAAATATATTAAATTTTCCTTGATTTTTTTTAACAATTTCTAATTCCTTTTCCAACCAAAAAAGTTCTTGGTTTTCTTTTCCTAAGTCAGGAAGGTGAGTTGAATGAATATGTGAATAAATGTGCTTATCAAATTTTCTTTCAAAATAATTTCTAAAAGCTGAACTTCTAAATTTTAATTGACTTCCATTTAATATTTCTATCAATTGCAGAAAGACAGCTTTTCACATCATTATCATAGCAGATTCTTAGCACTTGTCAGAATATTTTAGAGGAAAAAACTCACATCCTTTTCATTTTCTTTATTCAGCACATAGCACAGGATAAATGTTCTGTACAAATGGATAAATATTCTATACTTTTGATGAAAAATAAAATACCTAAAATATTTAAGATTATTTTTCCAAAGAATTAAATATAGAAAATTTTTGTTGAAGGTATTTAGTTCTACTATGAAAAATGTTTCTTGGCTCTCAAATTCAACTGAAATGTCATTACTAATTTGAAATGGTTACAAACTACATGATATGAAAATGAGTATTAACTAGAATTCCTACTAAGAAGCAAAAGGATTATTATAGGCAAATTGTCCATATTGAAAGTAAACTACCATTATTATTGATCTAAATATGAGAAATTTTATTTGTGATATTCCACACAATAAATATTGGGGGATTCATTTCCAAGATAGAGAATCAGCTGTAAAAGAGAATATTTTCATTAAAAAGTATATGATTGATTAAGGTGAACTGTTGTTAGTTGTGGAAGGTGTTACCACAGTAGTCCAATTTTATCTAAGCCACTTGATTTTATTTATTTTCTCTTAAAAATACCAGTATAAAAATACAGGTTGAAGTCCTAGATATCTAAACTTGATGATTTCTAGCCACTATAGGCAGAAAAAAAAGTATTTCCACATTTCAGATTCTCCTCATCTCACTCCATCAGTGAATGAGTATCTATCTATCTATCTATACACACACACACACACACACACACACACACACACACATAAATATATGGGCAAGTAGGAAATGTTACACATATGGTTTGGCTCTGTGTCCCCACCCAAATCTCATCTTGAATTGTACTCCCATAATTCTCATATGTTGTGGGAGGTACCTGGTGGGAGATAAGTGAATCATGGGGGCGGGTTCCCCCATACTGTTCTCATGGTAGTGAGTAAGTCTCATGAGATCTGATGGTTTGATACAGGGAAACCTGTTTTGCTTGGCTCTCATTCTCTCTCTTGCTGCCACCATGTGAGACGTGCCTTTCACCTTCCACCATGATTGTAAGGCCTCCCCAGCCACGTGGAACTGTAAGTCCAATAAACCTATTTCTCTTGTAAATTGCCCAGTCTCAGATATGTCTTTATCAGCAGCATGAAAACTAACTAATACAACATGCATGGCCACAATACACATGCTTCAAGCACTTTCAGAACACCATGGGTCTTTCTCATTCAAATTATACAAAATCAGCCTAATACGGACATAACTAGTAAATGATATCAGAATAATTAGCATTCTTTACTACTTATTTTTCCCCTTGAATACATGGATATTTGTACTCCAAAACAGAGTAAGTCTAGAGTTTTCAGTTTTGCTTAATATTCTGATTTTACCTCCTAAATACAGGCTTTCTGTCCTGCTCCCTCAGCACCTCCACATCATGGTGAACAAAGAAGATGCCATGTGGTGTCATGAAACAAAAAGCTTTGGATTGAGGTACAAAGCAATTAGATTAGCATCTGTTCATTCACCTGATGTTCTTGTACCTTTAGGACCAGTAGGCTTCAGCTTCCTCATCTATAAAATAAAGTAGGATGAGATGATTGAGTAAGCCACGTGCTATCCCTGTTTTGTTACATCCCATTACTAACGTGTTCATCATTTTCTTTTCTGTAACTTGGACTCATTTTCAAGAGTAATTTCTCCAAAAATTGAAGTTTTCATGAGGAGTTTAATAATGATCTATTTATTATATTTTGCATTTACCCCTAATTATAAGAGTTCTTCTGAAGTATTTGACTTAGAAACAGAGAAGTTAAACTTAAATTGTATCTGCACGTAAGTGCTGTCTGTCCAAGAATACTGTATGGAAGTATGTGTTTCATTTTACAAATAGTTAAAATAGTTTCAGATTATTTTAACTTAATAATATTCTAAATATTGCTAATTTTCCTTGGGATTTTTTTTAAATTATTAAATATTTTATTTCATTAAAACAATTTTAAATGATTGTTATCAAATGGCTACATGCCTATATTCATATTAATGCATTTTGACATATTTGTTTTATCCTTAGTACTTTAATATTTTTGAGTTAAAATCATATTCTTTGACTTCCAAGATCAGAACCTGAATATATTTATGATTTTAAAAAAATTTTTTATATATACTTCCAGACTCTGGAAATGTGCAAGATAAGCCTCCATTGTCCCTGTGTAGAAATAAAATCTTACCTTCTCCAAAATAAGATAGTGATAGAGATTTGTACAATTCAGAATTCAAGCATCTTGCCAGATATGAACACTTCCCTATTTATAATTCATCAGTCACACCATGATTTCATCAATTGCAAAGAACTTTTTATGAATTTTAGAAGAATTTACTGTGAAAAAGAGATATATAAAGCTTTCTTCAAAGACATACAACATTGCAATTTGAAGAAAATTATTATTTTCTTCACCTCACTGCCTAAAAATATTTTCACCACATGTAGGGCTGCAACTTTCACCTCTTGTCATAGGTGAAAAATTGCATCAAAATCCGCATCATGAGAAGTGAAACACTAGTGTTAACACTTTAGCCGTTGCCTAGCAGAAAGCAAAACCTGGAAAAATAGAATGCAGGAATATAGGGAGCACAGGAAAATATGTAGGCTCAGTGAACAAAGATAGTAGGGAAACTAGAGGTTATCAGGTACTGAACAGGACTTGGGGAACAAATGGAAAGGGGTTGCTTATAAAAATCTCCCTAAGATGCTTATGGAAAACCAAAACAGGGCTTAGTTTAAACAATCAGGTGTTCTAAATTAATAATTATACATTGTAGTAGAATAAAATAAGATTTCTATAAAAATAAAAGAGCAAGTATTACATTCCTCATTAAGTAGTATTTATAGAAGCATTCCTTATAACAATCTACCCAGCTCCTACTGAGTATAGATATTGTACACACAAACATTAATTAGGTGGTGTTTCTGTTCTCAAGGGCATGTAAGCTGATAATTAAAATACAAAACAATAGTAGTCAAGGTAGACCTGTGTAAAGACTGCTGTGGAATCTCAGCAGAAGCATTTACCTCTACCCAGTGGAATTTGGAAAGAGAAGAGGTTATGTTTGAGATGAATCTTGAAGAATAATTAAGAGATCACTCAGAGGAAAGGGGAAAGCAGTGTGAATTGGAACAAGAGCTGGAGAAGGGAGAATCTTGTAACAATTCGAAATATTTAAAAGAGGGTAGAGGCTTTGAAATCAGATAGATCTAAGTTCAAAGCCTGGCTTTAACACTTAACAGCTATGAGAATTTAAGAAAACTGCTTAATCTCACTGAACTTTGTTTTTTCTTCATCAGTAAAATAATATATAAAAATAGCATTAATTGCTCTTACCTCATGGGCTTCTTTATATAAAAAGTGCATATAAAGTCTTGACTCTGTGTTCAATATAATTTAACTGTATTATGAGTTATCACAAAAGCCCAGATGAGAGACAATGATAGTCTGAGCTAGGAAAATGAGGAAAAGAGAAACAATTTGAAAGAGAAATTATGAGCTCAGCAAGAAGGGAGAGATCAAGGTTGTTCCAAAGTTTCTAGTTTAAGCAGCAGGGTAAGAACTGGTGCCATTAACTGAGCGAAGGAGATCAGAGGGATGAGCAGGATTCAGAGGGCAAGTTGCATGTGAGGTGCCACCACGCCATAAGTGGGATTCCAGAGAGAGGTAAAGACCAGAAATGCAGAACTGGGAACTGTTGGCATGATCAAGGCACTGGCCAGAGGAGATCTTACAAGGAAACTGCAGAACAGAAAGTGGAAATCCAAAGGACTCAATCAAAGCTTATGAAAGAATATAATAGATTAATGACTCCTCAATTCTCACCATAAACTCTTCATGATATTTATAGTTATAAAGATCATTTATGACATTTTACCATGTAAAATGTATTGAGCTAAGTGTTGATACAGCATTCATTCATTCAACAAATAGTTATTGAGCATCTGCTGTACAACAACATGGTTATCAGAGATGAGGATTCACTAACAAGCCAAGCAAAACACATGTTTGCCCTCTTGGAGCTTAAATTGCCTTTATGTAACAAAAAGGGTAGTCAACTAAAGAAAATCACATCAATTATGATAAGTGCTGTAAAGAATGAAAATAAAATAAAACAGTAGAGAGTGGCAGGTGTGAGAACTCACCAGAGAAAGAAGTTAGGGGGCCCTCTCTATGTAGTTCATATCCTCCTCTCCTCTTGACAGCCCTGATCAAGAATGAGGAATCTGATGCTTTGAGAAGTTAAATAATGTGTGCGTGTGTGTGTGTGTGTGTGTGTGTGTATTTAACATGAGCACTACTCTCTTAACAGATTTTTTATGTGTACAATACAGTATTGTTAACTATAGGTACGATGTTGTATGGTAGTTCTTTAGAAATTATTCTTTTTGCATAATTGAAATTTTATACCTATTGATTAGCTACTCCCCATTTCCTTCTCCCCACAGCCTTTGGAAGCCACTCTGCTATTCTTTGCTTCTACAAGTTTGACTATTTTAGATACAGCATATAAGTAGAATCATGCAGTATTTCTTCTTCTTCTGTAACTGGTTTATTTCACTTAGCATAATGTCCTCAAGATTCATCCTTGTTGTCAAATATTATAGGACTTATTCTTGTTTTTGAGACAGAGACTCACTGTGTCACCCAGGCTGGAGTGAAGTGGTGAAGTCTCTGCTCACTGCAGCCTCAACCTCACTGGCTCAAGCGATCCTCCCACCCACATCAGCCTCCCAGGTTGCTGGGACTACAGGCAGGCACCACCGTGCCCAGCTAATTTTTGTACTCTTTGTAGAGATGGGGTTTCACCATTTTGCCCAGGCTGGTCTCAAATGCCTGAGCTCAAGTGAACCACCCACCTCGGCCTCCCAAAGTGCTGGGATTACAGGCATGAGCCACCATGCCCAGCCACTTTCTTTTTTATTAAGGATGAATAATATTCCATGGTATGTGTACACCACATTTCCTTTATCCATTTATCCACATAGACATTTAGGTTGTTTCCACATCTTAGCTCTTGTAAATAGTGCTGCAAAAATGTGGGAGTGCTAATATCTCTTTGAGATCCTGATTTCAATTCTTTTGGATAAATGTCCAGAAGTAGGATTGCTGGATCATATGATAGTTCTGTTTTTAATTTTTAAGGAACTTCCATACTCTTTTCCATAGCAGTAGGACCAACAGTGTACACGTACAAGCATTCCCACCAACAGTATACATGTATAAGCATTCCCACCAACAGTATACACACACAAGGGTTCCAATTTATTCACATCCCCAACAACACTTGTCTTGTTTATGTATATATTAGCCATCCTAACATGTGTGAGGTGATTTTATTGCGGCTTTGATTTGTATTTCCTTGATGATTAGTAACACTGAGCATCTTTCCATATACGTGTTGTTCATTTGCATGTCTTCTTCAGAGTATCATACTGGAATAAAGACAGACATCTAGAACAATGGAACAGAATACAGAGCCTAGAAAGAAATCAATGTATATATGGTCAACTGATCTTTGACAAAGGTGTCAAGGACACACAATGGAGAAAGAATGATCCCTTCAACAAATGGTGAATATCCACATGCAAAATAATGAAATTGGACCCTAATATTATACCATACACAAAAATCAACTCAAAATGGATTAAAGACTTAAACAGAAGACTTAAAACTATAAAACCCTAAGAAGAAAACATAAGGGAAAAGCTTCTTGACATTGGTCCTGACAATTATTTTATGGATATGACACCAAAAGCACAGGCAGCAAAAGCCAAAATAGATAAGATCTTATCAGGAAACTGTGCACAATAGAAAGTGGAAACTCAAAGGATCCAGTCTTAGGAGAGAACATAACATATTAATGACTCTTAAATTCCCATTGTAAGCTCCTAATAATATTTATAATTCAACTAAAAAAACTACAAATCTCTGCGAAGCAAAGAAAATAATCAACAGAGTGAAAAGATAACCTAGAGAATGAGAGAAAATATTTACAAACCATATATCTCATAAGGGATTGAATATATATATATATATATCCTACAACTCAATATCATATATAGATATATATAGATATATATACTACCACTCAACAGCAAAAAAATCTAATAGCCTGATTTGGAAATGAACTAAGGACTTGAATAAATAGCTTCTTTAATGACTCTCAGCTAGAACTACAGTTTTCATAATTCCAATCCCTTATATTAAGTACTGCCTTCCACAAACACACTAAATGGAAAATAAATGTATAATGATCTAATATAAATAACTGTGTTCAAATTTAAAGTGCCATTACCTATACAAACTAATTTAATATGGATGTTTGTTATTACACCTGTCTCTAGTTACTGCTGCTAATAAACTTATACAAATTAGTTCAAACCATCGTTGATCCTTAGGTCTCAGAAGATTTACCTGGGAACTGATGTGATGATGCCCAAGTTCCAGTACTAAAATGGAACACTTTCTCTTTAATTAGCAAATAGGTTGCTTAAGCCAGGAAGTGAAAAGCACATATTGGGTAGTGAGTTATATATTTCTTAAAGGGAGAAGAGGCAAAGATAAAGGAGCCAAACTACCCCCTTTCAAGAGGTTGGAGGCCATGGTCCAAACCATGCAGCATCCCAGCATGTCACTTTTGTCTTGGATAATAAGTAAGCAGAGGTGATCCAGGGTCAGGGCTGTGAACAGTCAGTACCAACTGGCTTCTTCACCTTCAGTTTGAGGACGAACGGATGTGAGCAAATAGCAAGAAATACCATTAGAAACACCAAAAGTGAAAGAAAAAAAATACTGAAAGGATCTGGGATGTATAGCCAAAGAATTTAGAGAAAATAAAGTAGAAAATCATGAGCTCATTTTATTTAATTTTAACAAGCAGCATCTTACTCATCTGATGTCATTTTTATCTGCCAGCCACAGAGGCAGCAGCATTTGCCAATTTCTGAAGACACTACCCAGTATCTGGCACCTATCACTGTTGCCTTGTCCTATGATCTTGCTTAAAATGAAGAACTAGCCACTTTGGGGTTACATAATTTATCTAAGTATAAACAAATATGTTTATAAAAAGGACTGGCCCAGGGTCATTTTCAAATTTTAACGGTTTAAGGACAAAGTGCCTCCCCAAATCAATGAAGTCTTCATAGTTCATGAAGAATATTGGTATACATTATTTAACTTGAGCCTCAAAACAGTCCTAGTAGGAAGGCATTTTTATCCCTGATGTATAGAGGAGGAGAGTAATGAAACCTAACGAGTAGGACCTTTGATTTATATGGACCAGTGGCTGAGTGGCAAGATTCAAGCACACAAACAAAAATCCGACAACAGGGTGAAAACAGAACCTGCCCTGCAGGAGTGCTGCCTCAATCCAGGAAGCTGATGGACGTGCATCCCAGACCACATTACCTGGTAGATAATTGTCATCCTAAAGAGATGGTTATTAAAAAAGAGCACATTTTAGAAAGTAATGGCTTGTAAGAACCAAAATGGATGAAAACAATCGTTAGGATACAAGAGACGTAATGAAATATGCAGTAAAGTAGGCAGAAAGGAGTATCAGCCTTAGATGTCAAACAGTATTCACAGATCCAGTGTGTCTCAATTTATTAAGCTCAAATTTATTCATTGCTTCCTTAGCGTTTCATTAAATACTTAATAGGTATGATGTATTGGGCTAGTTGCAGGCAATATGCAGTAGGCAAATAAAATATGGTCCAAACCCTCAATGTGCTTAGACATTAGAAAAGAGAGGAGATAAATGAACAAATAAGCACAATGCAGAGTGTTGTGATGGTAAATAAGCAACGTTTTTAATCATAAACATCCTTCATTAGAGAACTTTCATTCTTAATAAGGAAAGGAAACTTTTCAATACAAGAAAGGAATATGCCAGATCTAGAAACATACTTAGTTTGAAATTTATACTTTAAAAGGAATCGTGTAAAGAAAGAGGTGGGAAAATCTACTTGGCAATTTGACTGCTTGACAGGATTACAGCTCATCTTGCTGCTTCTAATTAATAATGCATTTTGCTATATTATTAGACACTTAGATGTGTTTCCCTGGCAGCACTTGTAACTGAGTTCTCACAGGCCTCTTATGGTGAGAAAAGAATAAAAGATAGCTAAGGTAAATATAGTCTGTTTTATGCTGTAATGCTGTCTGATAGCACCCCAGCCCCTTGGTGATTCATATGCAAGTTACATCCCAGGCAATTCAATCTAAAATTGGAGTGCATGTGCTAGCACAGTTTTTATGTCTCAGTTTGGCAGTTTCTATCTAGAGGTGCCACAAATTAATGTTATTATCAGCTTAAAAGTTTGGTGAAAAGTGTTATACATTCTTATTCTTTGAAAGGTGAGAGAGAGAAAATAAGATTCCGAGGTTTTGTGTACAGGAAAAAACTTGGAAGCTACTAGGTACCAGGCACGGTGAATAGTCATTTTGCTTTTCTTATCTCATTTAAGTTTCACAATAAATATGTAAAGAAGTTATTATTAAGTATATTTTTTTAGTCTTGAAAAAACTGGATTCAGAGAGATTAAAAACTTGTCCAAACTCAAAGAGCTAAGAAACCATGCTGAGACTAAAACTAAACTTTCTGACTCCAAAAGTCACCCTTTCCCATAAATCAAATGAGAGTTTTGCTTTAATTGCACCTGTTTTTTTCAATCACATGCACAGAGGGTAGCCTCTGACATTGAGGGGATACTTGCATGACTAATGCTGATTTTCTTGATAAATCTTTAAATAGCTATTTTCAACATTCAAATGATATCATGAAGATGGTTGCGGTCATCATCTTAAGGATATGCAAGTTAGAAAATTCTTTCTATGCAATATTCAAGCAGCATTGATATGTACATTCCAAGAAAAAAAATCATAAAGGCTTAATTTTAAAAGAGATTACTGTCATCACCGAAAGGCAGAGAAACTGTTCAGGTAACACTGAAATGAATCATCATTCAAATAACAAGACGACATTCAGAAATCATCAGAGCATCTCTTGCTTGCTAGCATCTCTTGCTTGCTAGCATCTCTTGTCCAGAGTAGTCTCTTGCCCACTGAAACATCATCAATGATCTATGTTTCCCCGGCCTAGAGCTCCTACCTGAACTCCAGACCTAAACTGTGCAATACTACCACATATCAGAACCACCATTTATTGTACGCTATTTTTTTTGCCAGTTATTGTGCTGAGATATGCAATATGTTACCATCATTCATCCTCAATAACTCTTTAGGGTAGGTAACCTGAATCTCATTTTTCTGTAATGTTTTCTTTCCTGAATGTAATTGTTACTTCCCTGAAGTTACAAATCTAAAAAGTGATGGAGCCAGTCAGCAATTCAAGCCCAGGTCTTTCTGATCCTAAGGCTAATTCCTGTTCCTCCAGTCATCACCGCCTCTCAGTATAAGCCCTGATTCCCACTTGCGGTCCTGATGTTCCTTTAATGTTTTTCATGTCTAGAGCTGAGTACATTTTTTTCCCTCACTTGACATCTCTGCTTTCTTTCCATCCTATATTCTTTATCAGAATGAATGGCATCACTTCTCAACTGTAATATAATTGGATGCTCACTTGTCCGTCTCTTACACTAAACTATCAATTACCTGTGTGTGCCCAGAACCTATCACAGAGCCTGAAAAATAGTGTAAAACTCACTTAATGTATAAGTATTTGCTAAATAAATGATGTCACCCAGTTACCTTAGTCAGAACCCTAGAAGTCACCTGAGATTCCCTCCTGTCCTTCAGCCCCCACTACCAGTTGGTAACCAAGTCCAGTCTGTTCTATTCTAAATGCCTCATGAAGCTGTCCTCATTCTTGCCTGGATTTAGTTACCTTCTGCAAGATGGAAACTCCTTGTCTCCAAGGTAACTCACGTCCATAACATTGCTTACCAAATATGATTAGAGCTAAAACCTCTTTAGGAACTCCTATGTCTCTAGCATGATGAATATGTCTCTCCAAATGTCTTAGTTTTGTTTACCAGTCTAATCTCATTATTTGTTCACTCTCTAATGTTCCTCCCTCTCTCCATCCCTGTCTCTCTCACTCAGACACATTTACAAGGCCTTTAAATTCACATGGCCTCTTTCCAGTGTGCAGTTTACACTGTCCTTTTTCAATTTATTCACTTCAGAAATTACTAATTACAAGACCAGTCAAGAGTTAAGCATTTATCATCCCTTTAAAGTCACAGTCTTCCAGTATTTGTACCTCCACAGAGAACTTCTAATCATTAATATATGTGTAACTAATTTCATACATTCCAAATATGGAAACTTCTGGATTGGACAAATTATCACCTAGTATTTTATCTGTTTTTATTTTGTAATTCAGATAATCTGATTCTTATAACTAGGAAGCATTTGTAGGAAAAAAGTGTATGTGATATTAATCAAGTTTTTTTTCTTGCATTTCTATTTTGTCTGGAGCAAACAGTAGCTCAAGTGAGCACTTAAAAATGGCCCAGAAAACAAATGATCGAAGTCTTGGCTTTTGAGTTCCAAAATAAAGTCCTAAAATTTACAGAACTGATAAAGGTCTTAAAAGCCTTTTATTTGCAAGTGAAAAGTTTTCTCTACTTTAAAATGGTTGTCTTAAAAAAAACGCATAAAATTGTCATTAGGAAAATTAATTTTAAAAAGATCTCAAATAATAAGGAGATATATTACTACAAAGTAGTCTTTACTAAATTTTTTTAAACATTTTGTCTTTTGCAAAGTAAATTTTAAGTTTTTTTCCTCTAGGTCATAGTTATTCATTTATCTTTCTAGTTTTTCTACTTTATTTTGCCAATAGAACTTTAGAAAACAATTCATCAGAAAAATCTACTTTGCTTTGATAGAGATCCTAGCACTCTTTAAAAAACTGCTTCTATAAATACACCTGCCTCTTCCAATTCTGTACTATTCCTTGTTAGATTTCCCCTAACTGAAATTTCTCCTCATCCCTCTTTGCTTAAATAAATTCTGTTCCTCCCCAAATATCCATCTCAAATCCCATCATGTTTTCCCAAAGTCCTCCTTGATCACTCTGAGTTAGGAAACTATCTGTCTTTCATCTCTGAATGCATGGAGCAAGCATTATCAATGCAGTTCATGGGCCATGAATCTCATATTGTTTTGTCATAATTCTTCCTTCGTGAACTACTTTATAATATTTTTATTATCACATTCTTTTCAAGAATAGTACTCTTAATTCTGCAAATAGATTCTAAATTTTTGGAAAGAACTGACTGTGTTATTTATCTTTATATTCACCAGAGACCACATCAATGGTTTGCCAGGAGTAAGTGCTATAAGCACATTTGATACAGTATTGTATCCTTTAGTGATGACAACAATATGGTAATAATTATATCACTTATTAAGCATTTACTATATACCAAGCACTGTGCAAATCACTTCATGTGGATTATCACATTTCATTCTCATAACAAACCAATAAATTCTGTTCTATTACTACCTTTAATGTATAGCTGATAAAACTAAGACTTTAGAGGTGTTAAGTACTTTATTCCAGGCCACACAGCTACAAGTGGAAAACCCAGAACTTAGTTTGGTCCTCCATACTAAATTTTTACTTGTAGGAATCTAGTACATCCTCAGGTAGACAAATTTTATTATCTGTTTCTTGATGTCATTGTTTTAGGAAAAGCATTCCTTACCAATAACAAATCTACATTCAAGTAACTATGTCACCCAAGAGCAAAGAGAAGGCTTTCTGATGTAGGTTTCATAAAGTAAAAAAATGGATGATGTTGAAGTTGGCTCACGGTTTTAATGAAGTAATATACATTTTAAGGGAAAAACTAAATCACACTAGAAGAAAATATAATGCATCAGAACTCTACAACAAATAATGATGATTTCATAAACACTAGACAAAGATTTCTGCATATCAGAGCTAGCAATGATCCTGAGAAACAACTAGGCAGTTAAAAAGTACAACATGGTATGAAAGAATTATTATCGAGTAAATCACTAAGACAGAGTAAGTGTTTCTGAAAAATCTTCCAGTAGAATCTAGAATTGGCAAAATCATCTACACGTGAATCATAAATAATACAAGGACAAAGAGATTATAAAGTACTTTAAGTACAGTACCTCTGCTCTTGATTTACTGCTTCTGAAAAACAAAGAACCCTTACAAACAAAGGGAGTATGGCATGTTTGAGGAATTGTAAATAGGATGTCTAATAAGTCATTGCTAACTTAATGTGTACAAAAATGAATTTTTGATCTTTGCCAAAACCTATTTCTCTACAGTTTTTTTCATCTGAAGAAACATTATCTACCAGTGATTTGGGCCATGAACTTTGATATTTTCCTGAACTCTGCTCTTCCTGTCTTGCCCCATATGCAATTAATCAGTAAATCTTGTCATCTCTTCCTTTGACATACATCCTGAATCCTATCACTTTTCACAGCTTGACCCACCCCCGAGCCACTGTCTTACTGTGGCTGGACCACTGCAATAGGCTCCTACCTGGCCTTCCACCTCCTACTTGCCAATCTTCCCCAACATCATGCATACTCAGGTACACACAATTCAGAGTGTTCATTTGAAAATGTGTTAGATTATATTAGCCTTCAAAATTTTCCAGTGATTTCTGTCTCATTCAAGGAAAAAAATCAAAAATCCTTACCACAGTCAACTGGGTCTATCAGCACCTCACCTCCCCTTGCAACCGCCACCTAATTAGTCTTATCTCCCACCACTCTCTCCTGCTCCAACACTACCAAAAACAACCCGTCCCCCTTCCCTCTATTCCGAACACTGGGGCCTCCTTTTTCTTCCATGAACTAATCATTTTCTTTTTTTTTTTTAATTATACTTTAAGTTCTAGGGTACATGTGCACAACCTGTAGGTTTGTT
Organism: Homo sapiens; assembly: GCF_000001405.40. NCBI lineage: Eukaryota > Metazoa > Chordata > Mammalia > Primates > Hominidae > Homo > Homo sapiens. The sequence continues at coordinate 192,683,016 of NC_000001.11, forward strand.
ACATATGTATACATGTGCCATGTTGGTGTGCTACACCCATTAAATTGTCGTTTACATTAGGTATATCTCCTAATGCTATCCCTCCCCTCTCCCCCAACCCCATGACAGGTCCTAGTGTGTGATGTTCCCCACCCTGAGTACATGTGTTCTCATTGTTCAATTCCCACCTATGGGTGACAACATGCGGTGTTTGGTTTTCTGTCCTTGCGATAGTTTGCTCAGAATGATGGTTTCCAGCTTCATCCGTGTCCTACAAAGGACATGACCTCATCCTTTTTTATGGCTGCATAGTATTCCATGGTGTATATGTGCCACATTTTCTTACTCCAGTCTGTCATTGATGGACATTTGGGTTGGTTCCATCTTTGCTATTGTGAATAGTGCCGCAATAAACATACATGTGCATGTGTCTTTATATGGGCATGATTTATAATCCTTTGGGTATATACCAAGTAATGGGATGGCTGGGTCAAATGGTATTTCTAGTTCTAGATCCTTGAGGAATTGCCACACTGTCTTCCACAATGGTTGAACTAGGTTACAGGCCCACCAACAGGGCAAAAGTGTTCCTATTTCTCCACATCCTCTCCGGTACCTGTTGTTTCCTGACTTTTTAATAATAGCCATTCTAACTGGTGTGAGATGGAATCTCATTGTGGTTTTGATTTGCATTTCTCTGATGACCAGTGATGATGAACATTTTCTCATGTGTCTATTGGCTGCATAAATGTCTTGTTCTGAGAAGTGTCTGTTCATATCCTTTGCCCACTTTTTGATGGGGTTGTTTGATTTTTTCTTGTAAATTTGTTTAAGTTCTTTGTAGATTCTGGATAGCAGCCCTTTGTCAGATGGGTAGATTGCAAAAATTTTCTCCCATTCTGTAGGTTGCCTGTTCACTCTGATGGTAGTTTCTTTTGCTCTGCAGAAGCTCTTTAGTTTAATTAGATCCCATTTGTTAATTTTGGCTTTTGTTGCCTTTGCTTTTGGTGTTTTAGTCATGAAGTCCTTGCCCATGTCTATGTCCTGAATGGTATTTCCTAGGTTTTCTTCTAGGGTTTTTATGGTTTTAGGTCTAACATTTAAGTCTTTAATCCATCTTGAATTAATTTTTGTATAAGGTGTAAGGAAGGGATCCAGTTTCAGCTTTCTGCTTATGGCTAGCCCGTTTTCCCAGCACCATTTATTAAATAGGGAATCCTTTCTCCATTTCTTGGTTTTGTCAGGTTTGTTAAAGATCAGTTGGTTGTAGATGTGTGGTATTATATCTGAGGGCTGTGTTCTGTTCCATTGGTCTATGTATCTGTTTTGGTACCAGTACCATGCTGTTTTGGTTACTATAGCCTTGTAGTATAGTTTGAACTCAGGTAGCATGATGCCTCTAGCTTTGTTCTTTTGGCTTAGGATTTTATTGGCACTGTGGGCTCTTTTTTGGTTCCATATGAACTTTAAAGGAGTTTTTTCCAATTATGTGAAGAAAGTGATTGCTAGCTTGATGGCAATGGCATGGAATCTATAAATTGCCTTGGGCAGTATGGCCATTTTCACGATATTGATTCTTCATATCCATGTACATGGAATGTTCTTCCATTTGTTTGTGTCCTCTTTTATTTCGTTGGCAGTGGTTTGTAGTTCTCCTTGAAGAGGTCCTTCATATCCCTTGTAAGTTGGATTCCTAGGTATTTTATTCTCTTTGAAGCAATTGTGAATGGGAGTTCACTCATGACTTGGCTCTCTGTTTGTCTGTTTTGTGTATAGGAATGCTTGTGATTTTGGCACATTGATTTTGTATCCTGAGACTTTGCTGAAGTTGCTTATCAACTTAAGGAGATTTGGGGCTGAGACAATGGGGTTTTATAAATATACAATCATGTCATCTGCAAACAGGAACAATGTGACTTCCTCTTTTCCTAATTGAATACCCTTTATTTCTTTCTCCTGTCTGATTTTACCCTGGCCAGAACTTCCAACACTATGTTGAATAGGAGTGGTGAGAGAGGGCATCCCTGTCTTGTGCCAGTTTTCAAAGGGAATGCTTCCAGTTTTTGCCCATTCAGTATTATATTGGCTGTGGGTTTGTCATAAATAGCTCTTATTATTTTGAGATACGTCCCATCAATACCTAGTTTATTGAGAGTTTTTAGCATGAATGGCTGTTGAATTTTGTCAAAGGCCTTTTCTACATCTATTGAGATAATCATGTGGTTTTTGTCTTTGCTTCTGTTTATATGCTGGATTAAGTTTATTGATTTGCATATGTTGAACCAGCCTTGCATCCCAGGAGTGAAGCCAACTTGATCATGGTGGATAAGCTTTTTGATGTGCTGCTGGATTCAGTTTGCCAGTATTTTATTGAGGATTTTTGCATCGATGATCATCAGGGATATTGGTCTAAAATTCTCTTTTTTTGTTGTGTCTCTGCCACGCTTTGGTATCAGGAGGATGCTGGCCTCATAAAATGAGTTAGGGAGGATTCCCTCTTTTTCTATTGATTGGAATAGTTTCAGAAGGAATGGTACCACCTCCTCTGTGGGATCGGTGGTGATATCCCCTTCATCATTTTTTATTGTGTCTATTTGATTCTTCTCTCTTTTCTTCTTTATTAGTCTTACTAGCAGTCTATCAATTTTGTTGATCTTTTCAAAAAACCAGTTCCTGGATTCACTGATTTTTTGAAGGGTTTTTTGTGTCTCTATCTCTTTCAGTTCTGCTCTGATCTTAGTTATTTCTTGCCTTCTGCTAGCTTTTGAATGTGTTTGCTCTTGTTTCTCTAGTTCTTTTAATTGTGATGTTAGGGTATCAATTTTTTATCTTTCCTGCTTTCTCTTGCGGGCATTTAGTGCTATAAATTTCCCTCTACACACTGCTTTGAATGCGCCCCAGAGATTCTGGTATGTTGTGTCTTTGTTCTCGTTGGTTTCAAAGAACATCTTTATTTCTGCCTTCATTTCATTATGTACCCAGTAGTCATTCAGGAGCAGGTTGTTCAGTTTCCATGCAGTTGAGTGGTTTTGAGTGAGTTTCTTAATCCTGAGTTCTAGTTTGATTGCACTGTGGTCTGAGAGACAGTTTGTTATAATTTCTGCTCTTTTGCATTTGCTGAGGAGAGCTTTACTTCCAACTAAGTGGTCAATTTTGGAATAAGTGTGATGTGGTGCTGAGAAGAATGTATATTCTGTTCATTTGGGGTAGCGAGTTCTGTAGATGTCTATTAGGTCCACTTGGTGCAGAGCTGAGTTCAATTCCTGGATATCCTTGTTAACTTGGTCTTGTTGATCTGTCTAATGTTGACAGTGGGGTGTTAAAGTCTCCCATTATTATTGTGTGGGAGTCTAAGTCTCTTTGTAGGTCTCTAAGGGCTTGCTTTATGAATCTGGGTGCTCCTCTATTGGGTGCATATATATTTAGGATAGTTAGCTCTTCTTCTTGAATTGATCCCTTTACCATTATGTAATGGCCTTCTTTGTCTCTTCTGATCTTTGTTGGTTTAAAATCTGTTTTATCAGAGACTAGGATTACAACCTCTGCTTTTTTTGTTTTCCATTTGCTTGGTAGATCTTCTTCCATCCCTTTATTTTGAGCCTATGTGTGTCTCTGCATGTGAGATGGGTTTCCTGAATACAGCACACTGATGGGTCTTGACTCTTTATCCAATTTGCCAGTCTGTGTCTCTTAATTGGAGCATTTAGCTGATTTAAGGTTAACATTTAAGGTTAATATTGTTATGTGTGACTTTGATCCTGTCATTATGATGTTAGCTGGTTATTTTGCTCATTAGGTGATGCACTTTCTTTCTAGCATCAATGGTCTTTACAATTTGGCATGTTTTTGCAGTGGCTTGTACTGGTTGTTCCTTTCCATGTTTAGTGCTTCCTTCAGGAGCTCTTGTAAGGCAGGCCTGGTGGTGACAAAATCTCTCAGCATTTGCTTGTCTGTAAAGGATTTCATTTCTCCTTCACTTATGAAGCTTAGTTTGGCTGGATATGAAATTCTGAGTTGAAAATTTTTTTCTTTAAGAATGTTGAGTATTGGCCCTCACTCTCTTCTGGCTTGTAGAGTTTCTGCTGAGAGATCTGCTGTTAGTCTGATGGCATTCTCTTTGTCGTAACCCAATATTTCTCTCTGGCTGCCCTTAACATTTTTTCCTTCATTTCAACTTTGGTGAATCTGACAATGATGTGTCTTGAAGTTGCTCTTCTCGAGGAGTATCTTTGTGTCATTATCTGTATTTCCTGAATTTGAATGTTGGCCTGCCTTGCTAGGTTCGGGAAGTTCTCCTGGATAATATCCTGAAGACCATTTTCCAACTTAGTTCCATTCTCCCCATCACTTTCAGGTACCCCAATTAGACGTAGATTTTGTCTGTTCACATTGTCCCATATTTCTTGGAGGCTTTGTTTGTTTCTTTTTACTCTTTTTTCTCTAAACTTCTCTTCTCACTTCATTTCATTGATTTGATCTTCAATCACTGATACCCTTTCTTCCATGTGATCAAATCGGCTACTGAAGCTTGTGCATGCATCACATAGTTCTTGTGCCGTGGTTTTCAGCTCCATCAGATCATTTAAGGACTTCTCTACACTGTTTATTCTAGTTAGCCATTCGTCTAATCTTTTTTCAAGGTTTTTAGCTTCCTTGTGATGGGTTTGAACATCCTCCTTTAGCTTAGAGAAGTTTGTTATTACCGATCGTCTGAAGCCTTCTTCTCTCAACTCATCAAAGTCATTCTCCATCCAGCTTTGTTCTGTTGCTGGTGAGGAGCTGCATTCCTTTGGAGGAGAAGAGGCACTCTGATTTTTAGAATTTTCAGCTTTTCTGCTCTGGTTTCTCCCTATCTTTGTGGTTTTATCTACCTTTGATCTTTGATGATGGTGACATACAGATCGTGTTTTCATGTGGATGTCCTTTCTGTTTGTTAGTTTTCCTTCTAACAGTCAGGACCCTCAGCTGCAGGTCTGTTGGAGTTTGCTGGAGGTCCACTCCAGACCCTGTTTGCCTGGGTATCACCAGCGGAGGCTGCAGAACAGCAAATACTGCAGAATGGCAAATGTTGCTGCCTAATCCTTCCTCTGGAAGCTTCATCTCAGAGGGGCACCTGGCTGTATGAGGTGTCAGTTGGCCCCTACTGGGAGGTGTCTCCCAGTTAGGCTACTCGGGGGTCAGGGACCCACTTGAGGAGGCAGTCTGTCCATTCTCAGATCTCAAACTCCATGCTGGGAGATCCACTACTCTCATCAAAGCTGTCAGACAGGGATGTTTAAGTCTGCAGAAGTTTCTGCTGCATTTTGTTCAGCTATGCCCTGCCCCAGAGGTGGTGTCTACAGAGGCAGGCAGGCCTCCTTGAGCTGTGTTGGGCTCCACCCAGTTCGAGCTTCCTGGCCGCTTTTTTTTTTACCTCCTCAAGCCTCAGCAATGGCAGACGCCCCTCCCCCAGCCTCGCTGCCACCTTGCAGTTAGATCTCATACTGCTGTGGTAGCAGTGAGTGAGGCTCCATGGGCGTGGGACCCTCCGAGCCAGGCATGGGATATAATCTCCTGGTGTGCCATTTGCTAAGACCGTTGGAAAAGCACAGTATTAGGGTAGGAGTGTCTCGATTTTCCAGGTACCATCTGCCATGGCTTCCCTTGGCTAGGAAAGGGAATTCCTCGCCCCTTGCACTTCTCAGGTAAGGCAATGCCCCTCCCTGCTCTGTGGGCTGCAGCCACTGTCCGGCAAGCCCCAGTGAGATGATCCTGGTACCTCAGCTGGAAATGCAGAAATCACCCATCTTCTGTGTCGCTCAAGCTGGGAGCTGTAGACTGGAGCTGTTCCTATTTGGCCATCTTGGAACTTCCCCAAACTCATCATTTTCTTCCCTCTCTACCACAAGGCATTTGCACTTGCCAATCCCTGTGCCTGCAATGCTCTCAGTTCAGTTCTCTGCTCATATGCCTTAGGGAGACATTCTCTGATCACCCTATATAATATAGCAACATTGCCACTGCCATCTTTTTCTATCTTCCATGCCTTATTATTCTTCAAGGCACTCATCACTCCCAACACGTTATTTTTTATTTTCTGTCAATCTCTATTAGATACAATCTCCCCAAGAACAAGACTTTGTTGAGAAGTATGCAAAATGACCAGCTAAGTGTGTGTTTAAAAAATAGCCTTAGCTCCCAAAATACTAGGAAAACCCTGTAAAAAGAGCATAGATTTTGTTTATCCAGATTTGGATTTTTACTTGTATTCTATAACTTTTTTCCAGGAAATCTTACTGTGTATATGTGAGATTTATAATATAGTATAAGATATAAGTAGATCATAAAAGTCACTACAATGAAACTAATTAATCATCTCAGATAGTTACATTTTTTTGTGACTAGAGCAGCTAAAAATCTACTGATTTAACAAAAGTCTCTATTATAATTTTATTAACTATAGTTCTCACATTGCACTAATGATCTCCAGACATGTCCATTCTACATATCTCCTACTTTGTATCCTTTGAACTATATCTTCCCATTTCATCTCTGCCTCCCCATGCTCCTGATAGCCACTCTTTTATTCTATATCTCCATCTATTTGAACTTAAAAAAAAAAATTCCACATATGCTAAGTGAAATAAGCCAAACCCAGAAAGAAAAATGTTGCACAATCTCATGTATATGTGGAATGTAACACTTTTTTACCCTTGCCAAATTTAGGGAAATTAATGCCTGTGAGCCTCCATTTTCTTATCACTAGAAAAGAAAGGAAGTATGAAGGATGTAATGAACTGGGACTGATGAGGACAAAGGCTAGGGATTAAAAGTAGGAATCATGGTTAAAATTAATTCACAGAGTTGTGTTAACCAAAAATAAAATTCTAAGGCCCCCGCAACTATCTGAATGGACCACTCTTGGCCAAGGGCATTCCAAAGTTAACCTGAAAAAACTAGTTCAAGCCACAACAGGAACTGGGAGCTACACATGCCTCATTATACCCTCTTCCCTTTTGGAATTACTGATAGAACAGACTCTTTTAGTCTGATAAGAAATATTTACAGTCTATTCTCTATGAAGCCTGCTACCTAGAGGTTTCATCTGCTTGATAAAACATTGGTTTCCACAACCCCTTATCATAACCCAGATAATCCTTTCTATTGATAATAAATCTTTCAACCAATTGCCAATAAGAAAATTTTTAAATCTACCTATGACCTATAATTCCCCCACTTCAACCTGCCCTGCCTTTCTGAACCAAACCAATGTACATCTTATGTGTATCAATTGATGTCTCAGGTCCCCTAAAATGTACAAAACCAACCTGTATCCCGACCACCTTGGGCACATGTCATCAAGACCTCCTGAGGCTGCATCACAGGCATGTCCTTAACTTTGGCAAAATAAACTTTCTAAATTGATTGAGAACGGTCTCAGATACTCTTGGGTTCACAGTTGCTATAGTAATATTGTTCTCAGTAACATATGTAAAGTATCTAACAAACTAACCAGCCTATTATGGCCTTCAATAAATGTTCACAAAAACACATTTTTGTTTCTATTGTTCCCATTCTATTTTCTGTAAAAGGAAAATTGCAGCTGCCTAGAGAGTGTGATCACTCAATACTGTCATCTGACAGGTACCAAACACAATATTGTTTAGTCTGAAAAGTGAAAAAGAAACAAATACAGGCCTCTTAGTTTACATTTTAAAAAATAATCATGTTAGATGTTCATCTATACCTGGGGTTGTGTAGAAAATATAAAATAACCTCATACAAACCAAGATTAGTATGGGCTTCATTATGTTCTGGACTAAATCTTCACACCCATATCACACCTAGACTATGTTGAGGTGTTTCAAGGACCAATTTTCAGGATAATTTTATTTCTGTAAATATGTTTATGTGGATAGTATCTACTTTAGTACATAATATTTCCTGGAAGCTCTGATTATTTAGAAAGAAATGAGTAGACACTGGGTCAATAAGCCCAGGTTAGTGTCTTTTTACAACTAATGTTTTAAGTATCTTTGATCATTTTCTGATAACAATTCAAATTAAATGCAAACAGTCATGTAGCACACAACACCCATTATCAAGTATTTCTGCCAGCTGAGAGGATAAATAATGTAATGAGACACATTAATTATTTGCTTTCTACCAGCTCTAATTGATTAATTTTGACTGGTACATCTTGCTAATGTAATGGAGTACAGTAAATATTAGGGCTTGTTATTTGTTCCAGGGCTAGGAAATCACGGTCTCCAATGACTTGCCCCATTTGTAGCTTTATCTGCAATCTGCCAAAGTGTATTGATAGAGCCAAGTTAATCTCTTTACCAAGTGAATTTCCATGTAAATATCACACTAGGAGACCCATTATCAAGTCAGGTGAGTTCACTGAGTTTTCTGTCTCAGAAAACTTGACACACACAACCCCCCAACCCCCAGTTTTATATACAGCCAAACCCATGAAGGTAAAAATAAATCCTAGCTACATATGTACATAGTTATCTTCCTACTTAAGAATATATCATTAAACCATGGTTGTTGTTCTAAGTAACCAAATACCTTTATGTAAGCCCATGAGTGGTTGTACCAGAAATACTGAAAATACTTCCAGTATTAGATTTGAAAGCCTTGAACAAAATGTGAAGAGTTTTAAATCACAGCCATTTACAGGAAATTACCACCAGAGCAGTGTTTCTCCAACTTTTTATTGTCCCCCTAAGGAGTTTTTTAAGTGTTTTTTCCCTAATTGCCATTTCCCCTTGAAATTTTAATATCATGGATATACTGTATGTCTGGTTATGTTCTATGGCCCTTTGAAGGGCCACAAACCATTGTAACATCTAAGGATTTGTTTTGTTTTGTTTTGTTTTGTTTACTTTTCCAAGAACCAGTTTTTACTTCCTGGGGGCAGTATCACTCCCTTTGAGAATGCATTTACTAGAGCCTTCATTCTACTGACTCTTCATCATTGTCTAAGTTACATATTCTCATTCAGATACATCAACCTCTCTATATCTCATATTTCTCATATGAGCTGGTGAAATAGGCACACACAAACCCCCATGTCTAAGTCCACCCCACAACAACACATCTAGTACAAATGCACTTTATCCCTTTTCTTCACCCCGCCAGCCCCCACCAATTAATGCATGCTGAATCAGGCTCAAGCAACATTAAGGCAATCTTGAAAAAAGAAAGAAATCTCAAAAGAACCATACAAATTGTTCTTTGCAGAAAGACTGAATGAATTTCAACCTGCAATCTACATACTTTAGTGAAGTACTTTACTTTTCTGAGCTTTAGTGTCCATATTTATTAAAGGGAAATATCAATAGTTATCTCTTACCTATTCAACCAACAAATATGTGCTAGCTCAGTTTGAAAGTCCTCATGGAGACAACTAGAAGCACTTACTGATCAAGAAAAGGTGAGGTTCTTAAAGTTACTGCAATGCAGCAAGCAAAAATATTATCTTTACAAAGTCTTAGAATATCCAAAGAAAGAAAATTTAAAAAGGGTATATAGGGTCATAGAACCTATTCTGAATGATTTTGAGGTTGTATTAGTTCATTTTAATGTTGCTGATAAAGACATACCTGAGACTGGGCAATTTACAAAAGAAAGAGGTTTAATCGGACTTACAATTCCACATAGCTGGGGAGGCCTCATAATCATGGCAGAAGGCAAGGAGAAGCAAGTCACATTTTACATGGATGGCAGCAGGCAAAGAGAGAGAACTTGTGCAGGGGAACTCCTCTTTTTAAAACCATCAGATCTCGAGAGACTTATTCACCATCACGAGAACAGCACAGAAAAGACTCGCCCCATGATTCAATTACCTCCCACCAGGTCCCTCCCACAACATGTGGGAACTCAAGATGAGATTTGGGTGGGGACACAGCCAAAACATATCTTTCCACCCCTGGCCCCTCCCAAATTTCACGTCCTCAAATTTCAAAACCAATCATGTCTTCCCACCAGTTCCTCAAAATCTTAATTCATTTCAGCATTAACTCATAAGGCCACAGTCCAAAGTCTCATCCAAGACAAGTACCTTCCACTTATGAGCCTGTAAAATCAAAAGCAGATTAATTACTTCCTAGATACAATGGGCGTAGTACAGGCATTGAGTAAATACAGCCATTCCAAATGGGAGAAACCAGCCAAAACAAAGGGGCTACAGGCCCCGTGCAAGTCTGAAATCCAGCAGGACAGTCAAGCCTTAAAGTTCTAAAATGATCTCCTTCGACTCCATGTCTCACATCTAGGTCACATTGATGCAAGAGGTGGGTTCCCATGGTCTTGGGCAGCTCCACCCCTGTGGCTTTGTAGGTTACAGCCTCCCTCCCTGCTGCTTTCACAAACTGGCGTTGAGGGTCTGCAGCTTTTCCAGGCACATAGTGCAAGCTGTCAGTGGATCTACCATTCTGGGGTCTGGAAGACAGTGGCCCTCTTCTCGCAGCTACGCTAGGCAGTGTCCCAGTAAGGACTCTGTGTGGGGTTCTGACCCCACATTACCCTTCTGCACTGCCCTAGCAGAGGTTCTCCATGAGGGCCCACCCCTGCGGCAAACTTTTGCCTGGGCATACAGGCATTTCCATATATCTTCTGAAATCTAGGCAAAGATGGCCAAACCTCAGTTATTGACTTCTATGCAGGGAACTACAGGCTCAACACCACATGGAAGCTGCCAAGCCTTGGGGCTTTCACCCTCTGAAGCAACAGCTAGGGCTGTACCTTGGCCACTTTAGTCACAGCTGGAGTGGCTGGGATGCAGGGCATCAAGTGCCTATACTGCACACAGCATGGGGACCTGAGGCCTGGCCCACGAAACCATTTTCTCCTAGACTTCTGGGTCTGTGATGGGAGGGGCTGCCATGAAGACCTCTGACATGTCCTAGAGACATTTTCCCCACTGTCTTGGGGATTAACATTTGGCTCCTCGTAACTTATGCAAACTTCTGCAGCTGACTTAAATTTCTCCTCAGAAAGTGGGATTTTCTTTTGTATCATATTGTCAGGTTGCAAATTTTCCTAACTTTTATGCTCTGCTCCACTTATAAAACAGAGTGCCCTTAACAGCACCCAAGTCATCTCTTGAATGCTTTGCTTCTTAGAAACTTAATCCACCAGATACCCTAAATCAACTCTCTCAAGTTCAAAGTTCCACAAATCTCTAGGGCAGGAGCAAAATGCCACCAGTCTCTTTGCTAAAAGATAACAAGAGTCACATTTGCTCCAGTTCCCAACAAGTTCCTCATCTCCATCTGAGACCACCTCAGCCTGGATCTTATTGTTCCACAGTTTCAGGTATCTTTTCAGCAGCTCCCCATTCCTAGTACCAATTTACTGTATTAGTCCATTTTCACACTGCTGATAATGACTACCTGAGACTGGGCAATTTACAAAAGAAAGTGGTTTAATTGGACTTACAGTTCCACATGGCTGGAGAGGACTCACAATCATGGCAGAAGGCAAGGAGGAGCACGTCACAAATTGCATGGATGGTGGCAGGCAAAGAGAGAGAACTTGTGCAGGGGAGCTCCTCATTTTAAAACCATCAGAAAGGATCCCTGAGAATATTCACTAGTTTCCAATGTTAGGGCTTGAAGGTAAAAGTAGGGTTGAGGTAGTTTAGCCCATTTTCATTGACTTTGGAGGGATTTGTAGATTGTGTCTCAGATAATGTTAAGACCCAGTGAGGTACTGCAGCAGTCTTTCAAAAAATTTTCAGGAAGACCCTGTCTCACCCTTGAGTTTGTGAGGGCAAATGTGAGATCAAGGAGTAAAAGCTATCAAGGTTATAATCTAAAAATGATTAATCTACTTAAACCAAATTGTCTAGGATTATAATCAGCAGAAATCTATGCCCTGGTTTTTGTAAATGTTGCATCTTAGTAGGTTTGAATATCAGAGATTCATGTTAAGAATTATGCCTGGCTGGGTGCAGTGGCTCACACCTGTAATCCCAACACTTTGGGAGGCTGAGGCGGGTGGATCACCTGAGGTCGGGAGTTCAAGACCAGCCTGACCAACATGGAGAAACCCCATCTCCACCTAAAATACAAAATTAGCCAGGCGTTGTGGCACATGCCTGTAATCCTAGCTACTTGCGAGGCTGAGGCAGGAGAATTGCTTGAACCTGGGAGGTGGAGATTGTGGTGAGCCGAGATTGCTTCATTGCACTCCAGCCTGGGCAACAAGAGCAAAACTCCATCTATTTAAAAAAAAAAAAAATCATGCCTGTGTGATTTCCTTGATACAAGCCTTTGGATACCAAAGGGCCTGACTCCTACACTGCCCCTGCAGGCAAGCCACATCATCAGGAGTTGCAACCTAGAATTTTTGAAGTAGTAAAAATTAAATTATTGAAGAATTATTATGGTAGCAAAAGTTAAATAAATCTGCTCAGAAAACTCAAACAGGTCCAGGAAAATAAGGCAGTTTAACTGATGGAATTATGGTTTTGGCTCTATGTGGCTCAGCTTTGACAGATCCTCAGCACAGATCCTCCATGAGCCAACAACTCCTACTAAATTCTTCCCTCTCCTATCTCAAATCAGGCAGGTCCACATGCATACTTCTCCCTTCCTGATGAAAACTGGCTTCGTCTCCAGCATACCCATTTTAGAAATCGCCATCACACAAGGCTCACCAGGTAAACCTGCACTAATCTGTCTTGAAAGCTTAGGCCCATCACTTACTAATGTTATGACCCTAAGTCAGCCCTTTACATTTTTGGTGCTTGATTTTTCTCACCTATGAAATAGAGGTAACAATAGTATCTAACTTGTACAATTGTTCTGAGATTTAAGTGAGAAAATGCATGAAATGAGTGTAGCATAGTAACGAAAAAATAGAGAACTATAAATTTTAGCTATATTGTTATTACCATTCCTTCAACACATCTCTCCAATTTGTCTCTCCTCAATTGCTCCTGACTCCAACAGAATCGTGACTTTTGTCACCTCACACCTTTTATTTTAACAGTTTTCTCACTGCTTTTCTTACCCCTTCGTTTTCCCTCTTCTTAATCTTAAACATAAGTAATAAAGTATTCCCTGCTCCAAATTCCCATCATATCAACTTCCTGGCTTATACACATTCTTCTACCCCTCTTTCGAGGTTTTTTGTAGACTGAATGCACTAAACTAAACTAAGAACATTGTTAATTCACAAGTATTGGATTCATTTTGGTAGCTTTCAGCTGTAACCAATGGTTAGAAGAAGATGTATCCTGTGGGTCTTCTCTCCCACAGCCTGGCCACTCAGAATACACCAATGTGAAAGCAAGACTCAGAGCTGACTCTGCTACTTATGCAAATAGTCACTTTACCCCTAAATTGCCATACCACCAGTTCTTTAAGCTCCATGAAGGCTCATCTCTCTTAGCTTTTCAGGTGTCCCAACAGTGGTTGCTCTGGTTTGAATGTTTGCGCCCCACAAAATTCATATGTTGAAATCCTAACCCCTAAGGTGATGGCATTAGGAAGTGGGGCCTTTTGGGAGTCAGTAAGGCCTTAGGCAAAGCCCTCATAGGTGAGATTGGTGCTTATATAAAAGAGACCCCAGAAAGCTTCCTTGCTCCTCCCACCACGTGAGGACACAGGATGAAGGCACCATCCGTGAGAAACGGGGCCCTCACCAGATGCCAAATCTGTCAGCACCTTGATCTTGTACCACTCAGACTCCAGAACTGTGAGAAATAAGTTCTGTTCTTTATAAGCTACCCAATTTACAGTATTTTCGTCTAATATACTTTAATTGAATGGACTAAGATAGTGGCCTGTGTGGAAAATTCACCTGAAGCAGATTCTAATAGAGGAATTTAACTATCCTTCTGTTCAGGGTTTCACAACAATATCCTCTGATAAACAACAGAACACAGGAAAGATTCAGAATTCTAACCTATGATGCCTTTCCAAAGGATGTAATTTCTTGGGCTTACTAGATTGCTCTGTCTTGTTTAAGCACCAGTTCCCAAGCCCATACAAATTTCTAGCCTGATCAGCCCTCATTTCACAGATTAAAAGTAATATCTAACACCCATTATACTAATTAATAAGGCAACTGATATTAATTAAAATAAAGACATTGAAACCTTCTGAATGCCCAGGCCTCTGGTCTTTGGGCCTCTACTTAGAAATTTTCATGTACTAACTAATCATCCCTGGAGTGCATATTCCTGATTAAGGTACCTAACATGTTAACTAACGGACTTTAAAGTATAGATTAAGTTGACTACCACCTTCTATGCTGGGTGTTTTAATAGTAAACTGCAGGCCAGGCACGGTGGCTCACACCTGTAATGCCGGCACTCTGGGAAACTGAGGCGGGTAGTTTTCTTGAACTTAAGAGTTCAAGACCAGCCTGGGCAACATAGCAAAAACCCTGTCTCTACAAAAAATCCAAAAATTACCCAGGCACAGTGGCTCACGCCTGTAGTCCCAGCATTTTGGGAGGCTGAGGCAGGTGGATCACTTGAGGTCAGGAGTTCAAGACCAGCCTGGCCAACATGGTGAAACTACGTCTCTACTAAAAATACAAAAAAAAAAAAAAAATTGGCCAAGTGTGGTGGCACGTGCCTGTAATCCCAGCTGCTTGGGAGGCTGAGGCAGGAGAGTCACTTGAACCCAGGAGGCGGAGGTTGCAGTGTGCTGAGATCGAGCCAAGGCACTCCAGCATGGGCGACAGAGCAAGACTTCATCTCAAAAAAAAAAAAAAAAATAGCTGGGCATGGTGGCATGAGCCTGTATTCCCAGCTACTTGGGCTGAAGAGGGGAGAATCACTTGAGCCAGGGAAGTTAATTAAGGTTGTGGTTAGCCAAGATCGTACCACTGTACTCCAGCCTGGGCAAAAGAGTGAGATCTGTCTCAAAAAACTCCAAAAACTGCAGAATATAATATCTAACTTTACCTCCCCCTATTTCCCAACACACACATTCATCTAGAGCAGAGTTTCTCAATCTGGGCACTACTGATCTTTTGGACTGGATAATCCTCTGTTGTGAAGGGATGACCTGTGCATTATAAGGTGTTAGCACACTGCTGGTGTCTATCCATGAGATGCCAGTAGCATCCCTCCCCAGTTGTGATAAGCAAAACGTCTACAGACATTGACAAGTATCACATGCTCTTAAAATCACCCCTTGTTGAACATTATTGCCCTACAGTGTGGCTGACCCCCTAAAGCCAACCCCACTTACCAGGATATTTTTCTTTCTTAATTTTACTTATAGTGGTCCCCAGTCTTAGAAGATACCTTCTCCACTGCGCTACTCAAATGTGACCCATGCTTTAAGACAAGACAGCACCAAGAATTTCAAAAAGCAAATGAAGCTCTCAGAAGTGATTTATTTGGACCACGTAAATGTGGGCTACAGATTTCTGTAGACCTCACAGCTCTAGGGTATTACACTTTCTCATTCTTCCTACTTATCTCATTTATGTTATCTGCCTGGCCCTATGAGAATTTACATTAATACTTAATAATAAGTTTTAATTCATAATAAGCCTAATAAGCTTCATAATAAGCCTAATAAGCTTCATAATAAGCCTAAATCATCCTTCCAAGAAATTGTCCACTGTGATGTCCATATTGACCTCTTCCTTTTCAGGAGAAGTTTTATGCTATGAAGAAAACTAAAAAAATTCAACACAACTCGAGTACTAAAATTTCTCACAACTTAATGGCTCCTGTTAAGAGAAGCAAAGTATTAAAACAGTGTACTAAAGTCAGCTGTTCTTTAAAATAGTCACAGAAATTATGTTATCAGACTGGCAAAAAAAAAAAAAAAAAAAATGCTCACCTGGGTCAATATGAGCCATCCTGCAATTTTTGAAAGACCAAAGACCACATAAAACAGAGCTTTTTTTTTTTTTGCTGTGTCACCCAGGCTGCAGTGCAGTGATGCAATCTGGGCTGCAACTTCGCCTCCTGGGCTCAAGCAGTCCTCCCACCTCAGCCTCCTGAGTAGCTGCGACCACAGGCGCATGCCACCACGTTCAGCTAATTTTTATATTTTTAGTAGAGACGGAGTTTCGCCATGTCGCCCGGGCTGGTCTCGAACTCTTGGGCTCAAGCGATCCACCTGCCTCAGCCTCCCATAGTGCTGGGATTACAGGCATCAGCCACCGCATCCAGCCAAAGACAAGGTTCTTAACAAGTATTGTGTGAGTGTTCTTTTACAAAGCAGATATAAACCTGTGTGTAATAGGCAAAGGGTATATAAAGGTGATGATTTTTCTGTGAACTACTAACTCTTTTTTTTTCTAACTCTCTTTAGTCCCTAAAAATAAACCCTATCATATTAAATCAAGAACATCATAAGTAAATGTTGGCAAAATACAGTTAGGTGAACAGTGGCTGTTCTCAAAAAGGCTCAATAAACATAGTAGAAGTTATAACAAATTAATGATAAATAAAGCACAGTGAAAATGTAGTGATATATCTGTGCATATTTATAAATGTGTGTTAAATTATTTAAAAGAGATTCTACCTGAGTCTAGTTTATAACATGTAAGATTTTAGTTTTCTCTAAAATACAATTGAGATAAAAATTTAGCAATACTTTATTAAGATATGACCTTCATATTTATTTTATCTCAAAAGTTTTTTAACAGGACAAAAAGCACTTTCCAAACTGAATTATATATATTAGGAAAGTCCATATATGTGTGAAGATCTTTATTAACTATCAGGATTTTTGTAAATATAAATTATGTCCATTGATTATCTCACTCCTTTAGTTTTCCAACTGAAATAGTTCTACTTCTCCTTTTTTCTATGATTATATCAAACACTTTACAGTGCTTCAGCAAAGCTATACACCCCCTGCCCCAAAAGGAGAAAATTTCCTTTTAGATAATATGGCATTTTTCAAAAGAAAAGGGAAGGACAAAAGAACTTAATACTTATCATGTGCCTACTGTGTTCAGTTCTATGTAAGACACCTTCAAAAATTTTTATAACCTTACAATAATCATCAGAGAGAGGCAGTATTACATTCAGTTTATAGATAGAAAAATGACGTCTCAGAGAATTTAAGAATATTGTCTAATCTCTTAAATGGAAAATGTGGAATTCAACTGAAGCATATCTGACTCCAGTCTTTGGTTTTTGAACTATTCATACCGGTCATCAGTTTTCTCCTTCTTTGCAAAAGAATCTTGCCTATAGTGGTCAGTCGGGTCCACTTAGTTCAGTTATCTGTATATTAAATAATACCCCAAATATTCCCTTTTCCAGCATTTTATGAGATACCCAAAACTTTAATTGATAATGAAAATAATAAATAATCCTAAGTATTAATAAGTTACATATTGATATGTTTAGAAATATTTCTATATATATGAATGCATTAAACAAATAGGTCATATGCATAGCATTCATGATAAGTATTTGGTAGATAAAAATGAGGATCTGAATAAACTTCCATGTCCTTCTCACAGTGGAACTGGTAAAACACTTTAGCTGGTAAAACAGTAACTGGTAAAACACTTAGCCATACTAATGGCTAATAAAATAGTCTGTTCTGGTGTGAATTTCTCTTTTATTTAGCATCTTGTTTTTCTTTAGTGGGTAATTCACTGGTTTTGTGCAATCCTAATCTACTATGAACATTGATTTCTTGAGTATCCAGATATTATTTTCAGAATCTAGTTTTTCACATGCTGAAAGTTCAAGTTTGAGATCCATCACTACATGGCAATAATATTTACTCATGATGAAAATATTTGCCAGTCACTATGTTAAATATCTTGCATTTACTGTCTTATATCCTATTTACAAAACCTTGCAAGGTAGATATTTTTACTTCCTTTTGTAGTTGAAAAAACTCAAGCTTATGGGGATTTTGTAAATTCTAAACTCACACAGTTGGGAAATGGTGAACTGTAATTCAGATGCAGACTGTCTAATTCTAAGCTGCATACTCACCCACCTTACAGCTGAGGAGGGAATGTTGTTCTAATAACAAGCCTTGCAAAATGTCAGCTGCATGCTTTACATGCTAACCAAGATTACATTCTTCCTCTGTTTATGTGGTTTTCTGAGCTCTGGGTAAGGCAACTATTCTCTGTGCCACAAAAAAAGTGTTTTATTCAGTTTTTTCTGGAGGAAATAAGGCTAATGCTGTTTTCTATGGAGAAAAGCATAATTTCCAAATTAATGATTAACTTGAAAATGGATGATTCATTGGGCAAGCATTTCCTATACCACAGCATTACATGTTTTCCAATTATAGTGCTCAGGGGAGGTTCTTAGTTAATTCTTAGTTCTATCTAAATAGAAGTTATATTTTTATTAATTTATCAGTTTTATCAATGTATATATTTTATACAATTTATATATTTAATTAAGTACTACAACTTACATAGCTAACATCACCTTAAGAGCATAATATAAAATAATTTTAGCTGTATAAAATAAATTAACTGAGTTACATAGAACTTAATTTCACCTTAAGTCCAACTTGTCCTAAATTGAAGGATATTAAAGAGCCCTAAAAATGCTTTAAGTGGTGATTTGAACTTCTAATGGAAAATGTTATAATTTGCATACTGAAAAATATCTCATTGTACAAGGATAGTTTCTGTGACCTCTTTTCAATATGCTATATTGAGTTTCTCAAGAAAAAGGGGGAAGAAGGATTTTGCTAATCTGTCTCTATATCTCACCTGGTTCCTGCTGAAAGCAATGACAGGCACTTGTAAAAATATAATCCTAAAATATTATGAAGCTAGCTGGCCTACCTGAGCTCCAATTCACAAACTCAATTTTCTCAACACCTTCTAAAACCAACTATACTAGCTAATTTTCAAAGCAAGGAAAATTTAGTCTGACAGTCTATATGCCTAGAGGAATCATCATGCAATAATTATTGGGTTTGTAGTACAAATTTACCCAGTGGATATTGGGTCAATTTTTCTTTTCTAAATATTTATAAAGGAGTATGTTAGAAGTCACATATAAGGGATTTATCATAATACAACATTTAATAGACATGTGGGCATGCTTTAGCCAAAATGAACATACTTGGCTAGGGATGAATACATCTACTATTTACAGTTAAATATTTCCTCTACCTGGAGAGATTCCTGTGCTGGAAGGCATTTTAGAACATACAGTATTAATATTATTTCTAAAAATAGGGTGAGTAGAGTGACAATCTTCTAAAATCCCTGCCAGGAAGAAGAGAAATGCTAAATATAGATTGAGGAATCCCATCTTATTTGGGAGATTAAATCATATCTGTATAAATTATTGGAGGCCTAGCAACTTTCCAACACAAGCTAGTTAATTGTTACATTTTCAAATTCTATACTTCCTGTGTGTTACTTTGTAATGCACTTTTGTAATCACGGTATCTTTCACAACCTTTTCCAAGTTCCAAACCACTTCTATTTACATAACTTGATAAAGATCAGTAAAACTGACTCACTAGCTAAAAGAGATAATCATAGGGTAATAGGCAAAACAAGATAAAAAGCAGAAATTCAGTGTATTCTAATAAAAAAGAAAGAATGCTCGTCTTTGGTTTCAAAGCACTAAATTCAAGTGTCATATAGCATAAATTTAATACTTAATGTTCTCCTATAACTTTACATTGTCTTTCTCATGCATGAATATATGTCATCTTTATAGCCTTCCTTGAGGAGAGTATTATTGTTATATCTATTTTATAAAGGAGTAAACAATAATTAAAAGAATTGAAGTGGTTCAGGCATGGTAGTTTATTGCTGTAATTCGAGCACTTTGGGAGGCTGAGGCAGGCGGATCACTTGAGGTCAAGAGTTCAAGACCAGCCCAGCCAACATGGTCACTTGAGGTCAAGAGTTCAAGACAAGCCCAGCCAACATGGTGAAACCTAGTCTCTACTAAAAAATACAAAAATTAGCTGGGTAAGGTGGCAGGCACCTGTAATCCCAGCTATTTGGGAGGCTGAGGCAGGAGAATCGCTTGAACCCGGGTGGCAGAGGTTGCAGTGAGCCAAGATCATACCACCACACTCCAGCCTGGGCAACAGAGTGAGACCCTGTCTTAAAAAAAGAATTGAAGTGTTTCACAGGAATTAAACTCAGGTCCCAGACTAGATCCTTTGCACTTTCTAAGGCAAGCCCCATCAAAAAGCCCCATCAAAAAGGAGCATAAAGCATTGCTTAAGAATGGAGATAAATCAATAAAGACACAAATCAAATTGCACTTTAGGGAACACAGCTGTTGTATTTTATGATTATTTTGTGGTTCTATAAGACAAGATTATCCCCATATTTCTTCATATGCCAGTCTAATAGTAATAAGTTTTGCCTGTTTGATTATAATTAATTCTATTAAATAATAGATTTCATTCCACTCTTTATAGATTTCTGTCTCAATGATAAACATGTTACCCTCATATTTGAAAGTTTACAATTGCTGAGTAATACAGTAAGTGATACATTCCAAGACCCCCAGTAGATGTCTGAAAACATAGTACCAAATCCAATTGCTGTCAATCAATCAAAACACATTTCTGTTCATATTTTCTACCCACAAATTTACTGCCTGTTCCATCTTAACTAAGCACTTATCATGCACTATGGCTGCATGCACTGCAAACTTTTGTAGTTTTAGGTGCGATAGCACAACTAGCATGAATTTCTTTCACTTTCGTCACTATTTCGCAGATGGAAGATTTGTTCTTAGTAATCTTAGAAACCTCAGTATATTATTTTGTTTTCTTTGCTTATTGAGAACTTTTACCTTTTATCTTAAAGGAAGCATTTTGCAGCTTATCTTTGGCATATTTGAATTGTCAGCATCACTACTCTTGTGCTTTGGGACCATTATGAAATAAAATAAGGCTACTTGAACACAAGCACTGGGATACCACGACAGTCAATCTGATAGACCAAATGGCTACCAAGTGACTCTCTGGTGGTTAGCATATATGGCATAGATACACTGGACAAAGGGATGATTTACACCCTAAGGAGAACAGAGCAGAATGACACAAAATTTCCAAATGCCACTTAAGGGCATACAATTTGAAACTTGAAAGTTATTTCTGGAATCTTTCCATTTAATATTTTTGGACCACAGTCGACCACAGGTAAGTGAAATCATGAAAAGCAAAACCACAGGTGAAAGAGTGCTACTGTAGTCATTGACCATAGAAGAAGCAGAAAAACAAGGCCTGTCTTAAGATTTTTAGCAAAAATCTTTTTTTATATATGCAATTTTTTTGTATATGCAATGTTTTCGCAATTTCAATATATGTAATTCTACTCTCCCCCATCTCTAGGTGTATTTTAGCAATAGCTATATCACAAGGTCTAAATAAAGTCTAAATCCATCAACAAAATTAACACAGTCATCTATCTGCCTTTTTATTTTTATAAAACTGACATGATGGAATTTAGGCCTTACACAGAGATTTCTGGAATGCCATGAACCTAAACAATTTGATCTTTAATTGATACTAACAGGATGATGTTGCAGTAAAATGCAGCATGGATTGACTACTTGTTATTTGGTTGTTGTTATGTCTTTTATTGACATAATGGTACATATTTGGGGAGTATATGTGACATTTTTATACATGTACACAATACTTAATGATCAAATCAGGGCAATTGAGATATCCATTGCCTCAAATATTTATCTTTTCTTTGTGTCGAGAACATTCTGATTTTTCTCTTCTAGCTATTTAGAAACATATGACAAATTATAGTTAACTATAACCTCCCTACTATACTATCAAATACTAGAACTTATTCTTTCTATCTAACTCATAAAAATGATATTTTGTACCCATTAACCAACTTCTCTTCATCCTCCTACCCCTATCATTTCTAGCCTCTGGTACCACTAATCTACTTCTTAACTTTATGAGATCCACTTTTTAAACTCCCACATATAAGTGAAAACCTGTAACATTTGTCTTTCTGTGCCCAGCTTATTTCTCTTAACATAATGACCTCTTGTTACATCCATGTTGCTGCAAATGGCAAGATTTCACTCCTTTTTATATAGCTGAATAATATTCCACTTGCATATGTACCATGCTTTCTGTATTCATTCATCTGTTGATGAACACTTGGATAGATTTTATATCTTGGCTCATGTGAATATTGCTGCAATAAACATATACTTAATTTATTTTTGAAAATAGATCAGATGGATCTATTCTCTTTCACACCTGAAACAGTTTGAGTAAGCCACAAATTAGTACTTTGAAATTACAGTTTGCTCCTTTTTAACCTCTTCTGTATTAACAACCTCATCTATATTCCTACAAACTCATGTGTATGTATACACACACGGAATCTGATTAATTGTCTAACAATTTTATCTGAACCTCAGTACTTTTCTTTCTTCTTTTTGAACAATTTCATCTCCAATTGTTAAATCTTCACCATCTACTTTTAAATCTACATCTCTTGCCTTGTGTGATGATTAACTTTCTGTCAACTTGACCGAGCCACAGGATGCCCAGATATCTGGTTAAATATTATTTCTCAGTGAGTCTGTGAGAGTGTTTTCCATAAGAGATTCACATTTGAATTGGTAAACTGAGTAAAGCAGATGGCCCTCCTCAAAGTGGGTGGGCATCATCCAACCCATCCAGAGCCCAAATAGAACAAAAAGATAGAGGAAAGTTAAATTCATTCTCTCTCATTCTCTCTCTCTCTCTCTTTGCCTGACTGCTTGAGCTGAGACATTTGTCTTTGCCTGCCCTTGGACTGGGACTTACACCATGAGTGCTCCCAGTTCTCAGGCCTTTAGACTCAGACTGGAATTTACATTCTTGGCTTTCCTGAGTCTCCAGTTTGCAGATGGCAGATCATGGGACCTCTCGGACTCCATAATCACATGAGCGAATTCTTTACAATAAATCTCATTCAACACACACACATATGTGTATGTACATATATATACATATATATGTGTGTGTATATATATATACAGAGAGAGATCATAGGTAGGTAGGTAGGTAGATAGAGAGATAGATAGAAAGTAGAGAGAGAGAGAGAGAGACAGAGATAATAGATAGGTAGGTAGGTAGATAGATAGAGAGATAGATAGATAGAAATTAGATGTATGGATACAGGGAATGAATGTAATGCCTTGCAAGATGAAGGAAGGAATCTGAGACAGGTGGTAAAACATATGTAATAGGAATAATAATTAGTTCACAGTAGAGAACAAGGGAAAATCAGGAGACTATTAGATAAAGCTGAGAAGTTGTTTTGAGTCTATAGGGAAAGCTCTTGAATACCAAAATAAGATAGTTGAATATTCAAACAAGATATTTGTATCTTACCCTTTGGATGTTGGGACCATTGCAAGTTTTGGAAAAAGTGAAGTAGCCAAATTTTAATTTATAGAATGTAACCATGACATCATGAAGGATAAAGGAATGGGGAAGAGGCCTGCGCTCAAGGTGGATGAATAGTAGGAAACTCAGTGAAGTGAGACGGGAAATGGTGAGGGCTGAATTAGGGAAGTGACAGTGGAAATGGTGAGAAAATGAAGGCAAGCAACCCTGTGGAAGTAGAAGTAATGAGACTGGAAACTGATTAGATGAGGAGAGTGAAAGAAGGGAGAGCAGAGAATTTGAAATTCTGAGATTTCAGACATGTGCAGTTGAGACTATGATAGTGCCATAAAATGAAATGTGAAACACAGGAGGAAGAGTGGATTTGGGGAGGAGAGGAGGACTTTGATTCTGGATATGAGACATTTGATCTGCTTCTGGGAATATTCATGTTATGGAGGTCCAGCTGAAAACTAGACACATAGATCTGGGGTTAAGGAGAATACATAAAGAGTGTATGTGTGTGTGTGTGTGTGTGTGTGTGTGTGTGTGTGTGTGTGTGTGTGTGTGTGTTTATATATATATTCATTTTCTCCTACCCTCACATTTTGAAACCCTAGCTAACTAGAATGTCATCTAAGAAACTCTCCTCAATTTCTTGAGTCAGAATGATTGTCTTTTTCCTCTTTTCTTCATTACTCTTCATTTACATCTCTGCCATGGTACCTATTTACATACAATTTTAAATGATATGAGGTACAGTTCAATTCACAGACATTCATTGATGTCTTCCTCTGTACCAGGCCAGTACTAGGAGGAAAAAAATGAGTCAGACAATGTCTCGCCTCAAAAATTTACAAACGAAACACTGAACTATGGCAGGCAGATTTGGCACCATAAAAAAGATACAAACAAGGTGCTGTGAAGGCTTAAATGAAGTAAATCTTTATTATGTCTATCTTTTCCACAAAAGGTCAAAAAACATTTCTCATTTTCTGTCTCTCTCTCTCACACACACCCCCCCCACAACCATTGTGTATGTCACGGTAAATATTTTTTGATGCTAATTCTTTAACTCAGTAAGTCAATCAAAATAGATTTACTGCATGTTATAGACTGAATTATACTCCTGCAAATTTCATATGTTGAAATCCTAAAAAAAAAAACACCCAATCCCTAGTACCTCAGAGTATAACTATATTTGGAGATATAACTATATTTGGAGATAGCTACACTCTGAGTTACTAGGGATTGGGTGGGTTTTTTAGTATTTCACATTTGAATTGGTAGACTGAGTGAAGCAGATGCCCTCCTTCAATGTGGGTGGGCATCATCCAACACATCAAGAGCCCAAATAGAACAAAAAGGCAGAAGAAAGTTAAATTCTTCTCTCTCTTTCTCTCTATCTCTATCTCTGCCTGGCTGCTTGAACTGAGACAGTCATTAAAGAGGTGATTAAGTTAAATTAGGTGGGGTCTTAATCCAGTTTGACTGGTGACTTTATAAGAAGTGGAAATTTGGACACACACACAGACACCAGGGATGTGGCATGCAGAGGAAGACTAGATGAGGACTCAGCAAGAAGGCAGCTATCTTCAAGCCAAGGAGAGAGGACTCAGAAGAAAAGAAACCTGCCAACACCTTGATCTTGGACTTCTGGGCTCAAGAACTAGAAGAAAATAAATGTCTGTTGTGAAACTAACACACAGACAACTATCTAGAAAATAAGAACATAATTTAAAAATAGGCTATTTAATTTATATAGGTTTATACATTGTAAAAGCAAATATAACCCTCTGACTGGGTGAGGTTTACATAGCCACAAAGGAGAGTTATGACATTGTGTATGTTGAAACACGGGCTGTATCAGGAAAGCACTATCATTTTGCCACAATGTACTTCCTTGTTATTTATCCCCTACATTGGGCCCTAAGTATTTAAGTTGCTAATTGTGTTTGTTTGTTTGCTTAATCTGACAAACACAATAAAAACATTTTCCCATATACTGTAGAAAATGTGTGTGTGTGTGCGCGTGCATGTGTATACTTGACTGTACATTCCATCAAGGTGAGATTAGCTTGACATTTCATTTAATCTATGCCATCATAATGAAGATAAATGCATCATTCTAGTAGGCATTTTAAAACACTGGAAGTAGCTTGAATAACATCCCCTTTTGTAACTTTCTTGGTTATTAATAGTTTTATGCTTTGTTTCCAGTTTGAGCTCTTCAGACCACTAAAATTTATACTTTACATAGATCTGAATTTGAACTTTCTTTGAGAGTACATTCCCATGAAATCTTCCTAAATTGATGATACATAATTATTAGATTTTTTTTATTGCTATGACCTTTTCTTTTTTAGACAGGTCTCACTCTGTTGCCCAGGCTGGCGTGCAGCAGCACAATCTCAGCTCACTGCAACCTCGGCCTCCCAGGTTTGAGTGATTCTCATGCCTCAGCCTCCCAAATAGCTGTGATTACAGGCATACACCACCACACCCAGCTAATTTTTGTATTTTTAGTAGAGATGAGTTTTTACCATGTTGGCCAGGCTGGTCTCGAACTCCTGACCTCAAGTGATCCTCCCACCTCAGCCTCCCAAACTACTGGGATTACAGGCGTGAACCACCGCACCTGACCTGCTATGTCCCTTTAAAATATATATGCATAACTTTCAGGTTTCTTGTTCAATTAAATAAATAAGTACAAACCTACTGCTTCATTGCAAAACCTATGTTATAGTCTATGCCATAGAAAGAATGTTAAACAATGTTACTTATGGTGAACAAAATATAAAATACAACAAATTAGTTGTAAATAAAATTAAACATAAATTATCAAATGAATGATGTTAAATTACCATTAGGATTTGACAAACTACTAGACTTAGACACTGTCTATGATCACTGAAAATAATGAGGCATACTCACTCATGAGGTTCAAATCAGAGGCCAAAACTTCATTAGCACCATGTCCTGGCTACGCAGGACAGATGTTTATGAGCAGCAAATACCATTGTCAAAATTCTCAATTGACTTTGCAAAATTCATTAGTTGATATAAATTATTAAAGAAAACACAAAACAAACCTAGCACCACTGAATTGACTGTTAATTCCCTTTCTTAATTATAATAGTTGTGCATAAAGCAACAGATTTAATTGCCACACCATTAATTTATCTCAGTCATTAAAGCAGTATAAATAAAACCAGGTTAGCAGTTAAAGCAGTTTGTTCAAATGATGATGATCCTTCCAATTAAGCTGTCAACTAATAGTAAGAACATTCATGGGACGCACATTTCTCCATTTCTAAATGAAGCTGGTCAGGGCCATTCCAAAGGGTTCTACGGGTTTTTCTCTGCACATAGGCACAAAGTCAAGCTGGTGAGTGGGGGCTGAAAGCCAGCCTTAGCCTACTCCCTAAGCCATGCATCTATTGGCCTTTGGGAGCCCAGAGGAGGTGCTTTTGAGTAACACACAAAGGAGCCCTTGTGCCCTCTCAGCCTTGAGGCTGACTCTATTTTCTTTGATTGAATAATGCTACAAATTCCACCTATTCTTAGAATCCAGTGTAACAAATATCTAAATAGAATGTGACTCATGAATAATTTAACCATAGGATTCTTTTGAACATGATTTAAACATTAACAATTTAAAGTAATTTTAAAAATTGTATGACTAACTTTTTAAAAAGATAAATTTTACCTTCTAAATATTTTCCAAACCTTAAACTGTCAAACTTTGATTTCACAAATTAGTAGAATAGAAAGGCAATTTGTGGACTAAAAAGATATTATCTCAATGACAAACTAATCATCTGAAGATTGCTCAAAATTAAAGATCAAGAAGTAATCTCTGCCCTACATTTTCTAACATTTTGCAACAAACTAAGCTTCTCAACATTTGAAACAAATAAAGCAACAGAGTATCAGATTATGACTGCTACTTTCCTTCTATCAATGCCCTTTATGATGAGAGCTTAACCATGAGAAAAATTCAGAATCACGAGAATAAACTATGTGCCAATTAAATATTAAGATAGTTTTAAAATGATAGTTCATTAAAGAAGCAAATGGCAATATTTCTTTTTTTCCTTCAACTTTTAAGTTCAGGGGTACATGTGCAGGATGTGTAGGTTTGTTATATAGGTAAATCTGTGCTGTGGGCAAATAGAGATACTTCTTTTCAGTCATTCCTTATTTTGAAATTCTTTTTTAAAACTGTTAATCAGGTTAATAATCTAAAGAAAAAGTTTCCAACCCTTTCCTGGATAGTCTGCATTTATCCAAAGGGTACATATCATTTTAGCATTCGCTATATAACTTGGAACAAGTAAGGAAAAAGATTAACTACTTGTGACCATAGCCCTTTAGAAGCGTTTTTGATTCCCTCGGAAACTCAAATTCTTGTGATATATCAGAATTGTTATAAGAGTAACAGAATAACATTTTGTTTCTTTTACTCCTCAGCCCTACTGAATTTTGCTAACAAGTTGGAACTTTGAGTTATTTTGGCTCAGAGAGCATTTTTTAGGATGGAGGTACATTGCTTATTATCCTTTTATTCTTCAATTCTCTCTTGGGCTTCCTAATCACAAAACATTCATTAAACTACCATTCTCTTTATCATTAACAGATCAGGTAACTTTAAATATTTCTGTATTCTTAAGCAAAGGGAAAGTGGTCATTGTGGGCACCTGTATAAATGTTAGTTTTTAAAGCTTCATCAGATAGAACCAAAAATAAACTACAGAGTGTGGACCACATCTCAGAGGTTTAATTAAAACTCAATCAATCACGTTATATGCATTGAGTGAAATAAATGATCTGTGATAAAAATATGTGTTCATATGTTTTAGCCAAAAAAATAAAATTCTTGCTTAATTAAAGCAAAAATTCTAATGAATTCAAGTGTATATTTATATGATGCTATTTTAAAAATAGTAATGATGCAGCTATTATTTGTGTGAGTTTTTATATCAAGAATACTATAAATATATTCTGGTACACATGTCCCTTTGGTTTTATTTTTATTTTCTTAGCTAAGGATAATAACATTATTACCCCTACAAAAATTGTATATGCTCATTATAAGTAACCAAAAATAAAACAATGTAGTACAAAAGAAAATATTCTTAAATCCCTTAAAATCTTAACATTTAGAAATTATTTTCTGAAAGTTTATTGATTAACACTCTGGACATTTTTCCTATGTACAGAGAGAGAAGAAAAGGTAGAAATATATATAGATAATTGATTGTTCCACTTGTTAAAAAGATAAGTCAGTCAAGTTGCTAAGTAAATTTATATTAAACTTACAGCCTGGAAAATTGTCTTGAAAGATAAATATTTTAGTTTCAAGAGCAAGGCACTTAAGAGACACAAGAGTTTTTTCATTTTCCAATGATCTGGACTTCGAGAGGCAAAGCCATGAAGAAACAAGGCATAAAGTTTGTACCATAAACAGGAAGTTCAATTACTTTTGAGAAACTGAATCCTGCCAAGCATCATGTGACTGAGCTTGGAAGCAGATCCTTCCCCACTGGAGCCTTGAGATGACTGCAGCCCCCAACTAACACCTTGATTGTGGCTTTCTGAGAGGCCCTGAGCCAAAGGACTTAACAAAACTACACCTGAATTCCTAATCCACAGACGCTGCTAGACGGTAAATGTTATTTAAGCCATTAAAGTTTGGGGTAATTTGGTACACAGCAGCAGATAACTAATCTATCATCTAGTACATCAAAACCTAAAATGAGAAACTGGAATTAAATAATTAATATTGAATTAAAATTCTATCTCTTATAGAAATGTATGCATGGATTGGACTCCCTATAATCATCTTTATATCCTTATTTTTTCCATTTCATTTTAGATCATTTCATTAAATCTACTTACCATTTTACTGATTCTGTTTTCAACTGTGTATATGTTCTTTTCATTGCTTCTAATATGTTTTTCATCTCCATTATGTTTTCTTTTTTATTCCATTTTGTTTATAAGTTCTTCCAGCTTACTTCCACCTCATTCTGTTTTCTTTATGATATTATTTTGGAGATATTGTATTCTCTGCTTTGTTTAAAATACAGGAAAATTCTTTATCTTAACATCATTCAAAAATTATTTTTTCTGTTATTCTGGGTAATTCCCCTCACAATATATGTTCTTCATCTAGTTTTAATTATATTCATTTCCTCCTTTTGCATTTGTATGCATAGGTACTGTCCTAGTCATTTCTAATTATTACTTTTTTAATAAATGGATCTGCTAATTGTTCTAAAACTATATGAAAGAGGGGTTAGAATAGGTAACAGGCAATGAGTATTCTGGGACATTATATAGCCTCTATTTAAGACTGAAAGTATGTGTGCTCCCAGAATGCATACACTGAAATCCTAACCCCCAGTGATAATATTAGTGGGTGAGGTCTTTGGGAGGTGATTAGGTCATGAGGATGAAGTCTTCATGAATGGGTTGACAGCTCTTATACAAAGAACTACAAAGAGTTCTCTTTTCCATCCACCACGTTTCCATCCACAGACAGAAGACAAATATTTATGAACCAAGAAGCAGACCCTCATCACATATGGAATTTGTTGGCACCTTGATATAGGATTCTCCATCCTCTAGAACTGTGAATAATACATTTCTGTTGTTTAGAAGCCACCCAGTCTATGGTATTCTGTTATAGCGGCCTAAATGTATCAAAAGACAGCCTCCATTATTATACATTGTCCCCAACAATACTTACCATCTCACTAAAACTGCTATTTTCTCTGCAATGGGGGCACATCTTTCCTCAATTTTTAGCACTCAAGTAAATAGTGTGGCTTAGTGTAATAAAGACCCTCTTTAGCACCCCCTTCATCCATTTTACTTCCAACAAGAAGCCTAGTTCCCAGGTAATAAAACGTCATTTGTCCTGGGATCTGCCTCACTTGGTATTCCTTGGTGTCAAATTGTGTCACTCTAGGAACAATTCTAGTTTTCCTTACATAAAAATTACTGAATGCTCTTTTCAGAATTGTAACTATTTTTTTAGGACAAATATGTAACTTCCTCAAGGTCCAAGCAAGTATATGATGGCTTACAACATAATCTTCACAATATATGACCAATAAACAGAGTTCACAGTTTCTAATTTGGAATTGTGGCCATTTCTCAGGTCATTTTTTTCTCTAGTTATAATTCTTTTTATTGACTTAGTTGATTTTGTAGGAAAGAAAGTTAAAAATTCCTTGATTCCCTTATCAATAAATCGAGTTCTATTCTTAAAAATTAAAAAAAAAAGAAGGTAAAGCAAGATGGGCTAATAGAAGCCTTCACCAATTGCCTCCCCACCCCATACATACACAGGAACAGTAAATTTAACAAGTATCTACACACACACAAAAGCACCTTCCTAAGAACCAAAAATCAAGTGAACAATCTCACAGCACCTGAGATCACTGGTGCTGTGATCACTGATGCTGTGATAACTTTGTATCACTGAAAGAACCACTGAAGAAGGTAAGAAAGACAGCCTCGAATCACCAACACCATCCTGCCCCTATCCCCCAGCAGTGGCCATGTAGCATGAAGAATTTGGGGGAGGGAGAATGCATTGAGTGTGGGACCCTGCACTGAACTCAGTGCTGCCCTGTCACAGCAGAAAGCAACACTAGGCTAAACTCAGCCAACAACTCACCCATGGGAGGAACATTTAGACCAGCCCTAGCTAGAGGGGAATTGCCACTCATCCTGGTGGTTGGAACTTGAGTTTTGGCAAGCCTCACCACTGCGGGCTAAAGTGCTCTGGGGTTCTAAATAAATTTAAAAGGAAGTCTAGGCCACAAGGACTGCAATTCTGAGGCAAGTCCTAGTGCTATGCTGGGCTCAGAGCCAGTGGATGTCAGGGGTATGGAACCTAGTGAGACATTTGTTTTAGGCAGCCAGGAAGGCTAACGGAGTGCTTGTGCCATGCCTCCCCCGATCCTAAGCAGCACAGCTCGTAGCAACAAGGTGCCTCTTTCCTTCTGCTTGAAGAGAGGAGAGGGAAGAATAAAGAGGACTTTGTCTTGCATCTTGGATACCAGCTTCCCCACAGAAAAATATGGCAATGGACAAGAGTCGAGCAGCCTACCTCTTGGATAACATATCTAGACACACCCTGGGCCAGGAAGGAACCCATTGCCTTGAAGGAAAGGACCTAGTCCCGGCAGGATTCATTACCTGCTGACTAAACAGCACTTGAGCACTAAAGAACCAGCAGCAATACCATAAATAGCATGTCGTGGGCCTGGGGAGAGATTCTGGGATGTGCTGGCTTCAGGTGAGACCTAGCACATTCTGAGGTATGGTAGCTACTATGAGAGATTCCTTCTACTTGAGAAAAGCAGAGGGAAAATTTAAAGAGGCTTGGTCTTTCACCTTAGTTACCATCTCAGCCACAGTGAGGTAGAGCACCATGCAGGCTCTTAGGGTTCCTGATTCCAGGACTTGGCCCTTGGATGGCATTTCTGGACTTGCCCTGTGCCAGAAGGGAGCCCATTGCCCTGAAGGGTAAGTCCCAGGCCTGGCAGCATTCATGACAAACTGACTGAAGAGCACTTGGACCTTAAGTGCACATTGGTGATAGCCTAGTAATACCTACCATTGTTCCGTCATGGTGGTGACCACAGCAAGAGGCTCCTCTGCTTATGGAAAGGAGAGGAAAGAGTGGGAAGAACTTCATCTTATTTGGTAGAATAAAGAAGCAGGTAGATTTCTTAGGTTTTTGACTCTAGTCCTTGGCTTCTATATGGCATCTCTGGACCCACCTGAAGCTTGGGAGAACTCACCACCCTGAAGGGAAGGACATGAGCCTGGCTGACTTCACCACCTGCTGATTGTAGAGGTTTAGGGCCTTCAGCAAACATAGGCAGTAGCCAGGGAGTGGTTATGTCAGGCTTTAGGTGAGACACAGTGCTGTGCTGGCTTTAGGTATGACCCAGTACAGTCCCAGTGGTGGTAGCCACAGGGTTGCTTGTGTCATTTCAACCCCAGCTCCAGGTGGCTCATAACAGAGAGAGAGAGAGAGAGACCTTGTTTCTTCAGGAGAAAGCAAGGGATGGATGGGGACAAGAGTGTCTGCCTGGTAATCCAGAGAATTCTTCCTAACCCTATCCAAGACTGACAAAGTGGTACCTCTATGAGTCTGCAGGAACCATAGCATTACTGGACTTTGAGTACCCACTGATACAGATATGGCATAGATCACAACACCCAAGTCCTTTCAAATACCTGGAAAGCCTTCCCAAGAAGGATGGGTACAAACAGACCCAGACTGCGAAGACTACAATAAATGCCTAACCTTTCAGTAGTACCCAGACACTGAAGAGCATCCACAAGCATCAGTACCATCCAGGAAAACATGATGTCATCAAATGAAATAAATAAGGCACCAGGAACCAATCTTGGAGAAACAGAGATATGTGACCTTTCAAACAGAATTGAAAATAGCTGTTTTGAGGAAACTCAAAGAAATTCAAGATAACACAGAAAAGGGATTCAGAATTTTATCAGATACATTTAACGAAGGGATTGGAATAATTAAAAAGAATCAAGCAGAAATTCTGGAATTGAAAAATGCAAATGGCATACTAAAGAATGCATCAGAGTCTCCTAACAGCAGAATTGATGAAGCAGAAGAAAGAATTAGTAAGCTTGAAGACAGGCTATTTGAAAATACAGTCAGAGAAGACAAAAGAAAAAAAAAAAACAATGAAGTACACCTACAAGATCTAGAAAATAGACTCGAAAAATCAAATCTAAGAGTTATTGGCCTTAAAGAGGAGGTAGAGAAAGATATAGGAGTAGAAAGTTTATTCAGCTTTTCGATCCGCCATCTGCAGTGGAGCCGCCACCAAAATGCAGATTTTCGTGAAAACCCTTATGGGGAAGACCATCACCCTCGAGGTTGAACTCTCGGATACAATAGATAATGTAAAGGCCAAGATCCAGGATAAGGAAGGAATTCCTCCTGATCAGCAGAGACTGATCTTTGCTGGCAAGCAGTTGGAAGATGGACGTACTTTGTCTGACTACAATATTCAAAAGGAGTCTACTCTTCATCTTGTGTTGAGACTTCGTGGTGGTGCTAAGAAAAGGAAGAAGAAGTCTTACACCACTCCCAGGAAGAATAAGCACAAGAGAAAGAAGGTTAAGCTGGCTCTCCTGAAATATTATAAGGTGGATGAGAATGGCAAAATTAGTTGCCTTCATCGAGAGTGCCCTTCTGATGAATGTGGTGCTGGGGTGTTTATGGCAAGCCACTTTGACAGACATTATTGTGGCAAATGTTGTCTGACTTACTGTTTCAACAAACCAGAAGACAAGTAACTGTATGACTTAATAAAAGACATGAACTAAAAAAAAAAAAAAAAAAAGAAAGAAAGTTTATTCAAAGGGATAATAACAGAGAACTTCCCAAACATAGAGAAAGATATAAATATCCAAGTACAGGAAGGTTATAGAACACCAAGCAGATTTAACCCAAAGAAGACTAACTCAATGCATTTAATAATTAAACTCCCAAAGGTCAAAGATAAAGAAAATATCCTGAAAGCAGCAAGAAAAAATAAACAAATAACATAAAATGGAACTCAAATAATTCTGGCAGCAGACGTTTCAGTGGAAACCTTATGAGCCAGAAGAGTTGCATGAAAAATTTAAAGTGCTGAAGGAAAAAAACTTTTACTCTAAAATAATATATCCATTGAAAATATCCTTCAAATATGAAGGATAAATAAAGACTTTCCCAAACAAAAATTGAGGGATTTCGTCAACACTAGACCTGTTCTACAAAAAAAATGCTGAAGGAAGTTTTTCAATCAGAAGGAAAAAAATGTTAACAACCAATAAGAATCATCTGAAGGTACACAACTCACTGGTAATGGTACACAGAATATTATAACACTGTAATTGTGGTGTATAAACTAATCTTAAGTAGAAAGACTAAACAATGAACTGATCAAAAATAATAAATACAATAACTTTTCAAAACACAAACAGCACAATAAACTATAAATAGAAATAACAAAAAGTTAAAAGTGTGGGGACAAAGTCAAAATGTAGAGTTTTTATTAGTTTTCTTTGCATTTGTTTGTCTCTGCACTCAGTGTTAAGTTCTCATCAGTTTAAAGTAATGGATCACAAGATAGTATTTGCAAGCCTCATGGTAACCTCAAATAAAAAAAACATACAACAGATACACAAAAAATAGAAAGCAAAAAGTTAAATCATACCACAAGAGAAAATCACCTTCACTAAAAGGAAGATAGGAAGGAAAGAAAGAAGAAAGGGAAGACCACAAAACAACCAGAAAACAAATAACAAAATGGCAGGAGTAAGTCCTTACTTATCAATAATAATGTTGAATGTAAATGAACTAAATTCTCAAAAGACATAGAGTGACTGAATGAATTAAAAAAAAAAAACAAAAAAACTAAGACCCACTGATCTGTTGCCTACAAGAAACACACTTCACCTTCAAAGACACACATAGGCTGCAAATAAAGGGATGGAAATAGATATTCCATGCCAACAGAAACAAACACACACAAAAAAAGAGCAGGAGTAACTACACTTTATATCAGACAAAAGAGATTTCAAGACAAAAAACTGTAAGAGAGACAAAGAAAGTTATTATATAATGATAAACGGGTCAATTCAGCAAGAGGATATAACAATTGTAAATATATATATACCCAACACTGGAACACTCAGATAGATAAAGCAAATATTATCAGAGAAAGAGAGAGAGCCTCCAATACAATAACAGCTGGTGACTTCATCACCTCACTTTCAGCATTGGACAAATCTTCCAGACAGAAAATTAACAAAGAAATATTGAACTTAATTTGCACTACAGACCAAATGGGCTTAATTGATATTTACCAAATATTTCATCCATCAGCTGCAGAATACACATTCTTCTCTTCAGCACATGGGTCATTCTCAAGAGTAGGCCATATGTTAAGTCACAAAAATATCTTAAAGCATTCAAAAAATTTGAAATAATATCAAACCTCTTCTCTGCCCACAAATGGAATAAAACTACAAATCAATAACAAGAGAAATTTAGGAAACTACACAAACACACAGAAATTAAACAATATGCTCCTGAATGATCTGTGGGTCAATGAAGATATTAAGAAGGAAATTGAAAAATGTCTTGAAACAAATGATAATGGAAACGCAATATACTAAAACCTATAGGATACAGCAAAAGCAGTACTAAGAGAAAAATTTATGTTTATAAGCACCTACAGCAAAAAAAGAAGGAAAACGTCAAATACATAGCCTAACAATGCATCTTAAAGAACTACAAAAGCAAGATAAAACCAAAGACAAGATTAGTAGAAGAAAATAAATACTAAAGATCAGAGGAGAAACAAATGAAATTGATACAAAGAAAACAATACAAAAGATCAATGAAATGAAAAGTTGTTTTCATATAAGATAAACAAAATTGACAAACCTTTAGCCAGAATAAGAAAAAGAGATGACCCAAATGAATAACATCAGAGTTTAAAAAGAAGCCATTAAAACCAATAACACAGAAATCCAAAGGATTTCTGCCTACTATGAGCAACTATATACTAATAAGTTGAAAAATCTAGAAGAAATGTGTAATTTCCTAGACACATAAAACCTACCAGGATTGAAGCATGAATAAATCCCAAACCTGAACAGACCAATAACAAGAAACAAGATTGAAGCCATAATAAAAAGTCTCTCAGCAAAGAAAAGCCCAGGACCTGATGGCTTCTCTGCTAAACTCTACCAACCATTTAATCCTTTTCCCATTTGCCCAAAGAATACTCACTAGCAGCACCTGCAGCTAACAGTGTTTACCCTGAAATTTTGCCACGAAATATCTTGCTTTCATTATTATTTTTGCAACACTCTAGCATATCAACTTTGGAAAGAAAAAATGTCATTCTATTTATAGCATTCTGGTTTTAGTAGTGGTATTTCCATTTACAAAATAAAGTAATTCTTGACTGCTAAAAATGTCAAAACCTAGAAAACGTGAAATTCCTATGCATGATGTTCACATCATTCTTGAACAGTTGTTGGCTGAAGATTTATTTGATGAATCTAATTATTCTGAAATAGATGATTCTGACAATTCAGACTATTCTGATATAGTTCTGTTTACAAATAACTCCATGAACAGGTTACATATTTTATTTTCACCTTGAAAATTAGTCAGATTGTCTTCAGCCTCTGAAAGCATGTTTATGTATAATAAAATTAAATGAGCGCTGGCAGTGAGCTGCACTTTTCTTTTTCTAAACAGGTAAAAGATTAAAAAAGAACTAATACCAATCCTACTCAAACTAATCTCAAAAATAAAGGAGGAGGGAATACTTCCAAACTCATTCTATGAGGTCATATTACCCTGATGCCAAAACCATCAAAGACACACCAGAAAAAAGAAAAC
This sequence comes from Homo sapiens, assembly GCF_000001405.40. NCBI lineage: Eukaryota > Metazoa > Chordata > Mammalia > Primates > Hominidae > Homo > Homo sapiens. The sequence continues at coordinate 192,719,763 of NC_000001.11, forward strand.
TACAGAGCAATATCCCTGATGAATATGGTTACGAAAATCTTCAACAAAATACTAGCAAACCAAGCTCAACAACATATTTAAAAGATCATTCATCACGAGCAAGAGGGATTTATCCCAGGGATGCAAGGATGGTTCAACTTGTAAGAGCTCTCACAAAGTCAGTCTTTAAAGACTAAAACAAGTCTCTTCTTCTTCAAATGTACAGCCATCAATGTAAGGCAACAAAAAACATAAAAATCTAAGGAGATATAACACCATCAAAAGACTTCGGTGACCCTAAGTAAATGGAGATATGTAAACTATCTGACAAAAAATTTAAAATAATTGTTTTAGGGGCATTCAGAGAGGCTCAAAAAATACAGAGAAACAATTTCATGACATCAAAAAAAAAAAATGACCAAAATTAGAAATTTAGCAGAGAGATCAAAATTTTTTTAAAAAAAGCAATAATTCTGGAGCTAAAAATTATAAATAATGAACTAAAAAAATAGAAGGCATCAGTAGCGGAACTGATTAAGCTGGAAAAGAATCTGTAAACTAAAAGGCAATTTATTTGAAAATATGCAATCACAGAGAAAATATGAAAAGGAATGAAGAAAGCTTATAGGATTCATGGGACAGCATTAAAAGAGCAAATGTTTGAGTTATAAGAGTGCATGAAGAAGAGAAGGACAAAGGGGTAAAAAAATTATTTTATAAAAATAATTGCAGAAAATTTCCAAATTTGGAAAAAGTTATAAATATTCAGGTACATGAAGGTCAAAGTTCTCTAATCAGATTTAATCCAAACAAGATTACACCAAAATAATCAAACTGTTCAAAATCAGGACAATGAGAGGATACTGAAAGCACCAAGAGAAAGGAAGTAAAAACATATAAGGGGATAACAGTAAGGCTAGCAGTGGGTTTCTCAGCAGAGATGTTAAAGGCCAGGTGAGAGTGGGATGATATATTCAAAGTGCAAGGAAAAAACTGCCAACCAAGAATTTGGTGCCCAGCAAAACTGCCCTTCAGAAATGAAGAAATAAAGACTTTCTCAGGCTAAAAGAAGTTGAGGGAGTTTACCACCACCAAACCTGTCTTATAAGAAATGCTAAAAGGAATTCTTCAATCTGAAAGAAAAGAATGCCAATAAGTAACATGAAAACATATGAAAGTATAGAACTCACTAGAGAAAGTAAGTACACAATAAAATTCAGAATACTCTGATACTGTAATGAAAGTATATAAGTCACTTGTGTCTTTAGAATAAAGTATAAAAGACACAACTGTTAAAAATAATAATAGCTGCAATAATTTGTTAAGGGTAACAGTATAAAACTATGTAAATTGTAACATTGAAAAATTTAAATGTGGGGGTGGGGGTGGAGTAAAAGTATAGAGTTGTTTTTTTTTTAAACATAATCAGGTAAGTATTATCAGCTTCAAATAATCTCTTATAACAAGATGATTTTTAAGTCTCATGTTAACCACAAAGCAAAAAACCTATAGTAAATACACAAAATATAAAAAATAAGTAATAAGTGGCCGGGCGCGGTGGCTCATGCCTGTAATCCCAGCACTTTGGGAGGCTGAGGCAGGCAGATCACAAGGTCAGGAGATCGAGACCATCCTGGCTAACACGGTGAAACCTTGTCTCCACTAAAAATATACAAAAAATTAGCCAGGCGTGGTGGCAGGCGCCTGTATTCCCAGCTACTCAGGAGGCTGAGGCAGGAGAATGGCACAAACCCAGAAGGCAGAGCTTGCAGTGAGTTGAGATCACGCCGCTGCACTCCAGCCTGGGTGACGGAGCAAGACTCCATCTCAAAATAAAAAAAAAAAAAAAGTAATAATCAAGGGATCTGAGATAAAGAAAATTAAGTGTCCAGAAAATTAAACCATATTTTAATGTTACAATAGCCAGAAGAGAGAAAGTTCATATTTTTTAACAATAGTACCCTTTTCACAAAAGTGCACACAATATTTTTGTGAGTCAGATTTATGTTGTCTTGAGAATTTAAAGGAACATTTTGACCTAGAGTACATAATATCTTAAAACTACATCACAACTCAATTTTTAATACTTTTTATTAATCTTCTATAAAATGGTACATTTCTAAAATAATGACAATGTTTTAATTAATGGAAGGCTTTCAATATTAATATTTATTATGGTTTCCAATTAAATATTTTCAAATGCTTAATATTTTTATTTATTCTCTTTTTATAAAACTAACTTCTCGAGTTTCTATTATTCAATACTAGATTATATAATCAAGCTTGAAACTAATAATCATGTCAGCTTCCTGGAGTTTATTATAATTAATTTTTAAATACACTGTGCCAAATGTTAGAATTGTTTAACAGAGAAAGTAATGTAATAAAAATGCTGAACTAAATATCATCACTAATTCCAAATCAATAATGGAAAATAATTCCAAATGACCTATGAATAGTGTCACTTGTGATTAATATCTGGTTTTTCCCCTGATTTTTTTTATCATGCCCGTAAGGTAATAAGCCAGAAACCAGACAGCCTTCCCCAAAATATCACATGTTCCCCAAAACATGGGAAGAAGTTCTTTGTTACGGACTAAAAGTTGACCCATCTTTGGTATTTACCCTTATATTGCTTCATTTTTCATCTGTTATAGTAGATCAAGTCAAGTCCGATTATGAAGCCTTCATTTATCTAAAAGTTCCACTGATTATTTGCTGCTGTACATGTGACTGAAGAACACATTTACTTAATATCAAAACTTTCCCTCTGTTTCTCATGTCAGAAAGTACCAAGTAAGGAAATGGAAAATCATAACAGTAGGAGACTGCTTGCCAAAATTAGCGAATGTGAATTACAATGACACTCCAGATCCAAAAATAGACTGAATTTTAATTATTTCCTTTGAAGGAAAATAAAATAACAATGATATCTAAATATATGTCTCAAATAAGGCATCTGTTTTCAGGAAATAAGAAATAATAGAGTACTATTTGAAAATGCTTCCTGGTACCCAGTCAGGCTGTATCATAAACAACCACATTTGGAATCTCTGCTTCAGGCATTGCAAGGAGCCAGAACAGAGTGAACTTGTCAGAATAGAGTATCTACGTCTCCTATTCTACTCCTTTTATTCTCTCCACATAAATAACACACACAAGAAATTTAGATCTCACAAATAGGTGCTAAAAGGGTCAGCTCTCAACAATATGCATTTTATCATAAACACTGCATGGTTTTAATTCCTACCAACCAACTCAGTTCGACATTGAACCAGTCTTGACGTAATATTAGGGGAGCTAAATTATTCTTTGAGCTTCACTTCTGCTCGGAAAGATTGAAGAGTCTATTCATGACAACACTTGATATTGTTCCAAAAAAAATTTTTTTTTTTTTAGACGGAGTCTCGCTCTGTCACCCAGGCTGGAGTGCAGTGGCACGATCTCGGCTCACTGCAAGCTCTGCCTCCCGGGTTCATGCCATTCTCCTGCCTCAGCCTCACGCGTATCTGGGACTACAGGCGCCCGCCACCACGCCCGGCTAATTTTTTGTATTTTTAGTAGAGACGGGGTTTCACCATGTTGGTCAGTATATTCTCGATCTCTTGACCTCGTGATCTGCCCGCCTTGGCCTCCCAAAGTGCTGGGATTACAGGCGTGAGCCACCACGCCCGGCCCAAAATTGTTTTCTAATCCTCCCTGTGAATGGATGCCGTATGGACACCAAGCTGCCATGCGCACCTCTTGAGGCACACACTGACAAATGGGGCTTATTCCTCAGAACCAGACAACGATCCAAAACGTATTCAAGCTGGTGTCAACTTATACCATGGCTGTTTCTCACAAGTTTATTATAGAGTTATGGTCAGAGTTCCTGTTGAAAAACTTCATAAAGTTGTTGCTTTCTATTGTCGATTAAATCCCCACAAGAAAAAAAAAATAGAGAGTAAATTCCCAGCTTGATAATTTCACTAACTTTTACAATGACATTCTCCAGAATGTATATTAAGACTGTGGCCCAGTGTACCCTCCTTTCCACACTCCAAGAAAGTATCCAAATAGTGTACAATTGAAGGGCTTACGCTTGCACAGGCCTGGGTACAAAGCCATCCTCTGGAGTCCGGCTGCCCAGTTCAAATCCTGGCTCAGAAAATGACCAGTTCTGTGACCATGAGGAAGCTCTTTAGTCTCCATACCTTGGTTCTTCCAAATGTATGGGAAAATGAGGACCATAATGGAATTGTTCTGAAGATTAAATGAAATTGCCCACATAAAACCATTAGTAAAGTGACTGAAACAGCACAATGTTTCTCCCTCATGTATCTTTTTCATTTTTATTCTACAAGTCTTGCCATAAAATCTATGGAATACAAGATGTACAACTCAAGTTATGTTGTATGTGATTAAATTGGCAAACTAGAGGAGGCAAAATCTGCATGATTCTTAACTAATTTGGTTCTTTTAAACAAATACCAAAGTGTACTGTCTATGGAGGAACTCTAAGGGGCAAAAGCAACTGCTTTCTTCTGTGTGTACTGGAGCTAACAGAATGCTTCAGGATGCTCAGTCATAGTGGGAGAAACGATGCATTCAATAATGCTTTTCTCAAAAATCAGAGAAAACATTTGTATTTTAAGTGGTATCCTAAATCAATTTTTGCAGCGTATTTTTAATAAATCAGCTTTGAAAAGCCCTCTATTGTTTAAATAATAGACAATATGAGCCCTGTGCTTACCAAGACAATCATTCACTTATGTACCAGTTTAATTTCAACATCATAATTATTCTGGCATTAATTCAATAGAAGCTCTTTCTCCTTTACATGAGGTGTGATACTTAAATCTTACTAAATTATAACAATAATTAAAATAGGGAAAAATATTGTATACTGTTCAACCTATAATAAATACACTAAAATATCAGTTACTTGTCTATCTTTTTTTTAGAGGTAGGGGTCTCACTTTGTTGCCCAGGCGGGAGTGCTATGGATATTCACAGATGTGATCACAGCCTATTACAGACTGGAACTCCTGGATCAAGTAATCCTCCTGCCTCTGCCTCCCAACTAGCTGGAACTACAGCATGCCACGGCACCCAGCTATGTGTGTCTAATTTTTAATGGCCCATTGATGAGTAAATTCCATGTCATTGTTCCAGCAGATCCCTGAGTCACTGTAGCTTCATGACTGAGAATTAAGGCCAAGCCAAATTCCTCCTAAGACACTACATAATCGCATGTCTGACCCTCTCCCCAAACTGCAACATATACAAATGATGAACTCAAGAATCACGGCACTCTCTGCTTAAAGATTACCATAACCCTTTCCAAATTAACAGCATGCTCAAATGTTTTGCAAAATTCTAACACAATGAAACCTACAGAGGCTCATTCATATTTTTTGTGAAAAAAATAATGTAACAAATTCCAGATTATGAAAAGAGCATGAGACTGAAAGACCGAAAGTTCAAATTCTAATCCCAGTTTATCATTAACTTGATGAGTGACATTGAGTAAAAGCACCTGACCTCGCTGTACCTCAACTTCCCTATCTTAAAAGGTGAACGTTATAGTACTTGTCCTACTACTGTACCTGGTTGTTGACCAAATTAAATATAATAAATCATATTTAATTTATTTTCAAATATATATATATTTCAAGTATATATTTATTTTCAAACCATGCATACATTTGAAAATTGTGTTGTACAAATGTAAAATATTGCTGTCAATTTTCTTAGAACATTTTCATTCCCTCTATAACACGTCTCTGTTACCAACCATATCATTGCATGATGTTCTCCTAAGAACTCTTTATTCTTACCAATGACCCCAAGAGTTGTAATGCTGCATTGTAAAAAATTGCCATTTAAGGATATTTTTAAAGTAACAAATTGGCATTTCAGCCATCTATCTATAATGTAATATGATATAATATAATCTTGTTGTTTCCCACTTTCTGTAAATATTATCTTCCAGCATTTCCTGGAAAGGAGTATTTAATTTCTAAATTTTACTGATTACAGTTGTATTTCACAGAAAAATGACATAAGAGAATACAGAATTAGCTTAATATGAAAATGTTTTCTGGGCCAGGGATTTGGATCTCAAGTTGCAGGTGTGAAAATTCTCATTTTCTTTTTTGGTTTTTTGTTTTTTCAATGTCTTATTCTAACACACCAAACATATGTATGAAGAGAAAAAACAGGTAAATAACAGACAGTATGGTAGCAAAAGCCTGGCTTTGTAGCTGCTGATTTCAAGTCTGGCTTTACTACTTACCAGCAAAGGGTAAATCATTTCACCTTGCTTAATCTAAGTTTCCCCATAGGTAAAATAGATACACATTTTATATAACAGTTATAAAGTTTAGAAATACAGCCAAAACATCTAGTTTTCATAAAGTTGGGAAACAGTATCATATGATATTCCAAATGAAACACTGAGCACTTATGTGTTCCAATGAAAAGAAACCTTCTTTTCTTCAGGCTCCAACTCTCTTAGCCCTTTAAGCTTCAGCATCTTCAGAGTTACTTGTTCATATCCCAGGGTTGATGCTGGTTATTCTTGACAGCTGCAAAAAGAGCAGAAACTGCACCACCAGGCATGGTGTCTCACGCCTGTAATCCCAGCACTTTGGGAGGCCAAGGAGGTGGATCACCTGAGGTCAGGAGTTCGAGATCAGCCTGGCCAACATGGTGAAACCCTGTCTCTACTTAAAAATACAAAAATTAGCCAGGCGTAGTGGAGGGCACCTGTAATCCCAGCGACTCAAGAGGCTGAGTCAGGAGAATCACTTGAACCCAGGAGGCAAAGGTTGCAGAGATTGCACCATTGTTACTCCAGCCTGGGCAATAATAGTGAAACTCCCTCTAAAAAAAAAAAAAAAAAAAAAAATCAGAAACTGAGATGGATGATATTCTGGGAGGAGGACTTAACTTCTTGCTCAAATACTGACCACTCCAGCAACAGGTTTCCCATGAACTACCATATTTTCCTGCCACCCAGGAATTAGCACATCTCCATTTTGCTGTGGGGGTCCAATCCTGAGGTCCAGCAATTGCTCCCACAGAGAAAGGAGAGAGCTCTGAGTTATAACCTGTTAAAAAAAAAAAAAGCAAAGAATAACAAGAGGAGAGGTTGGTGATCTAGGAACAAGATCGTTGGTGACCCAAAGTGACCTTAGTGCTGTGTAATGACATGGCTGTTGCTACAGTGACCATCTGCCATAAAGATGAGGCTTGGCAAAGAACATCTCTCGGTGCCTCCCATTTCATTGTCCCTAAAGTAGAAGCTGAGTGTCATCATTTGTTAAAATTGGGGAAGCCTCCGAGGTGTGGGTTCATCAGAACAATAGCCACTGTTGCCTGTGGTCACAGTCACTGAAGCTGGGGTCCTGGTCACTACTCCAACAGCTGGGAGGCAGCCCCTAGCAATTTCCTCAGGATATAGTAATTCCTCAAGGTTTGATAAATGCTCCTTCTCTAAAAGACAGGTTCAGACAGGAGCATTTCATGACAAAATTGGCCTGAGTACAAAGTGTGATAAGGTCTTTGATTCACTATCAAAGACACTCATCGCCTCAGAACCAGTGCTTCCTTTCTACCTTAAGCTCGTGAGGCAGAGCCTCGCCCACTGGCCACATCCAGTCCAAGGATAAATTCACTCTCAGGATCCTCACTGCTCTTTCTTACAATCAAGCTGCAATAAAGTTTACATGAGTTCATTAAAAATGTTAAATAACTTTGAATTTCAAAAGGATTGAATCAGTGTGGGCCCCTTTCCTTGGAGAAAGCTCCTCTACATCTGTGTAAATTTATGGATACAGACGGATTCTAGAATGGAGGGTTTCTTCCAGTGCCCCCCAGGAAGGAACTAAACTCTATAGTCCAACAGGTACAAGAGAAGTGGAGTAAAATCTACTCCCTACATTCTAAGCAGATACGCTGGCACAGCTAAAATGGCTTTTTCAAAGACAATATATATAAAATGTCCTGCACATCACACATAAGTGTTCAACAAAAGGTAGTTATTGTTATTAGAAACATAATAGCACAGTGTGCAGTTTCTGCTGGGCACCTCCCTAACTGGATATAGGAATAACCACGTAGAATGTCAATCAGCATTTAGTTTTCTTTCTTTAGCCTCCTACGTATTAATTGAAAAATCAGAGCTGAGATCAGTACAACACAGACTTTTATAATAGTCCAAGTTAAATTCTTTCTATTTTTCCCATCTCTAAATTTTCCTTTTGCAAGTACACAACCATAATGTGTTGACTAATAACATAAAATGATAACAGTGTGTCTTCTTGTCAGTAAGCAGAACTGTTCTGCCTGTAAAGATTCTCGAAAAAGAAAAAAAAAGGCAAAGCTCATAAAGGTAGGATAAATTGAAATCAAAGGCTTGTAGCTTGTGTATACCCTCCTCAGTCCCTTACAACCAAAACAGAAGACCACACACTTCTTTTAATCCTAGGTCTAGAGGCTGAATCCTAACTCCCTTTCATTTGTCCAAATAGACTGGAAGACAGAAGGTACTCAATAATAAAATACGCTTAATCAATTGGAATCTAACTGGCATCGGCATTCCAGGCTCTGGTCCACTCTGGAGATATAGAAGAAAGTGGCTAACAAGGACACATACCCACAGCTCTGTTTCACAAAATGCATAAAATATAATAATAATAACAGCTCACACTTACATAACACTTACTGTGTGCCAGGCATTGCTCGAAGCAGTGTGTGTGTGTGTGTGTGTGTGAATGAGTGTGTATCATATAATCTTGACAATTCTATGAGAAAGTTGCTATTAATTCCCATCTTTACAGATTGGAAAATCAAGCCTCCTAGGTCACACAGCTTAAAAATGGCAAAGCTGACATTTAAACTCGGGCCATCTGAGCTTTGGAGTCTGTGCTTTTAACCACTACACCCTACCACCTAAAGTGGACGTTTACCCAAGAATGACATCAGTTGGAAGGCCCTCCTCAAATCATTTCCCCTGAAGTGTCACCAGAGAAAGTTTTACCATTTCTGAGGACAGTGGTGGTGTTGTTATCTCCTCTTCCTTCAGGTGATCCTGGGGCCTAAGGATTTTTCAGATTTGCAGTGTCTGCAGTTCACAGTGGCAGAGTTCTTGTGTGACTCCATGCAGTTCAAAGATTGAACTGGTCACTACTTAGGCATCAGTACAGTTTTGATGAGCTTTTCTGTGGGAAGCACTGCACTGAGTGCCAAGAACTTACAAAGGTATAGGGAGAGAGGTCTTTGTGCTCAGACACAGCTGTAGACGCAATTGTATCCCTGCAAAAATCTGTAAGTTGAAGCCCTAATTCCCAATGTGATGAGAACTGGGATGGAGTCTTTGGAAAGTAATTAGGTTTAGATGAGCTCCTAAGGGTGGGATCCCCATGATGGGATCAGTGCCCTTATAAGAAGAGATACCAGAAAGCTTCCTCACTCTGTCTCTCCTTGTGCCATATAAGGACGAAGCAAGAAGGCAGCTGTCGGCAACCTAGGGAGAGAGGCCTCTCCAGAAACTGACCATGTCCAGGCCTTGGACTTCTAGTCTCCAAACTGTGAAAAAAACTAATTTATGTTGTTTAAGCCACCCAGTCTATGGTATATTGCTATGGTAGCCTGAGCTGACTTAGATAGACACTGACTTAGATAGGACAGGACAGACACTTATATCTGGGTTCATGAAAGCAATTCAGACAGGATGAAGAAGTTGTACATAAAGATCCTATATAGAAATACTTATGCCCTTTAATAGAGAAGGTTTAGTGTACAGATAATAATTATCATATTACTATTGCTACCAATTACTAATATTTAACACAACATCTTCTCATTTAGTCCTCAAAACAATCCTATGAGAAGCTGAAATCTAGAGAGACTAGGTAATTTCCCCAGAGCACACAGCAGTAACTGGCTGACAGAGTCAACCCCAGCTATGACTCCAAATCCCCTGACTCCACTCTGGCATCATGCAGCAGGTGGTAAGGCAGGACTTTTGTAGCAAAGCTTCCAGCACTGCTGAAATATAGCAGGTAGAAACTCAGCAAACAAAGCCTAGATTCAAGCCATCCAAAAAAAAACACAATAGGGCACTTATTTTTAGCTCCTGCCAAGACAAAAGAAAATAGCAGCTTCTTATTTGTGAAATGACTGTCCCTTTTGAATTAATCCAATGTGAATAAAAAGATAGCATCAAAGTTGGACTTGGATATTGCAGCCAATCTCAAAAGATTCTGGAGGGGACTTTGTATGATCAAGGATAATCTTAAATCACAATCCCTTTCAGGTAAATGTGAAAACTGGGAATGCTTTAATGCTTTAAAATGAATAACAATACATTTCACAGATTTTAGATTTGAAATGCACAGCACTCTGTTCTCCCTGCTCTCAGAAAACCTGTGCTCTGAAGTGAATTCACCGAGGGCTAAAAAGTTCAGTAACACCTACTGAGTTATTGCAGAATGGCTTTTTTTTTTTTTGTCTGAAGCTCTCTGTTCATTGAGCATTATATTCTCAAGAACAGTGTAATATTAAAGAAAAATTGTCTCACAAATCAGTAAAGGCATGTTTTGTCAACCATCTGGTAAGCTGTTAAATGGATGCTTTTTTTGTTTTTTCCTTTTTCCAGCCAAATGATTTCAACACAATCTACTACCAGATGTCTTCTGTTTCTGAACAAATGATGACAGGAAGCAATTTCTGTCTCTCCACAAAGGTATAAATAGCAAATAATCTTGGCTTCATTTAAAGTGTAATGCAACAAACTGTGGAGCCCTGAACCCAACATACACTATTCAGTTTTCTTATGGACATTTTTTATTTCCCAAGATTATTTCAAAGAATAAGAGAAATAAATGATACATTCATAGATAAACAGATGATAAATGTTGGCTCTATTTGTTTTGTTATAGAAATAAAAATTTACCTCAGGAATTATAAATTGTGTTTATAGAGTAGAATTCAATATTACAATGAAATGTGCCATAAGAAAATGTTCAGCTGGTTAGCATTTAAAGATATGCATTACGGTTGGTGCTCTGCAAGCTAATTATGCAAAGCCCAAATTCATATTAATCGTGTAATTTTTATTTTTCTAAAAACTTACTTTTATGTGTCAAATGACATATCCCTCATTGTTCTAAAAGAATTTAAAGTAGATTGCAACAAAAGATATAAAAAAGAAAAACAGAAAATGTCCAGGCAAAAAATTAAAAGAAGATGCAAATATTTTGACTACAAATAACATCATTGCTGCCACTGGAATTTAAATTGGCTCTGCACATTTTCTTAATAAGGCCAAACACATAGATAGATAGATAGATAGATATATAGATAGATAGATAGATAGATAGATAGGTGATAGACAGAGATAGAACATAGTAAATTTTATGCCTGTTCTTATACCATTGTTGCATAGGAAGAAATATATTAACCCTTCAGAGAAGAAGAATTCTGGCACTAAATTTAAATCAAAAGTTACGGGCAAAGGGAAGGGAATTGCTGAATAAAAAAGAAACATATTCTTAAAGCCCCTTTGAATAATTTTCAAAATATCAACCAGAAAGTTTCTACACAGATAGACCAAAATGACAACTTAAATATTCCAAGTGCTTCAAGACGACAGGGTCATCTTCAGAAGATGCTGCAACAAAGACAGGATTGATTTTATTTTCTCAGGGCTGCAGTGGATGAGGATCACAGACAGGTGACTACAGGATCCAGGTAGGTAACAGAGACTATGGATTCAGCCAGAGATAAAACAACAGAGATGTGGTAAGGCCTCTGGCAAAAAGAGAAAAGGCAGGTACCAGCAGAGAGTATGTGCCTAACTAACCCTACAAGAAACAGGATGCTAACAGCACATTCTCTGGGAGGAAATTCAGCTCATAGGTGGTGTGATTATGTTCTGAGTTGCAGGAAAATAAAAATCACTTGCAAAATACTTCATGTCAGATACATTATTGGTAATAACACACAACATCAAAATGAGGTTTTAAGCATGCACAACTTAAAGTATCCACACCATGAAGGATGTAGTAGGTCATGGCAAGGTAACACTTCAGTAATTAGAAAAAGCCAGATAAGTTAACCAATATTATACCTTTAAATATGTGGAAGAGCTGTGGAAGCCATTAGGACTAGATACACTAAAATCACAAAAAGGGCTGGGTGCAGTGGGTCACAACTTTAGTCCCAGCTACTCAGGAAGCTGAGGTGGGAGGATTGCTTGAGCCCAGGAATTCAAGTCTGCAGTGAGCTATGATAGCACCACTGCACTCCAGCCTGGGTGACAGAGTGAGACCCTGTCTCAAAAATAAATAAATAAGTAAAATCTGATAACATGACTTCTGGTTTGAGAAAAGAAAGCAAAAGAGCTAAGCCCAAAATGTCCTATGGTGAAACTGAATCTCCTGTTATTTTAGGGCTGAGAAGACACACCCCCAAGTACTTAGAGAAAAGCCCAAGGAGGTCACACGGAAGAATAAGGATAGCCCTGTCCTGGAAAATACTCATGTATCATGTGATCTAGTATTTTATCTCTGAAAATAATGTCATTTTCTTTGGTAACCCCCAAATTTAGGAATACAACCCAAATATGATCTTCCTTTATAAGCCAGGATAGGTCTTCTATATGTGGATTTATTTAAATTATTAATACATTTGTGTTTTAAACCTTGCTACCACTATAAAAATTTGGTCACCAACAACATTATTTTCTAATTTCATTTATTAGCTAATTCAATTTATAACAGTTTTAATCCAGTCACTTCTAATTTCTACTTTATTGCTGCAAGGCCTTAAAATATTTAATGATTCTCATTGTATCTTTTTTTGCATCTTGTTGAAACTTCTTTTAAAATACATAATTAACATACAAAGATATTTTCTGTGTTAAAACACTTTTTAATAGATATCCTGTGACCTTATCCAATATTACTGTCTTCCTTGGAAGTAATCTGGTGTGAATACTTCCAGGCCTTTTAAAAATACATTTAGAGTTATGTAAGTATACTTGAAGGAATATTTAATTTCTTATATGAAACATTTATGCTAGCATTTCATAGTATGTTGCAACTTGATTTATTCAAGTCAAAATACAAACTGCTTATCTTAGTCAGTTTGGGGTGCTATAATAAAATATCATAGGACTAGGTGGCTTAAACAACATTTATTCCTCGCAGTTCTGAAATCTGCCACCATAACCAAGGCGGCAGTAGATCCAGTTTCTGGTGAGGGCCACTTCCTGTTTGCAAATGGCTGCCTTCTCCTTGTATCCTCACCTGGCAGAGAACAGAGAGAGAGAGAAATTCTATGCCTCCTCCTCTTTACAAGGGCACCAACTCTATTATAATGGGCTCACCTTCCTGACCTAATCTAATCCTAATTAGCTCCTAAAAGCCCCACCTTCAAATATCATCACATGGAGGATTGGGACTTCAATTTATGAATTTTGGGGCCACAAATGTTCAGTTTATAACACTCCTCATATGGATCCATGCCTCTGTATTAAATAACAAGAACCCTTGGATAGAAAGTGATCTGTGTCAAGTAAGAAAACAATCATCCACCCTGTAGAATCTTGGTCATAGAGAGAAGTTCATTCAGTCTATCAGTCTTTCATTTTAAAAAAAGTTTCTAATTGTATTTCTCACAGCTGTTCTTCGTGTTGTCTATTTTCACTAAATATGTTGTTGTCCATACATTTCTTGTCCTTTTTGGCTTTTATGTTGGTCACCTGCCTCTTCTGGCTGCAAGGCCCTTTTTCACAGCAACACATGTTTAAGCCCACAGGGCCTTCAAGAATTGCTCAATGACCCTTTCTCCAAAGCCACTTTATTTTTCCATTTGAAAATGGTGCTCTCTTGGAAACGTCACTAAAACTTAAAACTATTTCCCCCTTGAGTTAGAGATTCACTCGTTTCCCAGCAATCCCCTCCCCCTGCCCCAGTCCTCATGTTCCATGGTCTAAGAAATCCCCCTCTTGATGAACTCCCATTACATTTCATATGTTCCCCTCTGTGGAATCAATAAAAAGTCTACCTTGTATAACAAAGCACATTTCACAAACTAGATGGCAGAGGGAAGGCCCTCTGGCTACTTGGTTAGGACTCACAGATGAGCAGTTTACTTGAAGGCTCTATGACATTAATGCTTACTATTTTTTCTTTTCTTTTTTTTAACTTTCCTTGTCTCTTCTCTGACAGTTCTACAACTTTATTGAAGTATAATGGACATGCAATAAACTGCATGCATTTAAAATGTAGAATTACATGTTTCGACATATTTATTCTACTGAGAAACCAGCAACACAATCAAAATAGTGAACATATATGTTCACCACCCTCAAAAGCATCATCATTCCCCTTTGTATCCCTTTTGTTCATAAATTCTTTCTTTAATTAGATTGCCATACAATTGATACATTATAGATTCTTTTAAATATTCATGATATTTTACTACTTCAGGCTAAACCTTGCCTTAATTAAATTTCATCAAGGCCCTTATCTTCCACCTCTCATTAGGAATTATCTTATTCCCTAAAATACTGTTTTTCAACCTTTTTTTCCTACACAACCCATTCCCATCAGTAACTCTTCTCACTACATAGCCTTATAATACAAACGCTTACTCTTAAATGTGACTCAACTGACAGAAAGATCTCAGCAGATTTTTTTTTTTTTACATAAACACTTTTTTTTTTTTGAGACAGATTTTCACTCTTGTTGCCCAGGCTAGAGTGCAATGGCGTGATCTTGGCTCACTGCAACCTCCGCCTCCCGGGTTCAAGCAATTCTCCTACCTCAGCCCCCCAAGTAGCTGGGATTACAGGCATGCACCACCACGCCCGGCTAATTTTTGTATTTTTAGTAGAGTCGGGGTTTCACCATGTTGGCCAGGCTGGTCTCGAACTCCTGACCTCAGTTGATCCGACCGCCTCATCCTCCCAAAGTGATGGGATTACAGGCGTGAGCCACTGCACCTGACCTTAGACACTCTATAATAAAACGCAACTCTATAAACTACCCAAACATAAGAATTCACTATACTATGAATGTGATATTTTAGAACAAGATGGCAAAAATAATTTTTCGACTTTTAAAGAAATGAATTCCTAGACAAAACAGACCTATTAACAGTTCATAAAATAATTCACTCAACAGGTACTAATTTCTACCACCACCATCACAAATAAACCTCGCCTAGAAGATCACTGCCAAAGAAAACTTCTCAACCATTACATCATCCATTATATTATTGTAACTATCTACCTGGAGTGTAAAAACTTTAATATTCAAGGAACAAAATCACTTGAAACAAATCTTTTATGATCATACATTTTAAAATCAATGGCCATTATAAAAATTGTAGAATGGTTTTCATAGGGAGCATCACATAATGATGGTGTAATTCACCAGGCCACAAAAGGACAGCCTACAAGGTACGGATGGACTTATGCAGATTTTACCAGATGATGGCAGGAAGGGTCATTGTAGCAAATCTCTGGTGATGCGTGAATTGTGACAATTCCCAGTTGTTAGATTTGAGGAGGGGATAACTGTGTGTGCGTGTGTGTGTGTGTGTGTTTGTGTGTGTGTGTGTGTGTGAGAGAGAGAGAGGGAGGGAGGGAGAGAGGGAGAGAGATGGAGAGGGAGAGAGGGAGGGAGGGGGAGAGAGAGAGAGAGAAACAATAAGTTTTTTGAGAGGCTAAAATATTTTTAAACAATTTAGAAAATTTCTTAATCTAGAAAATATCAGCATGGGACTGATCATTTCCAGATTAAAAAATGTTCTAAATTGTTTAAAACATGCTCTTCCACTAAACTCTAATTCTGAGTTGATGGGCTTACGTTAAAATTCTGAGGGTACTCACACAGCTACTTGGCACTGATTTCAGAGTGAGTTCTTGTTCCCAATTTATGTTTG
Source organism: Homo sapiens (assembly GCF_000001405.40). NCBI lineage: Eukaryota > Metazoa > Chordata > Mammalia > Primates > Hominidae > Homo > Homo sapiens. The sequence continues at coordinate 192,735,687 of NC_000001.11, forward strand.
GATCTCCCACAGTGCAGAGCCTTTATCAAACTTTTGTTGGTTGAGATGTAAACGGAATTAGTAATGCAGAGAACAAGCCCAATGCTGAACACAAGCATATAAACTAATGAAACAGGGCTGTTGCTTTCAAAACAGTCACTTCTGTTTCATTTGCTCATTTATTAATTGTGAGATAGTGTGGCAGTCACAGACAGAAATATATGAAGAAAAAAGCATACCAATCAGTGGCAGAGAGTATAGTCATAATGGCATGGCAGAGCCAGACTGTTTGGGTTTGAATGTTGACTCCAACGTTTACAGATAAACTTAGAAAAAATACTTCATCTGTGTTTCATTTATAAAATGCAGATCATACCAACACCTACTTTACAACATCATTTTAAGGATTAAATAAGTTAACATAAGTAAGGTGCAAAGAATAGTGCCTGACATAGCACAGCATTATGTAAGTTCTAGCTATTATTGTTCTAATATTTCTTTTATATTAATTTGGATTTAACATTCAAATAATTAGAAAAAAATAGGTAGATATGAGATAACTTGTGCCCTGAGTTGTAAGAGACAGAAACCCAACTGAGACTGGCTTTTTTTTTTTTTTTTCTTTTCTGAGACGGAATTTCACTCTTTCGCCCAGGCTGGAGTGCAGTGGTGCGATCTCCGCTCACTACAACCTCCACCTTCCAGTTTCAAGCAATTCTCCTGCCTCAGCCTCCTGAGTAGCTGAAACTAAAGGCCCACCACCATGCCTGGCTAATTTTTGTATTTTTATAGAGGCGGGGTTTCACGATGTTGGCCAGGCTGGTCTCGAATCCCTGACCTCGTGATCTGCCCACCTCGGCCTCCCAAAGTGCTGGGATTACAGGCGTGAGCCACCATGCCTGGCTGAGACTGGCTTTTTTAAAAAAAGGAAATTATGCTTAGAGAACTTGAGGAAGTTATGTGTCTCATGGATTAGCCTCAGTAAACAGTGAAACCAAGAACAACTCAAATACCATCATCCTCTCTCCATCACTTTCTTCAACATCAGCTTCATTTCTCTTTTTCTTTGCAAAGTGGTTTCTTCCTCTCTGAAATTTTAACTAGAAAAATGGGGCTGACATACCAAGAGCCTTACATTCCATATTCTGTGAACTCAGAGACTGGTATACTTTTCTCAGTTCTAGTTAAAATATAGTCATATATTGGTTAACAATGGGAATATGTTCTAAGAAATGTATCATTTGGCAGTTCCATTTCTGTGTGACATCACAGAGTATATTCACACAAACCTAGATGGTATAGCCTGTTACACACCTAGGCTATATGGCATAACCTACCAATCCTAAACTACAATTATGTATAGCATGATACTGCACTGAATACTGCAGGCAACTATAACAGAATAAGTATTTGTATCTCTAAATATATATAAACATAGAAAAGGTACAGCAAAAATATAGCATTATCATCTTATGGGACCACTGTTGTATTTGCAGTTTGTCATGAACCGAAATGTCCTTATGTGATGAGTGACAGCACCTTCCCAGGGAAGGCCTCCTATTGCTCATTCCTGAGGCAGCTCCCCAAGGTCCAGATGGATGAGGAAAGGAACAGCTCCCAATGTGACAATGGCTGCAGGGTATTCCAGAGCACTCTTCAACATCAGTAAAAATGTTTTGACATATAAACAAGATAATTTAAGGGCAAAAATAAAGTTCTCCCTCTGCTAGCTTTCCTCAATTAGCTGTTCTCTTTAAGCTCGATAAGACTCCAAGAGCAAAAGAACATCTCTCAACTTCCTGACGCTTTCCAGCACTTGGGACAGGACTGTAGCTGAAATGTTATGGCTGTGTATTATAAACTCAGAAACGGGGTTTTAATAAACAAAAACCACTTTATATGCTGTTTAAAAACGTGCTGCAATCTGTTAAACATGTGGGTATGTGTGTGCATCTGTGCGTGTATTTTTTAATGACATTCTTGGAACTTGTATTTTCATCCGAAGAACAATGTTTTCTTCAAAATAATTCCTGGTGTATCATAGAGAAGACACTGTGTTATCCTCTTGCGTGTCCAGCTTTAAGTGCAATGTGTGGCACACAGAAGTGGCTCAACAAATAATCCTCTAAAAAGGGAATGAGCTGATGAATGAAATGAATGGATGAATGGAGTGGGGGAGAGGTAAAATCTTTTTGATTTTATTAGTTGTAATTCAAAAGTTACCACACAGGGGATTAAAAAAAAAAGAAGAAGAAGGGAGAAAGAGTAGTGTTCCAGATTAAAACTTGGGCAGGGAATCAGTGTTCTAGATTAAAAGCAACTTCAAAAGCAAATGCAAAGGGGTGCTTAATTAGATCTTGTTTTTTTTTTTAAAGCAGCTGTATAAAGCAATATGGGACAAGTGGGGGAATTTGAATATGTGCTGGGTACTAGACAATATGAGACAATTGTACTAATTTTGTTCTTTTGATAATGATACTAAAGTTATGTAAGAAAGCATTCTTTCTTCTTAGATCTGTATAGTGAAGTATTTGGAATAAAAAGTAGGATGTTTAATATTTACTTTTAAGTATCTTAACAAAGAAAAAGCAAAGATAGCCAAAATTTATGGTATATATACACATGGGAAAGAAGCTCCCGAAAGCAAAGGTGCTCAAGTAGCTCCAAAATTACTTCATTATCTTGAGGGTTTATTGTTAACAGGTATAAAAAATACTTTTCTTTTTTATCCATAGAAAGAAACCAAGGACACTCTCAAAATGACCCTAACTTAATTTTTCAGTAGTTTTTAAACACCACACCTGAGACAAACCAAAATACTCACTCTTCCGAAAGAAGATAAGATGGCATGCTGTTCATATCCTGCAACCTTTTGTAATATCCCCTGCTCTCATCTCAACCTCTGAAGATCCAAACCACCAATTAAGGTCCAGGTGAAGTACAACCATGACTATGAAACAGCCCCAGCTGGAGGTCATTTCGCACTGCTCGACCCCAAGGGTATTAGCACTTTGGTGAACATTGGAATCACCTGGGGTGCTTTAAAACGTTTCCAATTCCAAAACCATCCCTCCAGAGACTGAGATTCAATTGGGATAGACTGGAGACAAGAAACTTGAATTTTAACTAAATGCCCAAGGTGAATTTAATGCAGGTGCTCTGAGAACTTCATACTGAAACAAATGCTTAAGTAAACACATTTTTTAACCTTTTTGTTTTAAGTGCATGTTCTTTCCACCATATATTTAATGAGCTTAAAAACAAAAATCACAATTTATAGGTTGTGTTGCTCCCAAGAATCTGGCACGGTATCCTCTCATATAAGGCAATATTAAATATTTGTTGGAAAACGTTACAGTTAGCAAGAAAAGAGTACTAATTATCCCTAAGAATTGATATTTATTTAAATATTGTTCTATTTCAGTTTAAAAAAATATTTAAATTTGTTGCACTAGTACCCCTAGGTTTTTAAAAAAAACTCCTCATCACATTTATAACTTTAGGTTGTAACTGAACTGCAAATCGACAGATGAATTGAATTTTTAAATGTGTTTTATATATATATGTATATACATATATATACACACACATACATATATACACAAATCGGCTTTTTTAAAAAAGGAAATTCTGTCATTTGCAACAACCTAGATGAATCCAGAGGACATTATGCTAAGTGAAATAAGCCAGGCACAAAAAGACAAATACTGCATGATCTCACTTACATGTGAGTCGAGCTTATAAAAGTAGAGAGTAGAATTGAGGCAGGAGAGTAGAGTCTGGAGGCAGAAAACTTCAGGCGTTTCACGCTGACTTCCTAGAACTAAAGTGAAAGGAAAACCCTAACTTTCCATACCTAAGTAACAAAGGAACCAGAAGTTACTCCCTTTGCAAACCCCCACCTTTTCTGCGGGGCAGATGGGAAATTGAAAGTCCCTCTGATTTGTTGCTTTTTGCAACCAATCAGATGTTTGCATAGGAGTGTAACTTTGTAACTTCACTTCAGCCTCTTTGGTTGCTGTCTACAACCAATCAAACTGATTGCCGGCAACTACTTCATTTACGTGAGATTAAACACCAAGTTGCCAATGGGAAACCTCTAGCCGGTATTCTGTATCTGGGCCCTTGAGCCGGCTGCTCGGTGGCTCCCACAATGTGGAGTGTACTTTCATTTTCAATAAATCTCTGCTATCGTTCTTTCGTTGCTTCGTTTCTTTGCTTTGCTGTGCGTTTTGTCCAATTTTTTGTTCAAAACGCCATGAACTTGGACAATTTGCAGTCAAGACCCCCTACTGGTAACAGAATTATGGTTACCAGGCTGGGAGAAGGGGCTGACCAGGGAAAGAGGAGACTTTAGTCAGCAGGTATAAAGTTTCAGTTATACAGGAAGAATAACTTCTGATGATCCATTGCACAGCATGGGGACTATAGTTGATAATAATGTACTTCCTACAAGAGTAGATTTTAGAAGTTCTCACTACAAAGAAATAATAAGTACAGGAGGTGGAGGATATGTCAATCAGCTTGATTTGATTATTCCACAATGTATGCAGGTATTGAAACACCACATTGTACCCCATAAATATATATAATATTATTGACAATTAAAAATTTTTTAAACCGTAGGTCATATATACACACACACTATTATGGTCAAGATTTTTACTTGTGTTTTTTTATACAGTCATATATTTACAATCACTACAATTTAGATAATGGCTTATCAGCCTTTCACAGATTTTTTTTTTTTTTTTTTGCTGAGTGTTTCAAATTTTCTTTAATAGCATTATCATATTTTTGGTAGATTTTAGAAATTGTGATAATTTCTTAAATTATACAGAAAATGTGTGTGTATATATATATATACATATAAACATTGTAAATATATGTACAAATTTCCTCCACAATTTAAGAAATCATCATAAGTTTTAAAGTCTACCAAAAATGCATACACACATATATTTGTATATATGTGTGTGTACAAAGAGAGAGGAGTTGACTTTAGCTAATTAATATTTGATGTAAATGAGGCAATGACTCCAAAATTAGCCTCCTGGTATTTACACCCTAAATGTCACCAGCTGGCTCACAAATAGCAGTTGGCTTGGACATCAGGAAACTAGTGAAAGGCATGTAGACAAACAGAAATTTATCCCCATCCTTCCATTTTTTTCCATGTACCCTTCATTCTTAGTACAAATGTTGACACCTATATTACATCTACATACAATATAAACCATCAATAAAATATAATAATTTTCCCTTAAGCAGGCATATATATTTTTAAAAATTAAGAAGAGAAATATAAAAAAAAGTTATATATTTTTTAACATACTTCCTCTTTCTAGTGCTCTTCATTTCTTCCTGTAGATACAGGTTGGCATCCCCATATTATTTCACTTCACATTAAAGAACTTCATTTTAGCATATCTTGTAGTGCTGGTGTGTAGAAAATTTCATTTTGTTTATCTGTAGATGTCTTTATTTTTGAGGAATAGCTTCACTGAACAATAGTTCTTGTTTGGCAGCTTTTTGTTTTCCTTCTGCACTTTGAATCTATTGTTCCAATGTCTTCCGGATTCCATAGTATACCAAGAAATCAGTCATCGTTATTACTATTTTAGGAGACAGGGTCTCACTCTGGGCCCAAGCTGGAGTGCAGTAGCATAATCACAGTTCACAGCAGCTTAGAACTCCTGGGCTCAAAAAATCCTCCCACCTCAGCCTCCTGAGTTGCTGGAACTACAGGTATGCCCCACGCCAGCTAATATTCTTTATTTTTTTGGAGGGATCACTTTATGTTGCCCCAGCTGTTCTCAAAGTCCTGGCCTCAAGTGATCACCCATCTCAGCCTCCCAAGTAGCTAGGATTACAGGTATGAGCCACTACACCTAGAAATCATTATCTTATCAGTAATTTCCCTATATGTATCTCCCATTTTTTTTCTGGACTTGCTGCTTTCAATATTTTTATTTTGGCATTTTGATTATTATGTGTCCAGGAGTAACATTCTCTGTTTATCCGTCTTCAAGTTTGTGGAGTTTCTTGAAACTGTAGATTAATGTTTGCTTAAACTGTGGTGTTTGGGACATTGTTTAGTCAAGTATTTTTCTAATTCCCTTCTTTTCTCTTCTTCTGGAATTCCAATTACACATATCTTAGACTGCTCCATAATGTCCCAGAAGTTTATGACGTTCTGTTTATATTTTTTACCTTCTTTTCTCTGTTCCTGGATTGTGTAAATTCTATTAATCATTTTTCAAATTCACAATTTTTGTCTTCTTTTACTTTCACTCTTCTGTTGATTATCTAGCATTTAAAAAGTATCAGTTACTGTACTTTTCACCTCTAAAATGTTGCATTTTGATGAAGTTACCATTTCTCTGTTTAGAAATCATTCTTTTAAGTATTTGACCATATTTTCTTTAATTTTAAAATGTATAATCACTGCTTAGAAGTCTTTTTCTAGTAAATTCAACACCTGGGCCAACTCAGAGTCAGTTTCTATCAACTACCTTTTTTCCCTAAGCATGGGCCACAATTTCCTGGGGATTTTTGTTTTGGTTTGGTTTTCGTTTTGCATGTCTTAGAAATTTTGGTAGAAAACTGGACATTGTATATAGTATGTTATAGCTACTTATAATTCTGTATTGTTCTTCTAAGAATTATTGGGGTGTTATTCTAGTACACAGTTAACTTGCCTAGATTCAAACTAAAAATACTGCATCATCCTATGTTAGGTAGCCTATGGCATCTTATAGCAGCGGTTTTTTGTTTTTTTGTTTTTTGTTTTGGTTTTTGTTTTGAGACAGAGTCTCGCTCTGTCACCCAGGCTGGAGTGCAGTGGCGCTATCTCGGCTCACTGCAAGCTCCACCTCCTGAGTTCACGCCATTCTCCTGCCTCAGCCTCCCGAGTAGCTAGGACTGCTGATCTCTGTAAGTCTTTAGATTCCTGCAAAGTTCTGTGGTAAGTCAAGGATTTGAGCAGAGATGATTCTCAGTCACTGTCTGGTTTGGTGCTTCTATTAATTCCTCTCTAATTTTAAACAGCTCTGCTGGCTTTGTTCTCTATATAATGATATTCCAAATCCACCCAGATTCAGCTTTCTGCCATTTGTGCTGTGCACAGCCAAGAAATGCATTCAGTTAAGAAAAGTTTCCCACTCAAATCTGTATACCAATATTTTTTAAAGTGGATTTCTCTTTAGTATCTGCTTGCTTTTTCATTAAGCCTCCTCTCTGTACATATGTAGCTCAGTAGTGAACCATGAATTTACACAGCTTATGTTCTGAATTTGTGTCTTACTTTTTCTGGGGATTTTATGCTGTCAGGATTTTCCTTTAAATTTCTGGCTACTTACCTAGTCCCATATTGATCTCAGCATCATTAGCTGGTAAGGCTGCAGTTTATTTTCACCACCATTTTCCACAGCCATATCTGTGATAACTGATCATCATTCTTGGCCCATAATCTGCAAATTGACAATTTAAAACCGTTGCAATTGCAAGTGTTCAAAGCCATTCCAGTTGCAGGCTTCTGTTTGCTTTTCAATGGTTTTCAGTGTCTTTTCAGTCCAGCATTTTACAGTTGTTATCTGCAACTACTTTACTTCTCTGCCATTAATTACAATCTTTTTTGACCTATCATTTACCACACATCTAATAATGACAAAATATGTACTAATAAGTTACATTAAATAACTAGCTTATTCAGCACAACAATTCTATTAGATTTCTGTTAAGATTGAGCTCAAACAAGTTAACTAACATACTCAACATCATTAACTAAAAAATTCTAGGACTAGGAATTAAATACAGGATTAGGAATTAAATCTCTCTGCCTCCAGCATTATTCAGTAATACATTTGCTATAATCAAATAATAATAACAGTTAATCTTTAATGCCCTCTTGCTATGTACCAGGCATGGTACTCAAAAATTTAGACTTAATTCTAATTAATACATTTAGTCCTCACAGTAAGCCTATGAAATGGGTACTCTTATCAACTGTTTTATAGATGAGAAAACATTAGCCACAGCTTAGCTTATTTGAAGTCACAATAATATTAACTAAGTAAGAGCAAAAGCCAAGATTCAAATGTAGATTATTTTACTACAGACTGAGAAACGAATTAAACTAGGAGCCTAAGATACTTTCTGGAATTGAAATGATACATTATATATACCTATAAAGATAATTGACTATAGCTTCCTAAACTACAAATTGTCATAAAAATGACTTCTGTCCTATATCAATTAGAAACTGGTATTAAAATTGAGTATTATAAGACAATAGAATGTCTAGAGCTTTTAATACATTGATATCAATATCAATTGATAGACTTCAAAAGCTTCATAATTCATTTATTCAAATAAATAGACTTTAAAACATTGGCTAAACAGTGACTTTTTAAAATCTATAACAGGTGGAGCTCTTTAAAAAATAATTTTTGTTTTATATCCAAGTGATTACTTTTATAACAGCTGAAAATTATTTCCTTAATAAGCTATGTACCAAAAATATTAATAATTTAAATGTTGCTTTTGTATACAGTCCTTCCAAACACACAAGCACCATTACCAAAATCAACATTACCACTTTACTATTTTTATTGCTTGTTTACCAGAATTTCACACACTGGTTTTCCAATTAGATACCTAAATTCTATTGTTAATCCTGAGTCATTCTACAAATGAAGATAAAATTGAGAGAATGATTATTGTCATGTAACTTAACAAATGTTTTTTAAGTAAACTTAGTAAAAGCAGTTACTTTTGAGAAAGCCAATTTTAGGCAATAAACCTACATAGAATCAACTTGTGGAAGATGCAGTGATCTATACAAATCGAGAACTAGGGAAATGAAAACTATCTTAAGGTGATTGCTAAATTTAGATCTCCTAGAGTAGACTCTTTAAGTGAGTTGGAAACTCCCATAGGTAAGTTTATCTGTTTCGGGTAACTATTTTCCTAATGCAAACGTAGCTACAGTTTTCATCCATGGATTCCACAAAATGATATAATCACCTTTTCCTTTGTTCCACCAAAGCCCACAAGGCTGATGATGGTCAGATAACTTATTTCTATAATTACCATATGCTTTGACTTCCAATAAGAAAATAACTGAGAAAACCAGGGAATAAATACAAAGAAGTGTTACACCTGGGGAAAGTATTAGTTAAGCTTCTTGGCCCAGTAGGCTTTAACAAAAAAAAAAAAAAAAAAAAATCAAAGCAAGCAATCCTCCAAAGAAATCCACTCTAGTTATTCCTTACTGCAAGTAAATCCAAATCAAATTAACAAGGGCATTGACTCTAAATAAGGTAGCTCTATCTTAAAGTAACTAATATTTTGCGATGTGATGTATAAAAGACAATACAATAGACAAGACCTCTTTAAATTGTGAGTTGGCTGAAATTGGACTATTTCCATTTCATTTCCTGAAACACAACATACGTTTCATTATTGCAAGTAATTTCTTTAAAAACATCTAGCTACACATTAAAAAATTTATAAGCACTTCAGGGTATTTTTCTCAGCCACTGAAAAATATCTAATTAAATATTGTCATGTACAACATTCATAAAAGAAACATGAAAATAGTCCCTCAAGCCAATTATGTTCCCTTCCCTAGAACGTTTTACTCTCAGAAAGTTCTCAACTCATCTGCACCAGGCCATAGTTGTTGATATCGCTAAAATAGACAGTATTACTAATTGTCTCTCAGTAATAGACTCTTTAAAGTTGAAAGTCCTTCTAGATACAAAGAAAGAAATCATACTGAGAAATGTAGACACAATGAAAAAACAATGAGTGAGCTACCTTTTCCGAGCAGAGAGCATTTATTTCTCAGTATCTTCTTTAATCACACTATGTGGGTGACCCTCTAATTTATCAGTTCATTAACCTGGCCAATGAACTGGCCAGGACCTACTAGTCCTGAATGAATAGGACCTACCGGTAAAGACTAATTTTGCATTGGGCCTGTTTGTCACTGTACTCGTACTCAAGGAAGAAGAGCTCAAGAGCTTTGACTGTTTCTGAGACATAAGAGGAAAAGGAAGAGCAGAGAAGCAGTTGATAGTTGAAATGGGATATTGGAATGTACTGCAAAAACAGGATAAACTCTTAAATTTGAATTACAATATCTCACGTATAAAACTTCCTGTAATGTTCAACTAAGCAAAAGTCACATTAGGCATAATGTCACCAGCATGTTACCAGATGCTCAAGTTTTTTTCTCATCACATTTCAAGGGATTTTATAATGAAAATGTTTCATTGTTTAACATACAAATCAGTAGGGAATCCTGTTAGTTTGCCTCATAGAAATATATAGGATTACTTCATAGAAATATATTTTATAGACAACTCCATCATAACAAACTATTCTACCAAATAAGTGATACCTTTTCTACTGTATACTACACATACTTCCTCCTCCTTTTTCCCCCCACCCTGAGATGGAGCTTCACTCTTGTTGCCCAGACTGGAGTGCAGTGGTGCAATCTCAGCGGCTCACTGCAAAGGGTTCAAGTGATTCTCCTGCCTCAGCCTCCCACGTAGTTGGGATTACAGGCACCCACCACCATGCCTGGCTAATTTTTTGTATTTTCAGTAGAGACATCATTTCATCAAGTTGGCCAGGCTGGTCTCAAACTCTTTACCTCAGGTGATCCACTCACCTCGGCCTCCCAAAGTGCTGGGATTACAGGTGTGAGCCACCACGCCCAGCCTACATATACTTTCATTATTATTTTTCACAAACTCTACCTCACTTTAACACATTTCCGAAGTATTACATCAACTAAAAGAAATACAGAAATTCAATCTGATATTGATCTAAAATTTTGTTTATATAATTCGTAGGTAAAGAAATGAGAGTATACTCTTAGCATGAAGTACATACAAGTACCATATGAGGTCTAAAATCAACTTTTTCCTTCCGCTCACTTGCTGGGTCTCCTGACTTTGATCAGCATTTAAGTGAGTAGGATACCACCTAAGTGAGTAGGATACACACAAGATATCTGAGAATGAATGATCTTCCCTGTAACTGCTTTGAATCCCTGGAATATACCCTCTTACTCAGTAGAAAACAGTTTTAGTGTGTTTCTTTAATTGTTTTTCAAGCTTTTCATTTGTTTTCTCTATCAAATGAGGGGCAAACTCAAGGTTCTTTTCACTTTATTTCTCACCAAATATGACAAAGTTACTCATATCAAAGCTAAAAAGTAATATTCTCCCATTCATCACAGCCATTTAAGAGTAACACACTTTGTTGAATTATCCTAAGATGAAATTTCAAAGACAAAGGTCATGCAATTTCAACTGTGGTAAATACATTTAGCAAAAACTCTTGGAATACTTGTCTATAACAAAGAATAATTTCAGAAGAACATGAGTTTAATTATCATGTATATCACTCAAGTACAAAGACTCAAAAATATATTGATAATCTGAAAGGTTTTTCTATATAAGTTTAAAAATAGCTACTCATAATATCATACAATTTCTATTCCCAGTAAGCATGTTCTGTAAAAATAAAATATTCATGGAACGTCTGTGTCTCCTCTTTGTTTAAAAGAAGTTAGAATAGATGTAAGACACATTATTTAAAAATATTGTTTAAAAGAGGAGAGCATATGAATATGAACATTTTTCAGATTTCATTTTATTCATAAATTCTTGAATATTTGACTTATCTGAATGTCTTCCCAAGGGAATCAGGTGGTATTACCATAATCAAGTAAGGATTTCTCAATAAGTAATCCCAGCAGGAGAGCTAACAGTCAAGATTTCCTATCTGGTGGTGAAATGGAGAGAGTTAGGGATGTGAATCAGAGATGAAGTTCTGAGCTGAATCACCCCCAGTGAATATAAATGAGGCCTCCATCTGGGATTTTAGAGTATATTATTTCCTTCACTACCATGGGTTTACAGTTTAACTCATATCCAGCCAGATGTATTTAATTCATATCCAACTAGGTGACAGGCTAGTTTTTACTTCTATAATTATTAACAATGATATATACAGCCTAGAATTAATCCAACAGGAAGCTCTGGCATTTGAGTAGAGTTAGTAGTCCATGTGCATTACTGATGTATCCACAAATAATATACTACCATCAGCTTAAGGGCCAGAAAGCATTTTCAACACAAATTGTTATATATGTCTTTAAGAGTCTTTAATGTTTTAATTCTAGAGTGGAACGTAAGCATATTTGCCTATGCATGAATAATCTTCCCATTATAGCCTTTAGATACTGATTCTTCACACACGAAGACACCCCAATAGCCTAAAACAGGCATTCAATATGGAAATGTTTTTTAGCAGAAGTTCTGCCTACCCACCCAATTAATAACCAATTCACCCCAAAGTGAATCAGAAATAGACTTAGGAGGGAAGAATATTTTATCTGCCAAAGCAATGCAATGTGCTTTTGTTTACACCTTTTTGTTGATAGTTACCATGCAACACAAGAGGCCACAGCAGCCCCTGAGGAAATAAGATGAGATTAATCATATGTGATGAAATGCTGACACTATATTACATAATATTTCAGTGCTACCATAGATACACCCATTTTAGCTTCAGATGAATAAAACGTTTTGCTCCATATTTATAATGATAAGTAGTAAGACGTTTTAAAGGGATTCTATAAGAATGGTATCAAGGTTTTATTGGCAAAGGTCATTAAAAATTGTTATATACACAGCCATTCTACTCAACTTTGCTATCTTTGGTACAGATGGACTTCTGTGGTTTTAGGTCTTATTCATTCATTTATTCTTTAAAAAAAATTATTGATCTATGACAATGTAAACATACTTTGCACTGAATAGGATTTTGCCTAAGGTTTATCCTATACTAAGTCTATCTTATGATTACATTAATAAAGTTTCCCAGAGTTGAGGATGTTTCAGTGTTTCCAGGGTAAAAAATTTGGTAACAGGCCGGGTGCGGTGGCTCACACCTGTAATCCCAGCACTTTGGGAGGCAGATGCAGGCAGATCACGAGGTCAGGAGATTGAGACCATCCTGGCTAACACAGTGAAACCCCATCTCTACTAAAAACACAAAAAATTAGCCAGGCGTGGTGGCAGGCACCTGCAGTCCCATCTACTTGGGAGGCTGAGGCAGGAGAACAGCGTGAACCCAGGAGGTGGAGCTTGCAGTGAGCCAAGATCACACCACTGCACTCCATCCTGGGCAACAGAGCAAGACTCCAACTAAAAAAAAAAAAAAAAAAAAAAAAAAATTTGGTAACATATTTAAGGCACCCGTAGACAGAATATTTCATGTCACTGACGTATATTAATAAGTAATTACTTATTACAGAGAAAAATATAAGTTTCTAAAAAAGGTAAAGAAACAAATTATAAATCTATGTAGAAGTACACTGATATGTGATTTTCCTTCTTTAATGAACAAATACTTATTGAGATTCAACCAAATGCAGAGCACTATGTTAGAAGCCATGTGCAGGAGACGGGCAGTGTCAGGGAGGTTGGAGAATATAAATCGCAATCCTCCAAAATTCAAAAGGACTTAAAATCTAGAGGAGGAAAATATTAAAATGGAAGAAAGGTTAGCTCCTAATTTAAGGTAACATTATTTAATAAATAAGAATATGCACTTCAATCTAGGTTTCACCAGTTTAAGATGGTGGCCTACATTTAAATTATTTAAGATGTTTCCTAATCAAAATTAGGATAACAATGGTACCTTTTTCTCATGAGGTTTGAGGATTAAATGAGGAAATAATCTTAGCACAATGCTTGGACTTAGCATTCAGGAAATGTCTATTGTTATTTGATTCCAAATGAGTAATACATACAAGAGGAGAAGAACTTGGAAATGGAGTAGAGGTAGAGGTAGTACACAGCAGAACAAAAGAAACATCAAGCATGGGGAAGGACTTCAATGGGAGCTTGAAAGACAGGATATAAATAGGCAAAGATAAACAGGGTAGTACTACAGTCTGTTGGAGAGGAGTAACAGAGGACAGACACAAATGTCATGTTTGCTGAACCAATCTAAGTAGAATAGAAGGTGTGGGTTGCAGTTTACTAGGATGTAATATTGTAAACAAGAGTGGAGGCCAAATTGAGGCACTTTGAATAAAAAGGCTAAATGATCTGCACTTCACAGGTAATAGGGAGTAAATTGGTTGCTGGTTTTGCATATTAATCAAAAATATTCATGTTCAGAGACTGTCAAAGAAATATAAATAAATAGTCCTACTGATTTATAGAATCTAGTTTTTGGCACCATGCTTTCAAAAATAAAATCTAAGATATTAAGGGAAAGAATTGACCCTTTTAGAAACATGTTTAGATTTTATAAGCCATGCATCATAGTTATATATCTGCATCTTCATGTTCCATTTTCAGATAAATATATAGGCTCTTTGACTTTCAATGCAAAAGTTAATAGCTAATCTATTTTTAACTAGGATAGCAAGCATGCTTGGCCTACTGAGTTCTGTAAGTAGAGAAGAATAACACAACAGTAAACAGAAATTACTTTATGAGTCAACTGTGCATCTAGTCTTGAAGAAAATGTCTTCAGTGTTACATCACTCCAATTAATTCTTCAGATCTCATTAATTAGATAAGCATGCCAAATTAAGTTTCATAATACTTAGGCCGATTTTAGGGCATGCCAAAGATTCTTATGTATGTTATGACTTCTGAAATATTAAAAATTTTTAAATGGAATTTTCTAGATTTAAAATTATAAAATTCTTTAAAGTTTCAAAGTCAACACAGACTTATATGTACTTCATTTCAAATTTTAAAATAGTTTTGTCTGTGATTAAAAATATTTAACTGAAGTCAACCTGATGAATTAAATAGGACTCATAAGATTCAAATGTATGATAATAACATAAACTACACCTTAGGAGGGCATGGGAACTGAGGGATCCATATATTAATAGCGATGCCTACAGACAAACTGCTTTAACTGCTAGGGGAAAAAAATGAATTGCTGACTCTAAGAACCAGAAGAGTATTTGAGGAGAGACACTTTCCAGCAGAGTCCCCTCAAGTCAAATCATTCAGATGACCCAGTCATTCTACCAGTGATGTCAGCCATGCTTAAAGATAAAGAAACTTTTTCTTTCTTTTTTTTCTTTTTTTTTTTTTTTTTTTTTTGAGATGGTGTTTCACTCTGTCACCAGACTGGAGTGCAGTGGCACTATCTCGGCTCACTGCAACCTCTGCCTCCCGGGTTCAAGTGATTCTCCTGCCTCAGCCTCCTAAGTAGCTGGGACTACAGGTGCATGCCACCATGTCCAGCTAATTTTTGTATTTTTAGTACAGATGGGGTTTCTCCATGTTGGCCAGGATGGTCTCGATCTATTGACCTCGTGATCTGCCCATCTCGGCCTCCCAAAGTGCTGGGATTACCTGCGTAAGCCACCGCGCTTGGCCAATAAAGGAACTTTATCCCTATCCCCGATCAGGTATGACATAAAAGACAATCACCAATTAGGTGCTGACTCATGCACCTTAATAAACAGCTGAAAGATGTGTATAGGAAGGACCTCTCTTCCTATTCAGTTCAGTTCTGCAAACATATACTCAAAATCCAAGGGCAGTAAATAAAGCACTCCACGTGGTAGTAGCTGCAGACTTCAGCATGGCTGTCCAAACACAGTGACCTGCTGCAATCAACTGCAGCCTACCATGCCCGAGCCCCCCAACCAATGGGCTCCCTTGCAGCCCGAGCCTCCCCGACGGCCACTGCCCCCTGCTCCCTGGCACCTGGTCCCATCCACCGCCCAAGAGCTGAGGTGTGCAGGCACGTGGCAAGAGACTGGCGGGCAGCTCCGCCGCAGCCCTGGGGCGGGATGCACTAGGCAAAGCCAGCTGGGCTCCTGGTGGGGTGGGGTCTTGGAGAACTTTTCTGTCTACTGGAGGATTGTAAATGCACCAATCAGCACTCTGTCTAGCTCAAGGTTTGTAAATGCACCAATCAGCGCTCTGTGTCTAGGTCAAGATTTGTAAACACACCAATCAGTGCTCTGTGTCTAGCTAATCTAGTGGGGATTTGGAGACCTTTTATGTCTAGCTAGAGGATTGTAAATGCACCAATCAGCACTCTGTGTCTAGCTCAGGGATTGTAAACTCACCAATCAGCAGCCTGTCAAAACAGACCAATCAGCTCTCTGTAAAATGGGCCAATCAGCTCTCTGTAAAATGGGCCAATCAGCTCTCTGTAAAATGGACCAATCGGGAGGATGTGGGTGGGGCCAGATAAGGGAATAAAAGCAGGCTGCCTGAGCCAGGAGAGGCAACCCACTGGGGTCCTGTTCCATACTGTGGCAGATTTATTCTTTCACTTTTTGCATTAAATCTTGCTGTTGCTCACTCTTTGGGTTCGTGCCGCCTTTGTGAGCTGTAACAGTCACCACAAAGGTCTGCAGCTTCACTCCTGAAGCCAGCGAGACCATGAACCCACTGGGAGAGGCAAACGACTCTGGATGGGAGGAATGAACAGCTGCAGACTTGCTGCTTTTAATAGCTGTGACACCGCAAATGCAAAGGTCTGCAGCCTCACTCCTGAAGTCAGTGAGACCAAAAACCCACCAGAAGGAAGAAACTCCAGACACACCATCTTTAAGAACTGTAACACTCACCGTAAAGGTCCGCAGCTTTATTCTTGAAGTCAGTAAGACCAAGAACCCACCCATTCCGGACACACAACCATGAGAAAAGGATGGAGTTATGACTGATAGAAAAGGAATTGCTCATCTCTGCAAAGTAATTTTAGTTCATCTTTGTCTCGATGGTCATAATCTCAATAAATCTCTGGCAGGTATTATGCGTGAATAGATGGCACTACATGACAAAAGTTGAGTACCACTGATTGGCGAAGTAGGAAATACTCCATAATTCTCCTGTGTGCACAGCAACTACTGTTCCCAAAAGTCTCTCCACTGGCCCAGGAGTATGCTCTCTAATTCAGTAGCACAGAAATTTTGCAAGTGGTTTGACTGAATAGCTGTAACCTGGCAGGGGTCACCCCAGTATCCCTAGTCGTATGGTAGTTGAAACCATATAAAATACCGTTTGATTTTTAAATTTCAAGAATGTAATGACAATGTCTTATAATCCATTGTAACATTCAACACAATCTTTAATGTGGAATGTTTACTGAATAAAAAAATGAAAAATGAAAGACTGGGGAAGGTAGGACTTATTGGCAATAGTTAGACTAACTAAATTGTGAATTGTACACTGGGTTGGCATCAGGATCTTTTATGCGACTGAAATCTTCCAAAGTAGCTAATGGGTAAAAAGGAAATGTGCAATTGATTGAAGTTTGGAAGAGAGAGAGAACAGGCACTCCCAGCCCATCTCCTCCCATCTCATTTACTTCTACCAATTGTCCCTTGAGGGATCTCCTAAAACCTTCAGCATTTATCAGAGCACAGGTTAAACAAAACCACGCCAAACCAAATTCTATAACTACAAGAATAAAATTTACTTGGTTTATCACTGTAATTTTTTTTTTTTTTTTTTTTTTTTTTTTTGAGACGGAGTCTCGCTCTGTCACCCAGGCTGGAGTACAGTGGCGTGATCTTGGCTCACTGCAAGCTCCACCTCCCGGATGCACGCCATTCTCCTGCCTCAGCCTCCCAAGTAGCTGGGACTACAGGTGCCCGCCACCACGCCCAGCTAATTTTTTATGTTTTTAGTAGAGATGCGGTTTCACCATGTTCACCAGGATGGTCTCGATCTCCTGACCTCATGATCCGCCCACCTTGGCCTCCCAAAGTGCTGGCATTACAGGTGTGAGCCACTGGGCCCAGCGGTTTATCACTGTAATCTTAACACATAGGTACTAGCTTTTAGTAAGTGCTTAGTAAACATTTACAGAATGAATGAATGCAGGGTTATGACATTTAGAAAAACTATTCAAGGAAAAAGGGGCAAATTTATAGAAAGATTCAATAGTGAACAATTTATTCACCCCAAGATTCATATAAAATTGCCTTTAAAAACTACAAAGATATAAACAAAAATATTCTCAAAACGCATTTGTAGAAATTTTATTTTACTTTAGTAATATGATATTCATTGGGTTGTGAGTCTAAGTACGGAAAATAAATGATTCGTTTTTAGAAGCAGCTATTCTGTTGTGTTCACGTAGACTGAAAATCTGGGATGTATCTGCAAACTCATTTATGCTCATAGCTTGAGATTGAGCATGCATTATTTGTTCTTTTAGAGAGTTTCGTTTCTTTGATGACTGGCTACAGCAGTTTAAATGATTCTTTCCTCAAGTTCCTGATACTGCTTTGTTCCACCTTTACATTTCCCTTGTACTACTCAAAATTAATCTTCATGTTATAGGTTACAGGATGTTTTCCCCAACTCAGGGCATTGTACTTATGTTTCACTTAAATGTAGGTATTCTTGTTTCAAGGTTGCTAAAATGCAGAAACTTCCTAGAAGCTATTCAGTGGCGTTTCTTAATTAGAACAATATATACCGGTTCTTGTGGACAAAGAACTGTATAATGTTTGATGACTTAAATTTTATTGAATATATAAAGCAACTTATCAAAGGAGAAACAGTTTCTCACTGAAGACAGACAAATGTCTTTCACAGTGAGCTACCCAACCAAAAATCCTTTTTCAGC
The DNA here is from genome assembly GCF_000001405.40 of Homo sapiens. Taxonomy (NCBI): domain Eukaryota; kingdom Metazoa; phylum Chordata; class Mammalia; order Primates; family Hominidae; genus Homo; species Homo sapiens. The sequence continues at coordinate 192,754,323 of NC_000001.11, forward strand.
ATAGGCTCTTGGATGTTTTCATTTACTTGATAATAGAATTTTATAAATAATGCAAAGTGGTTCCAAAAGTTTAATTGAATTTATGTATACAAAAGTTTACCGTATAGGACCAATATTGTTCATAATTTAACTTTGATAAAGTTTATTGAAAACATTAGGCCAGGTGCAGCAGCTCATGCTTGCAATCTCACTGCTTCATGAGGCTGAGGTAGGAGGATTGCTTGAGGCCAGGATTACAAGACCAGCCTGGGCAACATAGTGAGACTTCTCAGCAGACTATCGCAAGGACAAAGAACCAAACACCGCATGTTCTCACTCATAGGTGGGAATTGAACAATGAGACCACATGGACACGGGAAGGGGAACATCACACACCGGGACCTGTTGTGGGGTGGGGGGAGGGGGGAGGGATAGCATTTGGAGATATACCTAATGTTCAGTGACGGGTTACTGGGTGCAGCACACCTGGGTGCAGCACACCAACATGGCACATGTATACATATGTAACTAACCTGCACGTTGTGCACGTGTACTCTAAAACTTAAAGTATAATAAAAAAAAAAAGAAAAAAAAATTAGCCAGGCTTGGCAGCACATACCTGTAGTCCTAGCTATTTGGGAGGCTGACGTGGAAGATCCCAAGCCCAGGAGTTGGAGGTTATGTTAGCTAGGATTGCACGACTGCATTCCATCCTGGGTAGCAGAGCGAGACCATGTCACCCAAAAAAAAAAAAAGTTTAATACTTTTGAGGCCTAGTGGCAGGTAGAAAGAAATGAGTTCTATTAGAGAATATCTCATTTGTGACTCAAGGTTTCTTTTATAAGTCATATTAACTTTTACTTTGATTTCAGCAATTTCATGCAAGAGAACATGTAAACCATGGACTTAGGTCTATAGTCTGGTCATATGTTCCAAAAACATAAGGATATTCCTAGGATTGATGCACTCATTTCAAAAAGTAAAATTCTAGGAATTTAAAGATTCGTTTTCCTTTCTTCCTTCAAAGATGGGTATCTGAGAATTCAGACAGCTTCTAGTTCAAGAAATATACCTGCAAAACATTGAAGGTAATTGACACTCAAAACTTTCCATCATCTTTGAAACTGTGGCTTTGTTTTCATTGGAAACTGTTGAATTTTTCTAAAATCTTTTGTTCCATTGGAGGTAGAACATTCAAGTGATGAGAGAAAATTCAACTTTCTAGTAGCTCCTAGTCAATCCATACACCTAGTGTCAGCCTGAATACCTGCATTTCTTTGAACAAATTAGTTGTTTTTTTCTCTGTTGCTTAAAGTTCAGTATGCTCAGATCTTTGGTCACATTAATATGAAGTACTATTTAGGAACCACTCATATCCATCAAATTGGCTCTCTCAAAATCCTTTGACAAAAAAAAAGGACTTGATCTGAAAAAGGAGCTTAATGAATATCTTTAATAAGGAGATAAGAACAAAGAGATTTTCACACCTGATCAGTTTCTTCATCCACATTACTAATGTGGCTTGCAATGTTTACTGCATACATTCTGTTAATGCATAAGGCAATGGAAATTATGCACAAAAATAATTGTCCTTAGGTAAATGATTGAAATATTATTTTCTTTTCATTGTGAGTGTTCTATCTTTAGGAAATGAACTCAGTTTTTATTGCTTTCAAGGTGATGATTTTACTCATGGTTACAATGTTAGAAAGTTACATTTATAAAAAGTTTCAGGGCTACATACTTAAGATTTGAAATGTTTATTGTGTGTTAATTATAACTCAGTAAGAAAAAGAATATGTTCAAATCCTACAGCAGCCAGATCTTTGCAAAATTAATATGGGTCTCAGTTTTTACATATATAAAATAGCGATTATAATGCTACATGCATCTCTTGGTTACACAATTTATATAACCATAGGAGGAGATATTTTCTATACAATAAAAATTATGTTAACACTAAAGCAGCTCCATTGTCTGGGTATATACCCTGGGGTTCATTATCATGCGCCAGTAAAATTTAGGACACGGACACACACGAGGAGTTTAGGAGCAGAGGTTTAACAGGCAGAAGAGGAAGAGAAATAGCTCTCTCTATAGAAAGAGGGGTCTCCAAGTGGAAAGGACCAGCAGGTGGTGGATGCACCCGAATTTTATAGTCAGGTTTGAGGAAGTGGTGTCTGATTTACATAGGACTCACAGATTGGTTTGATGAGGTATGACGTTAACATAGCATGAGGAAGGCTGGCCACCCACCCTAATCTTATTATGCAAATGGGCTTTTCAGTTGATCTGCACCATCTTGTCTGCTTCTTACTGTATATGTAGCTGACAAAGAGAAGGGAAGATGGAGCCACCATCTTGAACATGTCTAGTCCTTAGTTTCTGCCTGGCATTCACCTGTGAAAGCTCCCAGCTTGCTTGTCTTGTGTCTGCAGCCCGACTTTACGGGCTGCTCTTTGTTAGAAAATGATTTTGAGCTGCTTTCATTAAAAAGGAAAGCCTTATCGAGGACTCCCATACCCTTACTATCTGCCTAAGTGATTTCTTCTTAACTCCTATATCAACACTAGGTACCACTGAACTTAAGAAAGTTTATATACATTTTTATTATTTTCAATTGCTTGGAAATCTCTGCATAGTTACCATCTTCTTCCTGCTTCCTTTGTCCTGGCTGTGGTAATGCGTATTGCTGCAAACCTCTTCAACACCTATTCAGCTAAGTAGAGCTTGGTCTGGCACCTGTAGTACTCTTGAGACTTGAGGCTGCTCTGCTGTGAGGCTGAGGCCAGAGTCTGAATGCTGGGCAGGCCACCAGGAACCGTTTTGTCTGCCTTTTCAGAAAACAAGCATTGACTTTCTGAGCCCACTTGAATTTCAATATAGACTTGTAATAGAAAACCCTTTTTGCCCAAGGGTTGTGTCCTAAATGGTACCTCAGGTCTTTTCATCTTGTATTCTCAAAAAAGAAAAAGAAGAAAACCTAAGTAAGTTGGAAGGCTCCCCTGGTGACAGAGCTTTAGCTTTCTCTTCTTCCTTTAATTTTGAAACTGGAAACTATTTTGAAAACAAGTTTGTGCTGAATGCTAATGATTATGTTTTACTCTAATATTAAGATTTGTAGTAACATTCTGATGACTAGTATTAATGACTTTCTTTTCTTAAAAAACAAGTCCTAATTCACTCTGCACAATTTAAAACAATGATTTACATGTAGTAGAACAAGTTTTAAAGAGACATATGCAATTATTTCTTCACAGAGTGTTAACATTTTAAACCTAGTCAGTTTGTAAGATAAGCCTCTCTCAAGTACTTTCTTTTGAGCAAGATAAATGCACCTTATAGAAAAACTTCTATAAAGTTTTCTATAAACTTTATAGAAAGCTTCTCCATTGGAAGCTTTAACAATATTTTCCAAATGGTTTTACTAATCATCAGTTTAATTTTATGGACTGGCCATTTATGGGACATTGCCAGACACCGTTAGAGTTTTCAGCAAATTACAGTGATTTCATCTTAAAGCTGAAGTCAGAGAGCCAATAATCTTTTTTCTTTTAATAGACTCTCTCTCTTCTGGAGAAGTTTTAGATGCATAGCAAAATTGAGTAGAAGGTACAGAGATTTCCCATATACACCCTGCCTCCACAGCCTCCCCCATCATTTGTTACAAGTGATGACGTACATTGACACATCATTATCACTCAGAGTCCATAGCTAACATTAGGGTTTATTCTTGGTGTTGTACATTCTATGAGTTTAAATACATGCATAATGACGTGTATCTACCTTTATAGCTTCATACAGAGTATTTTCACTGTCCTAAGAATTATCTGTGCTCTGCCTATTCTTTCCTGCCTCACCCCTAACCCTTAGCAATCACTGATCTTTTCACTGTCTCCATATATTTGCCTTTTCCAGAATGTTATGTTATAGTTGGAATCATACAGTGTGTAGCCTTTTCAGATTAGCTTCCTTCACTTAGTAATATGAATTTAAGTTTTCTCCATGTCTTTTCATGACTTGACAGTTCTTTTCGTTTTAGCACTGAATAATATTCCATTGTCTGGATGTACCATAGCTTATTTATCCATTCACCTACTGAAGGACATCTTGCTTGCTTCCAAGTTTTGGCAATTATGAAAAAAAGTACCATAAACACCCATGTGCAGGTTTTGGTGTGAACATACATTTTCAGCTTTTCTGGGGTAAATACCAAGGAGCACGATTGTGGATTTTATGGTAAGAGTATGTTTAGTTTTTGTAGGAAACTGTCAAACTTGTAATAGAAAATCCTTTTCCAAAGTGACTGTACCATTTTGCATTCCTAACAGCAATGAATAAGAGTTCCTGTTTCTCCACATCCTTGCCAGCATTTGATGTTGTCAGTGTTCTGGATTTCAGCCACTCTAACAGGTATGTAAAGGTATCTCATTGATGTTCTAATTTGAATTCTGTTGACATATGATGTGGAGCATCTTTTCACATGCTTATTTGCCATCTGTATATCTTCTTTGGTGAGGTATCTGTTAAGGTCTTTGGACCATTTGTTAGTTGGGTTGTTTGTTTTCTTATTGTTGAGTTTTAAGGGTTCTCTGTGTTTTGGATAATAGTCCTTTATCAGATATATGTTTTGCAAATATTTTCTCCCAGTCTGTGGCTTGTCTTTTCATTCCCTTGATATTGTCTTTCACAGAGAAGTGATTTTTCATTTTAATGAAGTTCAGCTTTATCAATTCTTTCTTTCATGGATCATGTCTTTGGTGTTGTAAATAAGAAGTCATCGCCATATCCAAGGTCATCTAGATTTTCTCCTACATTGTCTTCTAGGAGTTTATAGTTTTGCATTTTACATTTAGGTCTGTAATCCATTTTGATTTCATGTTTGTGTAAGGTCTGTGTCTAGACTCACTTGTTTAATGTGGCAGTCCAGTTATTTGTGCACCATTTGTTGAAAAGACTATCTTTGCTCCATTGTATTGCCTTTGCTCCTGTGTCAAAGATCAGTTGGCTTTATTTACGTAAGTCTATTTCTGGGATCTCCATTCTGTTGCATTGATCTATTTGCCTATTCTTTTGTCACTATCACACTGTCTTGATTATTGTATCTTTACAGTAAATCTTGAAGTCAGGTAGTGTCAGACTATTGAATGTCTTCTCCCTCAATATTGTGTTGTTATTCTGGGTCTTTTGCCTCTTTAAATAAACTTTAGAATAACTTGCTGGGATTATGATTTAAAGTGAACTGAATTTATGGATCAAAGTTAGGGAGAACTGACATGTTGATGGTATTAAGTCTTCCTATCCAAGAACATGGAATGGTGTTCCATTTATTTAGTTCCTCTTTGATTTTTTTCATCATATTTTTAGTTTTCCTCATATAGATTTTGTGCATTTTTTTGATTTAGCTATATACCTAAGTATTTTTTAGACGCTATTATAAATGATATTGCATTTTTATTTCAACCTCCACTTACTAATTGCTGGTAAGTAGGAAAGCAGTTGACTTTCATATATTAACATTGTATCCCACAATCTTGCTATAATCCCTTGTTAGTTCCACGAGGATTTTTGTTGATTCTTTTGAATTTTCCTCATAGACAATCATATCATCTTCAAACAAATACAGTTTTATATCTTCCTTCCCAGTAAGTATACTTTTATTTCCTTTTCTTACTTAATTTCATTAGTTAGGATTTCTAGTATGATGCTCAAAAGGAGTGTTAAGAGGGGACATCCTTATTTAGTTCCTGGTCTTAGTGGACAACCTTTTAGTTTCTCACTGTTAAGTATGATTTGAGTTGTAGAGTTTTTTGTAAATATTCTTTATGTATCAAATTGAGGAAGCTCCCCTCTATTTCTAATTTAACTGAAAGTTTTTATCATGAAAGGGTGTTGGATTTCATCAAGTGCTTTTTCAGCATCTATTGATATTATTATGCCATTTTTCTTCTTTGGCCTGCTGATGTGATGAATTACATAAATTGATTTTTAAATGTTAAGCCAGTGTTTCATACCTTGAATAAATCCCACTGGGTCATGGTATATAATTCTTTTTATACATTGTTGGATGTGACTTCTAATATTTTGTTGAACCAATGATTTTTCTGCATAAATATATTAGTTTCATCAAAGGGGAACTTTTAAGATAATTTAAATTCACTTATTTCCTAACATACAGCATATTCAAATATCTATTAAAAGCTATTTACATCATTTTTTATTTTCTCTTGGCTATTGATTTTTTGAATAGGAAATAATGAGTTATTCATGAATTAAAAATTAATATTAGTTAATATTTACTGAGTCCTTACTATGCCATGCACTATGCTAAACTAAATCATTTAATCCTTAGAAAAGCACTATAGGTATGCATTACTATCACTAGACCTGTTCTACAGATGAAGAAATTGAGGCTCAAAGAAGTTAAGTAACTCATCCAAGGTTATACAGATCCAGTCATTTGCATCCAGGCAGTATAGCTCCAGAGAGCCTACATTTAACTCTATGATTTACAGTTCAACAAAATCATCCACCACTCATTCACAACTCAGCAAGTTTCCTGACAGATAAATCAAATAACAAATTTGAACGGCACAAAGCATCCATGTGTTGCTTTTCATCTTTTCATCAGCATTTCAAATTATTTCCTGGGTGACCCTCATGTGCCAGGCACTGTTTTAGCAACTGCACAAACAGAGACTCAGACGTCTAAGATCCCTGTCCGAACTTCTTTCTAGTAGGATCAGGAAGTAGAATGGTCAGGAAAGATTTCTTTGAGGAAATAGCATTTGAGCTGAGAAAAAAATTGTCTTTGGAAGACTATTGGAAGAAACTAGCTATACAAAGAGCAGAGAGATTGGGATTTGTGCAAAGAAAATATAGTTATGAAATCCTCGTGACAGGAAAGCACTTAATTTGTACAAAGTACTGAAAGGACAAAAAAAGAAAAAAAGGTGATCTGTATGGCTAAAATCTAGTGAATAGACGTATATGTGGGACATGCTGAAGTTAGCAGGCAGAAAAGCAAGCTCAGACATGGCCATGTGGGCAAAGTACAGATTTTATTCTAAGCATGATGGGAAACCACTGGAGGGCAATAAACAAACAGGGTGACATGGACCACTCTGACCTGTCTGTGGCTTGTAACAGAGCCACAAGTAGAAGCAGAGAGATCAGTTAGGAGTTTATGGTAATCTAAGTGGAGTGGTTTGAGTTATGGTAACATAAGTGAGAATGAAAGGAAGGAACAGTTTTTGAGAAATATTTTGAGTGTATATTGACAGGTCTTTTGGCTAAAGCAACTGAATGAATGGTAGTAACATTTGCCGAAATTGAGGAGCTTCAGAAAGGAACTGGATGGGAGAGGAGGCAGGAAGGTTGGAGGATGGGGAGAACAGATGAAATAGTTCTGTTTGGAATGTGTTGAGTTGGAAACGTTTAATTCACATCCAAATAGAGATTATTTACATCAAGTATTTCTTAGTCTTTGACCTTGAAGACAAGGCCTGGTGCCCACTGCAATGCATGAGCTCAAACTATATTTCTAGCTCTAGTACAGATCAAATGTATACTTTAACACAAGTGGTAAAGTTGATAGAAATTTAGTCTTAGTAGAGCATAGCTGTTTCAAGACTTATAATTATTTGAAAGCTATTTAGATGATGTGGAAGGCTGAAATGTTTACATAAATTAAAAGAACTAATAATCTGTATGTTCTAATCACTACCTGGAGAGGGCCTTTAGAGCTGCCCAGCAACGATACTGTATTTTCCTAATTATTCACTCCCTACTCTCCTAACTGCTTTTCTCTTTTCAAATTTTTTTTTTTTTTTCCGAGACAGAGTCTTGCTCTGTCACCCAGGCTGGAGCACAGTGGTGCAATCTCAGCTCACTACAACCTCTGCCTCCTGGATTCAAGCAATTCTCGTGCCTCAGCCTCCCGAGTAGCTGGGATTACAGGCATGTGCCACCACGCCTGGCTACTTTTTGTATTTTTAGTAGAGATGAGGTTTGACCATGTTGGCCAGGCTGGTCTAGAACTCCTGACATCATGATCTGCCCGCCTCAGCATCCCAAAGTGCTGGGATTAAAGGCGTGAGCCACTGCACCCGCCCTCTTTTCAAATTTCTAACAGCTCTTTCTCACTCTTACTCTTAGATGATGACCTTACTTCCTGTTTCTCTTAAAAGAGAATGTCCCCCACCACAACAATCCACCTAACTCTGTCTGTGCCCATATTTCCTTCTTTCTCTCCAGTTAAAAATCTAGAAATGTCTCTATTCCTAGCAGAACTAAATTAGATCCCCCTCCTCTGTGGCTGCCCAAGGACTTTTCCCAGCATTTCTCCACTTCCTGTCCTCTATCACTGATCCTTCCTTTCATGCTGGATATGTATATCCTATCATACTAGAATTGTAGATCACAACATTAAAAGCATGCTCTCTGGAGCCATACTGCCTGGATGCAAAAACCTTTAAAATGTTTCATCCGCTCACCAATATTGCTATTTTTCACAGCCAAAAACAAAATAAAAAAGTTGCCTGCCCCTTTTACTGCCAGCTACAGCAACAATTCTTTGCTGCTTGTAGCAAACTCCTAAAATATATATTCAACATCTCCAGTTTTTTTTCCTTTTACCTCTCATTGTCCTAAATACACTCCAAATTTTGTCCCTACGACTTCTTTACAGATTCCTCCTTTGGTCCCCAATGTCTTATCCTCAGAATGCTTCTTTTCTACCTGCACTCAATCTCTTAGTGATGGCTTTGATTACTATCCATGTGCTGTCAACTCCCAAATATTTCTCTCTCTCCCAACCTCTTTCTAGACTTATCCAACTGCCTACTCAACCTCCTCATTTGGGTGTCTTACAGACATCTTACATCTAATATAGCCAACACTGAGCACCAACCCCAAACATTGATTCCCAGCCTCAAACCATTACCTCTATGAATGGCAACTTTATCCTTCCAGTTGCTCAAGTCAAAAAGCTGGCATCATTCTTGATATCTGTGTTTGTCTTACACACAACACTCAACCCATTCTTGTCTTCCTCTTATAGCTGAGGCCTAGAGAAGCTAACTGACTTGCCCATGATTCCTCAGCTAGCAAGTTACTGCCAAGATTCATTCCAGTGTTAAACTCCTCTCCAGTGCTAAAGTCTTTGCCAACTAGTGAACAACTCACCTTTAGTCTAGCTTGGACACTAACCTAAAAATGAGTCATCTAGCCAATCATAAAAATAGAAAAGAAATAGGTATAGTGTTTAAATATTCCAAAGAGTCTCTGAAGTGACTGAGTTGTAACTTTAAACTAATATATGGCCTATCATATATTACATTTGCACAGCTGGTAAAAGAAATGTGTTCTGCAATTTGTGAACACACTGACATAGGACAATTTATCAAAGATTTAGCAGGGGCTTCTTTTCCTTCCTGACTTCAGATAAAATTGCCAGGCACAAAGCCTTCTGTATCACATTGTCTAGACTTCAGATGAGCAGATTTCCCAAAGCTCTTACCAGAAGTGACTGTCAAAGATATCCTCTGATCTTTCTTACTCAGCCCGTCTCTTTTCACATGACTCCAAATTTGGCAATTGTCAGCAGATGTATGAAGTTGTGGGAAGACACCAATGACCCATCTCATCTTCCTTCCCTCTGCAATTCTCAAATGCAAGTAATATCAGCTTGTCTCAAAGATGTTATCTGTCCAAATAGTTTTGATTCTTTGCCCTCAGTGTTTTTGTTACACATATTTTACATGATGTCAGAACATAACATTTTCAGAAAAAAAACAGCCTAGGGAATCCACAAAGTTCACTGAGCATAAACATGGTTTACTAGCATCATACTAGGTCAGTTCCTTTAAAAGAGGCTACCTAGAATATTTAGTGGCCTCTCTAAAGTTTTTTTGCAGCATTTTGTTTTAAAATGCCAGGGTTTAGCTTCATGATCCTTTGGGCTTTTAAAGAATAGTTGCCTTCATCTTTTAAGGATGGCAGTGGTATATTGGGAGAATATATTTTGAGAACAGTCATTTTCCTGGCTCAGAATCCTTCTTATGTGGTGTTACAAAGATTGGTGATATTTTTGTTACAATTTTTAATAATTCTAACAATTTCTTCATTCCCTTACTAAAAGAATCTGCCATCTCCATTCCTTCCTCACCATGTTTCAAATTTGCTCATTCACCCTTAGAAACAATACTTCTCTGTTAAAGTCACATTGTGTGACAGTGAGATTTCAAGAGTTCTGGTTAGGCATTTTGTAGAATGGCCTTCATTTTGCATTTGCCTCACATTTTCTTATGATTACACTGAGGTTATGAATTTTTCCAAAGAACCCCACAAGGTGAAGCATTTTTCTCATTGCATCATGTCAGAGGACAGATGATATTAATGTGATTTATCTCTGGTGATTTTAACTTTGATCACTTGGTTAAGACTGTATCTGTCAGGCTTCGTTCTTATGTTTTTCCCATATTAAATAAAAATTGCAATGCTTACCTATGGTAGACAGTGCCTCCTGAGTATATTCTCTTTGATGATTTACATTCAGTTCTTATGAGTGCCTGTCTGTGGCTGTCAATCCTCTCCATGAGCTTGAATGCACGTGCCTCCTCCTCAAAGCTACATGTATGTTACTTCAACATTCCTTTAAGGGGAAAGAAAAAGTGGTTCTTTTACAAAGTCTGTGTGAATTGTCATCAATATTTGACACACATGCCTGCTCAGCAGCCTCAAGCTAGACAGCATGTATGTGGGAAGGAGCATGGCACATAGTTGGAAGTACTTTGTGTTGGCAAGTTACATTGATGCTACTGAAACTAAACATTGAGACCTAGACCAACAAGCCAAGAACCATCCCATGCAACTCCCAGTGCATATAGCTTCTGCATATTAATCAGTTGAGCATTTACAGCACCCCTAATTAGAAAGCTCTATCACTTTTTATAGCTAGTACTTGGCCAGGCGGTGGTGATGCTTAATGTTGTGAGGGATCTTGTAACCAAAGTGAAAAGTCCCAAATCAAGGGAGTCTCCCACTTTGGGCAAACCTTCTCAGAGACTAATGCATAAAGATATAGAAATCAATAAATTTCATGCCCAATGTTTAGGTTACTTAGTTAGCAATGCCTTAGAGGTTATCCTGCCTATCATTTCACCCTGTGAAGAAAATTACTACTCCTTAGTATTTTTTTCCACATAAAGAAGTTGATTTATGGTTTGATTTTTACATGTTGTCTGCAAATTAACATATGATCATGAGGATGGATGTGGTGGCTCATATCTGTAATACCAATACTTTGGGAGGCCAAAGCAGGCCAATCACTTGAGGCCAGGAGTTTGAGACCAGCCTGGCCAATGTGATGAATCCCTGTCTCTGCCAAAAAATACAAAAATTAGCGGGGTGTGGTGGTGTGTGCCTGTAGCCCCAGCTACTTGGGAGACTGAGATGGGAGAATCACTTGAACTTGGGAGGTGGAGCCTGCAGTGAGCTGAGATCGTGCCACTGCACTCCAGCTTGAGCAACAGAGTAAGACTCTATCTCAAAAGAAAAATTATGTATATAATCATAAGAACAGGCACAAAAAATCATATTTATAGATAACAATTATACTTCCATTTGACTTTTCATTTAGGAAATTTATCCTTGTGCTATTAGCATAAATGATAGTTTTTCTAATAAGAAGAAATTAATTTTTGAGGTTTATTATGATTATAAGAGGAATTCTTACCTTTTCTCTGTAGAATTGGAGATTCCAGCTGCTATTATGGAAGCATGGTTGCAGTGGGTTTCCAATGACTTATGGTTCAACACAGAAATGATATTGTTGTAATTGGTTTAGAGTTTCTCTTCTTGCAGAAGGTGCTGTCACTGCCATATGGTGCTGCTGTGAAAACAGGAAGATTAGATGCTGACTTTATTCACTGCAACAGTGATATCTCTTCTGATCAGATGGTAGCTTCTCAGAGTGTACAGGGAAAAGCAAAGTCTCAGCTCCCAGGGTTAGTCTCAGCTGTGTTTGTTCCAAGTCACTGTAGCTGTGGCCTCCCAATGTTACAGCTTTTTATTTTATATTTAAAGTCTCAGTCATTAATCCCAAAGCATGTACACAATGCTATAGTGGCTGAGTCAGACACATACAATGCTTAGAGCCATCCCCGCCCCAGGAGAGGCTGTCACCAGTTCAAACTCCTGAATTCCTCATCTCTCATTTCAGTGAAGAGAGATGTTCTAATGATGTTGAACATCAAAATAAAAAGTAGTTGGGGTCTTAAGCTCTGTGCAAATTTGAACTGACCTTTCTCTAATAGACTTTTTGTCCCACATTCTAAAGGATATGGTGTTGGGATGACTTTTATCAAAGTCTAAACTTTTTGTTACACCATGATATTAATTTAGACTTTCTATTCTATTTTCTAAATTACTTTTCTTTAGGAATTTTCCTTATTTTGCTGTATGTTATAAAATGAAATCTCCATAGTCATCAGTCTATAGATTAAGCAAAACTTTCTCCCCTTTTCTTCATTATCCTTAGACATTATGTTTACCATGTTCAGTTTAAAACACCATAAGCAAAACTACCTTAGTATATAATGGACTGAAGTGAAAAATATACTACAGAGAAATTCTCAAGGACCATCTCAGAAATTTATCTAAGGAAAAATGGAAAAGGAGATTGTAGGGGGAGGGGGATTGGGTTGTCATGTGTTTAAAGGTACAGAACAAAGAAGGTGAGAGGCAGCTAATGGTCCCTATATCGCCTCCAGCAGGGTCACGGAACAATGGCAGTTCTGCTGGAATTGTTCAGAGGAGGTTCTTTGCCTGGCCTTAAGTTTTAGTGTCAGCAGCACATGAAAACAAGCCTCGGCAGAGGAACAAATGACCAAGATGCTTCTAGTAAGGACCTTGATGAGGATGGAAGTGAAGACAAAAGGGAAGCTATGAGACTTGAAATATGATGCACCATTCCACAGTTTTGAATGTGGTCCTGTGGGAGAATAAAGACTGTTGTTTATTTACATTAATTTGACAGTCACAGATTATTTAAGAGTTCTGATTGCCTGCATGCAATCATGCATGCATTTGATAAACACACCCTGAGATATTTGGGCTAAGTCACCTTCTTAATCCAAGTTTGTGGTAAAAGTTTATCCTGTATTTTAGATATCCTTCATAACTGAGAAAGACTGATTATGGCAAGAGGTATTATTCGATGCAACTAATGATCAAGGAATTTAAGAAGAGTGTGCAGATAGAGATTCTTTACATTAACTTGTAGCAGTAGCTTTAAGGAATTCTTTAGCTTTAAAGTGACTTCTTTCACAAATAGGAAAGTAAAGGACAGCAGCCAGAGGTCTAAATGTCATTTGTTCATTTGAGAACAATATACAAAAAGTATCAGAAATCAGTTTCTTTGCATTAAGAAGTATATGTGATAAGGTGAAAGTTTCTTAGATTTGCATATTAAAAGCAATGGCACTCGGTGCCAAAAATGACTATGTATAAGGCAGAATCTTATCAACTACAATAAATAGAACAAAAAAAAAACATGTAAGCATAACTCCAGTTGGCATCAAAATCTACTAGGCTAAGTCTATAAGTGCAAATGTGTATGTTAATTGCTAATATGTCTCACTTAGCTGAATGCGCCAGTATGTTCGGAATCCAAGTCATTCAGCTCTGCACTACTTCAGTGAAGCTGAAGTGGTTGCAGTGGAAGCACACACTTAGGTCTCCCAGGACAACCAAAAACACATGCATTTGCCCATCATCTTGATGTTTTCCTAAAGAAATATAACCCCTATTTAAAACAGCCCTTAGGTCTAATGAAAATCTGTAATATATATATTCAGATATATGTAAGGCTACATTTTCCAGCCCAGCACCTTTTCCCAACATAAATCCCCAAAGATTTTAACTGCATTCCTTTTTCAGCACAGAAGAGTTATGTTCTTAATTACTGGCATTGGAACAGTGATTTTTCAGGAGGGAGTAGGGAGTGAGAAATTGGAAGGTGAAAGAAGGCATATTAGAATTACCAAGGGAGAATTTTCAAACTACCTCACATCCCCACTTCCTGACTTTGGGAGTCTGATGTGTGCCTCAGGAGTCTTGGGACCTAGGGGTGTGGAGAGGGGGATGCAGCTTGTTGGAGCCTCTGTGATCCAGTTCTGTTCCCACACCTTCCCTCATTTAGAAATCCTGAAGTGAAGGAAAACACACTTCTCTGAAATATTTTTTAAAGGTGGACTCCTGAGGGAACAAATAAAACAAAGTAATCAGCAGAACAGTCTCAATGTTCCTGACTGAGATTGAACCAAATGATCCTGAGCATTCTTCTTCACACCTTTGTTATCTTAGAAAAGAACAAGCTGTAACAACTTTCTCACTTGACTGTCACATTCTAGGTAACAATGTCTCAGAATGCTCAATGGTACTGGAGGGTTTATGCTGAATGCCTCTTACTGAGGTCTTCATCAAGTATTAATGCAAATAAAAATTTTAATATTATTATCTAAATATAATGCTCTAAATCTCACCCCCAGGGTTTCTCTTCTTCAGATAATTTTACTTATTCATTGAAATAAATTAAAACATGCCTATGGTACACTTTATAGTATCAACATTTGTCAAAAATATTTAATTAATTGTATTTTATTCAATTGTGTAATTTGACTCCCAAGCCTCAATATTGATTCAGCCTCCAAAATATTTTGAATTATACCTTTCCTCCAGAAACAATAGAGGAAGGAACTTAAGTTTCTATCAACACAGTGGAGAAAATGTGGTACATATACACAGTGGAGCACTATTCAGCCATAATAGCAGAATGAGATCCTGTCATCTGCAACAACATGGATGGAACTGGAGAACAATATGTTAAGTGAAATAAGCCAGGCACTGAAAGACAAAGTTCACATGTTCTCATTCATTTGTGGGAACTCAAAATGAAAACAATTTAACTCATGGAGATAGAGAGTAAAATGATGGTTACCAGAGGCTGGGAATGATAGTGAGGGATGGGGTGGAGGGAAAAAGTGGATGGTTAATGGGACAAAAATGTAGTTAGAGAGAATGAATAAGGTCTACTATTTAAAGGCTGAGCATGGTGGCTCACACTTGTGATTCCAGTGCTTTGGAAGGCCAAGGAGGGAGGATCGATTGAGATCAGGAGTTTGATACTTATGCCTAGGCAACATAGTAAGACACATATCTACAAAAGGAAATTTAAAAGTTAGCCAGGATTAGTGACATGTGCCTGTAGTTCCAGCTACTCAGGAGGCTGGGGCGGGAGGATTTTTTGAGCCCAGGAACTAGAGGCTGCAGTAAGCCATATTCATGCCACTGCACGCTAGCCTGAGTGACAGAGCAAGACCCTGTCTCTGAAAAAAATTAAAAATCAATCAATCAATCAATAAACCTAGTATTTGATAGCACAATACGGTGATTACAGTTGAAAGCAATTTATTGTACATTTTAAAATGCTAAAAGAATAAAACTAGGTTGTTCATAACACAAAAAAAGGATGAATGTTTGAGGTAATGGATACCCCATTAACCCTGATATGATGATTACACATTACATACCGCTATCAAAATAATTCGTGTACTTCATAAATATTTACACCTACTATGTATTCATAAAAATAATAATAATAATTTTTTATAAAGAAACAATAGAGCCCAGGCTGTTGTCTGGAGTGAATCATAGACATAGGATCTAGGGAAAGACCTAACTATAAATAAATAAATACATATACATAAATACTAATCTTTTTAGATATATAAAGAAATATGTAACATATAAATAGAGGCATCAATTTACATAAAATTACAATAGAAATGTTTATATATACAATAGTAGAGGGCTGTATGCCATTGTGTAATGATATTTGGCCATATACGAAAGAAGCAAAGAACACTATTCAATAAATAATGCAGGCACACATGCACACATGCACACACACACACACACACACACACACAAAAGATCTCTACCTTAAACCATACACAAAAGTAAATTCCAGGTAGATTTTAAAACTAAATATAAAAACCATCAAACTCTACAGACTTTAGAAGAAAATATTTAAAAATTCTTCGATAACTTCAAGGTAGAAAATATTTTCTTAAATAAGACCCAAAAATCTACAACTGTAAAATTTTCTTTTACATTCAATTACCTAAAATATCAAAAGTCAATGTTAAAATAATAAAATGATCAGGCTCAGAGTAGAAGAAATAATTTGCAACTCATATAACTGACAAAAACAGTACAGAATATATAAAGAACATCTTTATATGATAAAAATCAATATGAAAAAAGACAACACAAAGGATACAAAGTTTCACTTATGCAGCATGAATAAGTTCTGGAGATTTAATGTATAGTATGGTAACTATAGTTAACAATACTATATTGTGTACTTGAAATTTGCTAAGAAGGTAATCTTGTGTCTTCCTCACAAAAAAGGGAGTAACTCTGAAGTGATAGGTATGTTAATAAGCTTGATTGTGATGATCACTTCATAATGTATACTTAAAACATTAAGTTGTATACCTTAAATATATAGAAATATTTTTATCAATTATACCTAAATGAAGCTTTATAAAAAGACAAACAACAAAATGGAAAAATGAGAAAATGACCAGATCAGTCATACAAACAAAAACCTAAATTGATAATAAATGTATGAAAACATGTTCAACTTTGCTAATATTTATGGAAATAAATATTAAAGCTACAGTAACATACCATTTAAAACCCATAAGGTTAAGGGAAAAATTAAAAAGACTGATAATACGAAGTGCCTGTGAAAATGTAGAGAACTGGGAACTCTAACAAACTACTGATGGGAGCTTAAGTTGACACAAGCACTTTGGAAAAGTTTGGAAGTGTGTGAAAGATGTACTCACCATAATTAGGGGAGTCAGAGATCACCTCTAACCATCTTTAAGCTCTTACATGGGCCCTTCAGCTGAATCTATAAACCAAACTGACACCAGGCAGATTAACAAAACAAAAGCATACACATTTTATTAGTTTTGCATGTACATGGGGACTTCACAAAAGAGTAAAGTCCAAAGAAGTGGCCAAAAAAAGATGCTTCTATACTTTTTAGACAAATAATGATAAATTTTAGAAGAAATGACAGGACAAAGGAAATCTGGCTAGGGACAGTAACTATATTCAGGTTCACTGTAGGCCGCCAGTTCCCAGTCTCTGGCGATAAGGGCTATTTTCTAGCTCTGGTACTGGGAGGGTACTCCTCCCAGAGGAATCTTTATGGCTTGCTGCCTGCAGGAAGAGACAGGTCAGCTAGACCTTTCTGAAACTATCATTTCTCCAATGTTTTCAACTCAACGTAGTCAATATATTAACCCAGCATATTTCGGGATGGTATATCATTCAGTCCTTCACATACAACCACAAAATTCCATTCAATATGTATCTTAGAGCAGTGGTTCTAGGATATATGTGTGGCCTGAAGAACCCTAGAGGCTTCCTAAGACTCTTCTTTCAGGGAATCTACAAGATCAAAACTATTTTCATAATACTAAGATTGTTTTGCTTTTCCACATTCATTGCTTCACAGTGTACAATGAAGTTTTGCAGATGCTACCTGCTGTACACACACACACACACACACAGACACATACATACATGCTAAACACCATCTCTTAAGGGGAAGGAGGTGAAATGGCATCAGAAAGGGCCACATGGAACTGATTGTCTTGTAACCCTGAGTAGATGTAAAATGTTCATCATCAGCTTTACAAATTCTATTTTCTGGATCACATATTAAAGAGATAAAGTCTCCTACTGTGTATTTATATAAATAAACTATATTTACCAGCCTCACATTCTTATATTTAACCAACAATCCTGATAGTAATCATAAATTCTCCTATGATAGCCTTTGGCTTTTTGACGTGAGAAAAATGAAAGGACTTCCTCCACTGAGGAAAGGTACCCCAGTGGAGAGAAAAGCACAAAAGCCATGGATGAAAAGAGTCTAGATTTTTACAACCATGCCTAGTGCTCATCCACTGGCCCAAGCAATTTACATGACATCTGTGAACCTCCTCCATTCCTTATTTGTAAAATGGAGATAATATTTCTTAGATAGCATTATAAGTATGAGGGGTAACTAATGTGAAAGGATTTTTTTTTAATTAAGAAATGGCCTTTGGAGGTAGAAGATTTATTCATCTCTTTGGATTCCATGTTAGTCAACATAACGCTCCTTTCCATTCTCTCGTGACTCCCTTATAGTGGCCCAGGGAGGGTTCATAGTAGGAGTCATCCTTCTCAGGTGAAGGCAATAAAGGGTATATTGCCTAAAGAGAATTTTAAAACAATAATAAAACCAACTAAAAGTCCAAATGCTGTTTATTATTACCACAGGCTGCTGATTGTAAATATTGCCAATGCTGCCACTGCTCTTATACACCTTCTTCACTCTGTAGGACTCAGCAAAAATGCTGGCCTTTTTTTTTTTTTTTTCTTTTTTTGAGACAGTCTCACTCTGTTGCCCAGGCTGCAGGCTGGAATGCAATGGTGTGATCTCGGCTCACTGTGTTCAAGCAAGTCGCCTGCCTCAGCCTCCCGAGTAGCTGGGATTGCAGGTGCCCACCAACATGCCTCGCTCATTTTTGTATTTTTAGTAGAAACAGGGTTTCACCATGTTGACCAGGCTGGTCTCAAACTCCTGACCCCTGGTGATCCACCCACCTTGGCCTCCCAAAGTGCTGGGATTTAGGCGCGAGCCACGGCGCCCAGCCCTGGCCCTATTTAAATACAGCATCTTGCATATTCTGCATCTAACTCAGAAATGAAGAAAACACACAATAAAGCTAAAAATTCCATTGTTACATTCATGACCTCAAATCTTA
Source organism: Homo sapiens (assembly GCF_000001405.40). NCBI lineage: Eukaryota > Metazoa > Chordata > Mammalia > Primates > Hominidae > Homo > Homo sapiens. The sequence continues at coordinate 192,773,201 of NC_000001.11, forward strand.
AATGGACATTCAACACTGGTGGGCATTGCACTACACTTTTCTGGTATATTTGTTCCCCTACTATCCAAATTACTATTTCACACATTTTTCTTCCTTCTCAAATATATGACACTCCTGACTATCCCTCTCAGTATTTGCTAATGACCTCATACCTCATTAAGCAAGGAGAAAGAATGCAATGGGAACGCCCTCATTTTTCTACCATTAAATATATCTTTCCTACTAGTAAATTCTACCTTTCCTCCTCCTCTCCCAATAGATGAGGTATTCCTGCTCATAGATGATTGTCCCCTTGTGCTCTGGATCCCCTATGACTTTTTCAAGGACTTGATGTATATAATTACCGCCTATCTGTCAATTGGATTATTATACCTAATGGAAGAATGGATGGATAAATAGTTGAATGGATGGATGGATGGATGAATGAATGAATGGAGAAAGAGATGTTCCCTTGTTCACACCTCCTTTGCAGCTACAACCTAATTTCTCTGCTTCCTTTCCAAGAGAAACATCCAAAGTGATGTCTAAAGTCATACTCTCCATTTTCTCACTTCCTATTCTCTCCTCAATTTGATCTAACTGGACTTTGTCCCCACCATTCCACAGAAACTGTTCTAAGCAAGATCATCAACAATCTCCATCGTGTCCAATCCAATGTCACTTCTCCGCCCTTAAGCCCTCAGCAGCACACAGCTACTATAATACTCCCTTCCCTTTGAAGAATTTTCTTCTTTTGTAGCATCACATTGTTCTGGTGTTCTTGCCTAACTAATTGCTCTTTGTGAGTTCATTCTTCACATCTTTAGATACAACCTTTATATTCATTCTCAAAAATCTATATTTACAGCTCCAGCCTCTCCCTTGAATTCTCTGTCTAAAAATGGCATTCATTTCTATTTTAATATGTCCAAAACAGAATTGTTGCTTCCCTGCCATATATGTTCTTCCACCATCTTCCCTTCATCAGCAAATGACACAATAGCTTACCCAGTTGCTCAAGCTGGAAACCTAATGGTTACCTTTTTTCTCACACCCCAAATTAATCTCATCAGCAGCCCCAAAATATATCCTAGATCTAACCATTTCTTTCCATTCTTTATCATGGTAGTCTAAGCCATTATCATCTTTACCTTGGGCTGCTGAAATTTCCTTCTGTTTGCCCATCCATCATTCTTTTACCAAAAATTCTATATTCTACACAAAAGCAAGAATCAGTTTGCTTTCGTGTAGAATATAGAACTTCATAAGCAAGCTGACTTGCTTACAAAATGCAAATTAGATCATGTTGCTTCCCTGGTGAACATCCTCCCATTACTTTCCATTATAACTAGAATAAAATCCACAACCTTTACCATTGCCTAGAAGCCCTGCACTATCTGGCTCATCCCCACCTCTGTGATCTCATCTCCTTCTGCTCTAACCATTGCTCAACGCATTTTAGCAATATTGACCTTCTTTTTCTTTCCTGGATATCACCAGGACCCTTTTCCTTAGAGGGAGTTTACATCCCAGTTTCCCTGAGTGGTCCAGGTTTTTGCCTGTTGTTCTGATGTCCTATTCACTTTTGCATTTGCACTTGAGCATTTGTCTCAGACTCATCTTTTGTTTTAAAACTAAGGCTTATTAATTGTTGCATTAAAATAAGCCAAAATGGGTTTGGTAGATCTTCCCTTTGTACTTCCAGTGGCTACCCTGCTGTTGTCTAATAGTGTGTGAAACATGTGCAGCAAACTGAGTTCTCACTCTAACAAATTGACTAAATCTGAAAGGTGACTATCAATAAGCATTCTCTTTTTTCAGATGCTTTCAAAGGAAAAGTAACAATCAAGTTGGACTCTTCCTAAAGTAATGCACTGGGACAGAAGAGGGTAGGAAGAGCCAAGTGTTCCAGGTCTCTGAGGGTGGTCAGAGATGTAGTAAATTTCTTTACCTCTGGTATACTAGCCAGTGGGGCAAGATGTTGGAAAATATCCTGTGGATTACTGGGCTTACCTTGTCTGAATGTTGGAGTCTCCTTTAGCAGTGCTTTTAGGGTGAGATTGTGTTCCTGTTTGTAGAAATCTAGTAAGAAACATCTGGTTCTATCACAGACTGTGGCTAATGACTTTCTACCCTGATGCAGCCCTCTGAGGAACTACTGTGTGGATTGGCCACAGTCTCAGTGAAAGGACATTTGCTCTGGTCTGCCCAGACTCACCTAGGTTTCAGATGTAACACCAAGAGCAGCAACATTTGCAATAGCAACTCAGAATGATGCCATTCAGCCAATTCTCTCAATTTTCTGGAGATAGAAACTTGGGACAGTCTCATTAGACTAAGTAGATAACCCTGGGGGTCCAAAGGGATATCTGGTGATGGGGGAAAAAAGGAAAAAAAACAGGCTGCTGCAGATTGTGAGATAGAGATGGAGTCATATTCATTTTATATAAAATAATATAAGCATTTTTTTCTGAACTCTAGTCTGAGTCATTTCACTGATATTCAGATCTCCAAAACACATAATAAATCTGAACACATTCAATGCTAGTGAGAGAATTTCTACAAAGCACTCGATGCCCAGTAGATGCTGAGTAAACAGTAGCCAATTTCACTGAGTACCTAAGTGGTACCCAGTATAAAGAAAGTCCTAGAAGTTCACAAGAAGTTACAGACCCTGTTTCGTGCACTCTTGAAGTTGACATTCCACTTTGATTGTAACTTAAATACATATACATGTGAATAGCAACAAAAGCTGGAATGTGATTAAGTCTAAAAGTAAATATTCCAATAATAAATGCTGCAGGAATTAGAGAAAAAAAGGCATTATTTTGAGCTGGGTAATACCTTTTTTTATAAAAATTATTGAGCTCGTGATTGCAATAAGCTATACAAATCTCAATCATCAAAAAATTAATGTTAACAACATGTCTAAAAATAAGTATGTAAGCACTAAGAAGTTTAATGTCATCATCTATTCTTCTTTTCCTCTTAAGAATAAATAATTTACTGTTAGAAGTTCAATTAAAGAACATGCTGAGAAAGAGTAGGACCTTAGAAAAAAATAAGATGGCCATTCACTGAGGCCCACATTTATACGTACCTCAGAAAATTGCTCACTATCTGGGGTCGCTGGCACACATACCATGTAGGACCAGAAACTGGATCTCACCAATGTCTCAGAGTGATAAAACTCAGGAATGCTAAGTTATGCAAAACAAACCCATATGAAACGAATGCTAATGGATTACTTCACACAGATAAATGTAATTGTCAGTCGAATAGGGGCATTGGCCTAAATAGTACAGTCTTTTTTTGGACACATGCTTCATGGAAACAAAATTTTCAAAGAAGCTTGGTAAACCTAGGCTCAGAATGGGAAGCAGGTGCAGTTAATTTTATTATTTGGATGTTTGATAATAGCAGGTCTAATGGACTTATGGGTCCATCTCCTTAATAAGGAAGAAGACACGAAATAATGCCATAACTCATGTTGAACTCCTAGAATGTAGTATGGCTCACAGTAAGCATTCAATAAATATTTGTTGAAGGAATGAAAGTTCCCCTGAACACTGCTTGGATAGGTATTGCCAAAGTTTATCTTTTTAAAAAATTCTAATTTCCATTATTCTAATCAGGACATTTTTCATGATATATTAATACCTTCAATCCCTTATAGTCAAGACTCACTAATTTCAAAGCCAGTTGGTCTTTTTAAAGCAAAGTTTCTCAAACTTAGCACTATTGACATTTTCTACTAGATAATTTTTTGTTATGGCAGGCTGTCTTGTGCCTTGTAGAATGTTTAACTGCATCACTGGCCTCTATGCCCCAATGCCAGTAGCACATACATACCCTCTCCTGTGTCTCCTGTTAACATTTACCTTTGAAATGCATGATTGTATTTTGTTTCATGGTTTTGACATAGTTCACTTCAATAAGACTAAATGAAAATAGGATTGGCTTGGGGTGGGGTAGGGTAGAATAGAAGGAGGAATTTGAGAAGGAAAAACGAGTAAGAACATGTAAGTCAATCAAAAATATCTCCAGGCATTGCCTAATATCTTCTAGGGGCAAAATCCGGCTTGTTGAGAACCAGTTCTTTAAAGTGAAATCTCTGCTCTGATCTTTCAAGTACTAATTTCAGAACTTAACCATCAAAGACAAAGTCCATGAGTTACTACAGTCATCACCGTTGTTTCTCCCAAGCTCCACTTTAACCCTTATTGTCAATGTCACCAGACCATTATATAGATGCCATATTACCAGTAGTAGTCTCAAGGGAAAGAGAACATAAAACAATTAGGAAAAAATGTAAGTTCCTCACTTCCACTCACCCCCACTCAAATACCACCAAGAGTCCTTGGAGATACAGTGAAGGCAGGTAGTTATTTTGTGAGTGTGTCTTACCAGCACACTTGGTGAGCTTTCATCCAGTGGATAAGTAGCAGCAAAGGAAAGCAAGCAGAAATCAAATTTCAAAAAGAAGCAACATAAAGAATTTTGACTATATGGCCATTCCTTCATAACAAAGATTGATATGATCAATAAGTTTTCTTTAACACCCATCATGCTTCTCTTACATCACACTGTTCTCCCCCAAACCTCTTTTCCCATTTAGCCTTTTTTTTTTTTTTTGAAACAGAGTTTTGCTCTTTTGCCCAAGCTGGAGTGCAGTGGCCTGAACTCGGCTTACTGTGGCATCTGCTTCCCCATTCAAGCAATTCTTATGCCTCAGCCTCCCGAGTAGCTGGGATTACAGACATGCGTCACCATGCCCAGCTAATTTTTTCTATTTTTAGTAGAGATGGGGTTTCACTACGTTGGTCAGTCTTCTCTTGAACTCCTGACCTCAAGTGATCTGCCCACCTCGGCCTCCCAAAGTGCTAGGCTTCCAGGCGTGAGCCACCATGCCTGGCCCGTTTAGTCTTTTTGGTCTTATTGCAGTGAACTACATTTCTTTTCCTTTAGTCTTATTGCAGTGAACTATGTCAAACCCATGAAACAAAACACAATCATGCATTGCAAAGGTAAATGTTAACAGGAAACACTGTGCATTTTTCATAGAATTGGTCCTTCTGCCTGAGTCTTTGAGCTGCTTTCTAACTGTGAAAGTATTTAGAAACTCTTATCTGACATTGCAACTTTTATGATCATAAATTCATTTATTTCTTATTTTTGTTTTTTATTTTTCCGTAAGTTACTGGGGTACAGATGGTATTTGGTGACATGAGTAAGTTCTCTAGTGGTGATTTGTGAGATTTTGGTGCACCCATCACCCAAGCAGTATACACTGAACCATATATGTTGTCTTTTATCCCTCCCTCCCTCCCACCCTTCTCCCCAAGTCCCCAAAGTCCATCGTATCATTCTTAGGCCTTTGCATCCTCATAATTTAGCTCCCATATATCAGTAAGAACATACAATGTTTGGGTTTCCATTCCTGAGTTACTTCACTTAAAATAATAGTCTCCAATCTCACCCAGGTCGCTGCAAATGCCATTAATTCATTCCTTTTTATTGCTGAATAGTATTCCATCAAATATATATATATATATATATATATATATATATATATATAAACAAGTGGATAAAGAAACTGTGGTGTATATATATATGTGTGTGTATATATATATGTATATGTGTATATATATGTGTGTGTGTATATGTATATATGTGTATATATATACATATGTATATGTGTATATATATACATATGTATATGTGTATATATGTATATACATATATATACACATATATATATCAACAAGTGGATAAACTGTGGTGTGTATATATATGTGTGTGTGTATATATGTGTGTGTGTGTGTGTGTGTGTGTGTGTGTATATATATATACCACAGTTTCTTTATCCACTTGTTGATTGATGGGCATTTGGGTTGGTTCCACAATTTTGCAATTGTAAATTGTGCTGCTATAAACATGCGTGTGCAAGTATCTTTTTCAGAAAATGACTTCTTTTCCTCTGGGTAGATACCCAGTAGTGGGATTGCTAGATCAAACAGCAGTTCTCCTTGTAGGTCTTTAAGGAGTCTCCACACTGTTTTTCATAGTGGTTGTACTAGTTTACATTCCCACCAGCAGTATAGCATTCCCTGATGATCGCATCCACATCAACATCTACTGTTTTTTGATTTTTTGATCATGGCCATTCTTGTAGGAGTTAGGTGGTATCGCATCGTGGTTTTGATTTGCATTTCCCTGATCATTAGAGTTGTTGCGCATTTTTTCATATGTTTCTTGGCCATTTGTATGTCTTCTTTTGAGAATTGTCTATTCATGTCCTTAGCCCACTTTTTGATGGGATTGATTGTTTTTTTCCTTACTGATTTGTTTGCGTTTGTTGGGGATTCTGAATATTAGTCCTTTGTCAGATGTATAGATTGTGCAGATTTTCTCCCACTCTGTGGGCTGTCTGTTTACTCTGCAGGCTGTTCCTTGTGCGGTGCAAAAACTCTTTAGTTTAATTAAGTCCCAGCTATTTATCTTTGTTTTTATTGTATTTGCTTTTGGGTTCTTGGTCATGAAATCCTTGCCTAAGCCAATGTCTAGAAGGGTTTTTCCAACGTTTTCTTCTAGAATTTTTAATAGTTTCAGGTCTTAGCTTTAAGTCCTTAATCCATCTTGAGTTAAGATTTGTATAAGATGAGAGATGAGGATCCAGTTTCATTCTCCTACATGTGGCTAGCCAATTATCCCAGCCCCATTTGTTGAATAGGGTGTCCTTTCCCCACTTTATGTTTTTGTTTGCCTTGTCAAAGATCAGTTGGCTTAAGTATTTGGGCTTATTTCTGGGTTCTCTATTCTGTTCCATTGGTCTATGTGCCTATTTTTATACCAGTACCATGCTGTTTTGGTGACTATGGCTTTATAGTATAGTTTGAAATCCAGTAGTGTGATGCTCCAGATTTGTTCTTTTTGCTTAGTCTTGCTTTGGCTATGTGGACTCTTTTTTGGTTCCATAGGGATTTTAGGATTGTTTTTTCTAATTCTGTGAATAATGATGGTGGTATTTTGATGGGGATTGCATTAAAATGAATTTGTAGATTGCTTTTGGCAGTATAGTCATTTTCACAAGATTGATTCTATCCATCCATGAGCATGGGATATGTTTCTATTTGTTTGTGTCATCTATGATTTCTTTCAGCAGTGTTTTGTAGTTTTTCTTGTAGAGGTCTTTTACCTCCTTGGTTAGGTATATCTCTAAGTATTTTATTTTATTTTATTTTATTTTATTTTATTTTATTTTATTTTATTTTATTTTATTTTATTTTGCAGCTATTGTAAAAGGGGTTGAGTTCTTGATTTGATTCTCTGCTTGGTTGCTGTTGGTGTATAGAAGAGCTACTGGTTCATATACATTAATTTTGTATCTGGAAACTTTGCTGAATTCTTTTATCAGTTCTAGGAGCTTTTGGAGGAGTCTTTAGGGTTTTCTAGTATACAATCATATCATCAGCAAACAGTAACAGTTTGACTTCCTTTTTACTGATTTGGATGCCGTTTATTTCTTTCTCTTGTCTGATTGCTCTGACTAGGACTTGCAGTACAATGTTGAAGAGGAGTGGTGAGAGTAGGCATCCTTGTCTTGTTCCAGTTCTCAGAGGGAATCTTTCAACTTTTCCCCATTCAATATTATGTTGGCTGTGGGTTTGTCATAGATGGCTTTTATTACATTGAGGTATGTCCCTTGTATGCTGATTTTGCTGAGAGTTTTAATCATAAAGCGATGCTGGATTTTGTCAAATGCTTCTTCTGCATCTATTGAGATGATCATGTGAGTCTTGTTTTTAATTCTGTTTATGTGGTGTATCACATTTATTGACTTTCAAATGTTAAGCTATCCCTGCATCCCTGATATAAAACCCACTTGATCATGGTGGATTGTCTTTTTGATATGTTGTTGGATTCACTTAACTAGTATTTTGTTAAGGATTTTGGAATCTAAGTTCATCAAGGATATTGGTCTGTAGTTTTCTATTTTGGTTATGTCTTTCCCTGGTTTTGATATTAGGGTGATGCCGGCTTCATAGAATGAGTTAGGGATGGTTCCTCCTATCTCTATCTTGTGGAATAGTGTCAAAAGGATTGGTACTAATTCTTCTTTGAATGTCTGGTAGAATTCTGCTGTGAATCCATCTAACCCTGGACTTCTTTTGTTGGTAAATTTTAAATTACATTTTAAATTACATTTCAATCTCACTGCTTGTTATTGGTCTGTTCAGGGTATCTAATTCTTCCTGATTTAAGCTAGGAGGGTTGTATTTTTTCAGGAATTTATCCATCTCTTCGAGGTTTACTAGTTTATCTGCATAAACATGTTCATAGTAGCCTTGAATGATCTTTTGTATTTCAGTGGTGCCAGTTGTAATATCTCTTGTTTCATTTCTTAATGAGGTTATTTGAATTTTCTCTCTTCTTTTCTTGGTTAATCTTGCTAAGGGTCTATTAATTTTCTCTTTTCAAAGAACCAGCTTTTTGTTTCATTTCTCTTTTGTATTTTTTTGTTGTTGTTGTTTCCATTTCATTTAGTTCTGCTCTGATCTTGGTTATCTCCTTTATTCTGCTGGGTTTGGGTTTGGTTTGTTGTTTCCCTAGTTCCTTGAGGTGTGACCTTAGAATGTCAGTTTGTGCTCTTTCAGTCTTTTTGATGTAGGTCTTTAGGGCTAACTTTCCTCTTAGCACCACCTTTACTGTATCCTAGAGGTTTTGATACATTGTGTCATTATTGTCGTTCAGTTTGGAGAATTTTTAAATTTCCATCTTGATTTTGTTTTTGACCCAAGGATCATTCAGGAGCAGATTATTTAATGTCCATGTATTTGCATGGTTTTGAAGGTTCTTTTTGGAGTTGGTTGCCAGTTTTATTTCACTGTGGTCTGAGAAAGTGCTTGATATAATTTCAATTTTCTTAAATTTATTGGGGCTCATTTTATGGCCTATCATATGGTCTATCTAGGAGAAAGTTCCATGTGCTGTTGAATAGAATGTGTATTCTGCAGTTGTTGGATGAAATGTTCTGTATATATGTGTAAAGTTCATTCGTTTAAATCCATTGTTTCTTTGTTGGCTTTCAGACTTGACAACCCGTCTAGTGGAGCACTTAGGCTCCAATGTTAGTATTGAGATGTGAGGTACCGTTGCATTCATCGTGCTATCTATTGCCTGTGTACTTTGGTTTTTCTGTATTTTGTTTTTGCTTTTTAACATGTTTTTGTTTTATAGGTCCTGTGTAATTTATGCTTTAAAGAGGTTCTGTATTAATGTGTTTCCAAGATTTGTTTCAAGATTTAGAGCTCCTTACCAGTTCTTATAGTGGTGGCTCGGTAGTGGCAAATTATCTCAGCATTTGTTTGTCTGAAAAAGACTGTATCTTTCCTTCACATATGTTGCTTAGTTTTGCTGGATACAAAATTTTTGGCTAATAATTGTTTTGTTTGAGGAAGCTGAAGATAGAGCCCCAATCCCTTCTAGCTTGGAGGGTTTCTGCTGAGAAATCTGCCGTTAATCTGATAGGTTTTCCTTTATAGGTTGCCTGGTGTTTATGTCTCACAGCTCTGAAGATTCTCTCCTTCATCTTAACTTTAGATAACCTGATGACAATGTGCCTAGGTGATGATCTTTTTGCAATGAATTTCCCAGTTGTTGTTTGTGCTGCTTGTATTTGGATGTCTAGGTCTCTAGCAAGGCTGGGGAAGTTTTATTTGATTATTACCCCAAATATGTTTTCCAAACTTTTAGATTTATCTTCTTCCTCAGAAACACCGATTATTCTTAGGTTTGATCATTTAACATAATCCCAGACTTCTTGGAGGCTTTGTTCATATTTTCTTATTCTTTTTTCTTTGTCTTTGTTGGATTGGGTTAATTCAAAGACCTTGCCTTCAAGCTCTGAATTTATTTCTTCTATTGTTCAAGTCTATTGCTGAGACTTTCCAGGGCATTTTGCATTTCTATAAGTGTGTTCAGTGTATCCTGAAGTTTTGGTTGTTTTATTATTTAACCTATCTATTTCCTTGAATATTTCTTGTATCATATTTTGGATTTCCTTACATTGTGCTTCACCTTTCTCTGGTACCTCCCTGATTAGCTTAATAACTAACCTCCTGAATTATTTTTCAGGTAAATCAGGGATTTCTTCTTGGTTTGGATCCATTGCTGGCGAACTAGTTTGATTTTGTGGGGGTGTGGGGGTGTTAAAGAGCCTTGTTCTATTACCAGAGTTGGTAATAGAACTGGTTCCTTCTCATTTGGGTAGTCTCTGTCAAAGGGAAGGTCTAGGGTTGGAGGCTGTTGTTCAAATTCTTTCATCCCACAAGGTGTTCCCTTGATGTAGTATTCTCCCCCTTTTCCTATGGATGTGGCTTCCTGAGAGCCAAGCTGTAGTGATTGTTATCTCTCTTCTGGGTCTAGCCATCCAGCAAGTCTACGCACTCCAGGCTGGTACTGGGAAGGGATTGTCTGCACAGAGTCCTATGATGTGAACCATCTGTGGGTCTCTCAGCCATGGATACCAGCACCTTCAGTTTCGCCAGTGGGTGTGTGTGTTCAGAAGAGGATCTCCCTTTCCTACTTCCGCAGTTGGGGCATTCACAGTATTTGGGGTGTCTCCCAGGTCCTGCAAGAGCAGTCTGCTTCCTTCAGAGGATGTGTGGGTCCTCTCAGGATTGCTGGTTTGTTCTTGCAGTTGATCTGGAGCTAAAATTCATGATGTGAGCCTCTGCAGGCTGCTCTGTCTGTCCGAGTCAGAGCTGCAATCTCCATACCTTCATTTAAATTCAGAAGCTACACGTCTTCCAACTAGTCTCATCGTGCATAGACTTGACCCGCCCATTGAGTATGTTCCACACTCCGTACCTGGTGTACGAAATGTGTGGCATGTACACACATGGATTTTAGCAGGATACATGGCTAAGAAGCACTGCTAGTCCAGAATGTGAATCCATATGTGTAGTATGAATACAAAGTTAACTGGTAACAGTGAAAAAAAAGAGTTTTGAAAAGACAGGATTTTTGACTAATTGATCCTAAAAACAAATTTATGAAACAACTATAATATGAACAATATATATAACTTTTTGGAATTTAAAAAGGCTATTTATTCATATAATCACATTTTTAAAAAATAAAATATCACATATATTAAATACACGAGAAGACAGAAATTAATATTTATGGAACATCCAGCATATGCCTAGGCACCATCTGCAATAAAGATTATTTTATAGTTGAGGGAACATGGACCCAGACTAATTAAATTATTGCCTCAGATATCAAAGATAGTAAATAATACAATAAGGATGTAAACCTCATGTTTTTTCCCCAACCTTACAGAACCTCTCACTTAAACAAACTGCATGATTTTTTCTTTGATGTCATAAATACTGTTATGCCTAAATTGCTGATATAGCAAATACCGTTTTATTTAAAATATTTAAAAATACAATACAAACCTTAAAGGTAAATATTCTCAGTGTTTTTCAGCTGGTTAAATTACATTTTGTTAAACATAAGATTTTGATGGGCTTAACAAAAAGTAACGTGCAAGAGTGATAAAAGTTGAAAACTTAGCCAGAAATTCTATTTAATCTATGTTAGGATAATTTAGCTATATAAAGTTAAATAAATCAAATATATGACCAAAATTTAATATTTTGATAAAATAATGATAAATGAAATATTATGTATAAGATATTAATACAGTTGAGCCATGTTTAAGTCCTATTCAGTGGAATGACATGTTTTGTTGCATGTGTTTTGCTTGACAAAATGGCTACTTAAATCCCAAGCAAACTCTCTGCCTGTCAATTAGTCTCAGAAAGTCACAAGTAATTTCTGTTTTAAATTCAGACATGATATTTCCACAGCCTTTCTTTATATCTTAGAATTAAGTACAACTGCCTTCAGAGTCATTTTTTTCTTTATCCTCAATCTTTTCTTAATTTGTCCTCAAATGACCAGTCAGGAAAACCAGAAAGTTTAATGTGCCAAGAGTCACAAAAATGTCATTCCGATAAGCACTCATGGCAAGGACATGTATCTAAAAAAAGCCTTGATTTATTTCAGGAGCTTGTTAAAAGGGGTTCATAAGCTAAATTTTTCAGCCAATAAATTCGGTTTCAATATGAAATGGGTAATAGGATAACATTAGTCCAAATTTCAGGAATTTTCCACCTCAAATAATTGCCTATAATAAAACTACGAGTTATAATTATTGCCATAATCAACCATTCTACAGAAACCACTCTTTTCTGAATACATGATGTAAAGAAGAATAAAGAGAATGAGTCAGAAATGCAGAGACTCACATTTTTTTTATTATTGTTCTCTCCGTAGCACCCCACAAAAAAAAGTCCTGGAGCCTGAACTATGATTAAATGTAATATACTGCATGCCAATGATTTTGAGCATAAGATGCAATCAGTGTATGATAAGCTACCGATCACCCCAAGGGTGAGTCTTCTTCAGCTGGTGTTATTTTGTTTTGTTTTTAACTTTTTTAAAATTATTACTATTAAATGCTTAGGAAAAAGTATTATTTTTCCCAATAAGAGCAGTGTAAAAACTGTTCTGACCTATGTGATTTACCATAATTAATAAGCCAATTTTAACTAAGAAAAATTTAAAATAAAACCTATTGCTGAAGCAAGATGAGAAAATCTGACAAAATTCTAACAGCTGCCCTGGATAAAAGACACAACTAATTAGTCTGGGTAAATCCCCTTTTGTTAATTATTTTAATAATTACCTGATGATAAACACATAATTATTCTAATTAATTTCCCAACTGATTTTCCTAATGTGTCTACATTGTTTAATATTCTACAATTTCTTCACTTACAAAATAGATATGATATTGATCTTGCTGATACAGAGAAAAGAATTTAAAGCATGTATTCTGCAACTTTAATATGCAAAATAATTGAAAATTAACTTTCTTAAATAGTATATTAAGCACATGGTTGGTATTTAACAATTATTAGGTATCTTTCTTCTTTTCTTCATTATCGTCTTATTCTCCTTCTTTATTATGGGGAGTGGAAAAAGCACTGAACCAGGAGTTGAGGGAATTATTCCAGTGTTGGACTGTCACTGCTAGACATCAGAACAACCTCAGTATCCTCACCTTAAAAACAGAGTAATGCCATTTCCCTTTTCTACATCATATAGTTTTGTGACCGTGAATGAGAAAATGAATGTAAGAAAATTCTCAAGTCATAATATCCTATATAAAAGTAAGGTGTTATTAGCAGGACTTTAAAGTGAAAGCTAAAGAGATTATTTGGGCCTATTAATAATTTGTCACAGACTTTATCATTTATAAGTTTTAGATGACTTTCAGTTTGTAAGGGCTCCAAGTAGCTATTCATGTTTCTCTAACCCCATGAACATATATCACTCAAAAATCACCAAGAGCCTAATTCTTATTTCGTAAAAAGCCTGGGGACTTGAAAAAGATAAAAGTCTGACCTATGTTAATGCCTACACTCAATCATATAATATTGAACATACCAAAGATTTCTAAAATGTATTTCAGAACAGCAAAACCAGTTTTCAAAATAGCAAAACCAGTTTTCAAGTAGCACAATTAACATAGTCCTTGAGAGTGAGAGACGGACTGTGTGGAACAGTGGGTAGAATAATGATGTCTTCTGTTTATACTCATTCCTGTGAAGTCTTAGTGCCTACGTTCTTATCCCAGTTCTCTCAGTTACCAACAAAGAAGGTAAAGCTATGAGCAAATCTTCTATTTAGATAGCATATTTAAAAAACGTGGAAATTAAATAGGCCATGCCGGGAGCCTGTGTATTATTTGTTCCTTTTTTGAGAAGACATAAAATGAATGCCACAACCAAAGTATCTTTCCAAATGATTAAAGACAATTCCTTGAGAGTAAGTAGCCATGCATTATATAACCTTGCCATTAAACTAGTGGCAACTGATTGAACCAGAGATTTGGGCATTAACTTCAGAAGAGCTACTTGGAGGCTGACAGCAGCACAGGAATGTTCTGGAACCAGAGCTGTGTCAAACAGGGGTACTCTAGGCCAAATAGTAATGATCCAGCCTAAAAGAACCTTTCCTGAAAATTTGAATTTGAGATATAAAAAGGGAATTGATAGGGCATAAGGACAGTTTAACTTAGTATTTAAGAATGTGGTATGTGAAGTCTTAGTGCCTACATTCTAATCCCAGTTCTCTCAGTGACCAACAAAAAACCTTAAAGCAAGTGAGTGAACCTCTCTGGACTTCATTTTCCTCACCTGTAAAATTAGAAAAATAATAGCATAAGAGGTTGTCATTAAAAAAGGGCAATTGATAATTGTTTGGCACCTAAAATAAATCCACTAAAACAGAGTCCAGAAATTTTGAGCAAATGGTCAAAAGTATGATTATGACTTTATCTTAAAAATAAAATTAGAATTATAAAAATAAGTATTTTGAAATATTACTAATATTTAGATTATAGCTTTCAGTATATACCAAGTATTAGAATGAACAAAGTGTCAAGTCATGGAGTTAGGAGGACAAAACAAAATGCTAGGATAATACGGTTCACGTTGCATTTCGCATTTTTAAGAATATATTCCATGACTTCTAAAATTATTCCAAGACTTTACTACTCAAATCTTTCTTTTTTAGCATGTTTATTATGTTGTGATCCACGTCAATTTTATCTTCTCCAATTGTTAACTGGCCACATTCCCAAATTCTCATTTATCAATGGCTTTTCTGTTGACAACTTCATTAAATTCTACATCTTTTGCAAATTTTACTATTATGCTTTGAATTACATTTACATTGTATATGAGTGGTTTGTTAATCACCAAGACTAATAATAAGTGGGGAGGAGTTTTGGGTGGGAAATATATAGTCTTCTGTTCATTCATGAATATTTTCTTATGTGATGGCTTTGGGGCTCCCTGTGCACTCAATTTGGGGACTAAGGTAATGAATAATCAGAAAAGAAAGACACCCTATACCCTGTGAGTGTAAAAATGAGACTTTGTTTGGCACACAGTAAGCCTCTAATGGTTTCTTATTTGTATTTTTTAAAATAACGCAATAAGCAGAAGCCACTGGCAGAAACAAGGAGAGAAGAAAGGCGTAACGAATCAGTGATGGAACAGGAAGGAATCAACTGAGGGAAGCAAAGGGCTGCTGAGTCACAAGCATGACAGGCAACTAGAATCAGCCCGGGCTCCCCAGAGCTGCTGCTCATCCTGAACACTGCGGGCTTGCTCAGAATTTCCTGGCTGTCCTTTCAGACTTCGTGTGCATCGTGACAATACACCACTCTCACCTAACGGAATCTAAGGATGTCGCTACCCTGAAATAGCCAAATATTCCAGTTGAATCTATTTGTTAAAGCTTAGTCAACCAGATTTGTTTCTAAGGAGACACTGACAATAAAAATAAAAATGAAAAACAGAAAAACATTATTTTCCCTGCATAAAAGAGCCCTTTTCTTTTTAGATCTTCCTGAGTCTCAAAACTGTTCTCTTCCTTGAGTTTCAACAAATCCCAAAGGACTCTTTCTTCAACTTTCACATAAAAGAAAACAATTCCTTAATAATATATTAAGTGTATCATTAGCAATTTACAATTCACAAAGCATTGTATATCACATTTACAAACGGAGGGTTTAAATATAACAAACCCTGTAAATGGAATGTAGAAATGTTCATTTTTAATAAGATCCCTAGTTAACTAATCAATCCCTTATTTCACATTTTCCACTACTAAATGAGAATCCACTTCCAGTTTTACCTTTCTAGGAATATTTGTATGTCATCTAAAGTTGTGAGTGTTTGTTTGTTTGTTTGTTTATTTGTTTTGAGACAGGTTCTTGCTCTGTCGCCCAGGCTGAAGTCCTACAGCACTATTGCAGCTCACTGCGGCCTCGACCTCGTAGGCTCAAATGAACCTCCCACCTCAGCCCCCTGAGTAGCTGGGACTACAGGCACACACCACCACTCCTAGCTAATTTTTGTATTTTTGGAGACAGAGGGTTTCTTTATGTTGCCCAGGTTAGTTGTGTTTAAAAACTCTTTAGCCACACATACATGAAGAGTCTCTTGGTTTATTTCATAAATTACTAGTATCATCTATAAGCTTTTCATTCACTAATTCATTATTTTATTCAACAATTGTATATTGAGCAGACACTTACTATGTACCCAGTAATGCATTAGGGACTGGATCTCAGTAGCTTAACTTTCAGAGTCAAACTTTTGGAGACCATCATGACACAGCCAGGATAGCCATGAGGAGACCTGTTGATGGCAAACCAAGAGGAGCTTCCTAAGGAAACACTAAACGCATGTGACTAAATTCTACAGTAGAAAAATTACAGACTTGGAATTCAAATCCCAGCTCTGCCATTGACTTGCTTGCTATTGATTTGGGGCAGTGCCTTTGCCTCTCCAAACACCTATAAAATGGGAACAATAGCACCTATCTCATTGTGGCACCAGGGTAGGACATAATGGTAATATATGTGAAGCGTCTGGTCAGTCAACATCTAATAAGTGTTCAATAACAAACAACTGCTGTTCTTATGAAAGGGGGGTAGCCTTTTTTCTAAGGGAGGTTCTTGGAAACCCCAATATTATGTATTATTAACATTATTATTTTTAGATGGAAAAAACTTAAGCACAGAGAAGTTAAACCATTTATTCATGTAACAATTTTTTTAGCACTATGGGGGGTACTAATCTCTGCAAATACAGGATTCAGAGGACAGAGTTTGAACCCAGCGCATTCACTGTCTCACAGAGGAGACACAGGATAGTGCTAAGTGCCCCAGAAAGGGAAGAACAGGTTTGTGGGAAAACACAGAGAATGAGCTCATTCAGAATGCAGGGTAGAGTGGGTGACAAGGAGGCTCCCCAGAGGGAAAGTCCTAGTTGAGCTGGAAAGGAAGCATCCTGACCAAAGCCTGGCCTTGAAACCAAATCGCTGTCTCCAAGATCAGTGAACTTCCTACTATGCCAAAGCCTCTTTAATTAAATTCAATTAAATGTTTTCTTAGCACCCACTCTATGGAAAAGTCTGTCCTAGATGGAAACAAAGGTGAATCATTATAGTTCTTATCTCATGAAAGCAAAGGCAAATAAGACAGGCATTCAGATAACCAACTCAAAACATAAAGAGGCAAAAGAGAGTTTCATATTAAAAATCAGGTACTGGGCATCCTACTTCGGCTTTCACCTATTCTCAGACTTTCAGTCTAGATGCTACTGATTCCTCACAGCCCACATGATAACAGGTCACTAAATAGCCACAAAGGTGAGTTCCGCCACATCACTATCATCCATGCTAGTCTGGACAAAGCTGAATGGATATTATTCACCACCTTATCTGTGAATTGTAATACAATTTCTTTAATTTATGATTAACAGAAATTGAAAGGAGTTTCTTTTATCACTTGCAGGTGTGAAGAATTTTATATTTCACTGTAAACAATGTTTCTGCTTATTTTACAATGTTTACTGGTGAAATCTATTTGAACATATTTTATTTGAGGTGTCTACAAATTTATCTTTAGTTTTTTCTTTTTTTTTTTTTTTTTTTGAGGCAGGCTCTCACTCTGTCACTCAGGCTGGAGGTCAGTGGTGCAATCTCTGCTCACTGCAACCTCCGCCTCCTGGGTTCAAGTGATTCTCCCACCTCAGCCTTCCAAGTATCTAGGACTACAGGGGCACGCTGCCACGCCCATCTAATTTTTGTATTTTTTGGTAGAGATGGGGTTTCACCATATTGGCCAGGCTGATCTCAAACTCCTGACCACAAGTGATTCTCCTGCCTCAGCCTCCCAAAGTGCTAAGATTATAAGAATGAGGCCACCGTGCCCGGGCCTTTAGTTTTCTTTTGAAATGCTTTATTCCTCAGATTTGGGTATCAGTATTATGCTTGCTTCAAAAAATAATTGGGGAAACTTCCTCTCACTCTGTGCTTTGGAGCAATATAAGAATTATCTGGTTCTTAGAAATCCATTTGATCCAGCAATCCCATTACTAGGTATATACCCAAAGGATTACAAATAATTCTACTATAAAGACACATGCACACGTATGTTTATTGCAGCACTATTTACAATAGCAAAGACTTGGAACCAACGCAAATGTCCATCAATGATAGACTGGATAAAGAAAATATGGCAAATATACACCATGGAATGCTATGCAGCCATAAAAAAGGATGAGTGCCTGTCCTTTGCTGGGACGTGGATGAAGCTGGAAGCCATCATTCTCAGCAAACTAACACAGGAACAGAAAACCAAACACCACCTGTTGTCACTCATAAGTGGGAGTTGAACAGTGAGAACACATGGACACAGGGAAGGGAACAACACACACCAGGGCCTATCAGGGGGTTGGGGGCAAGTGGAGGGAGAGCATTAGGACAAATACCTAATGCACGTGGGGCTTAAAACCTAGATGACGGGTTGATAGGTGCAGCAAACCACCATGGCGCATGTATACCTATGTAACAAACCTACACGTTCTGCACATGTATCCCAGAACTTAAAGCAAAATTTAAAAATAATTTAAAATTTTTAAAAAAATCTGGTTATTAATGGCTTTATACAGTGCATCCAACAAAATCCACTGAACCCTGTTTTCTCTACTCTTTAACAGCCACACTCAGTGGTCAGCACAGACTCATCTTTAGAATCCTTCTTAATGCAGCACTCCTCAAAACCATTAAGTGACAAGCGTGGATTAGCTAATTTATTTTCAATCTTTCTGCTACATTATGAAATTAATTTGACTTGGATTATTTTCTGTATATGTCTTTGAACACATCCCATAGATTTTCATATATGATTATCCCACTTCTAATAATTTCTAAATAGTCTTTGACTTTTATTTTCTCCTCAACCTATTAGTTTTTTATTTAGTACACTATCCATATAAAGTAATATGTAAGGAAACATACGATATAGGTCACTAGTAAAGTTTCTAAAATAATTAAACCCTCACCTCTTGCCCTCAGTACATCCTTGTTTAAACCTCTGTTGCTCCAAAATGAAAACTCTTTCAGGATAAGTTGAGGAAATTACCCACTTACTTACTTCTCAAGAGGCTCCCTACTTACCTGCTATGCAAGTCTGATTAGTTTGGTTTCAGTGTGGTTCCCTGTGTTTCACACACTCCAGAAGTTCTACATTTCTTATATGTCAATGGTATAAAAAGTAGCCTTTTCTCTCTTTTCCAGTAGTCCTACAGCGGTTTTCTTTTTTTTACCATTTTTATTCTTTCAATGGACTGTAAGAGGGGTAGGCAGAGGAGGAGATGTAAGTACATAGGCTCCAGATAAAAACCTAAAAGCAGAAATCCACAATGTGTTTTTCTTTCGGAGTCCTTATCAACTGACTCGACTCTTAAGGTTTTCCTATTTGTTTTCCTCTTCTTGAACTTCGGTACATTGTCTAAACTGATAATTTTGCATGTTATATAACTGCTATAATAGATTTCAGCATTTGAATCCAAATAATGCAATAGTGCATTATTAGAAGTACGGAAATCCAGAGCTTAAGTGTAGTAAAAGTATGAAGAAAGTTGTTTTCTATAATTATGAAAGATTTAAAACCATTAGGGAATGTTCTGTCCTCTAAAATCTGTACTGTGTTAGGCCTCGGTCCATTTGCCTGACAGAAGCTATAAAGAGATAACTAACCTATTATATAATGGTTGAAAATGGAAACTCTTTAAAAGTCTCAGAAATAAGCTACTTTTATATTTGATTTTATTAATTATTAAATTAATTAAGATGTATAGCTTCATTCAAATATATATTACAAAAGATAGAAAAATGAGAATAAATAATAATGTCATCTGATTTTTTAATCCTGTGGAGTATTTTTAAATGTTGTTACTAGAGGAAAGATGAGATCATCCACATTTTAATAATGCTTAAATGAATAGCCTATATATCACTGCCTTGTCAATTTTCCCCTTGATTTGAACCTCTGTTAAGTAAACAAACAAAGTGTTCCATTTACAACAGGTAAGAACCATTCTTTAAAAAAAAAATAAGTTCTGTCTTAAATCTCAAATAGAAAGAAACTAATAAAAAAGAAAATTAACTTGTAAACAATGCAAAATTCAGTGTTAATATGGAAACCTTATAAAATTGCAAACAGAATTTAATTATGAAATCATGAACATATGAACCTCTGAACCAAGTAACACTGATACAGATAGCAGACTCCCTAGAAAAGTAATCATTCATTCATACTTCTGTAACCAAGTATCCTAATTTTTCTAAGAAAAAAAGAAACAGTATTTTTTAATTATTTTCTCTTCTTTCCTCTTTTCTCCATTTCTCCCTATCTCCCACTTTCCACTCAGCCTTTTAGAAATGAAAGGGTAACCTTTTACCTTCCCTTCACCAGATACTCCCTACAGGGCAAGTTGATCTAACGATGTGCTTAGAAGCTCCAGAACAGAACTCTCACCCACCAGTAGGTTGGTAATAGTCGATTTACAACCCAAAGTCCTGCTACAAAACTCTCTCTCACCTGGAGAGTTGGCCACCTTTACAACCTATTTCTGCCCATGAAGACACCAACTCGACTGCCCAGTAGATAAGGCACCAAGCTGGCAATGGAGTCCCCACCTGTTTACTACTACTCCTGTGTGCCATTCATGATAGACTCTCTTTAAAAGCACCCACTGTCACACGTGTCCATGTGAAGAGACCACCAAACAGGCTTTGTGTGAGCAATAAAGCTTTTTAATCACCTGGGCACAGGTGGGCTGAGTCCTAAAAGAAAGTCAGTGAAGGGAGATGGGGTGGGGCCATTTTATAGGATTTGGGTAGGTAGTGGAAAATTACAGTCAAAGGGAGTTGTTCTCTGGCTGGCAGGGGTGGGGGTCACAAGGTCCTCAGTGGGGGAGCTTTTAAGCCAGGATGAGCCAGGAGAAGAAATTTCACAAGGAACAGGTCATTTTCACTTCTTTTGTGATTCGTCAGTTACTTCAGGCCATCTGGATGTATACATGCAGGTCACAGGGGATATGATGGCTTAGCTTGGGCTCAGAGGCCTGACACCCACTTTCTGCTCCAAAGACAAAGCAGTACCCTTAAGGCAGGAAGCCTGTACTTCTTCCCTGAGCTAGCTTTGGAATAAAAAGTCACTTTGTTTATACCAGACCTCCCTCTTGTTAATTGGACTCTGCAAGCAGTGAGCAACTGAACTGAGTTTGTAACACTGTCATCCATCCATTCCCTCAGCAATGGCTGAGTATCCTCTGTGTATGTGCCAACATACAAAAATAAACACAATAACTAACAGTGTAGTCAGAGGTACTGACAAGACACTAGGCAATTGCAATTCATTACGGTAAATAAATTGATAGGTGCTGTGAGAATTGATAGGTGCTGTGAGAACATGTAGGAGAGGCATCTCACTCAGATGTGTTAGTGGAGGGAGGAAAAGTCTCCAGGAGAGAAAGTTTATTTAAGCAATACCTGAAGGAGTATGAATAATATAGAAGTTAGTCAGATGAAGAATGGGATGAATAAGAAAAAGGTCCAAGACAGAGGAACAGGAAGCATGGCATGTAGAAGGAACTAAAACAATTTAATAGGATAATAGCATAGAGATCAAGGCAGAGGCACTAAAAGATAAGGCTGGGAAGGCATTCAGGGGCCAGATATAAAGACTTTTGTAATTCAAATTAAGGAATTTAGAACTTAAGGGCAATGAAAAGCCATTAGTGGTTTTAAGAAGAAAAGGAACAATGATAAGTGTTTTAGTAAAATCATACTGACTGAAAAATACATAATTTAGAAAAAAAAGATGAAGATTAGAAGTCTTGCTTCAATTCATAACAGAGATAAGGACAGAATTAGAAAAGTGAAAATGGAAGTGGAGAGAAGGAGAAGTTCATATTTAAGAGTAAAATTCAGCCTGGACAACATAGTGAGACCCCATCTCTAAAACAATATTTTTTTTAAATTAGCCAGGTGTGGTGGCATGCACCTGAAGTCCCAGCTACTCCACAGGCTAAGGTGGGAGGATGGCTTGAGCCCAGGATTGCAGTGAGCAGTGATTGTGCCACTGCACTCCAGCCTGGGTGACAGAAGGAGACTCTGTCTCAAAAAATATTTTTTTAATTTAAAAAAAAATTGTAAAAAGAAATATAACTTTTTTTTACAAAGTTTTAAATTTGTATAATGGGCAGAAATAAGCAGGATAGATTCAATATGGGATTAGGAGAGGGTAGGATTCAAAGGTGACTACTCTCTCCCTCCCGTTTTTTGTCTCAGGTGTGGTACCATTCACTGAGACACAGAACAAAGGCAAAGAAACAGATTTAGGGGCAAGGATAGGAAATGCTAAATGCTGTGGGGTTTTTCTTTTGAACTGCCTTTTTGTCATCTAAGTGAATCAAGTTAGGACAGTGAGCTGTAAGGGTCTGAGATGAGCAGAGATCAGCACAAGGATTCGTCAGTATACAGATCACACCTGAATTTATGGGAGTGGATAGTAAATCTGCAGAACAAAAAGAGAAGACATCTAAGGAACTTCAACAGTTGAGCGACAAATAAGATTATATCTCAACATGAGATTTGGAGGGCACATCCAAACTATCACACACACCGTCTCATTGACAACAAATTGTAGGAATTTTAAAAATTCCACTTATTTCTACCTTCTTTTTTTTTTTTTTTTTTTTTTTTTTTTTTTTTTTTTTTTTTTTTTTTTTTTGGGGAAGATTGAAGGGAGACAACCTCTTCCCAAATAGAAAGAAATTTCTAGAAACATTTCCTGGCTTAGACATAAGAAACCTATGGAGAAAATTTTCCTGACCACCTTAAACTCACAGCTCTGCTAAGCCTTTAAATTCTCATAACCATCATCACTTATCCTCTTCTCTACCCTCCCCCAAAACACATATACTCACAAACACACTTCCTTATTTTCATGAACCTGTGTTCTTGACTGCTTCTCTCTTTCAAATCAAAGAGCAGTCTATTAAGGAGGTCTATTTATATGCTACATGGCAAAAAGAAACCCTAATATTTATTTTTTTTTAAAAAAGGGGGGATCAGAAGGATAGAAGTCATGTGGGAAAAACAAGTTATTAAAAAATGAAAAAATAAGAAAAAGTAAATAAATTAAAAAGGGGCTTCACAAAGCATAGACAACTTCCTCCAGACACTCTTTATGTTTTATCAGTCATCTGCCAGCCCAGGAAGGAATCATGGTGTTCCCCAAGAGGCAGGACAGCCAGGAGCTGTCCACCTCAGATATGGAAATGAGAAAATAAAAAACAAAATGTCATGTTGGCTGAAATTCTGGAGCTCTTAATTGCTGCTGGTATTTCAGGACAAGACGTAATGGCTTATCAGCTTTTGGCAAGGTAATAGGTTTTGGAAAGACTTGGTCCACCATTCCTTGCTATCTTGACATCAGTGTTGATTTATTCTTTCAGGAAAACTCTACAATCAATAAAAATAAAATAAAACATACTAGAAAAAGTATCTCAGCCCTTCCAAAGATGAAGTATTCACACCAGCTTGAACCCCACTGATTCAGGATATGGATTCTATTCACACATTTCCTCCTCTTTAAAGAAGAAACTGAGGCCTATAGCTATAAAGAGTTCCCTGGAATCCTGCAGTTATTCAGCACTAGGCCTTGCTGCATCAGCATCTTGGACACCTAAGTTGTGGCTTTGCCCATAGGACAGTATGTGCTGTGGAGGGTCACTCCTAACCTGGTCAACAGAGTGCAGTCATTTCAGAATACATGTGTAGCCATCTCTGGGTTGGCGTTTATTGTGATCTCATCTCTGTCAGCTCAAGTATCCCAGCTTTTCTTGACAGTGGCTGCTGAAGTGAGCCATATAAACAGAAGAAATTGGTGACTATATCAGCTCCTGTTCTATATCCTACTTTCAGAAAACCTACAGGCCCCCTGAGGATCATGACTTCATGAAAAGGCAATCAAATGAGACTTTGACATCTCACAGTCAGGGTGAACTTTTGAAAATGTAGATTGGATAACTGCTCCCCAGTGACTCTCTGGTGCATCTGCCGTTACCATGGGCAGAAAAGACCAGGCTTATAACACAGGTTATAAGACAAGGGTAAGAAATATGTGGGCCAGAGCCAAGGCTGGAGCTGCACTTGCCCATATCAGCTGACCTCAGCACACATGAGGGAGCTCAGCCAGACCTGCAGAGCCATACAGCCCAGCCCAGCCTGGCCTTGCCAAAACCAGTGGGCCCCACAAAGAGTTGCAACTTACTTCACCAATTTCACCTTTTAAAATGAAGGAAGAGCTGGGCACAGTGGCTCACATCTGTAATCCCAGCACTTTGGGAGACTGAGGCAGGAGGACCCTTGAGCTCAGGAGTTCAAGACTAGCCTAGGTGACATAGCAAGACCTTGTCTCTACTAAAACTCAAAAAATTTAGCCAGGCGTGGAGGCTTACACCTATGGTCACAGCTGCTCAGGAGGCTGAGGAGGGAGGATCACCTGACCATAGGAAGTTGAGGCTGAAGTGAGCCATGAACGTGCCACTGCACTCCAGCCTGGGTGACAGAGCCAGATGCTGTCTCCAAGAAAAAAAAAAAAAGAAGAAGAAGGTAGAAATAAATGGAATTTTAAAAATTCCTACCAATTTGTTGTCAATGAGATGGTGTGTGTGATATAGCTTGGATGTGCCCTCCAAATCTCCTATTGAAATATAATCCCCAGTGTTGGAGGTAGGGCCTGGTGGAAGGTATTTCGATCATGGGGGCAGATCTCTCATGGCTTGGTGCTGTCCTCACCATAGTGACTTAGTTCTTAGAAGATCCAATCGTTTAAAAATGTGTGGAACCTCCCCTCCCTCCCTCTCCCTCTTGTTCCTGTTTTGACCGCGTGACGTGCAAGCTCCCACTTTGCCTTCTGCTATAAGTAAAAGCTCCCAAGACATCACCATAAGCAGTCGCAGTACTATGCTTCCTGTACGGCCTGCAGAACCATGAGCCAATTAAACCTCTTATAAATTACCCTAGTCTCAGGTAATTATTTATAGCAATGCAAGAATGGCCTGATAAAGTGATTTTTAGAGAAAGGTTCTCACTCTGTTGCCCAGGCTAAAGTGCAGTGACACAATCATAGTTCACTGAGGTCTCAAACCCCTGGGCTCAAGCGATCCTTCCATCTCAGCCTCAGAATAGCTAGTACAATGGGAAAACATCACTGTGCCCAGCTAATTTTCATTTGTTTGTTTGTTTCTTTGTAGAGACAGTGTCTCGCTATGTTGCCCAGCCTGATCTAGAACTCCTGGGCTCAAGCAAGCCTCCCACCTTGGCCTTCCAAAGTACTGGGATTACAGGTGTGAGTTACCAAGCCTGGCCAAGACTGAGTTGTTAAATTCAGCTGAACAAAGCCTGGGTCCCCCACTTCCTAGGGATCAGCCCCTGTGAGGAAAGCTGCATCAGCATCTAATACCCTCAAAGATGATCATTCTGAAAAGAAATATCTTGAAGGGCTTCTGCATCATCAAACATTTCACCACATGCAAAAAGAGTTTGAAAAAATTGAGTTTTCCTGGCTCATAATTGGACAGTACAGTCTGGAGGTGTGAAAACTTTTTAAAATTCCAACTTATTTCTTCCTTTTTTTTTTGTTTGTTTGTTTGTTTGTTTTTTGAGACAGAGTCTCACTCTATTGCCCAGGCTGGAATGCAGTGGTGCGATCTTGGCTCACTGCAACCTCTGCCTCCCACGTTCAAACAATTCTCCTGCCTCAGCCTCCCAAGTAACTGGGTCTACAGGTGCATGCCACTATACCCGGCTAATTTTTTATTTTTAGTAGAGATGGGGTTTGACCATGTTGGCCAGGCTGGTCTTGAACTCTTGACCTCAGATGATCCGCCTGCCTTGTCCTCCCAAAGTGCTGGGATTACAGGCATGAGCCACTGCTCCCGGCCATTTCTTCCTTTGTTTTTAAAGGCATAATTGGTGAAGTAAGTTGAAATCCTTTGTAGGGTCCTCCATAATCTTTTCCCCACTTGTGTTCTGCCCTCTCTGTGAATAGTCAAGGCCAGCCAGACATGAAGAGGCTCTGAGAATAAGAAGTTTTTGGTGCTCTGTGGCTAAAATGATCCAGGGCCACAAAAAGAAAAGTTTATTTAAGAGAAAGAGAAGCCAGGTGCAGGGGTGCAAACCTCCTCCTAGTTACTCAGGAAGCTGAGGTGGGAGGATTGTTTGAGCCCAGTTTGAGGTTGTAGTATGCTATGATGGTACTTGGGAATAGCCATTGCACTCCAGCCTGGGCAACATAGCAAGACCCTGTCCCTAAAAAAAAAAAAAAAAAAAAAAAATAGAAGGAGAAGAATTAGCCAGTAATTTACTGTATTTATTCTTTCTCTCTCACCTCCACTGAAATCTACCAGGCACTGATTTGGTTCCAGGCAGAATACTCTCTGGTGCTCTATGATGGTCCACGAGACCTGACAAACTGAAGTGCCTCACAACAGCCTAGGGGATCACAGAGGGTCTGTTCATAGCCATGATGCTCAGTGTTGCAGTGGTTCTAGGGGACACTGTGCCCACCAGTGGCAGCCCTGCCAGAGGACTTTCAACCAGATCCTGATACCCATGGATTGCTGTGGAAGATGGTGTTACTTATAGTCATGGTCAGATTTTTAATAATTAAAGGCCTATCTTATGCAAGTAAAGACAAAGAACTAGCCACTGATATTTCTGTTCTTCTAGAGAAAATACTTTCAAATTTTTTACACATTTAACCTTATTCAAAAATAACATGAAGGCCTTGAATTAACTTTAATGGAATCCATGCTCAAAAACAAACTATCGGAAATGGAAAAACTGGAAGGCATTAAAAAAGAGCTGAAAATCTCCAACTCTTTGCTTGGACTTAGAATACATTCTTTTAGAAAAGGACTTAGCAAAGAGTGACCTGAACATTTAGAACAAGTTGAACCTGACATTACAAGAAATATCCAGAAGATTTATCAAGCAAAATAATAGACAATGCATTAAAGACACATTGAATTTCAAGTAGCTACAAGCAAACAGCCTTCAAAATATATCAGAAGACTGAAGAACAACTTCAGACAGCACTGAGGAGATGCTTCAGATGAAAATTCCTATATTATGAGAAGTATAAAACTGTCTTCACAAGAAACTAAGGAGGTTTGGAGTGCTCTGACTCTAACAGCAGCATAGGCGGCCCTCTGCCTATGCTTGGCGTTGATGTACATTGTTTCCATAAAAAGAACTGACTGCGTTAGAATGAAAGGAAGCTATCTGTGCAGACCTGTCTTTAGAACCTTTGAAGATAATAAAATAATATTTGATTCTATGGTGATATTCTCTAGATGAAGCTATGGTGAAAAATGTTTTGGAAAGGAAAAAAAAAAAAAAACAGACACCGTAGTAGCAGTTCCCAAAGTGGTGAAATCAGTACTAAGAGCAAGTCTGTAGATTCTAGCCTTGGGGGCCTTTCATAGTCCAGCCCTGCGGCCAGCCTCAATACAGATTCCACCAAGAGCTCAGAATAAAGCAACAATAATTCAAATACGTGTGCAGAATTTCAAATAAAATATGTTGGTGCCATTAAGACACTGAAACTCTCTGAGAGAAGATGTCTTAAAGGGCCACTAGACCTGATAAATTATATAGATGTTGCCCAGCAAGATGAAAAGTTGCCTCTTGTTCCTCTGGAGGAAAAATTTATAATGGGAGTTTCCAAATATAATACAAGTATCAACATCAGATCAGTATGATATTTTGTATAGGCATGTTCTATATTTAATCATCTGGATGGTGTGTTATGATGATGGTCTGGGGTGGAAAAACACTTATTGGCTCTGAAGAACACAGATGCAAGCAGTGATGAATACAGCCTGTGAGTTCATCAGTGCAACCAGCTGGAACAAACATAAGCAATTTGAAAAGTTCTATCTGCCACTTTCTATCTGTATTAACATCTGAGAAATGTTGAATCCTGCAAACCAAGTGAAAGTCAATTTATCTGAAAGTTCAGCTGTGTTCAAAACAGTTTTTTTAATATGCAATGTTGTACTATTATGGAAATATGAAGTGATCCCTTTTCTGGATTTTCTTAAGAAAATGCAATAAATAAAATATTGATCATTTGTTTTTAAAATAAGATGTTTTGTATTAAACAGTGGGAAAAAAAGAAGCTAAAGAGTGGATAGAAAGATGAGCAAACTTAGTAATCAGGAAAATAAAGTTTAAAAAAAGTAGTGCATATGGAATAAGTTTTAAATGATAAAGTCAGATCCACCATTTGCTAAAGATGACAGATCAGCCTGCTGTTGATGAAGAAGAAAACACGAACAGTGGAATCCTGAAATTAGATATAATGGATGCATCAGAGTATGGGTACTTGTAAAAATAAATCCAAAAGAATTCTGAAAAAATATGACTAATGTTGTGTAGTTAAATACAGCTCATCTAGGCTGGGCTAGGCCAAGTGGCTATCCTGGCTTCAGCTGGGCTTGTTTTCAAATTTATTTTAGAAACTCTTAACCAGATGTTCACTGTAAATTAACTGAAGGAGATAAAATAGTTGACGCACTGAAAAATTATAAGTCTCCAAGTAAGAAATCTTCACTACAATCAGAAATGGGGGGAAATGCAGTCAGAGAGGGAGAGACAAAAGCTCCAGTGGCAACTTTAAGTCCTTCCTACAGTGCACTGAGAAAAGAAATGTTTTCACCAAATATCTAACGTGGAGATAATTCACTCTGTAAAGATAGTGAAGAAGCCTACTAAAAAAGATTAAAAGATTAACACGTAAAGAGCTGTACATTTCCAAAACATTTTTGAGGAAGAACATAAATATTTGGGAAAGTAACTTCATTCAGAAAAATAACTCAAAATGGATCACCAGCCTAAATGTAAAATGCAAAACTATAAATTCCTAGAAGAGAATCGCCAAGGAGAAAATCTAGATGACCTTGGATATGAAAATGAATATCACATCAAGATCCAGTCCATGAAAGAAAGAATTGATAAACTGGACTTCATTAAAATTTTTTTTAAAAAATCTCTGTTCTGCAAAAGACAACATCAGTGTAGTGGAAAGAAAAGCCACAGATTGGGAGAAGATACTTGCAAAGGGGGTATCTGATTCTAAAAAACCTGTAATCCAAAATATACAAAGAATTCTTAAAACTCAACAATAAGAAAACAAACAATCCAACTAAAAATACCAGACATCTCACCCAAGATAATACATATGGCAAATAAGCATGTGAAAAGATACTCTACATCATATGTCATTAGAGAAATGCAAAATGAAACAACAATGAGATACCAATACACACCTGTTAAAATGGCCAAAATCCAGAACACTGACTACAGCAAATGCCAAAAAGGATATGCAACAACAGGAATTCCCATTTGTTGCTGGTGGGAATGCAACATGGTACAGTCACTTTGGAAGTGGTTGGTGGTTTCTCATGAAACTAATCATACTCTTAGCTTATGATTGAGCAATTATGCCCTTTAATCTCTGCCCAAAGGAGTTGAAAACTTGTGCCCACACAAAAACCTGCACATGAATGTTTATACCAGCATTATTCATATTTGTCAAAACTTGGAAGCAACCAAGATGTCCTTCAGTAGGTGAGTGGATAAACTGTGGTACATCCAGACAATGGAATATTATTCAGCACTAAAAAGAAATGAGCTATTAAGCCCTGAAAAGACATGGAGGAAACATAAATGCATATTACTAAATGAAAGAAGCCAATCTGAAAAGGCTACATATTGTATGATTCCAACTATAACACTCTGGAAAAGGCAAAACTATGGAGACAGAAAACAGAAAATTGGTGGTTGCTAGGGGTTATAGGGTTATTGGGGAGGGAGGGAGGAATGGGCAGAGCACAGAGAATTTTTAGGGCAGAGTGAAAATACTATGATGTTATAATGGTGGATACATGCCATTATAAATTTGTCTAAACCCACAGAATGTACAACACCAAGAACAAACCCTAATGTCAACTATGGACTCTGGGTGGTAATGATGTGTCAATATAAGTTTATGAGCTGTTGGATATTAGTAATGGGGAGGTTATGTATGTATGGGAGCAGAAGACATATGCGCTACCTCTGTACCTTCCTCTCAAATGTGCTGTAATCTGCTCTACAAAAATACTCTTTAAATTAAAAAGTAACCTTACATTGCTGATGTGCCCAGAGGAGCATTTGGAAGGGCCTGAGAGGACCACCAGGAAACTTCATAAACAAACAGATCCCCCAAAAAGAATGAGGGTCCTGCATAGGAGCAAGACAGAAAAATGGACAAAAGAGTCACCTAGAAGAAACTAGTCATACTACAAAGTTTAGCTCAAGGCCAGTCCTGAGAACTATGTACTATCATCTACCAAGCTGTCCAGGACATTTCCAGTATTGTTTTCTTTTAAATTCCTACAAAGGAAGAGTGCTATAACTACTTGTGCCTGAAAGATAAGTAGCTTAAGCATAAGAAAGCTAAACAATATGCCTGAGTTCTAAGTAAATTAGGGCAGAAACTAGGAACAAAAAGCAAATATCCCAATTATGGACAACCCCTCTAGCCATCCCACTCTCCTAAGGGTACTTCATGAAAAGAACTGCAAAATTATTCTGTCTTTTGAAACTGGGAACTTTTGAGGGGACTAGTGCCACATAGTAATTGTGTCAAGGCCTACAGACATCTCTTAAAAGCATTATTTTTTTTAATTAATTCTGTTGAGATTTTGGAATTTTTGTTTCAAAAATGTGTTTGGGAGAGAAATCCACAAGGTTTTAGGTTATTAGGAAGTAGTCCACGAATAAAAACCTGTGAAAACCAATGTCTAAAATGGATTAATGCTCTCTACACAGGAATAGTCATCAGTATAGTGAAAAAGAAATACTAATGTAAACGGATTCCTTATTTACTAGATGAAAAATGGCTTTCTTCAGACTTTTAAAAAAGACTTTGTGACTATTATCATATAGATATTTAAAATTTTATATTTTGTTAACTTAATATACCCAAATTTCAAAAAAGTAGTCAATAGGACACTTGACACTCCAATGGTTTGGCAAAATTCCAGGGACAGAAATTAAAATCTCAGTCAAAAAAAACACCAAAAAAGAAATTCCTAGCTTTAACTCATAGACAATATGCCAACTATGTAACCTATTTTATAAGAAAGTATTTATATCACCTATTCTCCCCTGGTATTCCATGCACAAAAAGAGTGTAGCAGCAGGAACACACAACAATTCCCTTACTCAGACCTCATACTTACAGTCCTTTACCTTACAGACCTAATAGCTACAACATTCTATCCAAGGTATTTCAATATACATTAGTATTTTTTTAGGAAAAAAAAAAAAAACTTCATGATGCTCCTGTTGTTGCTTTATGAAGGGCATCTAGATGTTTTTGTAAAGAGGGGGCTATTAAATTTAAGCAGGACCTGCCTGCATTGGAAGAATCACATACTCCATATCATATACTTGGCATATACTTGGTACAAATTTAAGACAGAACCATGGAATTACACTAACTGGAATTATCAATACAAGGATTGGTAAAATTATTAACTTAGCTATAATACATGTCAAGTATTAGGTTTAACCTGTGATTCATTTCTGACCAAAACACTCATTTTCTCTCAGCTTCTGGGTATGAAAATTACATTCTCAAAAATTAATCATAATTTTTAAATCTCAGATCATATCAGGGGTTAAGGAGTATAGTACAAAATCTCATGAGGTCATATTTTCATTCTGTTAAAAGAATATTTCACCAACTAAATAGGACAAAAAAATTTTTTAAAGACAGGCATTATACTTCTTTAAATATATTCAACAACTAGGGTAATAAAAGTTTTCATTTTTTCCAATTACTCATCACCATATAGCATGTAACTTCCTGATTTTTTCCTTTTTTTTTTTTAACTAACCCACCTATTTAACATTTCATAAGGTAAACGATAGGTTTACAGCTCTTAGAAATTTGGAAACTAAAATATCTTACTAACTGAAAAAAGCAAAGCACAGAATAATACATAGAATGATACTTTTGTGTTTTTAAAAGCAAGTATCTTGGTTCCTAAATTTCCTATTTTTATTTATTTATTTCTTTATTTTTAATTTATTTTTTTTTTTTAAGAGGCAGGGTCTCCCTCTGTCACCCAGGCTAGAGGGCCGTGGCACCATCATGGCTCACTGTAGCCTCAAAGTCCCTGGGCTCAAGCAATCCTCCCACTTCAACTGACTGAGTAGACGGGGCTACAGGTGCATGCCACCATGCGTAGGTAATTTTTTTTTAATATATTTTTGTACAGACGGGGTCTAGCTATGCTGCCAAAGCTGGTCTTGAACTCCTGGGCCCAAGCAAGCCTCCTTCCTTGGCCTTCCAAACTGCTGTGATTACAAGCGTGAGCCACAGCATCCAATGGCTTTCACATTTCTAAAGCTTAAGTAGGTGAGTTATTTTATATAAATATTTTTAGTTAATAGGAATAGGAATTAATAACTTTTATTAATAATGGTTAGCATAGAGTGGGAGCAGAAGGGAGAAGTATGACAGGGGAAATTTTTACTCTTCATAATTTAAGACACGCAAGATATATAATACAAGAATCTCAGATACATTATGCAAGAAACTTGTATTTTTTCTTTGCCTTCTTCTATAAACTTTTAAAAAAATATAGAAAGTTCATAAATTATCTGGAAAACCTCCACCACTAATCTGTTCAATCAATCTCTCCAGTAGAGGGCATGGTAGGTTCAACACAGAAAATGTATGGTTAGGTTATCAGCCACTCTCAAACTGAGGTTTTGTTGTGCAACTTTTACAACCCACTGCATTGTTTCTTCCTCTACCACAGGATGGAAAATATGTGTCATCTTTATGTGGAGCAATTCTGTTTACCTAAAAGCCAGTTGCAACAACAAAAAGGGAAGTCATCAAAGATTCCAGCTTTTGTTTTACCTATATATACGTAAATATATGTAATGCATATGTAAATATACATGTAATACATATTACATATATGCGTGAAATATATGATGTATATATTCATGTCACATATATTACATGTATATGTAAATATACATATATTGGCCTGTCTTTTAAAAGACATTAACATGGCAAGTTTTTGAGGAAAAGGTTTCTATAGCAGGTACTGCCTTAACTCTTAAAATTACATATAGATACAAAAATTACAAGTTGATTTATATCCAGATTTATTAACCAACCACATAATTTTCAGAGAAAAATTAATTTTCTGCCACCTAACATCAGTCACTGATCTGGAAGGGTTTATGAAAAAAGCAAAGAATTATATTAAACACAAAAACATCAAGAATAATCTATATTTAAACCAGTTGCTTATGCAGGTACATGTATATTCACTTTCATTAATATATTGAGATGATTAAACTTCCTTGGCTTGGAGATATCTGAAAAGTGTAATTAATTATTATTATTATTTTAAGAGACAGGGTCTCACTCTATCACTCAGGTTGGAGTGCAATGGCACAATCATAGCTCACTGTAACTTGAATGCTTGAACCTCGAACTTCTGAGCTCAAGCCTTCCACCTGCCTCAGCCTCCCAAAGTGCTGGGATTTCCAGCATGAACCACAATACCCAGCCTGAAAAGTTTAAATGTTAATCAGTTTCCTTATTTTTCCTACGTATTATCCAGTGAGCATTTATTAAATATCTATAATGAGCTTAATCTTCTACAAATTTGTGTATCTTGTGTATTTGTGTACCTACAAATTGAAACATCTTGATATTTAATAGTACCTACATATTTATAACCTAATTACGTCTGAGTTAATCCTCGTACGATTTTTTCCATCTTGAACAGCTATGATTTGAACATTTCCTTTTGCCACACATATGCAAATCAGTAATAAACTTCCGTACAGTACTTTAGAGCTTAGAAAAGACCTTTCATGTAAGAGTCACATAATATCCTATGAGGCTGGCAAGAAAATACATGTTACTCTTATTACAGATGAGAAACTGGGACTCAAAGAGGTGTGAAGCTAGTGTCCCAACAGTTACTTAGCATTTACTGGATAAGCCCAGGCTCTAACTGGGTCTCCTGACAGAAGTCCAGCTCTCTCTCTCTGCTGCCTCTTTGTCAGAACTCCTGGCCTGCCAGCGAATTTAACTGTCTATGAGTAAATTCTAACATCTAAGGTTCTAAGTATAAAATATATTGAGGTTTACAGTGGTGAGAAAAAGCAAGTGTCTGCGTATTACAGACAGCTGATAAATACGTATTGAGTCATCAGAAAGTGAAAATAGATGTAGGACTATTATGCAAAGCATAGGAGAGGAAGAGCATATGCTTAAGAAAAAATGGCATTCCTAGAGTTAACAAGCATGTTTCAAAGTATCTATTACTGAAATCTACACGATTTTCCTTTCCACAATAAAGTCCACAACTGTTGTCTTAAATAATAACTGCAGGTTTTGCCCTCCAAGTCAAACTTGGAGCTCCAACTACTGGCAGCTCACCGTAAGAATATATTAATTATTTCCAATTTCCTTTTAAGAAGTCGAATACAAAGTAGAGAGAATATCTGCAGCTTGGTTGCAAAGCCGCTTAAACATTTCACTGGCTAGTTCTGGTAATATTATCCGAAATCAACTCATTTTGTGGTTGAGGTAATCTATTTGTCTTTACCAATCAAGTCGTTTTAAAACCTTCAGGAGTAGAGATGATACTTGAAGAATTAACAAATAAAACTTAATCAAGGAAACTGTTAACTCATTCTCCCCCCTACTTTTTGCCAGTTATTAAATGTTCTGGTAAATCCTAACTCAACAAGAATGACTCATGAGGAAATCCTGACTCCTTGAACTCACTGATTCTGGTGCATTACAGCTATGAAATCTCTATGTCTGCAGCTTTCTCTCCCACCATAAGGAAATCTGTGATTTCTATTTTGGCAGGAGATGTGACCAAGGACTCCTGAGGAATGACCCTATAGACAGACCCAGCCACGTGCCTAGTAGTGATCAAAAATGCAAACCCAATTAAAGCACTGTCTTCTGATAAAGTCACTTTCTCTTGTTCAATCCCTAATGTTCATTCTCAAAGTGTTCCAAGACGCCCCAGCAAGCTGCAGAGCAGATCCCACCCTGCCCCTGGGCAATCAACGTTTCAGGTTACTCCTTCCTTAAGTTAAGTGGCAGAGAGAAACGGGCGAGGGTCTCCCCATTGCCTCAGTTCACAGACCAGGGGGTGTCGAATGAGTCCTACAGCAGGACAGCAAACAAGAAATGAGGCGCGGGGTCAGGGAACGCGCTCAAAAAAGGAAGAAAAATCCCACTCTTCATTCGAAATCAGGCCACTGCACTCCGGCCTCGTGGCGGGCGACCTCCTCCTGCCAGGGAATCGCCGCTCTGGCCTCGGGCTGGGGAGCCCGTCAGGGTGGGTGAGGGAGCGCCGGCGCCCCCGCCGGGCCGCCGCCAACTTCGGCTCCCTCCCTCCGTCGCAAAGCCCTCGAGCCCGCCCGGCCGCCACGCTTCAGCAAAAGGTCGTGCGCAGCGGCCCACACTGAAGACTCTCCATCTGCTCCCACACCTGCCCCAGCTGGCCGCTGCTATGTGGCCCGAGTGCGCAAGAAGCCGGGGCCGCAGACGTCAGCAGCGCCCCGGCTTCGAGACCCTTCGGCAGCAGCCGTGACTGCCGCCGGCGGGCGCTGACCCATCCCCGTGCCAGTCTGCAGCCGACCAATCCGCGTCCTCTTGAGGCGGGGCCGGAGCCGCGAGGCCCCGCCCCCAAGCCGAGGCCTCATAAATGCTGCGACGCACGCCCAGCCGCAAACAGCCGGGGCTCCAGCGGGAGAACGATAATGCAAAGTGCTATGTTCTTGGCTGTTCAACACGACTGCAGACCCATGGACAAGAGCGCAGGCAGTGGCCACAAGAGCGAGGAGAAGCGAGAAAAGATGAAACGGACCCTGTGAGTATGGCTTTCTTCCCTCTCCCGCCACCCCCTGCCCCACACTGCAAGCTGCAAACGCGGTACTTTCGGGCTCGCCTTTGACGTTAGGAAACTAGCCTGAGCCTATGCAGGGAAAAAAAATCGAAAAGGTCAATTTGTTAAGTAAGGTTAAATCTGGGTGATGCTCGGGTACAGTTTAAGAACCGAGGGAGACAGTTGATATGAGGGCGGTGGTTGATGCGCTAAGAAATTGCGGGTTGGCTTTTTGTCCTCCTGCATTCAAAATGACATCAGAATCCTGCGGCTGAAGCGCGTCCCCAGCATTCATACGTTGCATGATGAGTTCTCATCAGCTTACACAGCTACTGGAAGGTGATGCTCTTGCTGGTTCTGAATATACTCGTTTAAAATCCATTTTTGTTTTTTAATTATAGAGCAGATCTCACCCAGTCCGAATGTGGAACAAATAATTGTTATGCAGCGTCTGCTTAAAAGAAGTGTCGTAGGTGGGGAAGGAAGAGCGCAGGGGAATCAGTCACCCACCTCTTTGTACAGTCTCTGGCGTGGTCCAGAACCTCCTGCTCTAAAGAGAGAAGCGTGGGCCGGCTCCAGACAGTTCCATGTCTGTCCTTTTCATTAAAGTGCAAAACGTCTCGGAATTGTAATTAACCTTGCAAACAAACTGATGCCCTTTGTGAGCCAGAAATAGTGTCTGCCTTTTGAACTAAATTCATTAACAATTCTTTAAAATACCCTAGTGATTATAGGTAGCCCTGCCCTTAGTTGTAAAACTAGTAGATACGGTCAGATTAATGGACGAAACTGCTCAGTACATGAGGTTTAAATGTTAGGTGGATAAGACTTATTTGAAGAGTTCTTGCTTTGCCTTATGCGGTTTGTCTCTAGTTACTGGGTGACTTTATTTGGTAAAAATGCGTTCAGCTGCAGTAGCATATTCAAGTGTTGCTAGTTAGTAATTATCTTTTTAATTTTTTGTTTTAGTTTAAAAGATTGGAAGACCCGTTTGAGCTACTTCTTACAAAATTCCTCTACTCCTGGGAAGCCCAAAACCGGCAAAAAAAGCAAACAGCAAGCTTTCATCAAGTAAGTTGAGAATCCTGTGCTTGCAAATATCAATAGTTAGCTGCTGAACTGAAAAGGGGAACTCTGATGTGCGTAAGCTAACATACAGAACCTCTCTTGCAGGCCTTCTCCTGAGGAAGCACAGCTGTGGTCAGAAGCATTTGACGAGCTGCTAGCCAGCAAATGTAAGTTAACTCTTGAGCTTGAGCCATTGCTAACATCGCAAAAGCCTGGAAAGGCTGCGTCCACCTAACAAAAGAGCAGCTTGCCTGAGGGGGATTAGACTGCAGTCACTATAGGATAAAGCCTGTTTTTCTTTCCTTTATTTCCCAGGGTTTAACAAATAAATGCATATATTCTCTCCAGGTGGGGAAGAAAATCAGCCTAAACAAATTAAAGTGGCAGTTGCTTATAGTTAAGGTTGAGTCAGTTTTTCCATTGCATACAATGTTTTCAAGAGGCTTAGTTCCCAGAGAATTTATGGCTCCCCTATAAATATTTACTTTGCATTGACAGCAAAGTACTTATATTTTTGCAGCAGAGTGCCAACATAAGCCTTTTGCCTACTGGTATCTTAGTCTTTAAAAAGCTAAATTTTGAGAATTACAGGTTTGAGCGAAATCTAGAAAATTCATTTAGAAATAATTAAAATGTGAGGGATAGGAGAAACATAAGGAATCATTTGGTCTCTCAGTTCTTCACATTCTGCATGCTCTCTTTTCTCCCCCCTTCAGATGGTCTTGCTGCATTCAGGGCTTTTTTAAAGTCGGAATTCTGTGAAGAAAATATTGAATTCTGGCTGGCCTGTGAAGACTTCAAAAAAACCAAATCACCCCAAAAGCTGTCCTCAAAAGCAAGGAAAATATATACTGACTTCATAGAAAAGGAAGCTCCAAAAGAGGTAAGGAAACAAGTTCCTAATTTCAGCACAATCTGGACATCTTTAGCACAAAAGTGAAACAAAGTAATCAAGGACAAAGCGGGCTAGGAGGGGTAAAAAGTCCCTCCACGTTGTAGCTTTCAGTTATGTTAAAGTTCTCCTGTGACTTAGCTAGTAAAGCTAATCACACATAATTTTTATTTTTTGTTTTCAAATACTAAATTTTAATCTTTAACTCTGAATACCAAATAAACAACTTTTTTGTTTTATTTCAGATAAACATAGATTTTCAAACCAAAACTCTGATTGCCCAGAATATACAAGAAGCTACAAGTGGCTGCTTTACAACTGCCCAGAAAAGGGTATACAGCTTGATGGAGAACAACTCTTATCCTCGTTTCTTGGAGTCAGAATTCTACCAGGACTTGTGTAAAAAGCCACAAATCACCACAGAGCCTCATGCTACATGAAATGTAAAAGGGAGCCCAGAAATGGAGGACATTTCATTCTTTTTCCTGAGGGGAAGGACTGTGACCTGCCATAAAGACTGACCTTGAATTCAGCCTGGGTGTTCAGGAAACATCACTCAGAACTATTGATTCAAAGTTGGGTAGTGAATCAGGAAGCCAGTAACTGACTAGGAGAAGCTGGTATCAGAACAGCTTCCCTCACTGTGTACAGAACGCAAGAAGGGAATAGGTGGTCTGAACGTGGTGTCTCACTCTGAAAAGCAGGAATGTAAGATGATGAAAGAGACAATGTAATACTGTTGGTCCAAAAGCATTTAAAATCAATAGATCTGGGATTATGTGGCCTTAGGTAGCTGGTTGTACATCTTTCCCTAAATCGATCCATGTTACCACATAGTAGTTTTAGTTTAGGATTCAGTAACAGTGAAGTGTTTACTATGTGCAACGGTATTGAAGTTCTTATGACCACAGATCATCAGTACTGTTGTCTCATGTAATGCTAAAACTGAAATGGTCCGTGTTTGCATTGTTAAAAATGATGTGTGAAATAGAATGAGTGCTATGGTGTTGAAAACTGCAGTGTCCGTTATGAGTGCCAAAAATCTGTCTTGAAGGCAGCTACACTTTGAAGTGGTCTTTGAATACTTTTAATAAATTTATTTTGATAAATAATATTGAACACTTGGAGTCTAGATGTGATTTTATTTTTGATAACTGGAAATGTGGCAGATAAAGGGAAAACATCTTTATAGTAAAAGACATTTCAGTTTTTGTGCCTGCCCAGTGAGAATTGACAGTCTTCAGAACTGAGAAATGATAGTTGCAGACAGATAATTCTTTTTTTAAAACCTATAAGCATTATGCAGACCTAAGGAAGTCACATCCTTAGAACCACTGCATTTATGCTTTCTAATCTTAAAAAAAAATCAAGCTTGTTAATGAAACACTGATCTAAAGGATTCTGTATCTAAGTACCAGCTAAATATGAGAAGTAAATGTAATGGAGACAAGCACAAAAATTATTCACATAATTAAGCTTCTCAAATGAAGAAAGAAGCCAAATAAGGTCAATGTATGCCTGTCTTTATTTACTTTCCATTGGTTCCAAGCTCCCCCACAAGTACCAGCATGGGCTTCCAAGATACATACCTGAAATTGTTCCCTTCCATAATGTATCAATAGAAAATCTCAGAATTTTCCTGATTTTCATGCCTTCATTTGGCCAACAAAGAATCTGTTACTTTAGGTAATGATAAAGTCAAAAGAAGTGCGCTTTCGTTTCTTAGACTTAAATCCAGAAATGTGCTTTTTTCCACTTGAGAGAGGAAGCCCTTGAATCTGTTTTCAAACTGGCTAATTAAAAAGCACCCCTTCCTCAGCAGGCTGTTTTTTTCAATGTCCTTGATTATGGTCTTAATAAAAAAGGAGGAGGAACCCTGATTTTAGAGTTGGAAGAACTGACGCAAAGTAATCATTTCTCATAGCTTTGTGACCTTGGGTGTCCCCATTGTCTTCTCTGACTCTTCATTTTAGACCTTCCTGCCTTTCTGGTTTTATAAAGTAGTAAGGGACTTTAGAAATCATAAAGCACTAAGAACATTTTTTTTCTGATTTGCCAGAAGAAAAATTGACCTCCAGTAGTTTACTGTTTCCATTGTGATTGCACTAATTTTCACCTTAGCCAGAGTTTCTGGCACCAACAGACACAAGCTCTATTAGAGAGACTGCCTTGTCTACTGTATCACAGCAGCCAGAATAATACATAATAGGTGCTCCATAAATATTGATTGAATAAATGAATCCAAAGAGTCATTGAAACAAATATTTCTTTGGAGAATAAATGTGTCAGGTCTAGCATAATCCTTAATTTGGAAAGATTTTGACCAACAGAGGAACTCAGGAGTCATGCCATATATCATCCTATTTGTCACCAAGTCATTTATTTTACTTCAAACCTCTCTACAGCCTACTCTCTGTTACCACTCTGATCAAAGACACCACCATCTGATGCCTAGATTACTGCAATAGTCTCATCTCCTCTCACCCACTCTTCCCCCTCTCCCACACCAATGTGTTCCTGCCTTTTAACTCTAGGGATCCCTTCAAGACAAATCTGATCTTGTCTCCAGTTGCTTATAAACACCTTGACAGGTTTTGCAAACAATTAGGATAAAGACAGTATCTCTAATATGGCCTAACACCTGCATGGCTTGACCCCTCCTTTTGTTCCAACCTTGACTCTACCACATTTCTCCCAGCTCTTTCTGCTAAGCCACACTGTCCTACTTTCCTAGCAGGTGCCATGCCCACTGGCCTCACAGGACCTTAGCACCTAATAGTTCCTCTGCATGGAATTCAGTTTTAGCTCTTACTCATGCACATATCAATGCAATTGCCACTTCCTTAGGGAAGC
The DNA here is from genome assembly GCF_000001405.40 of Homo sapiens. NCBI lineage: Eukaryota > Metazoa > Chordata > Mammalia > Primates > Hominidae > Homo > Homo sapiens. The sequence continues at coordinate 192,814,010 of NC_000001.11, forward strand.
TTCCCTGACCTCCTTACCTCGGTCAGATCCCCTTTTAGATGGTCTTATAGCACCAGGTTCTCTAATTTAGAGCACTTAATGGAGTTGTAAGTTCTCATTAATTTGTCTGATTATTTAATAATTCTATATCTTCCTCCACCAAATTGTAGGAACCACAATTTGAGGACCCTTGGCCTTTTTCCGCTCACCACTGAATCCCAACACCTAGCATAGTGCCTGCTGTACAATGGGAGCTGCATAAATAGTTGTTGAATGAATGGATGAGTATTAAAAGATCTTGCAAACAAATTTTGATGAAACAAGGATCTACCAATGCACAAGCAATTAAGGACAAGACTTTTTTTAAACCCCACTGGCTCAAATGTCTGAAAATATCTGTAGAACTTTTTTCTTTGGCAAAAATAAGTAACTACCTCTTAGTTGGCAAAGTCTCTATAACTTTTGACCTTTAATAAAAGAAGAGGCCAGATTATACTAACAAAAAACAGAAGTTTTTATTTTCAGGGCTGCTAAAAGCACAGACTATATTCAGGTAGTATTTTCCAATGTTCTGTAGTGTGGAACAAACTGAAATAGATTTAAGATTAGAAACCACATTCACCCACAAATAAATATTACTTAATGTTCCAGTTTCCCAGAGTTCACACACTTAGGATCCACAGTCCACTCATTTTGATATTTCATTGTTCATATATTTTCAGCCCAATGATATTTTAAAATATATTAATTTCATATGATCTTACTAAAAAAAATAGAAACTTATATGTTATCTGTCATGTGAGCACAGGGAGACAATAAATGAGTTTCAATAAAATTACCTATAGTGGTCACCCAAAATGTCATAGGAAGCAGATCTTTAGTAGATGTGTTTGTGTTGTGTTGTTGTTTAACCACAGTATTTGATCATGTATGGTAGTGATTCTCACCTTGTGGGGTTGGACAGTGAAGGGAAACAGTGATTGTGCATTTCTCTGTGTCTTGAGAGGTGTTATGCAAGGGAGTGCATTGTGTATTTGGACAGTATAGAGACTAGGAAGTGTCTGCCTGTGTCAGCCACTAGACTGTTTCTTTGTTTTCCTATGTTAGCTCAAAATTGCAGCTAAAGGACTTAACCTGACTTTACAGAGAACATCACCACTATTGAATGTAAGTGTTAACATGTATACACGTTCCCTGGGTCTGACTTTGATGCTTTTTGACAACTTTAGGAAGCCATTTTGGCCAATGGCAATAAGCACAAGTGTTTTATCTAATTTCTGACATCTTAGCTAAAGAGCAGCTTGGGGCTGCTTGAGGTAATGATAACACCTCAAAAGAGCTTCTCCTGTGGCCTAAAGGATAGAAAAAGGAATCACCAGGTGATAGCCTTAAATACTAGTGGTTGGGATATTATTCTGCAGGAATGTGACACCAATCTCAAGTAAAATTTATGGAAATGACTTGGGTATCAATATAAGGCTCGATTGGAGACAGGGCGATGAGTTAGCAGGCTGCAATAATAGCTCACATGAGAACCAGCCATGTGTCTGAACCAGGACAGTGTCACCAAATAATTCAGTGTAACTTAATAGTAAATTATACATCACCTACTCCATGCAGAACACTGATCTAAACTACATAGGGAATAAATATAAAGACCCATGAGACACATTCCCTATCCTCCAAGAAGTACCAATTAAGTAGCTGATGAAATAAATATACCAAATTAAAACAGAGTGTGAGCTATGATTGCTGATTAATTATGAAAATAAAAGTGCAGATACCTTTAGCTGGAATAAATCAAGAAACACAGTGAAGTGGCATTTTTGTTGGTATTTAATAAATGTGTTGAATTTCAGAGAGATAAAGGAGAGATTATTCAAGGTGGAGAAACAGTCTAAATCGAAGGAAAGGGGAAAAGTAGGATTACCTGTTGCATTGTGCTGTGATATTTTTGTAGGCAGATATTTTTAATGGGGATGTATATTTGAAAACTAGTCCATTGATTCGTTTTTTAACAAATATTAAAAGTAAATATATAGATAAATACTTATGAAGGACTTCTCTGGGCAAGACATGTCTATAAGAGTAGAAGACTAGAACCTCAAAATGCAACTAAAAGCTGCACTTAATTTTTCTTAAAAGTTGATTTTCATAAGATCATCATCACAGTTATTAAGCTTTATCAAATCTTTCTTCATGATTTCCCAGGCATCTTTCCCTTCCCTTACTACAGCCAAGTGCTTATTCACCGTGGTCATCCTCCTCTCACCTATCTCAATAGGCCTCAGATCCTGTATTCTGCTTCTCATCCCTTCCCTAGAATGCCATTTGAACGCTAACTTTCTCACACTACTCTTATGCTCAGAAAAGTACATAAATTCCCTGGTATCTCCCAAATCAAGGGAAATTCCTATGCCTAAGGCAAAAAAATTTCTACCATTTTTGTAAAATTTTGGCCCATCCAATCTTATTTCCCACTGTTGACATGAGACATTTGATACTGGTTTTTCTTATTGCCTCTGAGATATATTATTCTCCTACTATTAAATCAAAAATTTCCCTTTGCCCAAAACCCTCTCTCTCTTCCCTTAAGTTATACTCATTTTTTAAGGCTCAAAGTTTCACCTCCATAAAATATTTCCATGGGTGCATCAGTCGTATCTCCAATTAAGTGGTCACTAACCGGACCATTCCGACTTACTCCATTTTCAAAGTAACTAATAAAGTTCCATATTATTGATACTCGTTGCTCATTGATGATCTTATTAACTTACTGGTTGGTTGATTGACTCACAAACTCTTCAGTAAAAATCCATGCAGTGATATAAATGATTTCGTTTAAATATGCTAAACTGACTTGTAAAAAATAACAGTTTTTTCAGAAGTCTACATATTTTAATCTTGGCTCTACGTTTTTGCCTTGCAAATTTATAGTAAAACTGAACTATGTGGATCTTGGATGAGATCCTAATGTTAGATTTTCTCAAATCCCAAATTAATCTGATATTTGTATGGTTTTAAAAGTGCACTGACCTATAAGGAAGCTTCCTTTAGGAGTGATTCTGTGTGTTTATTAAGCTGGTGTATATCTTAGACATGTACAGACGTCACACCAAAATCAAAATAATGAAAAAGAAAAGTGGGCCAAAAGGAAGAGTGAGAAGAAACTATTTCCCTGCTGTCTATTTGGAGTGAAGAGGGAGTTGATTTTTTTTTTAATGCGTTTGCAACTTCCAGTCTTATAGGACTATTACCACCTCCAACCCAAATTACTCTCCCAGTCTTTAGCTTCAGAATGCAACCACAGGTAATCTACGAGTGCGTTTGAAACTGCACTGTTGAAAGAACTAAGAAAAGTATGCGGTTTACATGAGCTGTGGTATAGTCTGACAAAGACCAGATATAAAACTTTTGTTTGAAAAGCAGGTGGTACTTAGTAGATCTTTCCCTGCTTGCCGGGAAGCTTACAGTATTAAATCTCCACTTGGCACAAACCAACATATTCTCACATAGGGTAATTTTCTTGCAAAAGTGGCCACTGAGCATTGTGACATAAATGTCAGGACTTAAAGTTCTACTTCTTTCTAATTTCTTCTACTTCTGTTTTTCAGATGCCAGAGTTTGACAACTCCTATAACACTCTATAAAAGTTCTAGTAATATGATTAACATTTTAAGAGCAACGAATAATGCAACTATTTCAGAAATAATTGTAGTCATCACACATTTTCAGAAAAACCAGTTACCACTGAAAATGTTAATACTAATGAAGTGCTTCTGAACTTTGAGAGATTAGTTAGCCATAGAATGTAAAAAATAACTCAGAAAGAATATTGACCACAAAAGCAGTAAAGTAGTACTATACAATAAAAAATAAAGTAATATTTTATAATATTATGATATATTATATTATATATCATCATATATTATGATTAATAATTTATATATCATTTATATATCATCATATATGTGTTATGATGTATATTATAATAATACAATATAAGACTATATGCAGTCCAGTAGGGTGGCTCATGCCTGTAATCCCAGCACTTTGGGAGGCCAAGGTGGGTGGATCACCTGAGGTCAGGAAGTCGAGATCAGCCTGGCCAACATGGTGAAACCTCATCTCTACTAAAAATACAAAACAATTAGCCAGGCATGGTGGCACACGCCTGTGATTCCAGCTACTTGGGAGGTTGAGGCAGGAGAATGGCTTGAACCCAGGAGGCGGAGGTTGCAGTGAGCTGAGATGGCGCCACTGCACTCCAGCCTGGAGGACAGCGTGAGACACTGTCTCAAAAAAAAAAAAAATATATATATATATATATATATATGCCACATATGTAATGTCAAATATTATAATGAAATTTAAATAATTTAAAAGAAATAGGTGAAATTGATTTGAATAATATATTTTATGTAACCCATTATATTTATAATATTATCATTTCAACATGTAATCAATATGATAAATTATGAAAGAGATAGTTTAATTATTTTATTTGGTCTTCAAATTCTGGTGCATATTTTACACTTGCAGCCCATGCAGATCCATGTCAGACACATTTCATACTAAACAAGTTTTAGGCAAGGCAGTCCCCAGTCCTATATCTTTGATTTGATAAGCCCTCAATTATGATTGATATGATTTAAAAACCTAAGGTAGACCTCATGTTGGCATATTATTTTTGTGTTCTAACTACTTAAAATATAATACACATTTCTTTTTTGACTTGTGCAAAGGCAAACTGTTAACCACTTCCTCACTCAAAATGCATTCTAAAAAGTAAATATTCAAGATGGTACTGAATAAAAATATCTTAGGAGTAAGAGTTAAGTATTTTCTCACAGAAAGTTCCATTTTAGAAACAGTATAACTTAGTTTAGTTCTGCCTATTTGTCCTCCAATGATTATCTGTTCTTTCCCCCTACCACTCTGCTACCATTATCTAGGCCTTCTTTGTATCATACCACTATTACTTCATAGTCTTTTCCCTGTTCTCTTGGAATTAGAGTTTCCTCTGTCCAATTCACCCTGCATATGGAGCAAGACTATTTTTCATAAACACCAATTTTACCATATATTGTTTTCCATTCAAAAAGTTTTATTGCCTTCCTATTTCCAAAGTAGCATGCAAAGAGTACCAGATTAAAAGCCAACAGAATGAGATGCTGGTCATAATGCCATTAACTTTCTAGCTAACTTGGGAATCATCACCTCTTAGGACCTCAGCTATTTCACTGTAAGGGAGTTGATTGCATTACTAACGTCTCTTCCAGCTCTAAAATCTTGCTTGGCTTTGGATTATTTTCTGCATTCTATCCCTACCCTGACAATTTTAATTTTTTTTTCCTCAAACAATCTAACATAAAATTACCGCTTTATTCCATCTGCTTTCCTTCCTATTCCCATTAACAAAACTCCTATCATTTCACTCATATTGACTTTCTGTCTGGATAGGCCCCTACTCCATTTATTCTACCCATAACCTAATATTCCCCAAGACCCATCTCAGCTTTCCATGACACAAATTTCATTAATCTCTGCATCCAATCTTGCATTCAACAAATACTTGCTGAGTGCCTACTCTGTGCAAAGCACTGGGACACCATGCCAAATAAAAAAGAGAGGTTGCCTGCACCCGTGGAACTTATGTTCTGCTGGGGTCAATAGATAATGACCAAATGAGCAAATAAACAAATAAGATAATTCTAGAGTATGGCAAACGCTGATGAAGGAAATAAGCTATGCAGTGAGATAGGGAAGACACTGGCTGGTCTAGAAAGGCACATGTTTACCTGTGCAGAGGGTTGTCAAAGGTTGCGTGAGTTTGTGTTCACTGACTGATAAATTAAAGTAAAGCCTTCTTCTGCTTTGCAATAATAAATATTCTTTGAATGGAACAGACATAAAAGTTGTTTTAGCTAAACCATAATTTTCTATTAATTCCAAAATAATTTTATGTATAAAAAGAATAATCTTTTCAGCAACTCATTACACCCAGCATTATTAAAGCCCTAAAATATAAATAATCCTTGAGGAGGTATCTCTCAAATCACCAGGCCTACCAGGTCTACCCAAATATTTTGCTAATGTTATTATAATATACCAGGTTAATGTTTCTAGATAACCTTTATCCTTCTAATTGTTTTTTTAAACAGCGTATTTCCTTAGGTGCCATCTAACATTCTTCTCTTTGGTGCCCTGTCATGTCGCTGATGTCTTCATCCACTCTATCCTTCCAGCTAAAAACCTGCCACTATATAGGGACTTTTTCGAAAGCTGTAAACCTCGGCCATTCAAACTTACTGAGTTACTAAACTCCAGAGGTTCCCCTGAGAATTCCCCTCCATTAAATTAATGTGAAGGCAGTCTACCTATGGGGAGTCCATCACCATCTCTTATCTGGATTCTTTTTTTTTTCTTTAAATAGAAATTACTCTTTTTGAATTACCTGGATTCTTGACTACAACTTTTGCCTGAAACCTCTCCTGCCTCCAAACACCTGAGTCCATTTCATCCCACCAGAAGACTGGAGTGGAAAGAACGTGGAGCTGAAAGGCTGTCAAGACTTCTACTGTCATCTTGATTCCACCAGTTGAATTAGTTGCTCAGCCTTTGATACAATACTGAGCTTCTATCAGGACTGTTTTCTTACTTGTTAATTGAGGACAGAACAGGTTGATTATCCCTTACCCAAAATGCTTAGGACCAGAAGTGTTTTAGATTTTTGTATTTCTTTGGATTTTCAAATATTTGCATATGCATAATGAAATATATTGGGGAGGGGACACAAGTAAAACACGAAATTCATTTATGTTTCATATACACCTTATACTTATAGCCTAACTGTAACTGTATGCAATATTTTAATAAGTTTGCTCATAAAACAAAGTTTGTGTACATGCCATCAGAAAGCAAAGGTTTCACTAACTCAGCCACCCCTGTGGACAATCCATGGTTGTCTGGCATCACTATCATTCCTGACTCTGAATTTATCTGCTAGCAATAAGTAATCATTTTCTAATATTTATTCACACATCACTATGTAATAGTATAAAATATGACATATCATTATTAATGATGCACTCTAGGGAACTAAGTGAAAAATAATGAAAAAATAATGAACTCTAGGGAACTAAGCAGCGCAGTAGCATCACCCAGAATATCTGTATCAGCTGTTAACCGCAGCAACAAACAATGGCAAGCTTTTGGTCTCCACTCATGATGCTATGTTTGTATTAAAAGGTTACTGTGCACTGTATTTTATTTTTCTAGGTGAGAAGAAACATCAGAAGCAGTTGAAGGACCAGGAAGTGGGTCCTCTAGGGATGAGGAGGCACTCTGCGGGATGGCTTTTTAAAATGTTTCCTCCAGAGTCATCTGCTTCACTAACAACAGTTTTTATCTTAGACATCTCTCTTTGCTTTTGTAAACTGACGTGATTTGTTTTTTCTGTCACAAATGCATGCTGCTCTAGTCCTTCAATAAGCCCATCACACATGTTCACCATGTCATCTCTGGGCACTTTTCTGCAGTGTTAACAGCATCATCATTGTTGTGCACACGCATTGTGACAGCAACCCATCACATGAGGCCAGGTGTAGAATTTTTTACTTGTGGCATCATATCAGCACTCATAAGGTTTTGGATTTAGGAGTATTTTTTATTTCAGATTTTCAGATTATGGATCCTCACCCTAGATCACTATCAACCTTATAAACAGTTTTAAGAAATGTAAGAAATATTGCATAAGTTGTACTTAATCACTATGCTGGGCAGTTAGTAGACATCCAAATTTGTCTACTTAAAAATCTCATCAGAACATTTAATTTCTCCATCTAGGAAAACCTGTTCAGCACCACAAATAACGTACACAATCAACTCCAAACCTACTAGCAGGCTCTTCTCATTTTGGCTCTCAACTTCCTTTTCTAGCTTTCTTTCATAGTTTCTTAACGATCCTCCTCACCCTCCACTAACGCACTCTGGCCTGCCACCAAGCAGACATCTCACTATTCCTTGACAGCAACAGCTTCCCAGGCAGCTCCATACCTTTAGCCCTTTGCATGTGCTGTTTTCTTGCCTGAAATGCCCTTTTCTTCTCTGATTGATACTTTTGTTTTTCAAATCCTTGATAAAATTTGACTTCTGCAAAATTTCACAGATGAACCCTAGAGAATGAATACTTTCTTCTTCTGGTTGCCTGCATTGTTTTGTTCATACTTCCATGATAGCATTTTTATTGAAATAACATCTATCTCAAAACATTAGTGTTTTCTGTATTTACTTGTAGAGACATTTCCCTTGTCAATCAAATTGTTCCAGAGGAGGAAAAGGAACTCTATATCTTGGTCAGTGCCCACTTCGTTTGTTTGTTTGGTTGTTTTTTTTTGAGATGGAGTCTCACTCTGTCCCCCAGGTTGGAGTGCAGTGGCACGATCTCGGCTCACTGCAAGCTCTGCCTCCCGGGTTCATGCTATTCTCCTGCCTCAGCCTCCCGAGTAGCTGGGACTACAGGTGCCCGCTACCACGCCCGCCTAAGTTTTTGTATTTTTAGTATAGACGGCGTTTCACCGTGTTAGCCAGGATGGTCTCAATCTCCTGACCTCATGATCTGCCCGCCTCGGCCTCCCAAAGTGCTAGGATTACAGGCGTGAGCCACCGCACCCAGCCTGTTTGTTATTTTTTAACATTTAAAATATAGGCTCTAGGGAAGGAGTTCTGGACCTGTCCATAGACCTTTTAGTGGTCTCTGCCCTTGGATAAGAAAAAAATTACACATTCTTTTTTCTAACCCCTAATTAAATGTAGCATTTTCTTCCTTTGTGAGTCTAAGAAATAAGCCAGGCCAGGTGCAGTGGCTCACGCCTGTAATCCCAGCACTTTGGGAGGCCGAGGCGGGTGCATTACCTGAGGTCCAGAGTTCAAGACCAGCCTGACCAATATGGTGAAACCCCATCTCTAGTAAAACTCCAAAAAACAAAAAATAAAAAATAATTAGCCAGGCGTGGTAGTGCGCACCGGTAAACCCAGCTATTAGGGAGGCTGAGGCACAAGAATCCCTTGAACCCAGGCGGTGGAGGTTGCAGTGAGCCAAGATCACACCACTGCACTCCAGCCTGGGCAACAGAGCGAGACTCTATCTCAATGAAAGAAAGAAAGGAAGGAAGGAAGGAAGAAAAGAAAGGAGAAAAGAAAAGAAGGAAAGAGAGAGTGAGAGAAAGAAGCAGCAGTAGCAGTACATGTGACTACCACAAACAGAATTTTCAGATCTTTTCACATTACAATTGTTAAAGATTGTTATTTCCAACCTTCAATAGTAACTAGATCTGAAAATAAATCTTGTTTAAAGTGTTAATAAAGTACAAACAGTATATTGCTCTATCATAGTTTTTTAATTAAATGTTTTATTTTGAAATAATTGTAGATTCTCAGGCAGTTGCAAAAAAAAAAAAAAAAGATAGATCCTGCGTACTCGCTACTCACTTTTCCCAGGTGATAACATCTTGAAAAACTATAGTAAAATATCAGAACTAGGATCTTAATACTGATATGGTCAAGATATACAGAACATTTTCATCACCACAAGGATCCCATGTGTTGCACTTTTATAGCCTCACATACTTCCCTCCCATCCCATACCATCCTTAAACCCTGGCAACCACTAATCTCCTCTCCATTTCTACAATTTTGTCATTTCTCAGATGTTATTGATATGGAATCCTACAGTATGTAACATTTTGTGATGACCTTTCCACTCAGCACAACTCTCTGGAGATTCATTCAAGATGTTGCATGTATCAGTGGCTTGTTCCTTTTACTGCTGACTAGTATTCCATAGTGTGACTATACTACAGGTTGTTTAACCCATTGAAAAACATCTGGACTGCCTCAGTTTTGGCTATTACAAATTAAACTATTATAAACTTTCATGTACATGTTGCCGTGTCAACATAAGTTTCCACTTCTCTGGAATAACTGCCCGGGAGTACAATGGCTAGGTCATACACTAGTTGCATATTTAGTTTTATGAGAAAACCACCAAACTTTTTCAGAGTGGCTCTGTACCATTTTACATTCTCACCAGCAATGTATTTATGAGTGATCGAGGTTTTGCCCATCCTCAGAGCAGTTTGTGTTAATGGTGATATGTCTGTTCATATCTTTTGTCCATTTTCTAATTGGATTATTTATTTTACTGTTGAGACTTGAGTGTTTTTTATATTTTCTACATACAAGTCCTTCATCAGATATGTGGTTTGCATTTTCTGCCCAACCTATAGCTTGTTTCTTTATCCTTTTAACAGAGCAAAAGTTTTTAATTTCAGTGAACTCCAATTTATTAATTTTTCCTTGTATGAATCATGCTTCTAATGTCAAGCTTAAGAACTCTTTGTCTAGCCCTAGGTCCAAAATATTTTTGGATGTTTTCCTTTGTCTTTAGTTTTAGAAGTGTGATCATGAGGTGTCTTAATGTAGATTTCTGAGTTTATCCTTTTTGAGATTTACTTGCCTCCTTGAATATGTAGGTTTAGCTCTCTTGCCAACTTTGGAAGTTTTCAGCCATTAATTTTTTTGGTTCTTTTCCAGACCCACTCTCTTTTTCCTTTCCTTTCAGAAGTCTAGTGACAAAATTGTTAGGATTTTTTTTGCTGTAGTCTCAGAGGTCTCTGAGGCTTTGTATATTTTTTCAGTCTATTTTCTCTTTTTTTCAGATTGGGTAATTTCTACCTTATCTTCAATGTTACTAACTGCTTCCTCTGTTTCATCTATTCTGATGTTAGGTCCATTCATCAAGTATTTTTATGTAAGTTATTGTATTTTTCAGTTCCCATTTTCCCATTTGGTTGCTTATCTCTTCTACGTCTTTGTTGAGACTTCCTATTTCTTTGCTTACATTTTCTATTTTTTCATTTGTTTTAAGTATGTTTGTATTTGTTTATTAAAGTATTTTTATAATGGCTTCTTTGAAATCTTTGTCATATAATTCTAATATCTTTATCATGTCAGTGTTGGCATCTACTGATTGTCTTGTTTCATTCAACTTGATATTTTCTTTGTTCTTAATATGCCAAGTGATTTTCTATTAAAACTTGAAATTTTTGAGTATTTTATGATGAGACCTTGGATCATATTTAAACTTCTGTTTTAGCTGGCTTCATTTGATGCTACTTCAGCAGAAGGGGGATGCTGCCTTATTTTTTCAGGTGGGATATAAGTCCAGGTTTGTTTGGCCTTTATTGATACCCAATAGGAAGAGATTCTCCTTTTTACTTTTTGACAGGGGTGAGAATTTCAGCTTCCCAGCAGGTTGCCACTGATGGTCATGTGTCTTACAGCTTGACAAAGGTAGAAGATTATACTCCCCACTCAGCCTTTACTGGCTTAGGTGGAGGTGGACATTTATTGTTTAAAAGTATCTGTCTTGCTAGGCTTCCCCTTTCCTAGTTCTTTGGCTGAAGAAAAAAGACTTTTCTTCGGGGACTTTTTTTTCTGTTTTCCTGGGCTATTGTGGATTGCCAGTTTTTTGGCTCCAAGTCTGAGAAATATAAGGCAAAAAGACAGTCTAAGGAACTTACCACCATATCATTCATTGGGACCCAAAGTCTCCAACCAGTCCTTCTACCTCTCTACATTTTCTTGAGTTTTTAATATTTGTTTCATACATAATATGCAGGGTTTTTAGTTGAAATTAGTGGGAGAAATAAGGAAAGATATGTCTATTCCATCTTCCAAAAAGTAGAAGTCTTCTCTATTACCATTTTTAATAGTTTGATTACTATATTTCAGTATAACTGGTTTCCTTTGCAATCCCATAAATTTTGTTTATGCATTTACAAACAATTTTCTGAGAATCACCACATAGCCATCAAGGTCCATGGCATGGAACCACCATGAGCCATTTTAGAGAAAAATATTAAAAGCTTGAGACCAGAAAGAAGCAGCAAAGAATTATATTCCAAGATGAAGCAATGGGCACAACTCCCTTCTTTAGAGCACACGTTGGCTTTCTAACTTCCAGGTACCCTCTCTAACCCCCCGAGGGTCACATGGAGAAGAGTAACTAGAGCTAGATTGATGACTTGGAGAGGAGTAGGGAGCCATCTATTGTCTTATTGTCTTGCAAGGCTGTTGCCTTGGTGGCCCAAGCCTACAAACCATCCTCAAAACTCAGAGATCACCACCTGTCACCCCACTTGAGAAGTAAAGTTAACCATTCATCCATCACTTTGGGTATGGGCTTTCCATTCCCCAGGATAGCCCCTTCTTAATTTCCACTACATTGGAAATCCCCTTTCAATGGCCCAGAATATTCATAGGCATGCCTTCCACTCTGACAGGAGATACAGGTGTTTGTCATCCTGGTGGCAAGTGGTGAAGCAGCAGGGAAAACTCATACACCAGGACATGAGAGGGACTATTCACCCATTTTGCATTTAAATGTGTATCTACTCTTTCATTAGATGGTGAATTCCTCAGAGGAAATGAACTATGTTTCATTTTTTCCTTTTATTTTCAGTGTTTAGCAGAGTATAAAGCACATGGCAGATGCCTAATCAATGTTACTAAATGAACAAATAAGTCTATACTGCAGAAAAATGGTATATTTAGGATTTATCAAATACCTCATGTTTGCGTATTTCTATTTTAATTAAAAAAAGCATTCTTAGATTATTTAAAACAACTATTACTAGTTATTTCTTGGGCTGTAACATTTCTAGTATCTTCTTACTTATCTACTACTACTAATCTGAATTTGGACAACAAAATGTATGCACATTTTCTCTATTTCACAGACCATCTGGCACAGATGTCATGCATGTTGCTACCTCATAGATATGTTAATGAGTGACACAAAGTTTCCAGGTCCAGTCACAAAAATGCCATTTCCCTCCTCCACTTCCTTACCCACATTCAAAAGGCCAAGGTAAACACGTCCTGGGGCAACAGTCTGGAGAGTATAACCCTAGAAATAAAATGGATTCAGATAAATTCCAGAGTGATCTGCCAGTGACTAATGGTAATATCTTTAGTTAGCCAGAGTTCAAAAATACAAAAAGATAAAAATCTTGAGTGCAATCTCATAAATCTTTAACCCATGTAGCCCTACTCCATAGCAAAGTCTTCTTGAAAGCAAATAATGATTTAAAAAATTAACTTCTTATGTTAACTAGCTACCCAGATAAGTTCAAGAAATGGAATGAACATTATCCAGGAATTGAAAGGAAATGACTAAGAGTTAGGAAATGGTACCAGCATCAAGTATGACAACTTGTAAAGAAGGGTGACATTCCACACCTCCTATCTGGGTAGGGTTTACAGGACATCCTATGAACTGTCATAAAAGATAAATCTGGGTTTGTCTTACTAAAGCCAATGACAAAGACAGCTTGGCAGTGAAACTGACAGCTAATACTGTGAGTGAGGCCGCTGACGACAGTAATGAATGAATAACCTGTCCGGAACTCTTCATCAGTGAGATGAGAACCATGGAAGAGTTAATAGATCCAGTCAGGTTTCAGAGGGCACACCTTCTGCACAGCCCAGATAGATAAGAAAAGAGGATTTTTAAGGTAGATGATTTGATTTCTATGCTTAAATAAAAATAGATTTGTGGTTTGAATTACAATAAAACAAAAATGGAAGTAAACAAAGTTTTGATAAAATACAAAACACATTTTAGATATATTATAAGCACAGTGCATACAAAACACAGATATTTATAAAGTTAGTTGTCAATACAAGTCCATATTACTTGTTAAGAGGAAATTCTGTGGCACGTACAGTAAGTGCTGATATCAGGAATGCTTTGATAAAGAAGTTTGGGTATAGGCAGGTCACTCAACATACTTTTCTATAGAAGCTAGGCAGCATTATTTTAGATTTGAGGAGAAAGTATTGCTTTAAAAATTATGTATTAACTTCCAATAGAAAAATCAGTAATTAAGTCAAAGTGGAGTTAGGCATTTAAATAGGCATCAAGGCAAATTAGTATTGATAACTTCTTTTCAATTTTAAATAGAAAAATTATTTTAATTGGCTTTATAAATGTACTTATTTAAATACTGCAGCCAAGAATGCAGTTTTAAATGACCATCTGGCTAGCACTCCTTGAGGCAGTATCTCACGATGCTTCCTAAAGTTTCTGTGAATAATTTTTTTTAAAAAAGCAAAACAGCCACCCGAATCCAGCAGCACATCAAAAACCTATCCACCACAATCAAGTTGGCTTTATCCCTGGGTTGCAAGGCTGGTTCAACATACACAAATCAATAAATGTAATCCATCACATAAACAGAACCAATGACAAAAACCACATGATTATCTCAATAGATGCAGAAAAGGCCTTCGATAAAATTCAACACCACATCATGCTGAAAACTAGGTATTGATGGAATGTATCTCAAAATAATAAGAGCTATTTATGACAAATCCACAGCCAATATCTGAATGGGCAAAAACTGGAAGCATTCCCTTTGAAAACCAGCACAAGACAAGGATGCCCTCTCTCTCCACTCCTATTCAACATAGTATTGCAAGCTCCGGCCAGGTCACTCAGGAAAGAGAAAGAAATAAAGGGTTTTCAAATAGGAAGAAAGGAAGTCAAATTGTCTCTGTTTGCAGATGACATGATTGTATATTTAGAAAACCCCATTGTCTCAGCCCCAAATCTCTTTAAGCTGACAAGCAACTTCAGCAAAATCTCAGGATACAAAATCAGTGTGCAAAAATCACAAGCATTCCTATACACAAATAACAGACAAACAGAGAGCCAAATCATGAGTGAACTCCCATTCACAATTGCTACAAAGAGAATAAAATACCTAGGAATACAACTTACAAGGGATGTGAAGGACCTCTTCAAGGAGAACTACAAACCACTGCTCAAGGAAATAAGACAGGACACAAACAAATGGAAAAATATTCCATGCGCATGGATAGGAAGAATCAATATCATGAAAATGGCCATAATGCCCAAAGTAATGTATAGATTCAATGGTATCCCCATCATGCTACCATTGACTTTCTTCACAGAATTAAAAAAAACTACTTTAAATTTCATATGGAACCAAAAAAGAGCCCATATAGCCAAGACGATCCTAAGCAAAAAGAACAAAGCTGGAGGCATCATGCTACCTGACTTCAAACTACACTACAAGGCTATAGTAACCAAAAACAGCATGGTACTGGTACCAAAACAGATATATAGACCAATGGAACGGAACAGAGGCATCAGAAATAATGCCACACATCTACAACCATCTGATCTTTGACAAACCTGACCAAAACAAGCAATGGGGAAAGGATTCCCTATTTAATAAATAGTGTTGGGAAAACTGGTTAGCCATATGCAGAAAACTGAAACTGGATCCATTCCTTACACCTTATACAAAAATTAACTCAAGATTGATTAAAGACTTAAACGTAAGACCTAAAACCATAAAAACCCTAGAAGAAAACCTAGGCAACATCATTGAGGACATAGGCATGGGCAAAGACTTCATGACTAAAACACCAAAAGAAATGGCAACAATGGCCAAAATAGACAAATGGGATCTAATTAAACTAAAACCCTTCTGCACAGCAAAACAAACTATCATCAGAGTGAACAGGCAACGTATAGAATGGGAAAAAATTTTTGCAATCTACCCATCTGACAAAGGGCTAATATCCAGAATCCACAAGGAACTTAAACAAATTTACAAGAAAAAAACAAACAACCCCATCAAAAAGTGGGCAAAGGATATGAACAGACACTTCTCAAAACAAGACATTTATGTGGCCAACAACCATATGGAAAAAAGCTCATCATCATTGGTCATTAGAGAAATGCAAATCAAAACCACAGTGAGATACCATCTCATGCCAGTTAGAATGGCGATCATTAAAGAGTCAGGAAACAACAGATGCTGGAGAGGATGTGAAGAAATAGAAATGCTTTTACACTGTTGCTGGGAGTGTAAATTCGTTCAACCATTGTGGAAGACAGTGTGGCAATTCCTCAAGGATCTAGAACCAGAAATACCATTTGACCCAGCAATCCCATTACTGGGTATATACCCAAAGGATTTTAAATCATTCTACTATAAAGAAACATGCACATGTATGTTTATTTCAGTACTGTTCACAATAGCAAAGACTTGGAACCAATCCAAATGCCCATCAATAATAGACTGGAAAATGAAAATGTGGCACATATACCCCATGGAATACTATGTGGCCATAAAAAAGGATGAGTTCATGTCCTTTTCAGGGACATGGATGAAACTGGAAACCATCATTCTCAGCAAACTAACACAGGAACAGAAAACCAAACACCACGTGTTCTCACTCATAAGTGGGAGTTGAACAATGAGAATACATGGACACAGGGAGGGGAACATCACACGCTGGGCCTGTTGGGCAGTGGGGAGCTAGGGGAGGGATAGCATTAGGAGAAATACCTAATGTAGATGACAGGTTGATGGGTGCAGCAAACCACCATGGCATGTGTATACCTATGTAACAAACCTGCACGTTCTACACATGTATCCCAGAACTTAAAGTATAATAATAATAATAATAATAATAATGCAAAACACTAAAACCTATGATTGACAGGCAATTTATTACAAGCTTCTGAGAGGAAATTCTGCTATTCTAATGCCCCATGCAGCTGATTTAGGAATCACAGTCTTTTGATGATACATGGTTTATAACCTGAAAAAGAAGAAAACTGCCTGCAGAGAAGTAGAGATTTTCTTTGTGCCTGCCTTTCAGCACGGAAACCAGCGTACTGTTTTCTGAGGTTGCTAGGATACTATTCCCCAGTACTCCCCTCAGTTACCTCTCTCTACAGACACAGGCAGAGACTGCAACCCTTCTCACCCACACTCTTCCTTCTTCATGAAAAATCGAGAAAGAAGAAAAGGAAAGAAAGAGGAAGGAAGGAAGGGAGGGAGGGAAGGAGGGAGGGAGGGAGGGAGGGAGGAAGGGAGGGAGGGACGGAAGGAAGAAAATAATGCACTTGAGGAGCCTGGTAGAGAAGTACTGAGTCCTGGAAGGTAGAGCACATTGGAGGAGAGGGTAAAGGAGGTGGGCCGAGTCCTCACAGCAGGGCTTGGGGAGAATTAACTGCACTTCATGCATTCCACTGCTTCAGAGAGACAGAGGACTATGTAATAAGAATAGACATGGCCCTCCATACAGCAAGCCTGATTGGTATATATCTGAGAAGTAGCCTATATGAAAAACACGTAGGAGTTCAAGTTAGCATAAATTGACAGCTTTTTGTCATCCTCCAAAATCTGATGCAGTATCAGGCTGTGTTAACAGAGACTGGGTATTTAGGATTCAGGAAGTGATAGGCTCACTCTGCTGTGGACCTGTCATGGCTGAAGCATCTCTACAGTTCTGGATACCAGGCTGTGAAAAGATGTGGTCCTTGGGGTTCTTCCCAAAGCCCTCTTCTTTTCTCAGTCTGCCACTCCGCAGGACCATCTCATCCCTGTTGCCACATATCGTTATGAAGGGAGTTTCCTGTATGGAGACACCTGGTCAAGGGGGGAGGGGAGTTATTCACCACTGGAGTCCTAATGCAAGAGCAGGGCCAATCTTAGGGGAAAAAGGGATGTAGGGCAATTTCAAATTATTTGGTCCAGAGGGAGAGTCCTTTTCTAAACATTACAATTAATGTGCTTGCCAGCAGGCAGCCCTGCACCTCACCCACCCCCATGGTGCCAATTACCATTTATGTATTGATGTCCCCCTTGAGACCACACCTACAACCAACTGGACAGGAGAAGGTCGGCAGGAAGCTTCTGGGAAAGTTCTACCTTAATTGTAAAAGAACGACAGGAGATGTCTTTCTCTTTCTGCTAGATGTGAATAAGACAGTGAGTAATCCTGGTTGCTACAACCAGCCTCCTTGTTACCACAAGGAAAACCGACTTACAGATGACGCTGATGCTATGGGTCATGGAGCAGAGGTGAAAAGAACCTTTTTTCTTGATAACATCATTTAGCTGCTGAATCAACCAACCCTGAAGACCACCCTACATCTGAATCTCCTTTAATGTGAGCTAACAAATTTTTTAATTAGTCAAGCCAATTTAAGTTGAATTTTCAGTAACTTGACATCAAAAAACATCCTAACCAAAACATCATGTATTCTCTACCAGGAATCTGATTATGCAACGGCTTTGCACTGAACAATCCACATTTACTAAACAGGCCACTAAAGAGTCAGATTCATCATTTAGTCTTATTAGAAAGGTGTCCTAACTATGGACATAAGACCAGCAGGGTTCTTGTGTCCTAAATACAGACATAAGACCAGTAGGGTTCTTTTGTCCAGTTCAACTTATATATGGTGAATATAGTATAGTGCTAAAGAAGGGGTGTTAGAATCCCAGCTTTACCATTCACTAGCTATGTGACCCCAAGAAAGTGACTTAGGTTCTCTGGGCCTCATTTTCTTCCCCCGTCAATGGAGATCATCATAGTGCTTACCTCAGAGGGTCATTTTCAGGATCACATTAAATGATACACATGGATTAGTTAGGATGTATTTCAGCTATGAGTAGCAAACAAAATAAGTCATCAATATGATTTAAACAAGAGAGAAATTTCCTTTACTTTCACATTCAAGGATCCAAAGATCTTCATTCCAAGACAGGCATGGCCCTTCATATCAGGACCTACCTTACTGACTCATTCCAAAGATTCTCTCTTAGTACACAATGGTTCCTAGAGCTCCAGTTTTTCAGTCCCCATTCCAGGCAGGGGGGCAGAAGCAGAAAAGAAAGGCAAGTTTCTACTCTTTAAGAACATTCCCTGGAAGTCACATACACCACTTCTGCAGCTGTGACCAGATAAAAAATCAAGGGATTAAAAAAAAAAAAGGGCAACCTGCTCAGGTCCCCTTCCACACTGTGGAGGCTTTGTTTTTTCACTCTGCAATAAATCTTGCTGCTGTTCAAAAAAAAAAAAAAAAAATCAAGGGATTTGTTATGGAAGAAGGGGAGAAGGCATCCAACTTCTGCAGCAATCTGTGAAGTATGAGCACCTTGACGTGGAACAAAGCCAGCAGCGTTATCTGGCAGTTATTCTTACAAAAAACCTCCAATTCTCTTCCCCACAACAACAGGTCCTCTCCCCACCACCCAAACTCCCGCCCTCAGCCTCCCTTCCGTCAAAATCCCACCCTGTCTTGCAGGCCCGTGAGGGTCCATTTAAACTAACAGCTATTGCGATGTCACACTGTCCAGGCACAAAACACACAAAAATAAAATTATTTCTACTCTCAAGAATCTCACTGGAAAGTAAGAGACTGCCAAATTACTGCGTGTGAGGCTGTGCCTGGCTCATAAGAAATGCTCAGTGAGGGCCAGGCACAGCGGCTCACACCTGTAATCCCAGCACTTTGGGAGGCCGAGGCGGTCAGATCACAAGGTCAGGAGTTCAAGGCCAGCCTGGACAATATGGTGAAACTTTATCTCTACTAAAAATACAAAAATTAGCCATGGTGGTGCACATCTGTAATCCCAGCTACTCGGAAGGCTGAGGCAGGAGAATCGTTTGAACCTGGGAGGTGGAGGTTGCAGTGAGCCGAGATCGTACCACTGCACTCCAGCCTGGGTGACAGAGCAAGACTCCGTCTCAAAAAAAAAAAAAAAAAAAAAAAAGAAAAGAAAAAGAAATGCTCAATGAGTCTTTGCAATTATTAAATTATTCTTCTTCTGGTTAAGGACCTAGACTATAGGCTAGGAGGACCTGAGCTTAAACTCTTGCTCCATCACTTACTTGCTGTGTGACCTTGGGCTAACAACTAAACCCTTCTGTGCAGTAGCCCTATTTCCATGTCTTTGACAACTGTATTCAGCTCTCATTTAATGTATTATAAAAGAACACTACATCTTCGGATTCTTTTCTAAACTTGATTATTTCAGTCACAAGTCTTGTAGATCACAGCACTCTAAGAAGCTATTGTTTGGCCGGGCTCGGTGGCTCACACCCGTAATCTCAGCACTTTGGGAGGCTGAGGTAGGTGGATCACCTGAGGTCAGGAGTTCAAGACCAGCCTGGCTAACATGGCAAAACCCTGTCTCTACTAAAAATACAAACATTAGCTGGGCTTGGTGGTGTGCATCTGTAGTCCTAGCTACTTATGAGGCTGAGGCAGGAGAATCGCTTGAACCTGGAAGGCAGAGGATGCAGTGAGCCGAGATTGCACCACTGCATTCCAGCCTGGGTGACAGAGTGAGACTCCACCTCAAAAAAAAAAAAAAAAACTAAAAAAGTTATTGTCTGGAGTGTGACTTCTAAATGTCATTATGTAAAAAAATGTTGCTCAGACCTGCTTTTAACTAGTAATACTAAGAACATGTCTTGTCAAGTAGTTGAGGTGCTAATACACAGAAGGATACTGTAATAAAAGAACACACAGTCTAGAAAATAGTTAAAACATGTTTGTCCAAATTATCTTCCAAGGAGAGAAAAGTCAGCTAATATTTATGATCATGTGGCTTGGAAATCTAAAAATAGCTTTTTCATAAAAGGCCAGATGCCTAAAACATGAAATAGAGAAGCCAGTAAGCAGATAATTTAGGTTTGTTATTTTATTCACAGTTATCTGGTAATTTGAGTTAAACATAAATAAATATTTGGCTGGATGAGTTTGCAGTCAATTCATTGGTTTTATCATGAGAAGTTTAAAGAGAGATTGATGTCTCCAGTAAAAATATTCTTTGAGTTCATTATAATGAGAAAGGCAGAAAGAGGAAAAAGGAGAAAGAGAAGAAGGAAAAGGAGGAATGAAAGGGAGGAGAATTTTAACTTGTCTACATTTACAGGAAATATGAGAATTCTGACTCCTCCAGCAGAAAAATAAAAATGCAATGCTTGGTGCTAACAAAGAAACACATAATTCACTCTCATATTTTCTCAGATGCAACTGGCTAGCTAGGAAGACAAGCTCAATTATAGAATATCTGTACTTCCAGAGGGACAGTTTGATCTTAAGTTGTCAGAAAATTTTATCACTCCTTTTTACAACAAATACTTGTCTAAGTTAAAGACTATCATTTAACAATGTATGGAGACGTGGCCTGCTTCAGGAGAGGGAAGTTTACAACACGCCTCGCCAGAAGCTTTCCAATCCTTAATGAAAGCCTAAAAATCTAAAAATATTAGTCAAAAGTATTCACAAAAAAATAGTGTCCTAAAAACTAACGTTTCTAAGGTCACTCCAATTCCTGAGTACAGAACACTGTATTAGGATATCCCTGATCAAAAGAGCACATCTCATTCTCTCCCCTCATCTCTAACATTCTGTTCCTCATTTGTAATCGTGACCTGTCAAATGGAGTCTCACTGTGCTGTGTAAGTAAGAGCAACACTAGAAGACCAACATTTCACAAAGAGCAGCCCAGAGGTGATTAAATTTATAAACCCAGAGTCCATAAGCCAGAGGGATTTTAGGCCCCAAGATGTTAGAAAAAAAAAAATTATGTTGGTTATGATGCTTTTGATTAGAAATAAGAGTAAATCTGATTCAAATTTCTTAAACAAACAAACAAAAAGAAATAAAGGAAAAAATAGATGTACAGAAACAATGTTGACTTCCAGAAGTCCACCATGTCTGTTTCTCCATGTGCTCTCAGCTCCGCCCTCCTTCTGAGTCAGCTTTGTCCTCTTTCTAGCTTCCTTTCCAAAAGAAAGACCTGCAGGAGTTCCAGACCTAACGTCCTCATGCCACATTTTCTGTAAGAAATGAGAAAGTTTCTCCTAGTCACTCTTTCAAAAGAGAACGGGAGTATTTTTCCAAAATCTCTTACTTGACATCTTACCTCATCCAGTTAAGAAGAAAGGGAGGGAGACAGTCACAGGCCCACTCTTAAACCAATTACTATAAGTAAAGAGTAAGGGGCTTTGAAGATGGGCAATGAGGACCCTCCCTGGTCCTGAAGGTGAAGTCAGGCCTAAAATGGGTAAGAATGTTAAAGAAGTTTCCCAAAAGAAATAGCTGGATGCTGGTAGAAGAGGGGAAGGCAGGCGGGTGGAAGTCAAGGGAGAATTCTGAGGAGTAAGCAACAGATGCCCATTGCAAGTTATTTAGGATATTTTTTTTAATTGCAGAAACCATTTCTAATTAGCCTAAGCAGAAAATGGCACTTTATTATAAGGCTTCCCAAAAATCACTTAGGCTTAAGAGTATGAATGCTACCAGAAGGATCTGGAACCAGGGGTACAAAGGTCACCGAAACTTTCTCTCCATCCTTTGTTTCTCCTTCTCCATTGGTATACGGTCTCTTCTGTGTTTGAATTGGTCTCCTTTATCCTTAAATCCACATGGCAGTGTAAGACTTCTAAGGCTCCTGATTAGACAAATGTCCAGTTCTCAGAGAAAATGAATCTCATTCTGTGGGTCTTAGTAGTAGAATTCTATGAAAGAGATTCGAATTGAATTTGGATCTGGTGATTGTCCCTCATCATGAGGTAGAGTTATATTTTACAGAATGACTCCAAAAAGTTCACTTTTGTGACGTATGTATGGTGGGATGGACCATGGGGCAGTTCCCAGAGAAGGGATGGCTAAGAAGACCATGCAGTTTTCTACTCCTTACAACATGTTTTGCATGATATTTGTCACATGAAACATTTATAGCATAAATTTTCTTCTAAAATTGAAAATGTATATAAAAAGGAACAAAATATCAAATCCAGGACTTCAAAGAAAGAAGCAAGAGAAAGATTTCTTCCTCAGCACTTGGCCAAAACCCTCTGAGCATCTTTTTTGCTCCAGAAACACTTTGCCCAAGGCCAGTTAGCACATCTTACTGCATCATCACAGTTATTTCCATGCGTGTTCCCTGAGAGGACACCATTTTTTTTTTTTTTTTGAGACGGAGTCTCAAAAATTAGCTGGGCATGGTGGCCTACGCCTGTAGTCCCAGCTATTTGGGATGCTGAGACAGGAGAATTGCTTGAACCCAGGAGGCAGAGGTTGCAGTGAGCCAAGATCGTGCCACTGCACTCCAGTCTGGGTGACAGAGCAAGGCTCCATCTCAAAAAAAAAAAAAGAATAGAGGCAGACTTCAATAAGTATTTGTTAATGAATGAATGATGTTGACTTTAAGCATACATTACAAAAATGTTTCCCAACATTTTTCACATCATGGCACACTTATAAAATTCTATTATTTGGTCTGGACCATTGGGTGTACCCTGAGGCCATTCCCAATCTGAGGTGATTAGGAATGTGTGGCTCTGACAATCCTTGGAACTGGCTGCAGGTGTCAATATCTAGCACGTTTTTATATGGTAGTTAAGAGGAAGAATGGATAATGTAGGGCCCAAATTTTTCATCCTAAATGTCTCAACTCCTTTTAGACTGTAAGATTGTAGAGGACTTTTCTTTTTTTTTTTTGAGACAGAGTCTCACTCTGTCACACAGGCTGGAGTGCAGTGGTGCAATCTCAGCTCACTGCAACCTCTGCCTCTTGGGTTCACGCCATTCTCCTGCCTCAGCCTCCCGAGTAGCTGGGACTACAGGCGCCCGCTACCACGCCCGGCTAATTTTTTGTATTTTTAGTAGAGACGGGGTTTCACCGTGTTAGCCAGGATGGTCTCGATCTCCTGACCTCGTGATCCACCCGCCTTGGCCTCCCAAAGTGCTGGGATTACAGGCGTGAGCCACCGCGCCCGGCCTGGTATCTGCATTTCTTTGCCCAAGGACACATGTCGTTTGCCTGTGGAGCAAGCCCAAATTGGTCCAAAGGAATACTCCCGGGAGCAACTTCAACCTACGACTAATGGAAGTTCAGGTATAAATATACCCGTTGGATAGAAAACAAGTCTGGGGCTTGTTTTTTATACAGACTCCCCCAAGCCCTCCAGTGGGGTTTGATTCTAGTCATCCATAGTAGCTGGCTTGATAATGTCCTGCATTGTCCACTCTCCCTTTCCCATCTTCCTTAACTACCCTCCTATTGGCATTTCCTTTACTTACCAAAAGCACTACTTGCATTTGAATCTCAGGGTCTGCTTCAGTAGAACCTCAACTAAGACATCTTTTCTGCTATCTTGCCTGTGCACTGTGTATGTAACTTTACGACGTCAGTCATTTAAACTTGTAATTGTCCGTCTTCCAATGCCACTAAATGTCTTAAGATCAGGAATTGTATATAATTCTTCTTTGTTTCCCCACATCTAAAAAAAATGCTTGACAATATTAGGCACTCTACAAATGCCTATGGAATAAATGAGTGAATGTTTAAAGAATGAATTTAAAAAGGGAAGGAGGAGAGTAGAATAATAAAGTTAGATTATGGTAAGTCACCAAATACAAAAGTAATTTATGAGAAATATTTTCATTAAGTATAATTTATAAAAGCAAAATCCTACTTACGTTTCACATAATCCATTGGCATATAAAATATCTCTCATTCAGAAATATTTTTTCATTCTGAGATTAAGACAACCTCCTGTAGTGTTTGAGAATTCTGGTTTCAAAGTCTCATAGCTGTGTGATTTAGGTTAGTGTATCTCTAACTTTAATGTGCGTATGAATACCTAAGAATATTGTTATTTGCATATTCTGATTTTGTGGGTGTGGGGTGTAGGGTGCGGCTTGAGAATCTGCGTTTCTAACAAGTTCCCAGGTGATACGGATGCCGCTGGTTCATGGATAGCTAGGCTCTAGGGCAAAAGACACCTATCTCTGCACCTCTGTTTCCTTAACTTAAAAACAAAAGAATAATAACCATGTTTTGCTGGGTTGAGAAGATAAATGAAATAATACATGAAAAGCACTTTAAACAATATCTACCATCTAGAAAACACTCTTTATGTGTTATCTATTATTATTATAAAACTCATGCTGTATACCAATGCTTTTTATGAATATTAAAGTCCAGGGTTAAAAAATAACTGCAAGTATTTTTATTGTTTATTGAATAATTTGCATATTATTAGTATAATACTTATTGTTATGAGAAAAATACAAAAGTCACTGTTGATTAGAAAAAGGCAAACTCTGTAAAATATTTGAAGAGGTTTATTCTGAGGTATCTGTGAGGACCACAACCTGTGACACAGCCTGAAGAGGTCCTAGGAATATGTACCCAAGGTGGTCGGGTTTCAGGTTGATTTTATACATTTTAGGGAGACAGAAGTTACAGGTAAAGACATAAATTAATACCCCTAAGGTGGTATATATCTGTTTGGCCCAGAAAGGTGGGACATCTCAAAAGGGGGAAGAGAGAGAGGATTCCAGGTCATAAGTAGATTCAAAGATTTTCTGATAGGCAATGGATTAAAAGAGTTAAGCCTTTCCTAAATTGCTGAAGTCAGCAGAAAGAAATGCTTGAGGTTAAGATATGGGGGTTTGTGGAAGCCAAGGTTCTTGTTATGTAAATGAAGCCTCCAGGTAGAAGGCTTCAGAGAGAACAGATGGTAAGTATAGGTTATCAGACCTTAAAACATGTCAGACTCTTAGTTAAATCTCTCCTGGATCAGGGAAAATCCTAGTAAGGAAAGAGGATTCTCTACAGGATGTAAATTTTTCTCATAAAAGACAGCTTTGCAAGCCCACTCCAAAATATGCCAAAGACATATATTTTGTGTTAAAATACTTTGATGTCCTTTAGGGCCTGTTACGTCATGTGATACTAGAGTCAGGTTGGATTTGCTATCTTATTGCTGTAAAGAGTCGGTTCTGTCAGTCTTGGGATCTCTATTTTAATGTTAACGCTAGTCAGTTGTGTCTAAACTACAACAGGGAGAGGGTATAATGAGGCAAGACCTATCTCCTCCCTTTTACTCTCATGACTCGAACTAGTTTTTCAGGTGTTTTGTTTTGTTTTGTTTTGTTTGAGACGGAGTCTCGCTCTGTAGCCCAGGCTGGAGTGCAGTGGTGCGACCTCAGCGCACTGCAACCTCTACCTCCTGGGTCCCTTTTCAGGTTTTTTTTTTGGAATCCTGGAATCCCCTTGGCCAAGAGAGGGGTCCATTCAGTCCGTTGGGGGGCTTAGAAATTTACTTTTGGTTTACACCACCTATGTACAATTCAAATATACAGGTACATATAAATTGAATGTAAACAATAAATGATTTTCAGTAGCATAGGTATAAGTGCCAGTTCATGATTAGCTGTCAGGTGGGAAAAGACAGAAACGATGAGGTCCTGCCCAAGGCTATGGGTTTTGGCACAAGACAGGCTTAGAATCAAGCCCTATCACTCCTTAAGCAAGTCAATTAACCTTTATAAGCCTCGCTTTCTCACCTGTTGAGGAGGGAATACTTTCAGCACTCTGACCTGAAAAGAGACAATATATGTAAGACCTTAACCCAGTGCCTGACACAGAATAAGCATTCAATAAATATCAATTTGGGGCACTACTATTAAGTCAAAGACCCCTAGAATTCATTATATGTCTATCAGGCACAGATTCAAAACTATGGATTAGTTGTAAAAAGCATAGGGTTATAAATACCCCAAGACCTGAGCTGAACTAAATTCTGCATCTGGCTACCTCATGGCATGGAACTGGTAAGACATCAGAAGCAGGGATAATTTGGAAAAGGTTCAATCCAGGAAAATCAGTCCAAGGTAAGCAAGCAAGCAGAGTGAAGGAGAGCTCCCAGGGATGTGTTCCAAGCATGCACTGGGCATTGCTTCAGTACCAGCAGACTTTTAACATGATTTTCATCAGAACAGAACATGTGATACTGAATGTCATACTTTAGAAGTTAAGGGAGTGGGGGAGGGATAGCATTAGGATATACACCTAATGTAAATGACTAGTTAATGGGTGCAAGCACACCAACATGGCACATGTATACATATGTAATAAACCTGCACGTTGTGCACATGTGCCCTAGAACTTAAAGTATAATAAAATAAATTAATTAATTAAATAAATAAATAAAATAAGAAGTTATAGGAAACATTGAGTAGTTGATAATCTAGATTTATTCTGATCAGCAAGAACTATCTCACTGGGGATGTGAAAATTATAAAAATCCTAAGAGAGAAAAACAATACCACTTTAACCTTAAAAGCAAAAGATGGTCAACATGGATACAGTAAACGATGCTCTCCAGATGACATGAAAGTATATTTCAAAATTCCAGAGCAAAGATATACAATTCCCTAAAAGGATCACTAAAGGAGGAAGATGAGGCTCAGGAAAAAAATAAGTTGAGTGTTAATTCATATTAGCAAACATTTACTGAGAGTCCTCAAGATGGAGGTGGAGAAGCCTGTAAGGCACTGTAGAAAAAGCCCAAGATTTGAAATCAGACAGACAAGCATCTTCTTGCTTCTTTTTAAGATAACTTAAGTTTAGCAAATGACTTGACCTCTCTGCCTTGCCTACACCTCAATCTTATAAAAATGGCAATAACAAGAAAGCACAATTCTGAGTACTGCGAAAATATAGAGTATGTAAGACATGCAACTGCCCCTCATGTTGGGCAAATGAATGGGAATAAAATTGCCTGGAATATAGGATAGGATACGAAAATAAAATATTGAGGTTATAGATTGACTTCTATAGGAATATTAGGAAGGAAGATATTAATTCTGACTAAGGAAATCAAGTCTTTAAGAAAGAGATGGCATTTGAGTTTGGCCTTGAATTAGGGGTAGGAGTTCTCCCAGTGGAAGTAAGGGAGAGAGAAAAAGAGCTAGTAAGTTTAGGGCAAATATTCCAGGCAGTTTTAGCAAACACATAGAAGCATCAATATATGAAAGTGTTTAGGGACTAGTGAGAAATAAAAAGCATTTAAATGTTCAGGTAAGGATGCAGCAGCAAGAAGCAGAAAACAAGATTGGAAAGTAGGTCAGGATGAGAACATAAAAGACTTTCAACAGCATGATAGGGGCTTGGCATTCTCTGTATTATCAGCAACTTGCAGTTTTATAGGCCTTCATTTCCACATGCATTATCTTTCCTAACATGCACAAAACTTTGAAGTAGGTAGATGGGTTGCTTTTGTTCTCATTTTAATACAGTTAAGGAAATTGAGTCTGAGTGACTTTCTAAGTTAGCAAACAACAAGTATCAGAGTCGGACTAGAAACTAGACCTGCTGCCTATTTGACAGATGCTCTGTCCACACTGCCATGCTTTCTCCATAAGCACTTTGGAGCTACTAAAGTGCCTTATTACACAGGATTTTGAATGCCAGGCCAAAATGTTTGACTTACCTTGTTTTTTGGGCAGAGGACTTACATAAACAGAATGGAAATATCAAGTCTGGCAGCAGTCCGTAAGGATGCACCGGAAAGAAGAGATGCTAAGACTAAATGTAGAAGACTTAAGAACAATCCTGGCAACATGAAATCCAAAAAAATGTATTTGTAAAACTGTGCAATTGAGTTTCAAAATATGCACTTCACAAGCTCAGGTTGCATAAGAACCAGGTTAATAGTTAATGAGATATGGATCTGTGATTTAATTAAGATTAATGTAAGCATTAGTGTTAGGTAGATGCTAAAAACAAATGTCCTGTTGGCTGTGTTACCAGAAAATTCATGTTCAGAATAAGAAAGGTATGAGATCAACATGTTGCTTATATCACCCCCAGAAGTGTGTTCAGTTCCAGGAGTCAAAAACTTTAAGAAGGACACTCCTGAGAAACTGAAGGAGTATAAAACAAATCTACTAGAATGATGGTTGACAGCCAAAAAAAACTATGTGAGTTTTTGTTGGGGGGAAACTAGAAATTTTAACAGAACAAAAGCGAGTGGGGAGGGAGGTTGATTCAAAGGGCAAAACAGATTTTACAGGGCAGAATACAGACCAATTGTGGGATTGCATAGAATGTGGGACATTTACTGCCAAATTAAGAATCGTCTATAAAACACTAAGCTTGATGCTCCAAATGTATGTGCAATAGCTAAGGGGCTATGTTAAGCCATGTTGCTGTGAATTGCTATGGTGGGAAATAGATTTGCCAAGAGGTTTTTAAGGAGGTTTCTAAAAAATTTTGAGTCTATAATTTTATACACATTCACACAATGGTTATTATAAACTTTCAGCAAATTCAAAAGGAAAGGGTAATATAAATCATAGCCATTAAGAAAATAAAGTTGTAAATAAAGTTGTTGCCTTCTAAATAGCTTATCAGTGTTAAATTATTAAATGTACAGTAATGCAATATCAAAGACTCATTATTCAAAGCTTCTTGTTCCTCATAATTTACATTTGCTTTAAAAAAGAAATAGCCAAGAAATTGGACTTTTTAAAAAAGTTTTTTTGGAAATAAAACATTTTCTCTCACTCTCTGTTTAGTGCTATATTGCCTTTTTTAAAAAGTATAAAAGGGAAAAGTTTCTAGAAGTTGTTAAATTTTAAGTCACCCTGGTATTTTTACCAAAAAACTCTCACAGATCATTTTATTAATATACTTTTTTTAACTTGTTTTCTACTCATTTGCCTAATTTAATTCTCCTGTGATTTACTTCTTGTACTGTGATAAATTTGCCTATATAACAAAAGCTTATATATTAGTCATCAGTTTATGTACATGATAAAATCAATCTAATTTACTGTGCTGTTAATTTGAGCCTTTTATTAGCTAGTACATGTGCATTTACAAAATAAA
This sequence comes from Homo sapiens, assembly GCF_000001405.40. Classification (NCBI taxonomy): domain Eukaryota; kingdom Metazoa; phylum Chordata; class Mammalia; order Primates; family Hominidae; genus Homo; species Homo sapiens. The sequence goes on from NC_000001.11 coordinate 192,843,589, forward strand.
ATAACATCGTTCTCTAGCATCTAGATTAGGCTCTGAGGTATCTATTGAAATATGCTAAAAATAGACTTAGAGTATATTTTACTATGTTCTTATTTTCTGTAAATTGCTAATCCAAGTAGTACATAAATCATACTTTAAGCCCCACATCTCCTTTCTTAATAAAAATGCAAAACACATTTATTAAGCACAGAACACATAAAAATTTCTTTTCTATACATAAGATAAATGCAAAAAAATAAAATTTGTGGAAAGCTTTCAATGAGTTTATGATCTAGTTGAGGAAATAAGGTATTTGTGAAGACATAATTAGGACTACTACAAAATATTTTACCATGACAACTAAATGAATAATTACAACCTAAAAATTATTTTTTATAAAATCAGCTCATATTTTTCCATCTCCTTATGTCACCGATTCCTCTTTTGATCAAATAAATTCAAGAAAACAGTATGTAAATTGTAAATCTATATGTTGGCCAGCTAATACTGTTATAGGAAGTGTCTTGAGTAACAGTAAGAATTTCCATATGATTTCATTGCTTCTATTGTTAAACACCTTATACAATAGAGTAGGAATCCTGCTGAAACATGAAAAGGAATTTTTCGGTTGGCTGTGAATGACTGTGGTCAGTTCAGTTCTGTTGTTGTTGATATTTTATTCATTTATTTTTTGAGACAGGGTCTCACTCTGTTACCCAGGCTGGAGTGCAGTGGTGCAATCACGACTTATTGCAGCCTCGACCTCCTGGGCTAAAGCAATCCTCCTGCCTCAGCCTCCTGAGTAACTGGGACTACAGGTGTGCACCACCATGCCTGGCTAATTTTTCATTTGTTGTAGAGATGGAGTCTCACTATGTTGCCCAGACTGGTCTCAAACTACTGGACTCATGCAGTTCTCCTGCCTCAGCCTCCCAAAGTGCTGGAATTGCAGGCGTCTGGCTGTTCTTGTTGTTATTGTTTTAACAGGCACATTCTGTTCTAGTGTTATTTATATTAGAAGGATTTTGTTTTACTGCAGCTCCTCAAAGATTAATTTTATTTATTTTGTTTCATTTGCCAATAATGCATAGTTTAGAGGAGGATCAGACTCAACTCTTTAAAACAGAATAACTTCTATTGTAACACAATGCCCAATTGAAACAACAGCAATTAATGTATTTCTATATCAAATCTTGACATCTGAAAGATTTTCAAACAAATTTTCCTGCGGAATTAAAGAGCAAAGTAGGGGTTTCTTTTAATGTGATAAAAGTGTAGCTAGAGAAAAAAAATCATAAACTATTGAATATCAAAAAAAGTGGTCAACTTTTAACACTGACAAAGCTTCACACTGACAAGAATTTCTCTCATCCCCCAACTTCTTTCCAACTATTTTTATTTATTGTTAGAGTTGCATATTTTAACTTGTCCCCTTATTATCAGTCACTACCAGAAATTATAAATGCTGGCTCATTTTTTTAATAATAAATGCCACAATTCACATGCCCTAATAGCTGTTAAGAAGCAAGGATACAAACCAAGTAATTAGCTTTTAAAAGCCTTAAGTTTACTTTTTGTAAAAAGTAAATATTACCAATAAATATGAACAAACCACTTTTAGAATATGTTATATATATACCAGAAATTGGAGAAGTGTAAGGATAATAAAAGTCTTCAGCCTGTAGAGTAGATTATCTGCATCATGAAGTTCGGTCCAGAAGGTACCACTTTACAATGTGGTTAGTGATGAGCAAACCATCTGAAAAGTAATCCCTCAAAGGTAGCATGGTCTGGGATCAGTGTGAGGCATATAAAAATAAACGAGACACAGTTCTGTCCTTAGGAAGGTCACAGTCAACTTGGGAAGATAAGATACATGCATAAAAACTTCACTAGCAAAGCAGTGTATGATGTCGAAGTAAAGGGGGAAATCCGTGTAGACTAGGATGAGGGAACAAGGTATAATTTGAGCAGGAATTACAGGAAAAAAAGTGAGAAAATAGGTTAGAAAAAATATGAACTGGGTAAGAATCAAGGATGCACAAATTGGGGAGAATAAGTAGACATTTAGTCTTAAGTGGAGAATTTATTTAAGATTCAGTGGAAGATAAAGTTAGAAAAGTAGGTTAGGGTAAGATTTTAAAAGGCATTGAGTGTAAAGATGTCAAATTCTGCCCTTATCCAACCTTGTAAAACTGTATTTGAGGACAGGAGCTGTATCTTTTTTATTCTTGTAGTTTCCTGCTAGCTTAGCCTACTGCCTTTTCTTATAAGAAAATAGTGAGTAGGCACCCAGTGTGTGTGTGTGTGTGTGTAAAATTGAGTTAGCATCTATTGGAAATGCAAAACAATTAAAGGCTTTTAATAGTGACACAGCATGAGTAAACAATGTCTTAAGAAGATTTATCTACCTACACTAGATGATCAAGATGGGGGAAAGGCTGATGGTAAAGAGACCTCTTATGAATAGGAAAGTTAACCCTACTCTATATTTGTTTTATTAGAAGTATCACCTCTTATGGATTTATTTATTTATTTATTTATTATTTTGAGACGGAGTCTTGCTCTGTTGCCCAGGCTGGAGTGCAGTGGCGGAGTGCAGTGGCGCGATCTTGGCTCACTGCAGCCTCTGTCTCCCGGGTTCAAATGATTCTCCTCCTCAGCCTCCTGAGTAGCTGGATTACAGGTGCACACCACCACACCTGGCTAGTTTTTATATTTTTAGTAGAGATGGGGTTTCACTATGTTGGCCAGGCTGGTCTTGAACTCCTGACCTCAGGTGATCCTCCCACCTTGGCCTCCCAAAGTTCTGGGATTACAGGCATGAGCCACCGCAACTGGCCAATTTTTAAAGGCAATCTGGTAGTTAAGTTGGCATTCACAAAGATGCTCACATACTAATTAGCTCACCACATGACTATGTGGACACAAGTTGTACTAAATAAATGTCGTAATTATGATGTTTGTAATTATTATCAGCAGTAGCATCTAAGTTGCTACCAAACATTTCTAACACATTTAGAAAGTGTTAGGGCATGTATTCACTAGCTCTCAATTATAAGATTTTCCTGGAAGAAGAGAAGCAAAAACACTTTCAAGTTTCCTGTGGAAGACATGTTTTAAATTTTAAATTATTATTATTGATACATCACAAAATACTGAAACTTTTAAATAAGGTTTTGGTGGGAGTTTAGGCTTAATCTAATATGCAATATACATGAAAAACTGAGGGCAAACATGGCACTTCATGTCCAGACAGCTGGTTCATAAAAAGGAAAAATAAAGAAAAAGGAAGAAATGTTTGAAATTTAAGTTGGTTTTATCGTTGTTGATCATCATCACAATTGTACAAATAACTTTCATATATAGGCCCGGCTTTGGAATGAAAGTCACTAGGGAGGTTTTATATTTTATAGTGTTGTTCTGTTCCTAGGAGGATGCTGTGACCCCTCAATGGATATGCTAATCATCACATCAGAAGCACAACTAGCTTCAAATGGAAACCAGATTGCACTTGGTCACTGACGAAGCAGGAGATTAAACAAGCTACACTGTGTCTCTGGGAGAACAAAAAGCCAAAAGGCACATTTATCACCTCTGAATCACAGTAAGTCCTGCCTTCAAACAAGATTTTCTTCCCCATGCCCATTTTAAATAGTCAATTAGTAGGTGACAGGGAGGAGCCGAGAAAGGAGGGCCTGGGAATATTTAAAGTCCTGTAATGAGTCATCCCATAATAATATAAATGCATTGCAATGTGTAGAGTGATTTAAAGTTGAAACAAAATCTACCATAAATAAAGTTGGATTTTGGAAGTAGGTAGAGCTAGTTATATGCATAGAAGAAAGGAACAGTCACCTACTTAGGGGAATTTGAGAGACATCAAAAAATTCAACATTTTTCTATCTATAATACAAATCACTCTACCAAAGGGAGCATTTGTCATTTCTATCAGGTTACTGTTAATAAGCAAAAGCTTAACCTAAGTAGAAAAACTTAGAAGTCAGTAGAACATCAAAATATTTACTAATCCATTTACTGATTTGGCAAATATTTTTAATGCCTACCATTCTAGGGTCAAGGAGTAAAGAGGTGAATAGAATACAGTCCCTATTCTCATGGAATTTACTAGTGACCGTAAACAAATATATCATGTGTCAGTGGGTGATGGGTAAAATGAAGAAAAATAAACAGGTTAAGGATGATAATGATGGTGATGGGGGGAGTACAATTTCATACTGGATGGTTAAAGAAGGCCTCTCAGAAAGGAGACACTGGAGACTTGAAGAAGGTGAGGAATGAGCCATGTAAATATATCTGGCGAAAAAAAGATCCAGGCAGGGAACAACAATGCCAAACCCCTGGAGCAGGGCTACCCTTAGACTGTTCTATATATATAGGAAGCTGGCTGTTGTGATTGGAGTCAAGCAAGGGAAAGGGGTGGGAGAATAGGTTCATAAAGGTGCTGGGGCCAGAGAAGGGCAGAAAGATTCTATAGAACATTCAGGCCTTGTAAGTTATTTAGCTTTTGCTCTCAATGGAAACTGATTTGATGGTTTTGAGGAGAGTAATGAGGTGGCATTTTAAAAGGATTATTCTGGTAGCTGTATGGAAGATAGGAAGGGGAAGCCGGGAGACTAAAGAGACAGCTACTGCAGTAATCACATTCAGAGGTGATCCTGGCTCAGAGAAAGGAAAGTGCCCTTGAGGTGATAAGAAGTAGTTGTATTCATGATCTATTTTTCCAGATAGACCTGAAAGATTTGTTTATGGCCTAAGGCACATAGAATAATCAAAGATGAGCATAAGGTTTTTGGTTCAAGCAACTGAAAAACGATGGAGTCATCATACCAAGATGGGAAAACTGGGGAGGAGGTAAAACTGGGGGAGCAAGAGGAAGCTGGGATCAAGACTATGGATTTGAACATGTTACATTTGAGATGCCTAATAGATACCCAAATGAAAAAACCAAGTAGCCAGTTGTATGTATGGAGTTGCAGAGAGGTTGAAGGTGAAAGTATAAACTTGGGAATCGTCAGCTTTTAGAGGATATTTAAAGCTACGGCATTGGTTGAAGTTATGTAGAAACTAAAATAAAGAAGGTGAGAGTCTAATACTGAGACAAAATTTAGAAGTTGGAAACATGAGGAGGAACCAGCAAAGGCGAAACTAAGAAAAAGTAGGCAGAAGTTACGCACAAGAATAATCAGGAATGAATGGAACAGTGTCCTGAAAACCAAGTAAAAAACTTACCAAAAAAAAAAAAAAAAAAAGAGGAAGTAACTGTCAATGCTGCTGATCTGTCAGGTACATTAAGGATCCAGAATTTAACATTTGATTTGACAATTGTGTAAAGTCATTTACCACCTTGACAAAGGAAGTTTCTGTGGAGAGATATGAAGCTAGTATGATTGGAATAGCTTAAGGGAGAATTAGAGAGGAAAAACCAGAGACAGAGATTATGGACAACTCCTTTAAATAGTTTTATTGTAATAAAAAGAAGAGAAATGTGATGGTAATTGGAGAGAGATAGGATTCAAGGCAAGGATTGCTAAAATAAAATAAAAATTGTTTCAGCCAATTTATTTCTTGGTGGGGATCCAGGAAAGTGAGAGGAAGGAAAATGAAAAAAAGGCAGACAATTGCAGGAGCTTATGTCCTTTATTATGAGGGGTTGGGGCCCCGTGGACAATTTAAAATGATGATTGCTTTAAATAAGAGCCCTGAGAATAGTTCTTAATCATATTAATTGATTGGATCAGCAGCCTTTCTGAGTACTAATGATAATATGGTTTTATTGAGCACTCCCAGTGTACCAGGCACTGTCTTAATCACTTTATATATGCTTTGACTTGTCCTCAAAACAACTGTATGAATTAAATTGAGTCTACAACTTATTCCTTTATTTAATCATTGAACAAATAATTAATAAGAGCCTACTGGGTTCCAAGCATTGGATTGGCTGTTGGGGAATAAAAAGTGAACAGCAAAATTATTAGGTAAGAGTTGTGGAATGTTCATTATGTACCAAACCTTATACAAATAACTCTGTATTTATAGTCCAAATAACTCTGTATTTATAGTCTCATATACTTCTCACACCAACTCTAGGAGGTTTGTTTTATCGTTTTAAAGATTAGAAAACTGAGGTTTAGAAAAGTTAAATAGCTGGGCGCGGTGGCTCACACTTGTAATCTCAGCACTTTGAGAGGCTGAGGTGGGTGGATCACCTGAGGTCAGGAGTTCAAGACCAGCCTGGCCAACATGGTGAAACCCTGTCTCTACTAAAAATACAAAAAATTAGCTGGGCATGGTTGTGCATGCCTATAATCCCAGCTACTTGGGTGGCTGAGGCAGGAGAATTGCTTGAACCTGGGAGGCGGAGGTTGCAGTAACCCAAGATCGTGCCATTGCACTCCAGCCTGGACAACAAGAGTGAAACTTCATCTCAGAAAAAACAAAAAAAGAGAAAGAAAGAAAAGTTAAAAACACCAAGGGGAACACATCGATGATTCAAACTCTGGCTATGTGGTTCCACTCTGTTACTTGCACATTCCCTGCCTTCTACACAAGGTCATCCTTTCCATTTGCATTGTATAGAGAGGCAAAAATCATGTTAACAAAAAAAAGGAAAGAAAGAGAGAGAGAGAAGGAAAGGAATTGCAAAATGTGTCAAGTACAGAAAAATTCCAACTAGATGCAAATGCTGACAAGAATTTAGAGAAAAAAGACAGAGAGCATCTATTGGATTTGGCTACATAGAACTCACTAACAAACACGAAAAAGTTCTTTAGGAAGTAATAGTAGAATATGGATTGGAGAAAATTCTTCTAAATATGGTTTTCCTCCCTCCAGATAATTTCAAAAACAGTATTTTGGTTATTTTAGCTTATGCCCAACATTCACTATCAGGATACTGGCTAATCCTTGGCCATTATCACTCATCTCTCATTTTGCCCTTTCAGTTCCACCCACTCCTCATCATTCTCCTCAGCAATCCTGTCAAAAGTAATAGTAGAATATGGATTGGAGGGGGTGGAAGAGTACATGAGAGGTGGGGAGAGGAAGGATGTGATTATGAAAGGGAGCTGAGAAACGAGGAGAGACGTGTTTGCAAGTGAGGTCTTTTTCAACATAGGAGATATTAAGGCCTGTCTTCATGCTAATAGAAAAGACCCAGTAGAGAGGAGCAGTGTCTGTCGTAGAAAATATTGAAAGAACACTGTGCATTCCTAGAGAAAGCGAGAGAAAATAGGGTCTGTAACTCAAATGCAGAGAATAGCCATTAACACAAGAGGAACACTGCCTCTGTATTGTAAGGCAAAGAAGTAGAAAACAGGTGCACATGTGCATTGGTTTGTAAATTTGATAATGGGAAGGAAGACAAAGAAATTTGCTGATAAAAACAAAGCCAGAGTCTGAAGCCAGGTCTCTCTACAACAAAGCATCATGGCCACTGAATTGACAAAACAGCCTTAAAAACAATTTTCTCAGCCTGGCCAACATGGCGAAACCCCATATCTAGTAAAAATGCGAAAATTAGCAGGGCGTGGTGGCGCCTGCCTGTAATCTCAGCTACTCAGGAGGCTGAGGCAGGAGAATCGCTTGAACCTGGGAAGAGGTGGTTGCAATGAGCCAAGATCACGCCACTGCACTCCAGCCTGGATGACAGAATGAGACTCCATCTCAAACAAAACAAAACACAACTGTTCTCAGCTGCTGAGCAGTCTCTGCAGAAACTCATTATTTTCTGAGAGCAAAAATGGCCATAACTCTGCCTCAGCCTGGCTAGAGACATTTCTGCTTGTTCCTCCCTCTCAACAGGGTCACTGCTCAGATACTTCAGGAAAGAACAGAAAGAAGATAGCTTTCTTTATTCTGAGAAAAAGGGCAAGCAGGCAGATTCCTTCCCCACCATTTGTGGGAGAAGAACCTGTCCCACTTGGTTGAAATATTTGAAATATTTACCCTTACTGGACTTTAAGCTGTCAGTGAATGTTGCTCCTGTCAAATTTAGAAACGGTTTCAGAGAACCATTTATCTGAAATGCCAGTTGTTACAACGCTTTTCTCCTTTCCAGCCTCCCTCCACCTAACTTCCCCTCTTATTTCTCCACCTTATTCCTGACTGGTCCTCCCAGTCTTTACTAAAGCAAGATCAAAGCCTTTCTCTTCCGCCTACTCTCTTTCCTTCTCTTTGCCACCTATATTTTCTAATCTTTCTCTGTCAAGAAGTAGCATTCTTCCCATCCGAATCTTCAGGCTAAAATCCCATATTCCACATGGTAGTATTTGACATATGCCACATTTTGTTTTACAGAATGGTTTCTATGACGATCACAGAAAAGTCTTAAATTTAATTGTTTGAAAATCCATCTACATGTGGTTTTCCTCCCTCCAGACAACTTCAAAAACAGTATTTTGGTTATTTTAGCTTATGCCCAACATTCACTATCAGGATCCTGGCTTATCCTTGGCCATTATCATTCATCTCTCATTTTGCTCAGTCAATTCCACCCACTCCTCATCATTCTCCTCAGTAATCCTGTCAAAAAATCAATTTGCTGCTTCCTCTGCTATTAAAGTGGATTATCCAGTAATTATTTCCTTTTAAGGAAGAGAAATGAGGGTGGAAATAAGCTTGCCTCTGTTGATCCCTAACATAGGCATGACTGAATTTCTAGTGCAGGTACTGTACCACTTTAGATAATTTGCAGAGACTGCTGCACTTTAGTCAAGCCTTATTAAAATGGAAATCCTTGTTATAATTCAAGGGCACTTGCTGAATGGTACATTAACGTGTTCACTGAAAGCATTTGCTTTCAGGTAATATGTAATTACTAACATGACTATAATAAATGCTATTGAAGGGGAAGTCCTGTGTATGCCCAAGGCTAGGCCAGGGACAAAGAAATCCAGTAATCAGTAAGGATTATTAGCCCATAGGGAACTCAAAATTTTAAATAATAAAGCAATTTAGTTAGGGCTGTGGCTGCCATGGATTTAGTCCACCTAGGAGAAGAGAGGGTAAAGATATTATCAATATTTGGAAGTTATACCCTAAAACTTGAAATTCAGGACTGCCTCCTGAAAAAAATTAAACTGAAAATAACTCTGAGAGGTGGAAGTTGTTCCTAAAAATATCAGGCACTGTCCTGGGCAATGACTTGTAAATAGGAAGCTGAAATTGTCCTTGAATCAGAGTGCAGCTCTGGTTGGGATCTCTCAGTATTTAAACCTGTGGCATTGACAACCATATTAAGATATCTAAGGAAGAGAACAAAAAGAAAAGGAATAATACAGCTACCTGATCCTCATGCATTCTGTCACACTGTAACTCCAGAGATTGACCCAAAGGACTTCAAGAGTTCCATTTCTGGGTGTAAGTTCTTTGTAGAGAGCATTGATTCACACTAGTGACTGTTTTCACAGTTACATTTTGATAAAATTTCCAACTGACAGAAAAGCTGCAAGAATAGTACAAAGAATTCCTGTTTACTCTTAACCCAAATGTTAATGTTAATATTTTACATTTGCTTTATCATCTTTCTTTCTCAGTATATGTGTATAATTTTGTTTAACTATTTGATCGTAAGTTGAGACGTAATGCCCTTTTACTTCTAAATACTTCAGAGTATATTTCTTATCTAGCCATGTCACAATTATCAAAATCAAAAAATTAACATTGGTTCAATACTGTCACCTTTTTTCCACAGACTTTATTCAGATTTCACTAATGTCCCATTAATGTCCTTTATAATAATAACACAAATCCCAGCTCAAGCATTGATTCCATTGTCATGTCTCTTTAGCTTCCTTTTATCTGAAACTGTTCCTCAGTCCTTCATGGCAGTGACATTTAAATCATACACATCACTTGTTTTATGAATGACCCACAATTTGGATTTGTCAGATGTTTGTGATTAGGTTACCTTTAAGCATGTTTTGAAGAATATCGCAGAGTGATGTTCCTATCTTTCTAGTGCATCATATCAGGAGCTACTCATGTTGATTTGCCCTATTATTGGTGATGTCAACTTTAATCACTGTGTTAAGGTATTTTCTGCCAGGTTTCTCCACTGTAAAATTACTATTTTCTCCTTTGTAATTAATACAAATTTGATGGGGAGCTAATTTGATAATATGGAACTATCCTATTATTTCTCAAACTTTTACACATTAATGGTAGCATTTATCAGTGATTTCTGCCTGAGTTAATCACTATTATCATGGCTGCCAAATGGTCATTTCCCCCATTCCACTGTCATTTGTTGTCAGCTTTCTACTATAAGGAAAACCTTTCCCTCCTCTCCTTTGATTTTATTTACTTACATATCAGTATCAATTCATTCTATTGATCATAATTCATACATATAAATACAATGGATTATAATTTTGCTATCATTATTTATTTCAATGCTCAAATTTGAAACAGATTTAGCCATAACGCAGTGATTTTTTTGAAATTCAGATTTCCGACTTTTATTGAAAAGTCAGTGCTCTGGCAAAACTGGGGCAATAATGCTTTGGATCAGAGTGACTGAGAGAACCTCAAAGAGGCCTGACTTCTCCAGTTTCCAAATTCCCCTCCGGGTTGAATTTACCCATTTACATTACCTAAGCTAGATTGATGCCTCTTATTCTATATGACAGAGATACCCTTCATAAATTGATGGAAATTATTTTTATTTTGGCTTTAATCTCACCAAAGGAAATTTCTAATTATGATTCCTGTATAGATAACTACACGAAGAACATGAGCTGACTATGAAGGTTGTTAGCTTCTCCCTTCTCCTGCTGTTTTCTTACAGTAAATTATTAAATTGGTATTTTGATATCTACTTAAGTTTTGTTTGGATTTTAGCTATTGCTACTTAGTCTCTCAAGACCCTTTTAGACATGGACATCAACTAGAGTATGTCGTGGGCCTTCAAAGGAAAGGCCAAGTTCCATAGCAGCTAGTCAAGATACTACCTGGCCTTCTCTGCTTTAGTCAGAATCTTGTTAGACCACTGGCACACTTTTATCCTCAAATGTTTACAGAGACTGAAGAGTAAATTACAAAGCAAGAGTAGTTGTTTGAGGAGGGAGGATGTTTATATGGTGGGTTAACATTGATAGAAAAGATGGTACAAATGGAAGCTGGTGACTTGTTACCTTAAGCAAACAACTTGCTTAGGAAAGAGAAGAGAAAACAAGGACATTAGAGAAGAGAATCACAGAAGACTGACTAGAAACAGTGAAATGATCAGAAAGGTCTGATCAAAAAAGTGGAAGAGGAAAAAAAAAAAACACCTAAGGAGAGGGTAAGGTAAGTCCCAAGCAAACCACCTAGGTTTCTTATTGTGGTATAAGTTGTATCTAAATGGCTTATGGTTCAATGTTGTCTTTTCTTAATAGTCCAGTTTAGGGTAAGGAGGCTCTGAACTAATGATTAATGGGGATCTCCAGTAGAAAGTGTCATAATATAACATGTTGTTATAATTCTGGTGTGATTTAGTAGTTAATCTATTGAATCAAATTGTCTTTTTGGAAGTGTAAATGAATACAATTACAATTAAATCTATAATTTTTTTTTTTTTTTAGATGGAGTCTCACTCTGTCACCCAGGCTGCAGTGCAGTGGTGCCATCTGGGCTCACTGCAACCTCCGCCTCCCGGGTTCAAGCGATTCTCCCACCTCAACCTCCCCAGTAGCTGGGATTACAGGCGTGCGCCACCACGCCCGGCTAATTTTTGTATTTTAGTAGAGACGGGGTTTCACCATGTTGGCCAGGATGGTTTCTAACTCCCAAGCTCAAGTGATCCACCTGCCTCAGCCTCCCAAAGTGCTGGGATTACAGGCATGAGCAACCGCAACCAGCCTAAATCTATAATTTAATGCATACATAATGTCAAACTATTTTTCAAGATCATGGAAAATGTTGAAGATTTTTTTTTTTTTTTTTTTTTTTTTGAGACAGAGTGTTGCTCTGTGGCCCAGGCTGGAGTGCTATGGCACTATCTTGGCTCACTGCACCCTCTGCCTCCCAGGTTCAAGCAGTTCTCCTGTCTCAGCCTCTCCAGTAGCTAGGACTACAGGTGCATACCACCACACCTGGCTAATTTTTGTATTTTTAGTAGAGACGGGATTTCACCACATTGGTCTGGCTGGTCTCGAACTCCTGACCCCACGTGATCCACCCGCCTTGGCCTCCCAAAGTGCTGGGATTACAGGCGTGAGCCACCACTCCTGGCCAATAATTTTAAACTTTAAACTTAAATAATCTTTTATTGTTAAAGAAATAAGAAAGATTATAAACCTATGGAGCTATTAACTAGGATGTTAAAATTGACTTCTATATGTCTTGACCCTAAGATAATATTATTAATGTGGAATTTGTAGCTTGCATGAAATATTACTAACTCATAGCTTTCCTCCATACACATTTTACAGTTATGGTTGCTCTAAGTAGTCAAAGTTGTCATTCATAGGGTGGAATAGCATAGCAAAAAAGAGAAAACAGAAAAACTCAAATTAGAGTAACAAAATTTTTTAAAATTATGAAATGACACACCTAAACCTTCACTAATATCCTAAAGTGAATAGACTAAATTGACTTTAAAGAGAAACAATAATTACTCTTCAAAGGAATCAGTTGTGAAAAAGAGTAAAATGTGGAGGAGAAGCCCCAAAAACACTGTGAAAAGGCACTGCTATAAGAGTTTGGAGCTCAGAGTTGCTATCCCCAGTTCTACACATTGAAATCACCTGGGAACTCTCCCTCTCCCTCTCCCTCTCCCTCCCCCTCCCCCTCCCCCTCCCCCTCTCCCCACGGTCTCCCTCTCCCTCTCCCCACGGTCTCCCTCTGATGCCGAGCTGAAGCTGGACGGTACTGCTGCCTGATTCTCCTGCCTCAGCCTGCCGACTGCCTGCGATTGCAGGCGCGCCGCCACGCCTGACTGGTTTTCGTATTTTTTTGGTGGAGACGGGGTTTCGCTGTGTTGGCTGGGCTGGTCTCCAGCTCCTAACCGCGAGTGATCCGCCAGCCTCGGCATCCTGAGGTGCCGGGATTGCAGACGGAGTCTCATTCACTCCGTGCTCAATGGTGCCCAGGCTGGAGTGCAGTGGCGTGATCTCGGCTCGCTACAACCTTCACCTCCCAGCAGCCTGCCTTGGCCTCCCAAAGTGCCGAGATTGCAGCCTCTGCCCGGCCGCCACCCCATCTGGGAAGTGAGGAGCGTCTCTGCCCGGCCGCCCATCATCTGGGATGTGAGGAACCCCTCTGCCTGGCTGCCCAGTCTGGAAAGTGAGGAGCGTCTCTGCCCGGCCGCCATCCCATCTAGGAAGTGAGGAGCGCCTCTTCCCAGCCGCCATCCCATCTGGGAAGTGAGGAGCGTCTCTGCCCGGCCGCCCATCGTCTGAGATGTGGGGAGCACCTCTGCCCTGCCGCCCCGTCCGGGATGTGAGGAGCGTCTCTGCCCAGCCACCCCGTCTGAGAAGTGAGGAGACCCTCTGCCTGGCAACCGCCCCGTCTGAGAAGTGAGGAGCCCCTCCGCCCGGCAACCGCCCCGTCTGAGAAGTGAGGAGCCCCTCCGCCCAGCAGCCACCCCGTCTGGGAAGTGAGGAGCGTCTCTGCCCAGCAGCCACCTCGTCCGGCAGGGAGGTGGGGGGGTCAGCCCCCTGCCCGGCCAGCCACCCCGTCCGGGAGGGAGGTGGGGGGGTCAGCCCCCCGCCCGGCCAGCCACCCCGTCCGGGAGGGAGGTGGGGGGGTCAGCCCTCCGCCCGGCCAGCCACCCCGTCCGGGAGGGAGGTGGGGGGGTCAGCCCCCCGCCCGGCCAGCCTCCCAGTCCGGGAGGGAGGTGGGGGGATCAGCCCCCCGCCCGGCCAGCCGCCCCGTCCGGGAGGTGAGGGGCGCCTCTGCCCGGCCGCCCCTACTGGGAAGTGAGGAGCCCCTCTGCCCGGCCAGCCGCTCCGTCCAGGAGGGAGGTGGGGGGGTCAGCCCCCCGCCCGGCCAGCCGCCCCGTCCGGGAGGGAGGTGGGAGGGTCAGCCCCCCACCTGGCCAGCCGCCCCGTCCGCGAGGTGAGGGGCGCCTCTGCCCGGCCGCCCCTACTGGGAAGTGAGGAGCCCCTCTGCCCGGCCAGCCGCCCCATTCGGGAGGGAGGTGGGGGATCAGCCCCCCGCCCGGCCAGCCGCTCCGTCCGGGAGGGAGGTGGGGGGGTCAGCCCCCCGTCCGGCCAGCCGCCCGGTCCGGGAGGTGAGGGGAGCCTCTGCCCGGCCGCCCCTACTGGGAAGTGGGGAGCCCCTCTGCCCGGCCACCACCCCGTCTGGGAGGTGTACCCAACAGCTCATTGAGAACGGGCCATGATGACAATGGCGGTTTTGTGGAATGGAAAGGGGGGAAAGGTGGGGAAAGGATTGAGAGATTGGATGGTTGCCGTGTCTGTGTAGAGAGAGGTAGACGTGGGAGACTTTTCATTTTGTTCTGTACTAAGAAAAATTCTTCTGCCTTGGGATCCTGTTGATCTGTGACCTTACCCCCAACCCTGTGCTATCTGAAACATGCCCTGTATCCACTCAGGGTTGAATGGATTAAGGGCGGTGCAAGATGTGCTTTGTTAAACAGATGCTTGAAGGCAGCATGCTCCTTAAGAGTCATCACCACTCCCTAATCTCAAGTACCCAGGGACACAAACACTGCGGAAGGCCGCAGGGTCCTCTGCCTAGGAAAACCAGAGACCTTTGTTCACTTGTTTATCTGCTGACCTTCCCTCCACTATTGTCCTGTGACCCTGCCAAATCCCCCTCTGCGAGAAACACCCAAGAATGATCAATTAAAAAAAAAAAAAAAAGAAATCACCTGGGAACTTAAAAAAAAAAAAAAATTCCATGGCCTAGATTCCACCTCTGGGGAATCTAATCCAATCAATCTGGGGTGTGGTTGGGCCTCAGGCCTTTAAAAATCTCTTTGAAAGTCAAAGTCACTTAAACTCTTACTTTTAAAAGATTAAGAATATGAGGAAATTTCAGGTTGAACAACTGGTCACCAGGTTTGGTTTATTTATAAAATGAAGTTGTTGGACAAGATTAGTAAAGGAACTGAAAGAAAAATGTCTAAGCACTGAGCATTTTCTGGTTTTAACTTGTGGTTTTTCTCTTGAACTATTTTCCGTTATCATATTAGGGCATAGAAAAATGTATCATTAGTTATGATTTTCTAACATGGTAATTATTTTTCTGAATATTTTGTCAGTAAAGACAGTGAGGCAGAATCCAATCATTTATCAATGATCCAAGTGATCTTTAAACATTCATAAGCCACTCAAACATGTTCAATATTGCCTTGTATATATACTAAGTGATAAAATAACAAAGGTATCTGTAAACATTGAACTATGTCATTTCGTATCATAATTCCCTAGAGCCTGATACTAAATGTATTTTAAGCCTTTAAGCAATGTGACCCAAGACTGACAAGCAGTATGTACTTAATACATTTTTAATAAATGAATAAATAAAATAACAAATACTCTTAAAATTCAAAATTTTAAATGAATTTAGGACAAAAGTATAGTAGTACATTAAAAATGTTCCAAGTTGGCCGGGTGCAGTGGCTCACGCCTGTAATCCCAGCACTTTGGGATGCTGAAGCAGGCGGATCACTTGAGCTCAGAAGTTTGATACCAGCCTGGGCAATGTGGCAAAACCCTGTCTCTGCCAAAAATACAAAAAGAAAAAAAAAAGAAAAAAAATCAGCTGGGTGTGGTGGAATGTGCCTGTGGTCTCAGTTACTTGGGAGGCTGAGATGGGAGGATGGCTTGAGCCTGAGAGGTGGAAGTTGCAGTGAGCCAAGATTGTGCCACTGCACTCCAGCCTAGGTAACACAGTAAGACCCTATCTCGAAAAAAAAAAAAAAAAAGTTCCAAGTGGGTAGTATAATATCAAATAAATAATCCTGAAAATGATATACAGTTTATCTATTTAAAATATATAGAATAAAGATACAGTTAGAGTAAGATTATCCCTTTACCTGATTTTTATCAATTGTTGGTTATATAATTTACATTTTATTTTATTACATTCTTTCGGTACTTAAAAATAAAACATCCATCTGGTATTCTAACAGACTTTAAAACAAAGTACTATCTATTGCGTTATTGTTGAGGTGGAAAAATTAGGAATCAAAAACTGATTAATAGGTAATTTAAATCAGTGTATCAAGAAGTTGGGCTGCCTGCTAGAAATAAGAAACTGACATCTGTTTTTCAAGATATAAAGCAGAGAAGTAGCATTGTACATGTAATAGAATATGATTGATTAAGCACTGTTTTCTTCTTTAGAAAGTGAGTCTACAATCAACAAGGTAAAACAATTCATCAACACCTGCCAAAAGTAACAACTATGCCAACAACATGCTAACTGGAATTCCTTATCTTTACTTTTACTCATTAATTACATATATTTGGAGCTCTACTAGATAAGAAGCTGTACTTCAGCAAGCAGAACTATGATCCATTTACAGGGAGTGGTGTTGTGAGGAGAGCTGGACATTTAGGATCAAATATGAGAAATTAAACAGAAATGATGTGAAAGAAATCTCACCATATAGACTAGCTAAACTTTTTCAAATATAGAACTTAGCTTAGTATTAAATACATTGAAAAACTAGTAATGATCCTAGCTAGGGGCTTTGAAACTTTTCATCCAATCATTTCCCCAAGATTTCCCTTAGTCTTCCCAAGTCTCCAGTTTGCCACATAATACAAGTTTGGTGTTTGAATTCTCAGTGCCATAACTAAGCCGCTTCATGGAGAGGGTTCAAAAGTCAAATCTCCCCTTTCATAAAGCTCACAATGCTAGCCTGCTACTACTAAACTCTTTAAAAAAAAGAAAAACAAAAACAAAAACAAAAAACAAACTTTCCTGTAATAAATAATATTTATTATTATAAATATTTTTTAAAATAGGCAAAGGACCCAGGTTTTCCCCTTTCTCTGAACTCCCTGCATCCATCACTTCTCCTTGCCCTTGTAGCCTACAGGGTAAGAGAGATGATGGCTTCACCAGTTGCTCTTTAAAAAAACCTGATGCCTGTTACCTAAGAGGCCCTATGAGGTAGGAGACAGAATGGCTGGCTTTGGAACATGGAGATTAGGCTTGACTCTGACCTCTGCCTCTTGCTATCTTGCAGCTCATCCTCTTCATGTTTCTCTTCCTCCCAGGCAAAAAAAAAGTAGTATCATCCTTTCTACCAGGGTGCCATAGAGATTAAATAAGATAATATAAGCAGAGCACTTTAAATAAGATGCTCAATAAGTGGTAGTGATGATGAGTTATTTTAACTATTTAAACCTATGTTAATCTGTGTAAATACATTGCGGGAGAAAGGAAAGTGAAAGATGACACCATCCAAAACCCCAAAGGTAGGCCTGCTCAAAGAGCTCTGATTGCAGTTCATCTCCACCCAGTTAGGGTGGAGGCTATGTCTGTTTCCTCCCTACAATCTGAAACATGTCCAGCATATAACTGT
The DNA here is from genome assembly GCF_000001405.40 of Homo sapiens. Classification (NCBI taxonomy): domain Eukaryota; kingdom Metazoa; phylum Chordata; class Mammalia; order Primates; family Hominidae; genus Homo; species Homo sapiens. The sequence continues at coordinate 192,861,077 of NC_000001.11, forward strand.
TGAATTCATTAATTTGAAAACCAATGACCTAATGAAAAAGTAAAAAGTATCTTACAGAGAAACTATAAAAATTAAAGTCCCGGCCGGGCGCAGTGGCCCACGCCTGTAATCCCAGCACTTTGGAAGGCCAAGGTGGGCGGATCAGCTGAAGTCAGGAGTCTGGGATCAGCTGAAGTCAGGGGTCCAAGACCAGCTTGGCCAACATGGTGAAAACCCGTCTCTACTAAAAATACAAAAATTAGCCAGGCATGGTGGCAGACGCCTGTAATCTCAGCTAGTCAGGAGGCTGAGGCAGGAGAATCTCTTGAACCCGGGAGGCGGAGGTTGCAGTGAGCCGAGATGGCGCCATTACACTCCAGCCTGGGGAACAAGAGTGAGACTTCGTCTCAAAAAAAAAAAAAAAATTAAAGTCCCAGTCAGAAGTCTTATTGATATTTAAGCAAGTTATTTAGCTTCATTTGTCTTAGTTTATCTGCTAGCTGGAATTAATAATGTTTGCATCTGCTTATCTGAGAGAACAGTCAGGAGAAGAAATGCAAGCATACCTGCCATAATACAAATGGAAACTGACAAATTATAACGTATCTTACTTTCTTTCGATAGGGATATTATAAAGTAAAGTAGGTATAGTAATACTCACCTTTTATAGAGTTGCTTTGAGAATTAGAAATAATGCATGTAAAACCTTTGCACAATGACTGACATAAAATAGGAGACCAAGAAATTATAGGTATTATTTTTATCATTATTATTACTGAGAGACTTTGGAGTAATTTCTGTCTTCTGTAAAAGCGATATGACAGAACAGCTGTGCAAATAATGTACAAGTTCCTTGAAACTGATAGAAAACGTTCACGTCTCAAGCTTCAGGAGTCCACTGTGTTCTTGTTTGCTAAGTGAGAACACCGTGTACAATGGAAGTGAGTCAGTTCTGTCCAACCTTCCTTAGGATGTTATAAAATTTGGCATAATTTTAATTAGTAGTAGTCATTGCTCTTTAAGCTCACAACAATGTATTTCATCAGAACTGCATGACAAAATAAATAGGATGTTTATTTTTATCACCACACCTGTAGTCATCAATGATATAGCAGTCAGCCTAAGAAACTAAGAAACTCCCAAAGCAAACAATATAAATATGTCTTTATAGGCTTATCATTTGGCCAGTCTAAACATGTTACAAGTTTAAATGATCTTTTTAAAAGTTCCCTAGCTTTGCTATAGACATAAAGCATATTACACCTGTCTAACATGTTTTTATCATCATTAGTCTATTTTATCTTCATACTGACCATATGAGAGATTTAAGTAGATATTATGATCTCTATTCTACAAGCTGAAAAACTGAGATGCTATAACGTTAAGCAACTTCTGCAGGATCAGTGATTAAGACAGAACTATAATCCAGGTTTCTGGGTGTGGCTTCCTTCTACTGCATTTGGCTATTTTCAGGTATCTCCAATGCTCCAGGAAAATAAAATGCCTCTAAACAATCCACCATTTTTCAAAAGTGACTACAAATAATACATCCAGACAGATATAATACAAATTATTCTAGAGAATTGATCTAATCTTGCTATTAACAATATATAAAATGAGGCTGGGCATGGTGGCTCACGCCTGTAATCCCAGAACTTTGGGAGTCCGAGGCGAGTGTATCACCTGAGCTCATGAGTTCAAGACCAGCCTGGGCAACATGACAAATCCCTGTCTTTACAAAAAGTACAAAAAATTAGCCAGGTGTAATGGTGTGTGCCTGTAGTCCCAGCTGCTTAGGAGGCTGAAGCAGGAGAATCACTTGAGGCCAGAAGGCAGAGGTTGCAGTGAGCCAAGATCATGCCATTGCACTCCAGCCTGGGTGATAGAGTGAGACCCTGTCTCAAAAAAAAAAAAAAAAAAAAAAAAATATATATATATATATATATAGAGAGAGAGAGAGAGAGAGAGAGAGAGAGAGAGAGAGAAAATATATATAATATACATATTATATATATATATAAAATAACTTGACATCTCAGAAGAGAAACTTCATAAATGCTAAAGATAAGAACTAACCCATGGGAAAACTGACCCCATGTAAGTGTGAAGGCAACAGGAAGAGCTTCAGGCCAGAAATCTGGAAATCTGGATTCCAGGCTAATTCTGGCTCTAATTGTGTGTATGACTTTGGATAAATTCCTTATCTCTGTAGTGTTCCAGTTTTATCATCTATAAAAGAGTTGGTCTAAATGTAGAATTTAATTGGCAGAATGTTGAAATTCTCAAATCTGCAAATCAATAGTTGACTCCATGGTGGTATTCACTCCTTTAGTAATGATTTACTACCATAAACACTGATATGCATAAATATTAGCTAAAGCTAATAAAGTTTACAGTAGTGTTCTATATAGAAAAATATGTAAACTATTCTTGTGAATAAGCTGCAATAAAACATAGGGTTGCACCAGCAAGCATTTTAGAGCCTTCTGAAGGTTAGAATTAAAGAAATCTATTTATTGGGCTAACCAAAGTGTCCTTGTCACTGCAATTTTCTAATTTTAAGAATAAATAGGTTTTTTGTTTGTTTGTTTGTTTGTTTGTTTTTGAGACGGAGTCTCACTCTGTAGCCCAGGCTGGGAGTGCAGTGGTGCGATCTCGGCTCACTGCATGCTCTGCCTCCCAGGTTCACGCCATTCTCCTGCCTCAGCCTCCCGAGTAGCTGGAACTACAGGTGCCCGCCACCACGCCCTGCTAATTTTTTGTATTTTTAGTAGAGACGGGGTTTCACCGTGTTAGCCAGGATGGTCTCGATCTCGTGACCTCGTGATCCGCCCCCTCGGCCTCCCAAAGTGCTGGGATTACAGGCGTGGGCCACCGCGTCCGGCCGATTTTCATTTTCATGTTCAGTTCATCCTTTCGTTTCCAGACACTGAGGAGACGAAGACAAGCCAAGATCATCCTATGCCTGGAAGAGATCTCAGTTGTATGGAAATAATCAGCCAATATGACCACCCACTTCTGGAAGAGCATCTCTAAGACAGAGGGGGTACTGTGTCTCTTCACTTTCCATACATAGTTCTCAATGTGTATTTTTTTAATTGATTACTTTTTCCCCTTGAAGGATTTCCTAAAATCTATTTAATTTTACCTGACCTATGTCCCAGAAATTGTCTTTTTTCCTACTGTAATTGCCATTTAAAGTAATAAAAAATACTTGGGGAAAAAAGTTCATCTTTCTATAGCTTTATAAATATGGAGCAAATATATCTGTTCATTTGATGAATGTCCATTTAAACCAGCATTGAGAGAAATGAATTATCATATTCCACAAAAGATCATTGAAAAAAGACCATTAAATGAATAATAGTGGATCCTTAATGTTGCCCTAGAGGAAGAAGAATAATTTCAGATGGCAGGAAAATAACTTTTATCTTTTGTTAAACATTCAAACAATTATTTTACCAACACATACCATTGCAGATAACCTCAAAAAGAGTAAAACAAATTTTCAGAATGCTATACTCCTATACTAAGGAGTGTTCCAGAGGCAACTGTGGTGTCTTTTAATTCAAAATTGTTCAGAGTATAGGTTAGCCTCTCATATGGTGAGTATATAACCTAGGTTTTCTATGACCAGCCTAATATAAACACTTCTGTCCCATTCTATAAATAAGTGAACTTCGGCTTGTCAGACCATGATTTGGATATAATGTCATGATACCCACTGACCATATGGAAAATGCCTTCCCTTAGAAATACTCTAACCTCCTAGTACAGTAGCATAAAGAACTTATACCAAAATATTATACTAATAATTCTTAATGATATTTCAACTTTTTTAGGACTATGAAAATCAGAAATGGTATTTTTAATTTGCGCAGTTGTCTTCCTTTTGATGTTGGTTTGCTAGTCTCAAATGGCTTACAAATACGAAGTGAAGGTATCTCTATGCTATAGAATTTTACCAGGTGACTTTATACACTCCCCTGGTCTAAGCTACATCTCTGTGCAGATGACTCTTTAATCTATACTTTGTAGTCTACTTTTTCTTTGACCTGTCTTATGAACTCCAGACTTTTGTTTTCTCTTGCCTAACTCCAGACCTATATTTTCAGTTGACTTATCCAACTGACATCCTAAATTCAACAAAATCATATTCTAATCATCAGACATAGATCCTTCTGAGTTATTTCCTTCCATACACTGAGTAGTCCATTGGTCACCAAATTAAGAAAAATGTTCATAACCTTCACAGCCCTTCAAACCAAATTGTTATGCAGTCACCACAGGAAAGTGGTTCAACACATGGATTTTGATGTCAGACAGAGCTGGGCTTTAATCACCATTTTGCCACTGCTGGTGTGAGAGTAGACTCGTTATTCAGTCTCTCTAAATCTAAGTTTTGGACAGATAATGGGGATAAGAAAACTATCATTTAGGGCTGTGTGAGAATTTATTTATTATTATCATTATTATTATTATTATTATTATTTTGAGATGGAGTCTCGCTCTGTCACCTAGGCTGGAGTGCAGTGGCACAATCTCAGCTCACTGCAGCCTCTGCTTCCCAAGTTCAAGAGATTCTCCAGCTTCAGTCTCCCAATTAGCTGGGATTACAGGCATGCGCCATCATGCCTGGCTACTTTTTGTATTTTTAGTGGAGACAGTTTCACCATGTTGGCCAGGCTGGTCTCGAACTCCTGACCTCAAGTGCCTCGGCCTCCCAAAGTGCTGAGATTACAGGCATGAACCACTGCACCCGGCCCTGTTTGAGAATTTTTTTTTTTTTTTTTTTTTGAGATGAAGTCTCGCTCTTGTCCCCCAGACTGGAGTGCGATGGCACAATCTCAGCTCACTGCAACGTCTGCCTCCCGGGTGCAAGTGATTCTCCTGCCTCGGCCCCTGAGTAGCTGGGATTATAGGCGCCTGCCACCACCCCCAGCTAATTTTTGTATTGTTAGTAGAGACGGGGTTTTACCATGTTGGCCAGGCTGGTCTAGAACTCCTGACCTCAGGTGATCCACCCACCTCGGCCTCCCAAAGTGCTGGGATTACAGGCCTGAGCCACCGCACCCAGCCCTATATGAGAATTTAAAAAGGTAATCCATGCTGAGAAATTAGCATAGTACCCAGGGTGCTCAGAGTAAGATCATCATCATCTCTCTCTTGTAGACAACTATAGTAAATAACTTTGATAGTCTCACTGCTTTCTCTTTTCTTCTCTTAGTCCCTCCTACAATCCACACTATTCCACAGTGAAGATCTAACTACAGTACTCTCTTAATTAAAAGCTTCCTGGTTGCCAAGGGAAAATTATAACTGTGTACTGGGGGAATGAGGCTGCTCTCACTGCAATCCAATGATCAGCCCTGGCACCACTAATCATGGTGAAATCTTACATGTCTTATCTCTTGAAGTGAAAAACAGGAAGTACCCAATATTGCATGTGTTATATTAAAGAAAAAAATGTTTTACTAGAATCTACTCAGGCTTATAGGTCTAATTCACACTTGATATGAAATACAAAGAATGAAGTAAGAAGCTAAACAATACAAACAAACCAGAGAACCCAGAAGGTAAAACACGGGTATCTGCACTGGTCTATTTATAAAGTTAGTGACTGCCAAAAAATAAGCGGGAGGGAAGGAGCTAATCTAAGTTAAAACGGGTTCAAGGACCATAACAACAAATATAATAGTGGTCCTGGATTCGATCCTGATTTTGACAAAGCAACTATAAAGACATTTTGGGGACCGCTGAGATATTTTTAACATAGACTGAACAATAGACAATGTTAAAGAGTTGTCTATATTTAACAATTTGATAGTGTTATTTGTTTATATAGAAAAATGGTTTTTTTTAGAGATACAAACTAAATCATGGTAGGTAAAATTATGATATTGGCAACTTTAAAGTACTACAGAATTAAAAACAAAAAGTAAATTTTAAAAGCCTACAATTTGAGTACATTATCATCGTCCATAAAACAATGCCACTAAAATGGAAATATAATGTGAGCCATATATGCGATTTAAATGTTCTAGCAACCACATTTTAAAAAAATAAAAAATCTGAAATTAATTTAATAATGTATTTTCTTTAGCATATCTAAAATATGGGCATTTTAACATATAATCAATATAAAACATTATTAGTGAGATGGTCGACATTCTTTTCTTTCTACTAAATCTTTAAAATTCAATGTGTATTTTATACATACAGCACTTCTCAATTTAAAGTAGCCATATGTAGTTAGTGTCTTTGGCACTGGGCTGTAACCTGACCTCAGAGCATGTTTCCAACCCTATCTCTGGCTCTACACACTGCTTCAGCCATTCCCTGACTTGACCAGTTTATCCACACCCACGTGCTTTGACATAAACCACATCCCTCAGATAGATTTAGCCCTCTGCTTTTCTCAATCTGAAGAACTTCAACTCACCTGGCACTAAAGATGCTCCTTTTATTGCATCTCATCACGGCACCTGCCATTTTTCAAGTATTTGTTGCCTTCCGACTCTGGCTAAATAGTGAGTTCTGTAATAGAGAGACTGTCATAATCATCTCTGTACTCCTAGCCATTTTTGAGGAATAAACTAGTGAATGAATCAATAAACAAATGAAGCATGCTACTAAAACACAGATGTAAAAACGTAACATTTTAGGTTTTCCCTTTTTCTCCCTATCTGAGGTTCTTTGTTCCTTCCAGTTCTTCATAGTTTTATTCCTATCTTATATAACCAGAGAAACATAGAATACAAGTATGTTTTGAATTAGAAATACCAAAATTAAGACATCAAATTAAAAGCATTGGCTATAACAATGATCACTTACCGATGCTGAGGTGATTAAAGTGGCCACAAGAGTAAATAGTTTCTTGGAAAAAACGATATTTTTTCTCTTTTAATTTTGTTTTTACGTTTTAGAATACAAGAATAACTAGCAATTGGAGGTTTGAGAACCTGAGCAAGTGAATTAACTTAGGCCTTGGTATACTGAGGAGACCGTAGTGAACTAAAGAGGTTGAATTAAGGAATCATTACAATTTAGTTTAGCTTTAAATTTTTAAGGTTTCAGGATTTGTTTGTTTGTAACATATCCCCAAAGTAAACTGATTTATAACCATTTTGTGAGGATAGATACTTGTTTCAGGATGTGGTAAAATGCTAGTTTTTTTCCAAAGGAAAAGAATATAGAATTGGTTCATTTAGAAAAATAATTTACAAATTTAACTTCATGGTTTTACTAATTCTGTAAGCTTATAATGTTTTTTGACATTCTGGAGTTAACCCAGCAAAGTAGCTTTTCTTATGACTCTTCAAAGAAGATCTGGTGACTATTTGTGTTTAAATTTTAGATAACTAAACGTTGGCATTTCATTTTTTTTTTTTTGAAAGGAGTCTTGGTCTGTCGCCCAGGCTGGAGTGCACTGGTGTAATCTCAGATCACTGCAACCTCCACCTCCCGGGTTCAAGTGATTCTCGTGCCTCAGCCTCACAAGTAGCTGGGATTACAGGCGCCCACCATGACACCTGGCTGATTTTTGTATTTTTAATAGAGATGGGTTTTCATCATGTTGGCCAGGCTGGTCTCGAACTCCTGACCTCAGGTGATCCACCTGCCTCACCTCCCAAAGTGCTGGGATTACAGGCGTGAGCCACTGCTCCCCACCAAATGTTGGCATTTCTATACACATATGTAAAATATTTATGATTGCACTAAAAATTAATCATCATAATACTTTGCGGGCAGAGAGTGCAGGGACTGAGTGAAAACAATGTTGCTTTCAGGGCCAAAAGAAAGGCTTTCAATTAAGCCAGGTGGGCTTGGGCTTGGCTGTAGAACCCTCCCACACCAAACAACATTCTAGAATTATCTCTGCCTTTAAAAATATGCAACATTCTAGGTTGTCATCATCCCTTTCTCTGTCTAAGCCCACTCCCATTTTTTGGTTAAGACTTGCCACCCGCTATATCATGAAACACTTCTGTGGAGTAAGCATGGCACCATTCCTCTCCAAGATACATAGCTAAAGTCCAACATTGGGCTTCTAAGACAAGACAGCAAAGACTCCTCACATTTTTCCATTAGGCCTTTAAGAAACCAGGTATCCAGTAAACAATGAATTAACATATTCTTATGAAAGATAGGCAATTAAAGGAAACTGTAAAATAAGTATTCTGTTTGTTTTTAAAGATTTTGTTACAGCTTCTTCATTTTGATCATTCTTCTCAAAAGCAGCTGTTAGTTCCACAGCTTCTCTGCTCTGGTAAGGTGAGAAGGGTTCAGATAAAATCTTATTAACACTGGTATGACAGGCCTGCAGCACATTACAGTCTGTTCCGATAATATATGATATCTGTATTCATTAAGAATCTCTTGCGAAAAAAATCATATATATTTATTTTTTGAAAAGGCAGCTAGAGTCTGGAACAGTGTTTCTCAATGTGTGGTTTGAGGTCCACTTGCATAAGATTATTTGAGGAACTCAGTAAAAAGGCAGATTCCTAAACTCTATCCCAGACCTATTGTATCCAAATCCTTAGGATGGAGCCTGAGAATCCTGGTTTTTATCAATTTTTTAAAAAAATAAATTGCATACTCAAAGCTGACAAAAACAAATCAAAATAATTTCACATTTGTCCTTTGATTCAAATACTCATGCTGGGCCGTTGGCCCTGACCTTGACTTATTACTTGTAGTACAGTCACAACTGTCATCAGTAAACAGAAAAACAAAAGCGCTAACAAGATACCAGCTACTAAATAAAAAGATCTCATTTCCATGCTTTTATACATCAGCATTTAACTTTTTTTTCATCCTTGGGAGGTGTTGTTGCTAATAATCTTATAACAACCAGTTATGATCATTATAATGAAACATCTGAATTATTTTATTATGATGAATCCAGTTCCCGTAATGAATAAGCATGCTATAAAAGAAATGTTTGTATTTTATCCAGTTTCTATCAATAGACCACCAAATATCTGTATGTAACAACATAAATGTATTCATACATTTCTAGATATTTAGATATGTCTAATATTACACAAATGGCTGAAATGTGTGGATTCCTACAAAAAAGGTCCACTTTTATTATTTATTTGAATTTTTTCTTTGTAGTGACAGTCTTGTTTTGCTGCCCAGGCTGGTCTCAAACTCCTGGGCTCAAGGGATCCTTCTGCCTTGGCCTCCCAAAGTGCTGGGATTACAGGTGTGAGCCACTGCACCCACCTACTTTTCTTAATCGTTTTTTTAAGCCCTCTTACTATCAAAAAATATATCCAGAAAAATTTTTGTTGTATACAATCTATTATAGAACTGAGCTGTACAGATAATAAAATTAAATAGTTGTTTGCCTAAATTTGCTCTTATGAATAAAACTATTATTAAACAATTGGGAAATTATTATCTAAAAGGTTATTGTATTATTGTATTGTAATAATCTAAAATGTTATTGTAACAATTGGGAAATTATTATCTAAAAGGTTATGTTGATGTTCTTTCCAAAGAATTCTACCTTGGAACAATCTAGAGAAGGGATCTTTGTTGATATAATGTATCCTAACGCTTCTTTGAGTAGAAACTTTGTGACAGCGTAATTTTCTTTTAATTTAAGGACATTAAGCTTAAAATGATTCATGATACCCTTTGAAATAACTATATCAATCACAAATTTAAGATTTGCAATAAGTGAGTCTGAGAAGATCAAAATCGGTCTTCTTTTCTTTTATTAAATTATGTAATTTTTTTCCACAAGCAGTTATTGAGCACTTTCTCAATGATATATATGGCATGATGGAGGGGAGGTGATAGACAAAATTCCTGTGCTTAGGTGGTTCACATTCTCAGTGGAGATGAAAGACAATACAGATGATGGTAGCTATTAGAAACTAGAAAAACATACAAAAACTGTGCCCATCACTTCTCAGCCTTTCAGCTAAGATCAAGTGTAAAAACTGTGCCCAGCTTTAATCATTAATTGTAATTAATTTCATAACATCTTTTGGAAACTAAGGTGTTACACCTTCCCAATAATATTTACATTTTAATTCGCTTTGCTACATTATTATTAACTTTTTTGTTATTAGAGCATGCGTTGGCCAGATGTGGTGGCTTACTGTTGTAATTCCAGCACTTTGGGAGGCCAAGGCAGGAGGATTGCTTGAGCCCAGTTTGAGACCAGCCTGGGCAATGTAGTGAGGCCCCATCTCTACAAGAAATTTAAAAAGAAAAAGAAAAAATCTAGCCAGGTGTGGTGGTGCATATCTGTAGTCCTAGCTACTCAGAAGGCTAAGGTGGGAAGATCGCTTCAGTCTGGGAACTTGAGGCTGAAGTGAGCTTTGATTATGCCACTGCATTCCAGCCTGGGCAACAGAGTGAGACTTCATCCCAAAAGACAGAAGAAAAAAAAAAAAAAAAGAGAGAGAGTGTCTTAATTTGTATTATCTTAGAACCTTACCCTAAGACAAGATTAAAGTGCAAATAGTAATTTTGGAGATGATATGGTCTGGCTCTGTGTCCCCACCAAATCTCATGTTGAATTGTAATCCCCATTGTTGGAAGTGGGGCCTGGTGGGAGGTGATTGAATCATGGGGGTGGTTTAGCACCATCCCTCTAGTGCTGTCTCAGTACAGAGTTCTCATGAGATCTGATTATTTGAAAGTGTGTAGCATCTCCCTCTTTGCTCTCTTTCTGTCTCCTGCCAGCCATGTGAAGATGTGCCTACTTCTCCTTCACCTTCTGCCATGCTTATAAGTTGCCCGAGGTCTCCCCAGAAGCAGAAACCTATACAGCCCACAGAACCATAAGCCAATTAAACTGCTTTTCTTTATAAATTAGCCCGTCTCAGGTATGTTTTCATAGCAGTGGAGAACAAGCTAATACAGGAGGTAATACCAGAAATTGTAGAGCAGTGGAAGAGTGAGGGGTAGAGAAGTGATAGCAAATAAAGTGTGAATTATCAGACAATTCCCCACTGTGTGTAAATAGTGCATAATCCCTCTGAGGAACATGGGCACCAGTAGATGACACACCTCAAAATAAAGCAGGAGCTGGGGTATTTATTTATACACCAACTACCACCTACATGCTGCTCCTGAAGAAACATTCATTCTCTGACACTTTCAGCCTACCACACATTTCACATTGACTCAGATGACCAGACAATGCCTCAGACAAAGAAATACAGGAGCTGACAGTTGCAAGTTGGGCCGTTGTGCCCTGAAGTGAAGGATGAAAAATGAGCAGCAGCATTTCCTACAGAGAGTGAGCACAATTTTAAAACCGTTCGAAAGAGATATTTGTTTTAGTCATTCATCATCTTCCTTCAGACTACCCTTATATAACTTTTTGCATATAACCATCCTCATGTATTTTTTACAAACTTTAAGTCAAAATGTGTATACTATTTTATATTTTATGTGTCACATAATAATCTATCACCTATTTTTATATTTTCACTTTGAAGATCACACAGTATTCTTTACAGATCTACTTAGTATTCATTTCTTCTGATACTTATTGAGTGCCCAGGCTCTTATTGAGAGCTGTGCACAGGTGCTGAGAATGGGTATAGAAAGGAATTTGAAAATTTTGAAGAATCGATTGACCTATATACACATGTGTACCAAGTTCAATGCTAGAGATGTGTTCGGTTGAAAGAGATGAAAACCCAGAAGATGGTGGTTAACTGAAGGCCATCAGAGAAGGTCCCAAATAGGGGGACAGATGGACAAATATGAAGCAGTGAGGACATGCCAAGCCAGAGGAACACCCTGTGTGAAGGACGGAGGTGTGATGGTTCATTATTGTTAGTGTATTACAAACAAAGAGCATAAATCATTCATTTCACCATTCTCCTCATATTGGCTACTTTTTATTATTTTCCTCTCTTTGTTATTAGAGATAATATTTCAGTGAGCACCACTGTGCTTCTAGCTTTTTATTTCTCTTAGATTATTTTTAAAATGTGAACTTCAGAAACTGGAATTACCTGGTCAAAGGAAAGACTCTTTTGTCAGGATCTTACTTTATGTCTTAACTCTGCAGAATGAATAATGTGGGAATTTCAAGCACAGTGATCCACTGGGCTAAAGGTAGCAACTCCAGTGCAAGACAGAGCCTGCAGAGAATTTTCTTTCTTGCTTGCTCTTCTGCTTCAGTTCTTGGCCTTTTCCTTACAACTTTCTACAGTGAAGTTCAGCTGTAGGCTCACGTGCTTCCTGACTCTATTTGGGTGAAAGGTAGTAAATGGAAGAGAACAGCAGAGTTAAGATGACAAATCAACTTGAATTATAATAGGGCTGTATTTTAAATTGCTTCTTTTTCAAAGAAGAAAAAATTTTGTATCATCTGAATTGAAATAGCAACCAAAAAGCAAGTTGTTGCCTTATATAAAAGAAAACAATTTTAATAACTTTTAAGATTATTTCAATGATTTATATTTTCTATTTCTGAAGAATTTTAACAAATATTTTTATAAAACAAATTTCATGGTTTCTGTCTACTCATCACATCTTCAAATTAAAAGAAAAGTGACAAGAGAAAGAAAAAAGCCTTCTAAACACTTTTTCTATAGTTTTTACATAAATAATAGAAAACAGCATAGAGCAAATTACTTTTAAAATTATACAATAAGTCAGATAAAAATTTTTGTCAATATATAGAGATGTATATGAATTTGAAACAATATTCACCAAAATCATAGTGTAAATCTATCACTAAATTTTTTTTATGTCATTAAATTTTAACCAAGTCAAAAGCTAAAAAAAATGCGCTGCATTTATATATATACTTGTTTTGCTTCATTTTTTTTCAGAATTCAAGATGCAATGCTTGATTTGGTTTATTAGTCACATCAAAAAATAAAATTAAGTAAGTGATCCTGTTTCACACAATTCCTGGCTCTTATACTCAGTAGTTTTGCTATTTTCCTGTTTTCAACTTTTCTTGATGAGTTACATACTGGAAGTAATTATTGCTTCAGATGAAATTGCTTCAGACCATTTCCAAAATGACTTATGTAACATTCCTCACTTCTTTTGATTGAAAAAAAATCATTGTTTTCAAGGGTGTATAAGAAAAATGTAGCAGAAAATCTCTCCACATCAGTTTACCTAGTCTAGCATCCACCCAGGGTTGAAATTCAAATTGTCTTTTGGGTCATTCAGTCTCCACTCTAGCAAACTTATTTTTGAGAAGCCGTAGGAGATTTTAACTCATCTCTTCCTTGCTTGCTTCATTTAAACAAAATTTTTGAGACAGGGAATCTCCGTACCCACTCCTGGCTACTCAGAGCCACCCTGGCTGCAGCTTGTATCTTGTGCATCCCAAATCCATCAAAATGACTCAGTATGTGGTCCTCATAATTGGTGCCACCATCGGATAACTAGTCTTTGCTCAGAAATTAAAGGTTGGTAACGGCTCATTGTAATCAGGCAGCATATTAGAAAGAGCTGTGTGTCTGGAATCAGAAAATAGTTTCATAATCTTGCACCACCACTAGCCAAGTTATCCTGGCAAGTTATTTCAAGCCTTTCTGAACCTCCATTTTAACAGTGTAGCTCAACGTTATTGAGCACCTATCATGAGACACTAATCTAGGTACTTGGGATACAAAAGTAATTGAAAATGCCCTGGTCAATGCGCTTGAGTAGTTTATCAATATTGGATGAAACAGAAAAGTATTACAATATGATTTGTAAAGATATTTTTTGCAGGGAGAGAATGAAAATACAATTGTCTTCCAGAGTTCTTTGTTTCTCTCAAAAATATTAAGCTTTGGTAGCACCTCTCAGAAAAGGCAAGTTCCCCTCTTACTGGAACTTGAAAGTCTTTTGACTTTTTCTCATTAATTCTTCTTAGTCCTAGTTTAAAGATATTGTATGAAGTAGTTAGAAAAAAACATGCACATTAAGCATCCTTTAGGGATTTTGCTGCTGGTTTAGGAAAGATTTGCAAGCCCTATATTAAGTCCCTGCTGTGTTGGGTGTAGGTCAAAAGTTAAGTGGATAAGAATATCTAACCTAAGTATTGAAAGCGAATGAGGAATCATCTGACCCCCTCACTTATTTACAGGTAAGGAAATGGAGGTTGGAGAGGTCAAATGGCTCACCCAAAGCCACACAGCCAGTGAGTGGCTGAGTAGATGCAAAGCTGGATACTGACTTTTCCTCATTCTCTCATTCATTCCTTTAATGAACACTCATAGAGTATCTAATGCATACAAATTGTGCAAAACACTTCAGGGAATTTCTTCATGTATGAGACAGGCTCTCTGCTCTTCTCCTTCAATCTAATGCTGAATGTTAGCAGCTCTTTATGTCAGAGATGAAGAGATAGTTGGAAGATTGTCTATCTGAAGAGATGAGTTGAACAAAATTAAAAAGTCTGGATTAATGTGAAGTACACAAGGTGACATGAGTCCTCAGGGTAATACGATTAACGAGCCATCGCATATTGGTAGAATCTAATGAATATTCACGCTCTAATCAAAATAGTAGCTCGGTTGAGTGAGGATAAGTGACCTGAACTGTGCCTTTGATCTTAATCTTAGGGAAAAAGAAGACAGAAAAGCAGCAGCAGGGAAATAGCTTTCTAAACAAAGGATTAAGGAAAAGGCTTAGAAAATTAGCTGCTGTCAATTGACAAAAAATGGGAAGGAGGCTTATCTTGTGGGTCCTGTATTTCCTTGAGAGGTTATTTGGAGGTTCTAGCAGGGGAGTGCAGTTACTTGTATATCCTTGACCAAAGACCAGTCCTCTCTTGGAAATGGTCCTCCCCTTTGACCAAGCATGCAGCTTCAGAAGGGATGCACATGGAGCAACGAGGAAGGAAGGGGAGACTCACCTAGGTAGCCAGAGCAGCCAAATCAACCCTGACAATCAATGGCATGAAAGATTGTTGCAGCCAGATCGCCCTCACATGCAAGGTCCTCTATTTCCTTTACAGACCTTGACTGTAATGGAATTGTATTAGAATTCCAATTAAAATCAGCTCTCCTTTAGGGAAAAAAAGAGGTAGATGAGAAGAAAAAAATAATAATCTCTGTGAATACTTTATTATGGTGCATATTGAACTATTCCTGGATGTGTTTCAGTAGATTCCACTGTCAAGTACAGCCAGTGGGAGGGTCAGTAACAACTCACTTTTCAACACTAAGCAACTGGATTCCAACCAGAAATCCTAACTGAAAGATGTGTCCGTTGCTCCATGGATCTTTGACTATTAGAATCTCTTTAAGAACTTTCCCTCTGGTTGCAGGAGACAAAGAAGAGATAATCACAGCTATCCATTTCAGTACAAGACTGCTTGAGATGCTGTCATTTTCTTCAAATCCCAGAAACTGTCAATTTGTGAGTTGCTATTTTTCTACCTAAATCTTACTTTGAAACTAGGATTGGTCACTTCACGCTACATACTGCCCAGTTTCTTTATTTTTTAAAAATTTTATCTTTGATTCTTTTGTTTTTATTTTCTTATTGTGTGCCTTCAAGCAGATATAACCAGGACACACTGCCTGATTTCCTTATGATAAATGGTCACAATGAAAAGAACAAAGCACCCTGGCAAGAGTCTTGGTGAATACCAACCAGTGTGTTGGTTGTCCATACACCATGTCAAGTGGCTGCAGAATTCCCACAGTGTGTTCAGAGGGCTTGAAGGCAAGTACTCTGGGTACTGAGACTCTCCCAGGCCCTGGACAATTTTGCTGCTGAAAACTCATAGTGGACCATGAGTTGCAGAGAACTCATGTGGCATTTTCCCAGCCCTTGAAATAGGTTGGTTGCTCTCCAGCTGTGATGTCTCCGAACAGCTCATGGAACTAAACCAGACTTAAAGTCTGTTGTATACCATCTGTCACATGATAAAATAACCTAATGTAGAAGTAAGGGCCATAAGTGTGTTTTATCTTATATGAATTCCTGCTTTTCCAGTCACTGCCAGGCAGGATATTAATATACCTGTCTTCTTTTCTAAGGAAATTTGTACTTGAAGGGAAGAAATATGCACAATTTGGTTTCATATAAATATTCAAAGTTAATCCTTCCATAATGCAAATAGAAAGAGTGTGACAATATTAATCCCATTTCTAAAAAATTACCTTTGATGAATGCCTTTGAACCACTAGGGTTGTTTTGAGTCTCTTTGGGGAGAAAAAAAAAGTATGCCTAGAATAAAGCACATCAGGCTTCTTAGCTGCAACAAAATCATCCACAGTTGTAGGAATCTGTTGAGGTAGTTCAAGCCCAGGAACAGGTTTTCAGAAATGAGATGCAGGGTTTATAGTGTAGCCTATAAATTTCCAGTGCAGTTCTTGAAGATACACCAAATTCAGTGACTATATTTCGGCTCTAAATCATATAGAAACAGGCAGTGGCATGATTTCCACCTTATCTTCATCCAGATCTCCAATGAAAACAAGAATTGCAAGAGTACATATTATTTATTTGTTTTTTCGGGGGGTTGGAAGATCTTTGCTATTTCATTTTTTTATTTAAACTGGAGCTTGGGGAACCTCCTAGGAGTTCAGCTACCAGTCAAGCTTTGGGCTGAAGCAAGCTGAACTGAGCCCTCTTTCCTAATATGTTTAGTTCCTCAGACTAGACACATTCTGTGCACAAACAAACCATGAGAAAAGGGCACTAGTGGTTTACCACAAAGCAGATTGGGCCAATTACCATAATGCAAGTTTACTAGGCAAAGACCACAGAGGTGACTGACTCCTGCTTCTGTATGTGGCCCTTCTCACTACTTTATGACAAGATAACTATAAAGAATTTAGACTATTTTAGGGGCAGTCAGGCTAGTCTCATTGCCTTCTTCACTGTTCTAAACAATTCCAATGTGTGGATGAGACAGGAGCTTTCCTAGTCACCCAGTCTACTACAGGTATTCCTCATAGTAACTTCATTGTTTAATTCAACCTGGATCATGGAGGTAACATAATGCACTGGAGTCAGACAGTCTGAATTCAAATTCTGAACTCAACTCCTTACTCGCTGTGCAACTTTGATCAATATACTTAAAATTCTCAGAGCTTTCTCTTTTTCATCTGCAGTTCAATTCTGTTAAATCCAGTGCATTTTGAATCAGTAAGTACTTATGAGATACACAAACTGTGCTGGACAAAAAGCTACAAAGCTACAGAATCAGTATGGTCCAGGCTTGATGAGTTGGGGAGAGCCGCAGAAGCCATGTCAGGTGGCTCCAGAATTCCCATAGCATATTCAGAGGGCTCAAAAGCAAGCACTCTGGGTACTGGGACTCTTCAGGGCCCAGGACAGTTTTGCTGCTGAAAATCCACAGTGGACCATGAGTTGCAGAGAATTCACATGGCATTTTCCCAGTCCTTGAGAGAGCCCAGTTGCTCTCCAGCTGTGATGTCCCAGAACAGCCCACGGAACTAAACCAGACAGCCCAAGAGGAAACTTGCCAAGAGCTTCTGCCAAGTTTGGAAAAGCTCAGACCTAGACTCTCCTCTAGAAACCACAATGTCTTTCTCTTTTGAGAAGAAGAAATTAGTAAGGGGGCCTAAGGACAAGGGAACTTGGCAAGGAAGCAAAGGGCATCCATAGGAGGATCTCCCCTTTGGATGTACAGAAAATCCTCCTCCCAGGGGAAAAGAGAAGCACATCATACTGACAGGCAAGAGCCCTGGGATTGATTTCTCTGCCACTGGCCACTGTGGGAACCTCAGTCACTGTTTTCTCATTGGTCCAAAAGTAGGGTTAAACCAGATTACTGTTCAGGTTCCCGACATACCCTAAACTATGCTATGCCCAGCTTCCATCAACTCCCAGCAAATAATCATTCTAACACGTGTTCCTTCCAAATGAACATTGAGCAGGCCCCATATGTAGACTTGCTGAAGAGAAGATCATTGACAGCAGAATCATCATGAAGCCTGCCAGAAATGAACCCAGCTACACTCTAACACAAGAAAATCCAAAATTTTCTCCTCTGCTATGTTGTCTTGCTAAAACAGAACAAGAAATTCCATGGTCCAAATCTCTGGCAAGAGAAAAATGCCTTCCTTGAAATTAGCCCCCTCTCCTCTCCTAAGGCCTATCACAGGGACCTTGTAGCTTGCTTGGCTCTAGAGGAAGGGATCTGAAGACCTCTTGGGAAGTCTGTGAACCAAGTGCATCAGTGTGGGGCAAGGTTGAACCCCAGAGGCAAGGAATAAGAAAAACAGGTAAGAGCCAGACAGTTACCTGGGTCCTAGCTTGGCCTCTGTGGGCTTTTGGACAAATTACTTTGATTCTCTAAGTGTTGGTTGATTCTCCCTCCCCACCTCACAGGATTATTGGGCGGGTAACTATGATAGTCATTAGGGCTCTTTATGAGTATTCTGGTAACTATTTTCCTTGCAGCCATTTGGTAAAATTGTACTTTCCATCCCACCTCTCCCCAGCAAAAAATAAAGCATGGGCATGTGATTTGGTTTGCTCATGAAATGGGAAAAGCAGCTCGTGTCACTGCTGAGCAGAAGCTTTAGAGGCTGTGAACAGTTCTTTGTGACTCACCATGCTCTCTTTCTCTCTGTCTGGAGATTAGCAATGTTACAGATAGTGACTGTCACCCTGGGTCCCAGAGCACACAGCTGACCTCTGATGGTTATGTAGCATACTGTTGTTGCTTTTGACCACCAACACTGGGAATAATTGCAATAGCAGCATAATATAACCTATGCATTCTCAACAGGGGCAATATTGCCCCTCAAAAGAACAAAAATTTGTTCTTGAGTTGTGAAAAAATATATAATGGTCTATGGCTCTCCAAAAGACCATAGTACATAAACCAATGTAAGGTATACTTGTGGTATTAAAATGTCTTGGAGGGGAAGGGGGAGTTGGCATGGATTTAGAGAAAAAAAAAAGCCTAGAAAGACTCCTTAAGGATGCAAATAATGAAAAAAAAGAAAGATTGAGAAGCATTTAAGCCTGTCCTTACTTATAGAGTAGCATATAGATAAAGGACCTAGCATAGAGTAAGTTATTTCAGTTTACCTAGAAGAGATTCAGAGACAGTCACTATATTATTTACTGTATAATTTATTTCTTTCTCCTGTTTATTATCTTTCTCCCCAACTCATGAAGGTAGGGAGTTTTTCTATCTTGTTAGTTGCTGAATCCCTAGTGTCTAGGATAGCACTAGCACATAGCAAGTGCCCATTAAAACATTTGTTGAAGGAATAAATAAATCATTAAGAGAGAAATGACCCCAGTTCTCACTAAACTTCCAAACATAATGAGGTGTCAGTAACACGCTGATGCAGATAGAGCAGGCCATTGCTGAAGTACATGGGAGAAGGAATTAACCCAGATCTGGGAAGGCTCCTGGGAGGAAATGATATTTAAAGTATGACCTGAAAATGGAGAAGTTAGACAAACAAAAAGCAAAAATCAAGGGTTGGTGTGAAGTGAATGAAGTAAGAAGAAAAAAAAATATTTCAGGCCAAAGGAATAGTACAAAGATTGCAAACTGGCAGCTATTGAGTTGGAGTTGGATTTCATCAACAGAGATGTTTTATTTGGCCACAGGGTTGGCTCATGTTTAAAAATCAAAATTTACATTAAGAACATGTAATTCCAGCTTGTCTTTAAATACTTAAAAGATTAGAAAAAAATGGCTATATTTGAATAATACTCTAGCTCTCAGTTATACACTGCCTCCATTATGGACCTTGACACTGAAAGACATTGCCTTTTATAACTGTATATATTCCATTATTTACCTCAAAAAGAATTAGGACACCAACTGATTATATACCACAGCCATGTGCCTATCAACAGCAGGAAAATGAAAGATAGACTGATAGGGGCTACAAGTTTCAAGAAAAATATAGATAATGGATTGATGTTTGGAAGAGAGGAACATGCCTATGCAAAATTCTAACCTGCTTTATTCAATATTTTGAAGGCATTTGGGGTTGTTTTCCTTGGAACAGTCCAAATAAAGGCTGAAAGATGAAAGAGCTAGGGTACATTTAAGGAATTGAAAAAGTACTCTGGCTCACATATGTTTATTGCAGCACTATTTACAATAGCAAAGATTTGAAACCAAACCAAATGCCCATCCATGAGAGACTGGATAAAGAAAATGTAGCACATATACACCATGGAATACTATGCAGCCATAAAAAAGAATTAGTTCATGTCCTTTGCAGGAACATGGATGAAGCTGGAAGCCATCATTCTCAGCAAACTAACACAGGAACAGAAAACCAAACACCACGTGTTCTCACTCATAAGTGGGAGTTGAACAATGAGAACACAGGGGCACAGGAGGGGAACATCACACACCAGGACCTGTTGGGGGGTGGGGGGCAAGGGGAGGGAGAGCATTAAGACAAATATGTAATGCATGTGGGGCCTAAAACCTAGATGACGAGTTGATAGGAGCAGCAAACCACCATGGCACATGTATACCTGTGTAACAAACCTGCACATTCTGCACATGTATCCCAGAACTTAAAATGAAATAAAAATTTAAATATATATATTATTTATTTATTTATAATATATAAATAAATATATAAATATATAATATATATTAGTTGTATATTTTTATAAATAATATATATTATTTATATTATTTATATATTAAATTAAATTAAATTAAATTCATAGTAAATAATATAAATAATATATATTATTTATAAAAATATATAGATAAATGACTTATTAAAATCATTTCTATAAAATCATTAAAATATATTTAAAAAGAAAAAATTATATTTATAAATAATATATATTATTTATATATTTATATATTCATAATATGTAAATATAATATATTGTATATATTATGTATATAAATTCATATATAATTTATATATGAATATATTTATATATAAAATATGTATTTTATATGTAAAAGACATATATATAAAAGACATATGTATATATATAAAAGACATATATATATTTTAAAAAAAAGACTTTCTCGGAAAAACTCACCCTCCCTCCCTCATCCTTATTTGGAAGCCAATGGGTACTGTACGGTGTTAGGAGGGGACTTGAGGACCTATTGCCATTTTTGAATTTATAAAATGTATCTCTGAAAATCAGAAAAAAAAAAGAATGATACAATGGACTTTGGGGACTTGAGGGTAAGAGTAGGAGAGGGGCAAGGGTTAAAAGACAACAAAATATGGTGCAGTGTATACTGCTTGGGTGATGGGTGCAACAGGATCTCACAAATCACCGCTAAAGAACCTACTCATATAACCAAATACCACCTGTACCCCATTAACTTATGAAAAAATAAAATCAAAAAAAATAAAAATAAGTAAAGAAAGAAAGAAAATGTGGTCTGGCTAAAGCATAATGTGTGACACAGAGATGGAAGACGTAATAAACTCCAAATTTTGAAGGCCTTTGAATGCCATTTTAAAAAGTCTGAACTTAGTCCTAACAGCAATGAGGAGCCATTGAAGTGCTTAAAGCAAATGAGTGATGTACTCCTGTTTGTGTCAAGGAAAACAGCTCAGTCTGCCAGAGTATGAAGAGTAGACTGGGGGCTAGGTGCAGTGGCTCACGCCTGTAATCCCCATTTTGGGAGGCCAAGGCGGGCAGATCACGAGGTTAAGAGTTTGAGACCAGCCTGGCCAACATGGTGAAACCTCAACATGGTGAAACCTCATCTCTACTAAAAATACAAAAATTAGCCCAGCGTGGTGGCGCGTGCCTGTAATCCCAGCTACTTGGGAGGATGAGGCAGGAGAATCGCTTGAACCCAGGAGGCAGAGGTTGCAGTGAGCCAAGATAGCACCACTGCACTCCAGCCTGGGTGACAGAGCAAGACTCTGTCTCAAAACAAAAAAAAAAAAAAAAAGAAAAGAAAAAAAAGAGTGGACTGGTGTTAAATAAGACGAGACGCTGAGTGGCAAATTATAAGACAATTGCAGAAATTCAGGCAAAAGAGGATATTGATCCTAATGAATAAGGGGTGATAATAACAGAGAAATTCTAGAGGCATTCATTTTCTCCTTCATCATTAGTATTACCCTCATTTATTTACAGTTATGCCCACTAAGACTTACCCCTCAGATGCCTTTGCGATGCACTTCCTAAAACAGTTATGCCAGTCCTGGACTGTTGTCCTGAATATTATTTGTTAGGTTAAAATAAATAAATCTTTTTACCAATATGCATGCAATGCAATGCAATTATTGAGAGACAGAACTGACAGAATTTAGTAGATGTAGGATGGAGACTTACTTTGCAGAATTTTTGTAAGGATTTAGCAGAGGGGACCCCACCCTCCGGGCCACTGACCAGTACTGGTCCATAGCTGGTTAGGAACCCAGTCACATAGGATGAGGCAATTGGCAGGTGAGCAAGCATTACCGCCTGAGCTCTGCCTCCTGTCAGATCAGTGGCGGCACTAGATTCTCATAGGAGCATGAACCCTATTGTGAACTGTGCATGCGAGGGATCTAGGTTGCACACTCCTTATGCAAATCTAACTAATGCCAGATGATCTGAGGGGGAACAGTTTCATCCCAGAACCATCCCCCACCACCAACACATCCGTGGAAAAATTGTCTTCCACGAAACCAGTCCTTGGTGCCAAAAAGGTTGGGGACTGTTGATTTAGTGTATCGAGTACCTAACAATGTCCAAAATAGAAGTAAGCGATAGGTGTTAATTCCCTTCTTCTCTCTTCCTGTTCCTGATTAGGAGTAAGTATCCTAAGGTCAGAAACCACAAATTCTAGTTTTCTTTGAAAGCTATCTAAACTTAAACAGTATACACACAAAGAATTGGATACTTGGTTGTGGCTGATAGACTAGCAATTTTAATCAATGTTTAAACATGATTTAGACATAGGGAAAGCAATGTTGTAGCAAATGTTTTCAGACACACACATAAATTACAGATGGATTATTCAGGCTAATGCAGCTACAGAAGATAATTGTACCAGGTGGGCTTTATTCTGTGAGATATTTAGCTCTTCCAGCAATTTGATCAGTTTTGACTCAGAGTCACACTGAAAGCTGAAACAAATTTTATTTTTGAAGATTTTATTCTGATTAGATAACAAGTGGGTAATATCTGACCATTGAAGAGAAAGTACAAAGTAGAAAGCAAACACAGAGCACAGAGAAATAGCAAAATAATAAACTATATTACCTTCTCTCAATGCAGTTATGTATGCAGTTTTATGTAAAGAAGAATAAAGATTGCTTTTGTAAATTTGTCCTAATCTTCTTTCTGTCTGCTGAGGATAAAGTGTAATTAAAGCAAAAATCAACTAAAAGGTAGTTATAAATATGATCTCAACTCTGTTGCAAAAGCAACTGCTTATCTGTGTGCATATTAAAGAAATCCACGTAAAGAGAGGACTGGCAGGAAACGCACAGGAAGTGACCAGATATTCTCATGGAATGATATACTTTCGTGTGATTTGCTATGTTTCTAAATTTCCTGTGATGGCATGTATTACTTTTACAATCGGGAAAAAAAATCAACTTACTACGAAATTTTTATGCAGCATTCCTTTGATTTGACAAACAGAGTTGTTTATGGGTTTTTAGTCTTGGCAAATAATTAGAGTGGATCCCATCACTGTTGACATTTATCCCCTCTTCACAAGAATACACAGAAGGGGAGAAAATATTATATTTCCTATACAAAGTGTGGACAAAAGAATACAGTTAAGAGAACTAGAACAAAACCATAGAGTAGGAAAGCAGCCAACAATATTAGCTTTGCGAATTTATCTTAATAAACCAATGAATGCTTTGAGTTTGAACCTGTAAAATTATTTACTGTTTGCAAATCCATTGCTTACAATAAAACAGAATTATAATGTAAAAAAAATGTGATGAACAGGGTTTATGCACTGTCTTACTACACTAAGTGGCATATGAATGCTCTTCAGTAACTGCAGCAACCTAGTCAACTATAAGTAAAGCATACTCTGATGCCCTCAAACCAAAATTCATTCATCTTACTTGGATGAGCAATTCTGTTCAGTGAAGCTTGACCCCTTACTGTTAACTAATTATATTTTCCAAAGAAAAACACATTCACTGAAAAAAATAAGTCGTCCTCTGCAAAGAAATAAGATCTTCCAAGCACATCTGGTAAGATGTATTTTACTTTTATTTTCTTAATCTTTGGGTACAAAGATTTGACACATTATTTCAAAAGAATACAACTACTTATCCAGTGGGAATAAATTCAACAAACATTAATTGACGAGCAGAGTACTGGCTTTAAAGAAATAAACTAAGTAAATTTTTTTCCCTTGGGTAATAAAATAAGAATAAAAGAAGAGACATTGGGTTAAGAACCCTTAGGGCAAAATAAAAACGCAATTAGTTTCTCAAAAACTTGCTTTTGACGTCTCAAAAAAAGGCATGCTAGGGAAATGAGCTAAGAAAGCACATTGTTATTTGTACGTGATAGTGTGACATCCTTGCCGTGTTGAAGGTAAGACCATCTAAAGGTCAAGACAGTACACAGAGACTATAAAAACAAAATTGAAATAAAAAGCAGGATAATAAAATGAAAGGAAAAGTAGAAACTGCCAGAAAGAAGCAGAAGCAGCACAACTGTCAAGGAGACAGTGTAAATTCAGATGCCATCAAGCTTTACCACAAAGAGATAAAGAAAAAGGCCAATTTTGATGACAAATGACAAAGTGTAACATCCCAAGAGAAATGGGGAAGAGAGAGGTGATATGTCCTCCTGTGAACATTTGAATAGTTCTCAGATACACTTAGTTTGAGCAGAATTATGTGATTGCTGAATTCTTTCCTCTCTGCTTGGCAAAAATGATGGAAGTCTTGTCTCCAATTTTAACCCTATTTGCCTTTCTGCAACAATATGGTAGGTTGTTTACATGCGGGGTGGGGAAAGGGAAACTAAGAGTAAAAACCAACCATTTGTTACTTTGCAAAATGGAAATGTAACTCTGAAGATTAAGCAATCTTGACTGCTATCAAAATTAATTCCTGAACACTATGAAAAAGGAAAAAATGCATAGAAATTGATATTTTAAACATTAAATATTCAGCAGTTTCTCTTATTTGGCAAAATCTTTTTGAAGCAAAGCTGATCTCATTTTGGTTTAGATCACACCAAAGAATTTCCACCAAAAATGACTGAATTATTGCTATTTACAAAAATGGTTTTCATTCTGTGACATTTTTCTGTTTCAACCAAAATTGGTGTACTAAAAGTCATTTCTGGCACTGACCATTTAGAGTTAGTGCAGACTCCATAAGTTAAGGGCTTAATCCTTCACAAATCTTCTCTTACTTCAGATTCCAGCTGTACTTTGGCGGTCCCTAGGTCACCCACACTTCTGAGCAACTAGTGTTCCCATGACCCTCTTAGTGTTACTGGGGGTCCTTGCTCACAGAGCTCCCAAGATGGTGGCGAGCTGCTTCCAACATGGTGGCAGGCGCTTCCAAGGTGGTGGCAAGCCTCGTGTTCTCTGACTGGGGTTCTTGGCTTCACGGATTCCAAGGAATGGAATCTTGGGCCATGCGATGAGTGTTATAGCTCTATTAGAAGCTGTGGGTCATGAAAGAGAACCGTGGAACCCAGTGACTAGTGTTCAGCTCAATTAGGACAAACCCAGGCACTTAGCCGTGCAGGAACAATGGCAAGCCTTTAGCACGATCGGGAGTGGCAATGGGAGTCTCACTGGATCAGGAGCACAGCAGACACCCTGCTGGATCTGGAGGTATGGGAGTCAGCGGCAGGTCTGCGACAGTGGCAAACAGCAGTGGTGGATGGTGAGCAAAAGCTCAGCTCGAGCCATAACAAACATGGACCAGAAGAGTGCAGTTGCAAGATTTAATAGAGTGAAACAGAGTGAAAACAGAGCTCCCATACAAAGGGAGGGGACCCAAAGGGGGTTGCCGTTGCCGGCTCGAATGCCTGGGTTTATATCCCAATCCTTGTCCCTCCCGCTGTGCTCTCAGGCAATAGATGATTGACTATTTCTTTACCTCCTGTTTTTGCCTAATTAGCATTTTAGTGAGCTCTCTGATTGGTTGGGTGTGAGCTAAGTTGCAAGCCCCATGTTTAAAGGTGGATGTGGTCACCTTCCCAGCTAGGCTTAGATTCTTAGTCGGCCTAGGAAATCCAGCTAGTCCTGTCTCTCATTAGGTTCAATAATTTACTGGAACAACTCAGAACTCAGGAAAGTGTAATACTTAGGATTAGAGTTTTATTATATAGGATACATTCTGGATCAGCCAAATGAAAAGACACATGGGGAAGGTCTGAGAGGGTCCCTAGTGCACAATTTCTGTATCGTCTTCCTATCAAATCAAGTCATGGCACCTTCCCAGCACATCGATGTGTTCACCAACCAGGAAGCACCACTAAGCTTTGGTATTCAGTTTTTATTGAGGTTCCATTAGGTAGGCATACTTGATTAAATCATTAGCAACATGACTGAACTCAATCTCCACACCTTGTCCTCCCTGGAAGTCAGACTGGCTCAAAGTTTCAACCCTCCAATCACATGGTTGGTCCTTCTGGCGCCCAGCCCCTGTCCCAAAGCTATCGAATAGCCCACCGTGAGTCACCTCATTAGCATAAACTCAGGAACCATTCAGGAGGCTCAGGAATAACAAAAAGACTTCTATCTCTCAGGAAATTCCAAGGGTTTTAGAAGCTTCATGTCAGAAACCTGGGGCAAAGACCAGACAAATCCTCTATTACGTAGCAGACATTAAACCAAGAATGGCAAAATGACATAAAACCAACAAATATTTAAAAGACAAATAAGAATTCTGTGTTTGTTATTTATAGTACACATCTGAAGTATGAAAGTCATAAGTCTGGTGTAGATGACACAAAGATTTTGTGACTTGAATGTGTACCTCCAGGGTAAAAAAGCATTGATTCTATCCTAAGGAGGACTTACTTGGGCAAAAGACAAAGAGAAAACTGTTTTCTCTTCAGTACACTCTTTTTCTATTTCAATGCCCTCCCGTTTACCTAAATTTCCGTCTTGCTTATAGGTCCTTGTTAACTCTTTCTCCAAAGGTATTAAGTTCAATAAACATTTATTGAGCAACTTCAATGTACAACACACAATGTACAAAGGTCCCAGTCCTTACAAACCTGTCAGTCTAAACAAGATGACAATCATGTTGAAAATTAAGTGACATGACAAGGTAGAAACAAAATACTTTGCAGTGTTTGAAACATAAGCATTTAATGAGACAAATCATGGGGTGGCTAGAGGGAGGAAGCACTTCAAAAGAGTCTTGAAGAATGAGTAGGATCTCAGAACAGGATGAAAAGTCAAGAACTCTACCAAGCAGAGATGCAAAGACCCAGGAACTTGAAAACATGTTTGGTGAACCCACATGGCTGCAGTAAAAGGCATATGGCTAAGTATATTAGGATCTGAGGCTGAAGAGGCGATTGAGGCCTTATCATGGGGTGCTGTAAATTCTTTGCTTAGGAGTTTGAATGTTATTCTTCAGGCAATGGAAAGCCACTGGAAATTTTTGAAGAAGGATGCTTCATTGTGTCTCAAATTCTTCTTTAAGTCTCCAGGAACTCATAGACAAAAAATGAACCAATGAGGATATTATATAAATAATCCAGACAATAAATGACAAGGCGCTGTGGTACTGAACACAGAGCAAGAATACCAAAAAAGAGAACTAACAGAATTTAGTAATGGATTGTCGGAGCAGAAACAGGAGGAGTTGAGGATGATTTCCAAACATCCAGCCTGCCTGACTGAGAATGTGGTGTCACTGAAAGAAATGCAGAACCATCTTAGTCTATTCAGGCTGTTATAACAAAATACCGTAAACTGGGTGCCTTAAACAAGAAACATTTATTTTTTACAGTTTTGGAGGCTGGGAAATCCAAGATCAAGGTGCTGCCAATTTGGTTCCTGGTAAGGGCCTAATTTTGGGCCCCCAGATAGTCATCTTCTTGCTATGTCTTTACATGGAAGCTAGAAAGAGAAAGAGCCCTGGTCTCTTTTTATAAGAGCATTAATTCCATCCTGAGGACCCCACCCACATGACCTCATCTAAATCTTATTACCTGCCAAAGGCCTTGTCTTTGAATACCATCAAATGGTGGGTTAGCGCTTCAATATATGAATTTTAGAGAGACACAATTCAGTCAATAGCAGGAACCCAGAAGGAGAAGGATTGGAATGGAAGATGAAGGGCTTAGTTTGGACACATTGAGTTTGTGGTTTCTTCTGATTACTCAAGTGGCTATATCTAGCTGGTAGCTTGGAGATAAGGAGTAAACAATTTTAAAAGGAAATCAGAGTTCAAGTGTTACGCCTTCCTGGGTATATAAATTTTGGTAGACATTTCTTAGAACCGAAAACCTCATTACCCAAAGGATTAAATATCTAATGGGAGTGGCTACCTACACTGTCTACGTGGTATTATTTGAAAAAGATAAATTCATCCTTACTCATTAGAAAGAAAAGTGTGAGGGCTCAGGAGTCAAATTGTTTGGATTGAAATCCTTGCTGTTCTTATTACCATCTGCATGACATTACATAAGCTACTGAAACTCTTAGTGCCTTAATTTCTTCATGTGTAAAATGAGCATAGTAATAATACCTTTCTTACACAGTTGTTGGAAAAATTAAAAGAATTAATATGTGTAATGGATTGAGACAGTACATACTAGTTCCTCAACAAATGTTAACTATTGTTTCACAAAATTATGTTTCTGATACTCTCCTAAAATCTGAAATTCCACCATTATAATTTTTCCTTTGGTTCTAAGAAGATTTTCATCAAGTATTTTCTACCTAAATCCATAAATCTATCTCTGGTTTTATGAACTGAATCTGCTTTGATGTATTTATATATCTTTAAATATAGGCCAATTTTCCCAGAATAAATGAATCTTTGTGAGCATATTATGCTAAATAATTTAGAATTGAGAGGAAAGAATTCTAATTCATTAAAAAAAAAATTTACTACTTTTACCTTGAGAGTCATGTAGTAGATATCCTCCCTAAACAGAAGAGAAACATATTACAAGGCCTAATAGCAGCAATAAGTTTAGACATCTTGCTGGAGGTCATTGTACAGGGTGAGCAGAAATTCATTACCAAGTCCAAATGGCTTATGCTGAATCTGGTTAGGCCCAACCTTGACAATTGTTTGTCATTTGGTTCGTATACAATAACAAGTACCATTTCTTGAATAATTATTTTGGTCCAGAAATTTATACACGTTGTCTGTTGTAATCTTTCCATCTGCCCAATGAGACTATTATTATCATCGTCATTTTCCCAGATGAGGAAACCAAGGCTCTGAGAGCTCATTACTTGTCCCAAGTCACACTGTTGATAAGTAGCAGAACCAGGGTTTAAGCTCCCTGTGCCTGGCCTGACACCAAAATCCTTGCTTTTAACCACCAAACCTTCCTGCCTTTCCTTTTGAAGAAGCACCAGCAGACACTGTATTTATGAATTAAAAATAACTTTCAGTTATCCATGACAATGAGTTCAAGAGAATATTATAGAATTTTGGAGCTGAGATGGATTTTAGGGATCAGCCAGGTCAGAGCCCTCATTTTCACAATTATAGGGATCAGAAGTCTTCACTGAAGAGTAATTTAGAAAATATCCAGTACAATCCCTTTATTTTACAGATGAAGGAACTGGAATCTGTGATTTGTCCACAGTCACATTCTAGTCAATAGCACAGTTATATAACCATGGCCGATATTCTTTCCATTCTCTATCTAGTAATATTTCCATAACACACAAGTACTCCATCCCCTCTGGGCACAGTACTCCAGAGGCAGATTCCATTTGCCCTTGTGCTAGGTGGCCTAAAACCACATGGGGAAAGCAAAACTAAATTAAAACCTAGGTAGTCAACCAGGGCCCACACTGGCTTTGAAGCAATACAGATAACAACTAAATAAATAATCCTAATGTTACAGGATCTTTGGGGTGTTGCTTTTCTCACCGGAAACCTCTGCAGCCAGTGGCATCTTTGCCCAAGTTCATGTCCTGTGTCCAGGAAGAATGAGGTATGCAGACAAGTGGAGGGTGAGCAAGACAAAGAGGAGCTTTATTGAGTATTAGAACAGCTCAGAGGAGACCCACGGTGGGTAACTCCTCTCTGCAGGCAGGTCATTCTGTCCAGTGTTCAGCTCTCAGCAGAGAGGAGGCCCTGGATTTGGTGGCTCCTCTCTGCAGCTGGTAGTCCCAGTGCCTCTGCAGGTCTCTGAAGCTCTCAGCAGAGAAGGTAGTTCCTCTCTGCAGCTGATCATCCCAGCTCTTAGAAGAGAAGGTAGCTCCTCTCTGCAGCTGGTCATCCTGTGGTCTCCATCCTCTGCCCTGCTCTGGCTGAGACCAGGGCTTTTATGGGCCTCAGAGGGAAGGAAGTGCATGCCGATTGGTCCATAGGCAGCCATGGGCTGCTGGAAAAGGCACCACAAGTCCCCACTCTGGACAGTGGAATAGCAGCCCAACCCCCAGCCTTCAAGACCTCCCTGGCCTGAAGGTGGGGCCTTACTGGGACCACCCCCTCTGCCCAGGAATCTGTCTGCCTCCCACAGATGTTCATGACACCCAGGCTCCCCCTGTCTTTGCTGTGAGATCCCAGCAGGCACCCACAGGAGGGAGAAGTTAGGCAGTGGGAAGAGGCACTTCTGAGCATCCAAAGGCATTGGGGCCTTCCCGGGCTCCAAAGAGTGCAGAGATACCTGAGCCTGCAGCCATGTGGGCAGCTGTAGCTGCGCCCAGGTCAGGCTGCTTCCTGCTCCCTGGAGCAGGAAGCCCAGGTCTACAGCTATAGTTTGGGTGGCTGCAGCTGCACCCAGGAGGGCAGGAATCCTGCCTGTTCCCAGTCCCAAGAGCACAGGGAGGCTTGGCTATGCAGCCACAACTTGGGTGGCCACAGCCCCACCCAGGAGGGCAGGGTCTTCTGCCTGCTCTGTGGAGCAGGAGGCCCAGGTCTGCAGCCATGGTTTGGGCAACTGCAGTGGCACCCAGGGAGCTTGCTCCCCAAGTCAGAAAAGGTGGGTCTCCAGCTTGTTCCCGGCTCCTGTGGGCTCCATGGAGCCTGCTGTCCCTGTAGTGTCTCCCTGCTGCAGCCAGCCAGCAGCAGGCCGTCTGGAGCAGTTGCTGCCATCATTAATCTAAGAACTAGTAAAATTGTAATTAAAACATCAAGGGACCCCGAAGAGGTTTAAAACAGGTGAGATGGTAGGGCACAGTGGCTCATGCCTGTAATCCCAGCACTTTGGGAGGCTGAGGCGGGTGGATAACCTGAGGTTAGGAGTTCAAGGCCAGCCTGGCCACCATGGCGAAACCCCGTCTCTACAAAAAATTAGCCAGGCATGGTGGTGGGTGCCTGTAATCCCAGCTACTCAGGAGGATGAGGCAGGAGAATCTTTTGAACCCAGGAGGCGGAGGTTGCAGTGAGCCAAGATCGGGCCATCGCACTCCAGCCTGGACAACAACAGCGGAACTCTGTCTCGGAAAAAAAAAAAAAAAAAGAAAAAAAAACACCAGGAGAGATGTTGTCAGAACATCTCTCCTTCTAAAACAGTACACTTCAATTTCATTTAGCTTTTATTGCAGTATATAACACTCTGGATATAAATGATTCAGAATTCATTTTTAAATACCAGAACCAAAATATCACCTCCTCCCAAAATATTGATGGTTCAGTAACAAATAGCACTATTTACCATAATTCTAAAGCCCAGCATTGCCATCACCTCAAGCACCCTCAGCACAATTCCCAAGGTGTCCCTGACTTGGCCTCCAGCTCTCTCTTCAGCTTCAATTTTTATCACTCTTTTTTACTCTCATCACTCAGTGATATTGAGATACATATAATTCCTGGGTATGTCACACTATTCTTACTCATGCTATACCCTGTCTAGAATGCTCATTTCACATCCACCTCTTTATTCTCCTAATGCTACTCATCTTTCAAGGTCCACTTTGGACATCATCTCTTTGTAAAATCTTGCAGGGACATGTCTTCCAGGCTGGCCTGGAATGCCATCATAGGATATATTATACCACAAAGTCACCATTGGTTCATTTTTCTGCCTTAGGCCTTG
Organism: Homo sapiens; assembly: GCF_000001405.40. NCBI lineage: Eukaryota > Metazoa > Chordata > Mammalia > Primates > Hominidae > Homo > Homo sapiens. The sequence continues at coordinate 192,893,126 of NC_000001.11, forward strand.
AGATCTAGAACTCTGTTTCATTCTGCTTTCTCCCTCCAACACCTAATAGTATATGGCATGTGACTGCATGTAAAAAAACGAAAGTGTGTCCAACTGGTTAACTGACTTCTCAATACTCAAATAAACATTCATGAGTGATTAATATGTAAAACAACACCCTCAAATGTTCTGCTCCTCTCAAGTGTGCTGGCACTTGTTATTTAAAGATCTATTTAAAGGGCCGTGTCTAGACTGGCCAAAGAAGGTAAGAACAAAAAAGACTAAATGTAATTCCTCCCAAGAAACGTGATCTGTTTTAAAAACAGTCCTATGGACCAGTCCCAGGACAGCAAAGTAGAATAGAGCATCTTCTCATGAATCACCTCACTAAGATGATTACCTCTGAAGGGCACGGAAGGAAGTTTATTGGAAATGAAAACCCTGGAAAATGAGAAGCAGAAGAATTATGTAGACATGGCTAAACAAGCAAAGAATGCTGAATACTAAAGAGTTAATTTGAGTTTGGCATTAAAACATAGATAGTCCATGCTTCTGAAAGAATAAATGTGATCAAAGGGATTAAAAGAAAGATGATTTGGGCAGAAAAATCTTGAAGACATTAAATTAGAAATTTCATTTGTTCAGACTGTACCATATTTTCTTTGAGAATGTAAGTTCCTAACCCCATAACTGTTTTTATTGAACACCCACAGCAAATGAGGCTTTGTTCAGCTGTGTCTAACAAAACACCAGTGTAAATCATTCAGCAAGCATGGCCAAAGGATCATCATACCAGCAATTAATCGGGCTTTCCTTTCATTCTCCTTTCTAAGGGTTAAAATGTTGGAAGCATTATATCTAATAAATTTAAACCCGACATACATATGCTAGGTCCAGAAGAATCTATTATAAAACATAAAACATGCCCCAAATAAAACTGTTTGGCCCTTTGCAGTATTTTCTGAAGCATCTGCGAACACATGCAATCTAATAATAGGGTATAAAAAAACCAATTGTTATCAATCTTAAAAGAACACAAAGTCAACTGCTCTATAAGCTTGAACAGAAAAAAAGAGGTCGATTTATTGTACAAACTTTAATTTAGCAAAACCTCATTGCAGCCTCCTGCTCAATATCCAGTAAACTAAAAAAAAAAAAAAAAAGCATTACTTTTAATAAGAAGATGAATACCTTCAAAAAGGGCTATGTCAACAATCAAATAAAGACCTATATAAATGTAGTATTTGTTGGAGCTAACAGAAATATTGATAAAGGAACCTCTAATAAGAACTACAAAATTGAGAGCTAAGAGTTAGAATGCTTAAAAAAGCATAAGCATAAAAGAATGCTTATGATTTCTGATTTTGGGGGGATAATATAACAAGTCAAGAAATTCTGATTCACTTTAATATTTTTGAAAACTTTTTTGTGTGTCTGATAGCACTATCATTCAGGGTTTATTTCTTCACTCTAAAACCTAACATTTTGGAGCACCTACTATATGCCAGGAATTGGATGAATACAACCAAAGACATGCTCTCCAGGAGCTCAAACCCTAATAGTGAAACTGATATGTAAATAACTACAAAACTGAGGGACCATTTTGACGAAAAGGTGTTGGCCAAGAAAGAGATCATTTCTCCCCAATGGCATTCTGGAAGAGCCGATAACTAACGAATGACTTTAGATAGGAAAGAAGGGGATGGGCCCTCCTAAAAGTGGAAACAAATACTGTATATCACAACTAGATTATCAACTCATTGAGGGCAGAACCCATCTTTTACTTCTTTATATAATTTATATTGCATAGTATATTTTTAATGATGATATCATAGATAGTTCTGCCTTGCCAAGCTTAGGTGACTTGAAATTTGGAAAACTGGTGGCTTCAAATGAAAAAGAAATAAATGAGAAAGTAAGAAATTAAATGTTTACAAAGTTAAAAAGTCATTAATATGTCTTAATAAGAAAAAAAATCAGTCAGAAGTAACCACAGGGGTTGACGGAAATAATTTTGAACCCAAATAGATACTCTTTTTCCAATTTCACAGATTCATGTGCCTCATAACTCACAGTCATTAACTACTAGTGTGTCCGGAATTGGTTCCTTCCGGTGGGTTCTTGGTCTCTCTGACTTCAAGAACGAAGCCATGGACCCTCGTGGTGAGTGTTACAGTTCTTAAAGATGGTGTGTCCGGAGTTTGTTCCTTCAGATGTTCAGACGTGTCCACAGTTTCTTCCTTCCATTGGGTTCATGGGCTCGCTTGACTTCAGGAGTGAAGCCACAGACCTTCGCAGCAACTGTTACAGCTCTTAAAGGTGGCACGTCCTAAGTTGTTTGTTCTTCCCAGTGGGTTTGTGGTCTCGCTGACTTCAGGAGTGAAGCCGCAGACCCTCGCAGTGAGTGCCACAGCTCACAAAGGCAGCGCAGACCCAAAGAGTGAGCAGCAGCAAGATTTATTGTGAAGAGACAAAGAACTAAGTTTCCACAATGTGGGAACGGACCCGGCTTCCGGCTGCTGGCTCAGGTGGCCAGCTTTTATTCCCTTATTTGGCCCTGCCCACATCCTGCTGACTGGTCCATTTTACAGAGCACTGATTGGTCCATTTTATAGACTGCTGATTGGTCCGTTTTTACAGAGTGCTGATTGGTGTGTTTACAAACCTTTAACTAGACACAGAGTGCCGATTGGTGCATTTTTACTAGACACAGAGCGCCAATTGCTGCATTTTTACTGAGTGCTGATTGGTGCGTTTACAAACCTTTAGCTAGACACAGAGTGCTGATTGGTGTGTTTACAATCCTTTAGCTAGACAGAAAAGTTCTCCAAGTCCCCACCTGACCCAGAAGCCCAGCTGGCTTCACCTCTCACTAGTAACAGTCAAGCTCTGCGTTTTACAAACCCACAATATGAAAGGGAGTTCTTATGGTGAATACCAGAAGGTTTTGGCTTATATTTGGCTATAAGGAAAAGAAATATAGGGCTTAAAATAATTTTAACCTTAGGCCAATGGAGAGATTTAAGGCTTTACAATTAAAGAAAAAGAAAAAAAAAGAGAGAAAGAAAAAATGAAGTAAAAATAGAAGAAAAGGGGATAAGAAAAAGGAAAGAGGGAAGAGCAAGAAAAGAGTATTGTGGGAAATACTAAAAAGGCACAGATAGTCTGTCACTAGAATCCAGACTACCACAAAAATTCCAGATCAGAAAAATCTCTGCACAATATCACCACTAATCACTAAAGATTTAGGTAGTAATTGTACGTCAAAATGTATGGAAATTCATACAAAGTGCACCTTAGTCTTTAAGAAATAGAAATTTTCTCTTCTTTAACAAACATGGGAGTGCAGATGTACCTCTTCTACATACTGATTTCATTTCCACTGAATATATATCCAGAAGTTGGATTGTTGGGTCATATGGTAGTTCTATTTTTAATTTTTTGAGAAACCTCCATACTTTCATCATACTGGCTATAGGAATTTACATTCCCACCAACAATGTGTGAATTCCTCTTTCTCCATGTCCTCACCAGCATTTCTTATTTTTTATCTTTTTAATAATAGCCATTTTAACTAGGGTGAGGTAATGTTTTATGTGGTACTGATTTGTATTTCCCTGATGATGAGTGATGTTTATTCCTATGCTAATCACAATAGCCAAGATGTAGAATAAACCTAAGTATCCATCAACAAATGAATGGATATTTTAAAATTATATATACATATGTATATACACAATGGAATACTATTGAACCATGAAAAAGAATGAAATTCTGCATTTGCAACAATGTGGATGAACCTTGAGAACATTTTGTTAAATGAAATAAGCCAAGTACAGAAGCACAATACCATGTGATCTCACTCCTATGTGGAATCTTAAAAAGTTGATCTTATAGAAATAGAGGGTAGACTAGTGGTTACCAGAGGCTTGGAAGAGTGAAGGGGAGATGGGGAGAGGTTGGTCTACAGGTACAAAGTTATGGTTAGACAAGAGGAATAAGTTCTGGCATTCTAATACACAGTAGAGTGACAATAGTTAACAATAATGTATTATATACTTCAAAATAGCTAGAAGACAGGATTTTGAATGCACCCACCACAAAGAAATGACAAGTGTTTGAGGTGATGGATATGCTATTTGCCATGATTTGATCATTACACAATGTATACATATATGCAAACATCACACTATACCCCATAAATAGGTACAATTATTATGTGACAATTAAGAACAAAACTTTAAAATAATTGTTTTCTCCTGTTATTGATGATTTGAGGTGTATATTTGTTTTGACTTCCCAGTTTAAAATGTGTCAGCTTCCTCAAAATTCTCATCAGCTGCTTCTTCCAGTCAACAATTATAAACCTCTAGCACTCATTATAATCTCTAGCTTAGCAGATGCTGTTGTCCAGATAGCAGAAAGGAGCCAAGAGAGGTGCAGTCTCTGAGTCCCCTTGAAAGTTGAGAAAATGCTTAGGTTCTCCAATAATGGTGGAATAGCCCTTACTTTGGGAATTTTGGTGTAATTGACTGCAATATAATACCTATTAGATGAGGTGCAATTTTTAGCAACCAGTAATGTATAAGGATAATCAGTTTTTTAGGACAGTTTTATGAGGGACAAATCCTCAGTCCATGAAAGTGTGATATGATATAAAAATTGGAGGGCAGTGCCATTCAACAGCCAATCCATTTCTAATCTCTAAACAGGCTGTTTTCATTGGGTCCTCACTGCTGTGCAGAACAATCTAGCTCATCTTTTAAGTTGAGATTACCTATTTTTCTTTGTTTCTTAATAGTATTGAGAACAAATAAACCTTTTCACCATTTGTTTAAGTAACTATTCTGAAATATAACTCTTTCCTCTAGATCTGAATAAATCCAACCATCAGAAGAGCATCCTAATAACAGCAATAATTTATGGAAAATGATAAATATTGATATTGCTCTGACTCTTTTCTGTTTTCTCAATGAAGAGAATTATATTTTCCTAAAGATATAGTTGGCCTAAAATGTTTGCGTAGTAAAAATACTTTTAATTAAGTCATCCAGGTGATGAGAGTCAAAAAGGAAAAGAAAAGTCTACTCGTGGTCCCTGAAATATTCTCCATAGATCACCTTACCCAAAATAAATAGTTTGTAAATGTGATCATCTTGCTCCAGAGATTTTTATGCATGCAGTGCTTGAAGGTACACACATGTGAATGGAACACTCACCAGAGAGCCATCAGTGAAGTATTAAAATAATGTTTAGTGTTTGACAAATTAAAGATGCAATCATTTAAAATAGCATCTAGGCAGTTTTCATGTATCTGTTGCATTGCAGTGGGTATCTTAAATTTCCCAATTGTCACTTAATTCAATAAACAGTCCATCAAAAACTATTAAAAGTAGGTATTGATTTCTAGATACCATTCTAAAATGCTTTGCCAAGTCTCCATTATCTCAAAAGCATGTGAGAAGTTTATCTTTCTGTGCTCCCCAAACGATGTTCTCCTCATCAGTCCACTTGATAGCAACATAATGATCATTAAGTATATTTCATAGCTTGGTGACTATGCCATTGGAATTTCTTTAAGTTTCAAGGATAAATAGATAAGTCTACACAATAGATATGTTTAGATCTAACATCTCTACATCTTCTTTAGACAGCTGTGTTTAATTTCAGAGACAGTAACGTTTGTTTTTAGGCCCACATTTTCTCAGAGACATAAAGAACTAAGATAGGACTATACCATTTTTAAGGTCCCACTGACGTTTGAAATTAAGGCAGTGGCACCTTTGAAAAACATATAGTCCTATCTTCTCATCTAAAAGATGTAAAAACTGACTCAGACTGCTAAAGTGAGTTGCTTATGATCACAAGGACAGTTAGAGATAGACAAACCTCAAACATCTTATCAAATCCCTGGGCAAACCCTTTGATATTAAACTCAGAGACTATCATCAAATATCATTTCAATTGCTAAGGTAGGATCCAAACTAGTTCATCAGCAGGACACCTCTGAATTTCTTACACCACCTAGTGCATGCTATTACAAGCATCCACTTATTTCAGGAAGGTTTCTGGTAACAGACATCTCATTATTCTGCAACAAAAGCACTCATTAAATATTGGGCATAACCTAATAAGATCCTTTGCTGCTGCTCTCACTGAAGTTTTAAAGCAGAAGTTAAAAACAGACAATCATGGGCTGGAGTCAATCCTAGATGTATTTGTTTGGCAAACAGTAATTTAAGTATTTTTAATTTAAAATTTTTAATTTGAGAAATTATAACCAATAATCAAAACTTCTTTCCATAAAAAAATTATATCTGTCAACACTGGTACTGTAGTTCCACTTGGCAACAATCACTAAAACTGACTTGCTGCTCTGCCTTTAGACACGTGTTCCCTGCTTTACCAGGGTCTCCATCTCTTCTTATTGTCTTTTGTTCCAGCTGGTTTGTCCCGTTTCTGTACTTGCCTGGTTCCTATGACAGTTGAATTTACAATATAAGTTTCAGAGCCTTAGTTGACAATTATTTCCTAATGCTTTAAAAGATATAAAAGATTTGCCGGGCGTGGTGGCTCACACCTGTAATCCCAGCACTTTGGGAGACCAAGGCAGGCGGATCGCCTGAGGTCAGGAGTTCAAGATCAGTTTGGTCAACATGGTGAAGCCCTGTCTTTACTAAAAATACAAAAATTAGCCGGGCATGGTGGCACGCACCTGTAATCCCAGCTACTCGGGAGGCTGAGGCAGGAGAATCGCTTGAACCCGGGAGGCAGAGGTTGCAGTGACCCGAGATCGCACCACTGCACTCCAGCCTGGTGACAGAGCTAGGCTATGTCTCAAAAAAAAAAAAAAAAAAAAGATATAAAAGATTCAAAGGTATTTACAGGATGAAAATGTTTGAGGGAAAGTAAAGCACTAATGATACACCAGAAATGGTAATTCATTCTGGATTATTGTAAGCATATTTCATTTTCTTTCTTTCTTTTTTTTTTTTTTTTTTTAGACGGAGTCTAGCTCTGTCACCAGGCTGGAGTGCAGTGATGTGATCTCGGCTCACTGCAACCTCCGCCTGGTGGGTTCAAGTGATTCTCCTGCCTCAGCCCCCAAGTAGCTGGGATTATAGGTGTGTGCTACCACGCCCAGCTAATTTTTGTATTTTTAGTAGAGACGGGGTTTCACCATGTTGGCCAGGATGGTCTCCATTTCCTGACCTCGTCATCCACCCACCTTGGCCTCCCAAAGCATATTTCATTTTCTAAGTAAACCATTCACAAGCCCAGGGCTACTGTTAGTAATATAGTCAACTCTACCTGGGATAATAGGTGGATGTGATCATTTTTTAAAAATAGTCAAACATGGTATAGAATGATTTCATGTTAACTTATTTCTTTAATTTTACAATTCTACATTCTCCATCCAAAAATGTTTAAAAGAATGCCAAAAAAAAAAAAACCCTATGTTCAGGAGCAATGACTATCACATAATATGCTAACTGAAAAAGTGGCACAAAGTTTCTGCTTTGTAGTGTCCTCTATTACAATAGTACCCAACTTAGACACAGACACAGCTTAAGGCAAATGCTCGTCCTTCCCCTCCTTTGTCTTACAGTCGGCAAAGACCTAAATAAATGAAGATACATATTGTGTTCATAAATTGGAAAACTCTATACTTTTAAGATTAAAAATCAGATCTTTTCAAACGAATCTATACATCCAATGCAATCTCTGTCAAAAACCTAACAAGACTTTTTTTAAAAAACTAGAAAGCAACAAGCTGGAAAGACAAAATATTTAGAATAGCCAAAAAATTATTTTAAAAAGAGGAGAAAGCTGGAGGTACCACACTATTCGATTTCCAGACTTACTATAAAGCTACAATAATGAAGAGACTATGGCATTGGCAAAAATATGGGGATGTGGACTCTTGGAACAGAAATAGATCCACACATACATGGTCAATACATTTTCAAAAAGGTGCAAATGCAAGTCAATGGAAAAAAGATAGTCTTTTCGAAAAATTGTGTTGTAACAAATGAGATACTCACGTGCAAAAAAATAAAAATAAACTTTAAGCCAAACCTTCTGCTTTATACAAAAATTAACTCATAATGAATCAGAGACCTAAATGCAAAACAAATAACTAAAACTTCCAGAAGAAAATGTAGGAGAAAATATTTGGGTTAGACAAAGTTCTTAGATATGACACCAAAAGCTAAATCCATAAAAGTAAATTAATGAAGATTAGACTTCAAAACCAAAGATTAGACTTCAAAAGTTCTACTCTTTGAAAGACACTACTAAGAGAATGAAAATACAAGCCACATATTGGGAGAAAATATTTGCAAAACATGTACAGGGTCTGATAAAGGACTTGTATCTAGAATACATATATAAAGAAGTCTTAAAACAAAATAGCAAACAACCCAATTTTTTTAAATGGGCAAAAGATTTGGAAAGACATTTTCACTATGGAAAAAATATTGGAGTAGAGTGGGCCCTTAACCAATATGACTAGTGTCCTTACAAGAAGAGGAGAAGAGACAGACATAGAAGAAGAATGCCAGTTGGCAATGGAGACAGAGATTGGAGTCATGCAGCTGCAAGCCAAGGCATGCCAAGGATTGCCAGTGATAATAGAATCTAAGAGAAGGGCATGGGACAAATTCTCCACCACAGCTTTCAAAGAGAGCATGGCCCTTCCAACACCTCGATTTTGGGCTTCCAGCTTCCAGAACTGCAAGAAGATACATTTCTGTTGTTTTAAGCCACCCAGTTTGTTTTACTTTGTCACAGCAGTCCTAGGAAATGTGTGTGTGTGTGTGTGGTGTGTATAAATGTGTTATATATTTTCTAATATTATACAAATCTCATGCAAACAGATTCCCTACCTTTCCTCATATGACCAGTTCCATGTTTTATTTCAGACATTTCCTAAAGAACTGATATCACTTTATTACTTTTTGTGGTAAGAAACTCATGTGAAATATTAAATACTCACATTTTTATATTTTACTTCCTTTTAAAAGCTTTTATATAACCTACTGGAAGTGCATAATAATAACAGACTTCATAACTACCATTTATTAAGAAGTTTTTTTGTTCTGCATCATGTCTAATACTGTAAAGAATTTGGAGGTTATTATTTTAATTGTCCAGAGTAGGAAAGAGGTTTAAAAAGATGAAGTCTCCCACTAGGCTGTGAACTATTTTAAAGACTATATCTAATGCATCTGTGTAATCCCTGGAATGTGGTACCAGGTCTGGCTAACACTGTCTTGAGTATTGGACAAATTAATTAAATTTACCCCAAGTCACATAGTAAATGAACTGTGGAGCTGGAATTCAAATGAGGCCTGTCATATTACGGCTCCATTTAAATGCATCCAATACCATTTAGAATAAACCCAAACTCCTTACTTTGGCTAATAAAGCTCTCAGAATCAGGCACCTAGGGCTCATTTTACACCATCCCTTGCTTCTCCTGACCCTGCAGCCACACTTCTGTTCAGTTCCTCAACCTCGGCACTAACTGCTCCTCCTGCCGACAGCATCTTCCCTTGTTCTCACTCCTCCATCTTTGCATGGCTCTATCCTTCGAGTTATTTGGGTCTCACCTTAAATGCCATCTCCTTAGAAAGGTCTTCCTGATCACCCAGTGTAAAATAGCAACCCATTTACTCCCTATTACTTATAGTCTTGTTTTAATTTTGTTATATTTAACTTATCATATTCCATGTTTTGTTTCTTCAGTAGTATATTTACAGTCTTTTTCTTCTACTAAACATGCTAAGGTTCATATTTTTCACTTGCATCTTCTAGATTTAATACAAAAACAAACATTAAGAAAGCTGATTATTTTATTGTATACTTTAAGATAACAAACATATCATTTATCGTGTTCATTACTACATCTCCAGAAAATGGAAAGTCTCTGTCACATAGTGGGAACTCAGTTGATAGACTTTGAATAAATAATGAATGTTTCATTTCATGCTGTTTCCCTATGTCCATGCTTATTGCCCCAAATTCAAGAACTAAATTGTGACACAACCTGGTCCATCTGGCCTATCATACTAGATCTCTGAAATGTTCTAGCAACTCCAAGGGCTCTGGTACGTCTTTTATCCATACGGCCCTCTGTCTTCCTAATCTGGCAACAGCCTCCTAGTAACTAAAGCAAACTGTGGAAATTAACAGCTGCACCACTGACTTCAGGACCACACCAGGGGATTCCCCAGCAGGTGCCAAGTTTAAATATAGGCTACAGGGAATGTTCTATTGCCAGTGTGCAGTGGGATGCCAGACAGCTGTGGTACATCGGGATTTCACTGGGCCACGTGTCTCGTTAGTGTTTATATCACCAAGTCATAATTAAAAGGGTTTCTCTTTCTTAAGACCACTTCTACTTCTTTTATAATATTGGAAAATAAAGAAGTTTCTTGGCATTCTATATATGAATTTGTATGGAACTACTTTATTCCTCTGTCCTTATTGATTTACAAATTACCCAAATGTCTTATTTCAATCAAAAAACTTTATAACTTAAATTTGGCCTGTTTACTAATTTGCTAATTTCCTAGTCTTGCTAATAGCTCACAAAAGTTATTTCATTTGTTTGCAAAGCTTCACTCATGGAGATGCTGTTGACAAAAACCCATGCTTCCCATACTACTTGGTGAAATGCTTAGGAAATTGAAAGTAGAATTCAAAGATGCTTCTCTACTTAAATTGTGAATGTGTTTTTACCGTGTTAGTTCAGGTCTACCATTACTTGATAGTGAGTACGTCTTGCACTTTTCAATTTGATATTAACATGAAAATAAAAAGTCCATCTCAATTCAACAAACTAAATAGTCAATTTGGGCACTGAGGAATAAGCAATAGATACTTCAAGTCTCCTTGATAACGCATTAGTCTTTTTCAGACTCAGAACTGAAGATTGAACAGCAAATGGCACATGGACCTTGTATTTATGTAGCATTTTACAGTTTAAAAATAAAGCTTTATTATTCAGTGACTTTGGATGAATAACTTTCTATAAGATGAGGTGAAAAAAGCAGGATACAAAGTTGTATATTTATATTTTGGTGTTAAGAAAAAGAAAAAAATTGTTAGTGGTAATCTCGAAGTAGTGGAATAATACATTGCTTTTATTTTGTTCTTTATGCTTTTTGGTATCTTAAAAATTTCTACGGTGAATATGTACTATTTTACAAATTAAAAAACAATTTTAAAATGCCTTAACGTATTTCAGTAAGTGCTCAGTTATTCTGTAAGTGTAAATATCCTCATTGTACAAATGCAAAACTGTTTGAGAAGTAGAGATAGTGACTTACTCCAAAGTTTGAATACTCTTTATTACATTTGCCAACTTTTCACTGAATCCTGCCATCAGCCCCACACTGACATGCCAAGGAAATGAAGTGTGGTTATAAAAAAGTCTAAAGAAACAGAAGTGGGGGCGTATGTGTGTTTTGTTCATGATTTTGACAAATTGTAAGTGAGTCAGCGATGCATGCCCATCACAACCTTTTTGAGAAGATCAGTCATGTGAGGCATAAACTGTCGTACAGATCAGAACGCTCCCAATAGTTTGGTTTTGGTGATAATAACTGCAACCACTTGCTCAAAGTTAAAGGAAAGCAAAAGGAACACACGTCACTGGCTGCTAGCTTACCGACAGCAGCCTACTGTGATTCATTATTCTGGCAAACATATTAGAGATAGGAATGTTTTATTTAAAAGTTTTGTACAGTTTAGCAATGTTCAGCGGTTGTGTTTCACAGGACTTCACCAGGGATACATCATGTAGGTTTTACAAATGTATCCAAATCAATCATGAATGATTCTCTTAATTTAAGCATATAATATAAAATAATAAACTTCCTTATTTTGTTGTTATATTAAATCTGGGAGCTACAAGTGGAAAATATGAACATTAGCATGTTTATTTAATTGATTCAACTATTAAAATATCATAGTCCACTAATTGCAAAGCATTTCTAAGTACAAATACAATTCTGAAAGCAAATAATAAAATTCTTTCACACTATACTCCACATGGATTGAAAAAAATATATTATGCAATAGCTACTGGCTTTGAGGAAGGACAGTCTCTTTTTTTTTTTATTCTCTCCTCTCTTTGTCTCTTTCTGAGAAAAACATGAGTACATAATGACCTCAAAGCTTTGATCACTATGAAGTTTGGTAACTATGTTAACCTGTTCTGACTAAAATTTCCTGTATCAAATTTTTATAAAAGAATGTGTGTGTATGAGTGTATTGAGGGTCTGTTATGTCAATTTCATGTGAATCTTACTTTTTTTTACATTGCTGACCAGAAAGAAAATATTAATCCCAAAAACCTATCAAACATTTTAATTAAAATTGCCAAATATTACTAATCTTGTTCAGTCAGGCATTACCCACATAAGGTACTGTAATACTAATTCAAGGTACTTGATGCTACTTTGTGACTATTTTATTAGTATAATTAATTGTATATACAGTAATTGCTTGTTCTTACTATAAAAATAATCCATGCTTCTAAGAAATTCAAACAAGGCAGGACATAAAGTAGAAATTTAAAGTCCCATCCTGCCCAATTACACTTGCCATGGGTAAGAGTTTTATGCTCATCTTATATAGCAAACTTTCTGAGAGCACAGAGACAAATTTAGTCAAAGCTGGAGTTCTTTTTTTTTGAGACAGAATTTCACTCTTGTTGCCCAGGCTGGAGTGCAATGGTGAGACCTTGGCTCACCGCAACCTCCACCTCCCAGGTTCAAGCAATTCTCCTGCCTCGGCCTCCCAAGTAGCTGGGATTACAGGCATGTGCCACCACACCCGGCTAATTTTGTATTTTTAGAAGAGACGGGGTTTCTCCATGTTCAGCCTGATGGGTTCAGGCTGGTCTCGAACTCCCGACCTCAGGTGATCCGCCCACCTCAGCCTCCCAAAGTGCTAGGATTACAGGAGTGAGCCACCGTACCCGGCCATAGCCGGAGTTCTTACTGCTGCCTCTACTTCTGACTCAGCAAGTGACCCTGAGCATGTAAAGAACAGAACATTTGTTCGTCATAGTAATTCATTCATTCATTGTTTATTCATTCATTCAACAACTATCTATCTCCAAACTATCTACTGTTGCTGCAGTTTTATCCTTGGAGATTCATTTGGGAGCATATAAGTAATTTTGCTCTAGAAAATAATTTTTTAAATAATAACATCAGCAAAAACATTTATTTGATAATTACTACATACCCAGCACGAGGTTAAGCACTTTTCATTGGGTATTTTATTTAATAGTCACACCAACCCTATGGGATAGGGACTATTATTATGCCTATATTCTAACTGAGGAAATGGGGACCTATAGAGGTGGACTGACTTGCTCAAACCAAAGTCACTCTGCTAGTAAATCCAGTGTAACAACCCAGAGCCACCTCACTCCAAAGCCTGTCCTCCCAGCCACAGAGCTATATTGCTCCTCAATGTAAGTTTCCAGTGGATAGAGAATGAAGTATTATCAATTATTAATACGTGGTCACACAAGCCACATTTCAAGTGCTCAGTAGCCACTTGTGGCTGGTGAGTACCTTATTACACAGCCCGATATAGAACATTTCCATCATCTTAGAAATTTCTATTGGGCAACACTGGTCTAGATAAAAACCCACCGAGTAAGACAACATTGGGTTTACGTAGGTAATTAACCTGATGAAAGGAGAGAAATAGTGAAAGTAGACAATTTAAGAATAAGAAAAGGGATTTAACCATCTGTATTTATCGGAGAAGAAGAGTTCAGGAAATACTAAGTGAGTAAGAGACAGTAACTATGTAATATTATTGAATTGTTATTGAGAGAAAATTATTTGTAGCTGTGAATATGTTATTAGTTGTTATATATATAGAAGTTGGAAGTTAGATGAAGTCAGTAATATAAGTGAAAAAAACAATTTTCCAACTCCAGAAACCACCCCAGTGCATTAAGGAGACAAGGAAGACTAAGTTGATAGTTAGAAGATGAGATCCAAAGGCTGAGAATCCGGGAAGGAAAGCTCTCAGAAGAGGCAAGATTAGGAGATATACCTAATGCTAAATGACGAGTTAATGGGTGCAGCACACCAGCATGGCACATGTATACATATGTAACTAACCTGCACATTGTGCACATGTACCCTAAAACTTGAAGTATAATAATAATAAAATTTAAAAAATTTTAAAAAGTAGATGAATTAAAGCAAGCCCAATGATGTGATAATGGGACAGAGAAATGAAAGAAGGAAATCTGCTGTAAGGAAGCTGTGGAAATGAATGAGATTGTATTTGTTAAGTGAGCTTCCAGTACAGCGAGCTGCTGGTTACTTGGTTTGTTTCATATGTTATGAATACTGCAAATATGTTATAAAAAGAATTGCGGAGTGTAAAATTTATCTTATTCATTTTTGCACAGTTGCTATAATGAAATATCTCAGATTAATAAAACAGTTTCTGCCATCTAGGAATGTAAAATCTAGAGTGAGACAGGCAACTACAAAGACTCTCTTTCACTCAGCTCCTCTTGTCAGACATGAAGCTGTATTCTTCACACAAATATGTGCCATACTCACACTATCTCTGCCCAGTAGGCACAGAAACTCCCTGACTCACCAGTACGACATGTTCCTAGAGGCTGTTCTAAGTCCATTTATGCAAAAGTACAAAATGACTTTATTCAAGCTATCACTAACATCTTGCCACAAGTTACTTCTTTATTATTACTTAGATTTATTAACTTTCATAGGTGCTCATAAACAAATCTAGTATTAGAAACAGCATCAAGTGGAAGCAGTTGAAAGTGTAATAGAGGAACTTCTCTATTGTTGACCTATTTTACCAATGAGAATGTTGAGACTCAGAGTTTCAGTTGCCTAAGGTCAGGTGATTAACAAGTACAGAAGCTAGGGTGAAGCCCTGGGTTTGTGTGCCTACAGAGTTCCTCATGTGAACTGCGTCATGCAGCCTCTTATCAATTGCATCACAAGACAGAATGGATGAAGGAGGCAGAATTGTTCAGTGGAAAGAGCAGAAGTTTTATCCTCTATTTTAGGATGGGTTCCCCTAGAAGCAGACCCTGAGGAAAGGATATGTTCATGGATTATTTGGAAAGTGATTCCAGGAAGCACTGCTGGATGAGCTGAAGAAGTAAGACAGAAAGAAGATACCCATACAAGGTGTGTTAATGCAAATGTTAATTCTGTAACTGGGAATAAATCCTACTGGGACTTCTGGGAAATTGTGGAGACCAGTCATCAGAACTGTCCACACAAAAGAGGAAGCTGAGACACTTACACTCCAACTCCTTCCTTTGTTGGCTGAGGTCTACTCTCAAGGCCATAGCTCCAATCTTTCCTGGACTGCTCCAGGCATGGGCCAAAAGAAAGGCCCAGGTAGAGAGTCTCAGGTGCTTGAAGTCAGAACCCTTTGAAACAGAAAGGCTGGTGTGAGAACAGTGAATGCCAAGAGGATATAGGCAGGGCATGGACAGCATCTCTACAACCTTGGGCAGACCTCGATAAGCTTGAATTACACCTCTGCTGATATATGCTTTATGACTGGGCAAACAAGGATCCCAACAACCCCTAAACATTGTAGTTGGTGGTTATAACTGCTATGTCTCTTCATCTAGAATGATTCTCCATCTCTTTTTTTCTGTAAAATTGACCTGTGGCAGAAATTAGAGCAATATTCTGACAGGAGGTCCCATTTCATATTTTGGTCTGATTGTTTCTTCTTCAAGTTGTATTTTAACATGACCTTCTATTCTCCATATTCCCTGCAAACTTGTTCTTGGATCTAAAGACCTGACCAGATCCAGGCTAACTATTTTGGCAAGAATCCTTCATAGGAGGTGCTCTGTGCCTCACATTACATCACATAAAGAGGCTCACCACTTCAGGCCGTTCCATTATTAGCTATGCTCAGATTCATCAGTGGGGTAAGGTGGTTACAGCCAGCTCTCTCTGAGACTCAGATTCTTTATTTGCAATAATGTAAAAAAATAACCATACTGCTGGATTCCTATGACAAATAGTATAATCAAAGCACCTAATGCAATTCCTGAATTCAGTAAGGGCTACATTAATGACAAGTATACCTCATCTGGAATAAGTCCAATGGGAGAAGAGAAGTAACTACATTTGAATGTACCTTTGACATAAGGACATAATTTTAAACTGAGTTTAAGAACAGATGAGGAAGAATTGCTTTCTGGTATGAGTTATAAAGGAGAATAAAAATACAAAGTATTAAGCCCAAATAATGGCATGGATTGGAAAAGTTATAAAAGTCAAAGTGGGAAAGTTGTGATAAGGAGAGATTGTTGGAGGATTAGATAGCATATTAAGCAGATGGGATTTTATTCTGCAGATGATGGTGAGGTAGGAGGTGGGGCTCAAACTCTGGACCACATTGAAGACTGAAACAGGCAAGAGGTGAAAGTACCTCTCCACAAGACACGCCCACCA
This sequence comes from Homo sapiens, assembly GCF_000001405.40. Lineage (NCBI taxonomy): Eukaryota > Metazoa > Chordata > Mammalia > Primates > Hominidae > Homo > Homo sapiens. The sequence goes on from NC_000001.11 coordinate 192,909,613, forward strand.
CTGCCATGTCAGTTTACCATTGCCATGGCAACACCCGAAATTACCACCCCTTTCTATGACAATGACCTGGATGTTTCCACCCTTTTTTTAAAAATGTCTGCATAATCTACCCCTAAGCATGTAATTAAAAGTAGGTATAAATATGACTGCAGAACTGTTCCTGAGCTGCACACTACTTATGGGGCAGCCCTGTTCTGCACGGAGCAGTACCTCTGCTGCTGCTATACACTGCCACTTCAATAAAAGTTGCTGTTTAACATCACCAGTTCACCCTTGAATACTTTCCTGGGTGAAGCCAAGAACCGTCCCAGATTAAGTCCCAGTTTGGGGGCTTGCCTGCCCTGCATCCATGGAAAGTCATCAAAGGTGGAATTTTGTTTTGTCTTAGAAATCATTTGACTGTTTTTGTTTTTGTTGTTGTTGTTGTTGTTGTTTTTAGGAATAAAGGTGCCAGAGCATACACACCATGGAATACTATGCAGCCATAAAAAAGGATGAGTTCATGTCCTTTGTAGGGACATGGATGAAGCTGGAAACCATCATTCTCGGCAAACTATCGCAAGGACAAAAAACCAAACACCGCATGTTCTCACTCAGAGGTGGGAATTGAACAATGAGAACACTTGGACACAGGAAGGGGAACATCACACACCGGGGCCTGTCACGGGGTGCGGGGAGGGGGGAGGGATAGCATTAGGACATATACCTGATGTAAATGACGAGTTAATGGGTGCAGCACACCAACATGGCACATGTATACATATGTAACAAACCTGCACATTGTGCACATGTACCCTAAAACTTAAAAAAAAAAAAAAAAGGTGCCAGAGATCTTTGTTTTCTCTTTAAGATCCTCTCTCACCTTTCTCTAACTGGTTTCCTGCCCACAAGAACCTGCTCTGTATGCACCCCATCAACAGGCTTTTCTGTTCTCTGGATTCTGTGTGGTTTTGACCACTGGGGAGCCCCAGCAGTGTTGGAGAAGGGAGAGTGAGGTAAGGGCACTTCCCCTACAGCCTGCCTTGCAGGGTTACTTCAAGATAGTTCTTTCTCCCTACCCAAGAAAACAGTTCTGAAGGTGTGTTCTTCATGGGACCCTCTCATTCCAGATTATAGTAATGAGTCTTTTTCTTTCAGGCCAAGGAGTTTCCCTGTAAGTAGCCTGGGGAACTCCAAAATCATAGCTTAGGACTTCCTTATACCCTGTACAATACCTTTGTGCATAGTCCTTTTATTAACCTCTCCTTGAATTATCTTCATTTGAGTTGCCATACATTTCCTGCTACATTTATTAATAGTACAAAAATGACCTCAGGAAACAGATGCTCAAAAGAAGATGCTGGAATCAATTTGCTTATTTATTGTAGGACTTAGAGAAATGAAAGTTCAGATTATCCTACCAGGAGAGAATCCCTGTCCAACCATAGTGCTGGCAAAGGGAAAGGAGAACATAGAGATAGGATGTATGGTAGAAAAAGGAATTCTGCTTACCAAATTATGCTCTGTGTCCAGCTACAGATTTGGGGATAGTATCAGCTACTGTTGGTGTTATTTGTTTTTCCTTTTTTCCTCTGCTACCTTACGTGGAGAACTCAGTGATCATTAATGTTTTCATTTCAGGCACAGCTGCTACTCAACTGATGTTACCCTGTTATGATTTGGTAGCTGATGGAACTTCATGTGTCCCCTGTGATGGAGACACAAACTTTTCCTGCAACGAAAAGTAGATGCTGAGGGGCCAGGAGTGATGGTACCAGACGTCTTGTTTACCCCTCTGGATCCCAGGATGCTGTTCAGTGTGGAATACATCCGTCGGCTCCTTTGCCTCCTAGTCTGCAGTTGAGTTCCTGTAGAGTCCCAGCAGGAGGTCTGAGGGAGTGATGAGAATGAGGTGAGGCCAATTACTCCCCCGCTCCCACCTGGAAGTTCCCTCTGGCAGGCTGCGTCCCACATTCAAGTTATACAGTTCCTATAACAGAGGGTCTCTCCACAAGACGCTCTCTTCTCAGGTTCTTTTTGAGAGGTGAAGCCAGCTGGGCTTCTGGGTCTGGTGGGGACTTGGAGAACTTTTCTGTCTAGCTAAAGGATTATAAATGCACCAATCAGCACTCTGTGTCTAGCTAAAGGATTGTAAATGCACCAATCAGCACTCTGTAAAACAGACCAATCAGCACTCTGTAAAATGGACCAACTAGCAGGATGTGGGTGGGACCAAATAAGGGAATAAAAGCAGGCCACCCGAACCAGCAGCGGCAACCCACTGGGGTCCCCTTCCACGCTGTGGAAGCTTTGCTCTTTCACTCTTTGCAATAAATCTTGCTGCTGCTCACTCTTTGGGTCCACACTACCTTTATGAGCTGTAACACTCACCACGAAGGTCTGCAGCTTTACTCCTGAAGCCAGCAAGACCACGAACCCACTGGGAGGAATGAACAACTGCAGACGCTCCACCTTTAAGAGCTGTAACACTCACTGCAAAGGTATGCAGCTTCACTCTTAAAGCCAGCGAACCCACCGGGAGGAACGAACAACTCCCGACACGCTGCCTTTAAGAGCCTTAACATTCATTGCAAGGGTCTGCCGCTTCACTCCTGAAGTCAGCAAGACCACGAACCCACTGGAAGGAAGAAACTCCGGACACATCCGAATATCAGAAGGAACAAACTCCTGACACACCATCTTTAAGAACTGTAACACTCACCGCGAGGGTCTGCGGCTTCATTCTTGAAGTCAGCGAGACCAAGAACCCACCAATTCCTGACACATTTTGACAACTCACTTTCCACTTCATGCCTAAGGATGGGTAACAGCCTCACTATATTCCTTTTCCTTTTGCTCACCTGCACACACTGTATAAGTGGCCCCTTTACGAAACCCTCTTTGATTTATCCTATTTTTAATATTCCATCTTTTCACTACTGAGCCTTGCTTGAAGTAATAACTGTAGAATTCATGTGAAGGGTGTACTGGAGAATATGAGAATTTACAAGAAGGAGGACTGGTTTGGGGTCCTTTCTCTTTCAGCAAGTATTAACCGAGTACCTGCCCTGTGTCTTGTGCCAAGTAGCATTCTACAGCAGTGAAGAAGAGAGGCAGAGTCCTTGCCCTCAAGGAGTTATGGGAGGACAAATAATAAACAAGTGAACAAATAAATGAGGTAACTTTAGGTCATAACCTGAGCTTTTAAGGAGACACACAGCATGATGAGATGGACAGTAAATGAGTTGAATCTGTTTCAGATAGTTTGGTCCAAAAAGGCCCCACTGAGCAGATGACAGAAAAGACATTGAGAAGGTGGAATCCACAGTATTGATTATTGATTAAATGTAGAAAATAAAGGAGAAAAGAAGATAGAAGTTTATCCCAAGATTTCTGTCTGTGTAACTGCAAGAAAATGGCACCACCTATATTTAAAACAGATATGGAATAGGTTTATGTTTTCTGGCAGGGGTTGCAAATAAAATATCCCCTCTTTTTGTAAATAAAATGTTATTGAAATGCAGCCACACTCATTTGTTTACATATTGTCTGTGGTTACTTTCACTCTGCAACGGCAGAGTTGTGTAGTTTCAACATTATATGGCCAGATAAGTTGAAAATACTATCTGGGCCTTTATAGAAAAGTTTACTGAGTTCTTCTCTATGGCATGTTGACATAGCATCATAATTTATAGGAAACCGAGGAGGAGTCAATTTCTCTAGGAATTTTCTAGCAGATTGAGTAATGGTCTGTTTAACTAACGTTTTGTGCCCTTGAGTGGGAGGAAAATTCACACTCAAGCTTAATCAGTGAATGGGGAATGGGATAATTTCACTTTCTCATTTCTCAAATAAACTTGCCCTGAACTCTATTAGAGATAACCACACTTAATAATATTGTATATTTCAAAATTGTTGAAAGAATCGACTTTTAATGTTCTCACCACACACACAAAAAAATGGTGTTGGTGAGGTGATGTATACGTTGATTAGCTGGATCAAATCTTTCTATGATGCATACATAGATCAAAACATTCAGTTGTACCCCACAAATATACACAATTATTATTTTTCAACTAAAAATAAATTTTTAAAAATTTAAATATATATTCCAAAAAAAAAACAAGAAAGAAAGAAATTCACCTGTGCGTGATAAACAGGCAGAAAAGAAAGCTCCACCCACTGGCGCTGGGCCCAACTCCTCCTTGTGAATTCTGCATGACCAAGGAGCTTGCAGTTCTCAGTTTGCTGCATATTTCTCAGGTCCCCACCCCCTTGAACTGTTGATTCTAGCTGCTAAAAACACCTCATCCACCCAACAACATCTACATCAGAGAAGATGACTGAAATCAGAGAATCCTCCCCCACCACCCACTTTGCTGCCTCTGAAGAAGCCTCTACCACTGTCTGCACGTTAAGACTTGCTTGAGGCCTTCCACTCCCAGAGAAGGAGCCAAAATTATCCTAACATGGCTCTCAGTTGTAGGCAAATCTGTTGATCCACTATGTCATCTACAAAGTAATTTCTTGCAAAGTTGAATTAACGTTAGTCCCAAGGACAGCTGATGTTTGAAATGATGTATTTTATTTCAAAATAAGACTGTGTCCACAGATTATCCCTGCTCCTATTTTAAGATTGGAATCTAATAAACAGCACAGGCTGCTCTACCATCATTTGCTGCCTTACCATTTGTTTGTATCTATTTTTCTGTTACTATTTTTGGCTATGCTTTTAGCCACAGGATTGAGTCTGAAAGCAGGCAGATATGGACTCAAGAAAGATAAATCATGGCTTAAATTTGTTCTCAAAGGATGAAGACCAAAACAATGTTCTCCTATTTAAAGAGCACTCAGATCTGGCTAGTTAATTGCCAATTTTGAGCAACCTAAAAAACATGACAAATTTATAGGTGTCTAGTCATTAACGTTCATAGTATAAATAAACCCTCATTTGGATCATCTTAAATTCATAAATTTCAGAGCAAAATAGATGTAGAGTTCCGTGGTCAGGAAAAAGAATGCTGGACTTGGATATTAAATGATCTGGGCATGAATTTAAGCTTTGCCCTTTCCTCTGTTCAACTCCAGCCAAGTCACTTAATCTCTATAGCATGAAGTTTCCTATTTGGAAAAGGAAGGGATTGGATTGGTTCAACAAGGTATCTTCAAGTACTAAACATCTATGAGTCAACATCTGTTCTAGTTTAATTCCTCATTTTATAAATGCAGAAACTGACACACAAAGGTGAAATCTAAGGCAGCTAGTTAATGATTTAGCTGAGTTTGGGATCAGTCTTCTAATATTTTGTTTTAAATTAACTGTGAGTGTGTGTGTTTTCTGAAGAGCTCAACATCATAGAAATCCAGTACCCTTGGCCCTGGACCTGTCTCCATGTGCATTTCTGCATCCTTTCGTAATTAGAATTTCTGTTCTTGGGACAGAAGGAAATAGAGATCATACAGCGGCACCCTACTCTATTTACAGGCAAGAACTGGCAAGACATACCAACTGGAACATCAGAGCTGGGGGCACATCTCAGTTTCTAGAACATCTAAGAACCTGAACAATGGTGTGGCTTGTATTGACTTTCAGATCAAGTGATGTTTTCCCAATTTTCTTAGTAATGAATGATTTACAAAGAAAGCTAGTGATTAAACATTATTTGTGTGTTTTCTGTAATTAAAAATCATTTTCTTGGAGTCACTCAGAGCTTAGTATAATGATTTTATTGTGGCATTATTTTAATTTTACTGTGGAAATAAGGATTATACCAATTTCCTTAGACTCAAAAGCTGTGGAATGGAAAATTCTGCTTGTGGAAGCACATGTCTGTTGGATAATTCTAAAATAAAATTTTACTTTTAAATAGCACTGGTCTCTGTCACAGGAGGCATTTCGTCAAGAACACAACCACTTACTAAATTTTATTCTTCTGAAATGTAAACGTACTTTTGCAAATTTTATTCAATGGCAATGACAATCCTATAACCAAACAATATGAATCCAGTCTATTTATTCAGGATACTTTGTTTAGTACTGTGCATAATTAAAATGAAAATGTCACTGCCCTGCAAATAAATGAAATGTTCACTAGATGATGAATTAAATACATTGTGACACATTCATAAAATGGAAGACTATCCATTTAAAGACGTGTTTTGAGAAAAAAATGTTTAAAATAGATGAAAACATTCATTAGTATTTTTAAAAAGGTTACAGAACTATTTGCACCTTGTGATCCCATTTTGTATGTCTGTGTGTATACAATTCTAAAAATTGATTACTTTGGAAATATCAAGTCAATTTCAAGAAAAGTATTTTAATTTTTTTCTTTGATACGGAACAATTCATTCCTGTCATTCTCCCTACCCCACTTCACTGCCACCTACTTCCCCAAAGACACCATTTCCTTTGTCCTCATAAGAATTCATATGAATTTAAAACTGCATCATTCTCTTTCTTTTTACAATTAATGTTAAAAGCTTCGTAGTTCAATTACAGTAAGAAAATCTGGAGTCTAAAGTAGATTTGTCTCCCTGGTTTTTTTTTTTTCCAGTTAATGAGGAAGTGTGTTGGTCTGATGCTCTAAAATGAATCAATTTTGGAAATACTATAAATCATAGATATTGCAACTTCAAGGCCAATGTTACTTCCTTGTATAACTGGAAAAGAGGAAACCTACACACACATTGTCCCAATTCCTGGTCCTTGGGGGCTGTTTGTACTGAAGAACTGTTAATTGCCTTGTTTTGATTTACACAAAATGAGGTGGGGACACCCTTCCTTGCCTAGAAGAGCCATTGGCCTAGAGCAAGGAAAAGAAATGTTGAAGTTTTGACTTTTTTCTTTTCTTTTTTTTTTTTTTTGAGACTGTGCCCCTCTCTGTCACACAGGCGGGAGTGTGAGCTCAGGCAACTGCAGCCTCCACCTCTGGGGCTTAGGTGATCCTCCTACCTCAGCCTCCTAAGTAGCTGAGACTATAGGCACAAGCCACCATGCCCTGCTAATTTTTGTATTTTTTGTAGAGACGGAGTTTCTCCGTGTTGCCCAGGCTGGTCTTGAACTCCCAAGCTCACATGACCCACTCGCCTCAGCCTCCCAAAGTGCTGGGATTACAGGTATGAGCCAGCTTTGGCCTCTTTGAATAGCTACCAATAGAAGGCTTTGTGATGGGCCCTGGTTTTTTGGGGAGGTGGCCCAGGGAAGTGGAGTAGGATGGAGAGTGACCTTGAGCTTGTTAAAAGAAAAACTTCAGCCGAATTAAATTTGAAAGAGTTTAATTGAGCAATGAATGATTTGTGAATCGGGCAGCCCCCAGAATCACAGCAGATTCAGAGAGACTATGGTGCAGCCATGTGCTGGAAGAAAATTTATGGACAGCAAAAGGAAAGTGACGTAAGAAAACGGAAGTGAGGTACAGAGACAACTGAATTTGTTATGGATCAGCATTTGCCTTATTTGAACACGGTCTGAACAGTTGACTACATTGATTGGCCAAAACTCAGTGATTGGTATAGGTGTGGGCTATGGTCAGTTTATACCACCACTTGTTATAGTTCAGAATGAATGGAAAAACCTTCAGGCTGAACTTAAATATGTAAGGAGGCAGCTTCAGGCCAAACTTGATTTAACAAGCTGCTTAATAATGTGAGTCCCTGTACTGATACTGAAGTAGTTACATGGAGTGCCAGCCTCGCTCTGCTCACATCTACTTCATTGAGCTTATAAACCCATTGCCCAGCTGCTAGGAGTATTGGCTGCCAGCAGCTCACACCTATTCCCCTACTCCAAGCCTCTGCCCAGTAGGGTCGAGTGCGGGACCTTAGTCTCTGCCATCCTTCTACCAGAGCCCACAGCCCATGACTGTCATTGGCTACAAAAGTACAGCCATCATACCTCAAGAAGGACACCCTCTGGAGTGTGACTTTATGCTCTGGAGCCCAGCCCCCTCACCCACCCCATCTCCTGGATCAGGCCTGAGACAGATTTCATCTGAGCTCACATCCTTGCCTGGCTCCATGCCTCCCCTGCCCTACCTCCCTCAGTCTCTGAGAGGTTTTTCCTGAAGAGCTTATCCTCAATCACAGGTACTCCAGCCCCTGGCGCGGGCCCTCCTTCTAGGGAGCCCAATCTAAGACAGATATTTTTGGCTCAAGGAAATGATTTTATTTCCTGAGCAAGTATCTGTATTGTCCAGTATCTGAGAACTAATGTCTATCTTCGAGCATATGTGTGTCTGTGGGTGGCTCACTAGTTCACTGCTGATGGTCATGACAAATTGTCCTTCTGTCCTGGCCTTGGAATGCCAAAGGCCAGCCCAGAGGGCCCTGCAGAGTCCCACTGTCATGGTAGCCATCTAGAATGAATAACTCTGATCCCTGTGTCCTGCTGATCATCTACAGTAGGATAGCTCTGGGGGCAAGACTAGCTCTGTGTGAAGGCACTGAGAACTCTTAAAGGAGAAGGTGGGCAAAGATTCTGTGTATTGCGGAATATTTCTCAAACACAACGGACAATCTGAACTCCACTCTTGTTCAATAATTTCCCCTCCCTAAAAAGCACTTCTTCCTTCTTACAGCTTCTCTAATGGTACTCACCCTTCAAGACACTACTGTGCTCATGTTCTCCATCCTCTATGTCATCAGAAAGACTCTCTGCCACAGAAATCTCTCCTCTCTCCAACTTTATACAACTCTTGCTTGCCTATGCTATTCTTTTAGCACCTCTCATATATTATCATGCATTCTTCCTGTTATCTTCATGTTCACGTCCCTTCTCTTTAATCCTTTAAATGTACTCAAGGATAAGGACTATGCCTTACCCAGAATCTCCCTAAATATTATGCACATGACACATACTCAGTAAATATTTATTAATCATGTTGGCATGTATATTTGCTGCATTTAACTTGTTAAATGATACAGGATTTTGTGAGGAACTGCTTATTAAGATCTTTTCCTAGCCTAGGAGATTACCAAATGATTGCAGGGATTGACAAGGAGTTGGTGTTTTGTTGAAAGCAGAGATACACAATTCAAGTTCAAAGAGGGCTTGGTTTTTGCAGGTAGAGCCCTGCTCTGCCCTCAGGTACAAGAGAGGATGACCTGCTTTGACATCCTTTAGCCATAAGAGATGTAAGAGGGAACTCTATGCCCCCAAACAGGGATGTTGGGGAGGAGGAGGAAGGCAGTGTTTATAAGGAGAGGCTGTCTTCTTTTATTAACAGCTTTTTATGAATGCTTTGTCTCGAAAAATGTGAGCTTAATTCAAGGAAACTTGCTTCTGAAGTTTTGGGTAACTGAGAGACAGTGATAATGGTACTTTGTTACCCAGTTGGATATCCTCTGAGCCACCAGAATGGCCAGTCCACCCCAGTGGTACTAGTGAATAGGAGAAAATTAGCATGGCAGAGAGGAACTGAATCCTCCCCTGGAGGTACACAAGACAGTACTTGTCTGTGCCATCAGTCTCCAGAGTTGGGGCCACAGAGGATGGAATGGAGCCCTGGTCAAGCAAATTGTTCCTGCCTGCTTCAGATGAATCGTGCCTGAAACTACCAACTAGAGGCCTGTAGACAAGCAGCTAGAGCAACCACGATGAAAAACAGAAACCAAACAACATCTTCACCATCACAGACATGGGGCTATCCCACTGATGTGGGACAGTCGAGCCCAGAACTGGGGCTTAGCCCAGGAAAGTTCTTGGCTTCACACAGGAAAGAATTCAAGAGCTAGCCAGTGGTAGAAGAAACCAGTTTTATTGAGGCAACAGCGTTACAGCTTTGTGACTGCTCCAGCAGAGTAGGGCTACCCTCTAGGCAGAGTAGCAGGTCTGGGGATGTCATGCAGTCATTTTTATACGCACTTTTAATTCCATGCAAATTAAGGGGTAAGTGGGTTGTTTAGGAACTTATAGAAAAAAGGTAATTTCCAGGTCATTGCCATGGAAAGGGGTGGTAACTTCTGGGTGTTTTCATGGCAATGGTAAACTGACATGGTACTAGGGGGGCATATGTTATGGAGAAGTCCCTGTTTCAGCCAGTCTTCAATCTGGTCAGGAGTAAAGTCCCACCTCCTACCTCAACACCATGTTCACTAAAGTGATGTTGCCTTTCTCCACCCCTGACCCTGAAGGAGCTTACATAAGAGGAAGGAGAGCATGTTGAGTTGAATATGAGATTGGAATTTATAAGTGGATAAGATGTTTAAAGCATAATAACCAGGACCAGCTACATAATTTGCAGAGTCCAGTGCAAAATGAAAATGTAAACCCCCTTGTTTAAAAAGCAAGAAAAACATACCCTTAAAAGTACTGAAATGTACAATTTTTTCCTTTCATCCACATGGTCTCTCTCAACCTGTGATGGTGATTTCTTACTCACTGTTTAATGTCATGATCCCTCAAGCACAGGGATAATGAAGGGGCAGTGCTGACCTTCATAGGCTCCTGAACTAAATTGCAGGGTGCATGCTATCCTTGGGCATGACAGCTCCTGGGTTTCTCCTGCCAGGAGCTGCAGATTCCCAAGGGTATTGCAACCTCAACACCAGGACACACACACCCCCACTGAATTGCCTGCCAAACACACCTTGGCGCTGCTGGTGCTGCTAGTCCGGGGCAGGCACCTTTGCAGAGACGCTGTGGGGCCCATGCCGAACTCAACCTTTTTTCCTGCCACTGCACTCTTACTAAATTTTTTGCCTCAGGCAAATTACCTAGCCCTTTTGCACCCCATGGTACTCATCATACAAAATTGTTTGAGGATTAAGGAAAGCAAAGCACATACATTGGTCTTTACCCTCCTCCTCAAAAATCTAGGCAGACTCCTAGGCCACGATGTAAGGAACGCAGCATTCTATAATTGAGTGTAATTCAGTAATTTTCCTGAAGTACTGATTGCCTGACCCTAATAGATAGTTTTTCTGGGAATGCTGCCTGCTAAGATTTAGTCTCATCCCTCTTACATGGGAATATACTGTTTACCCATCAAGGAGGTTTTGGGTTGGGGCCCAGAAGTGCTGTGACTGGCCGGAGAAGGACCTTAAAAGGGCAGGAACAGAGAAGCCCAGGATATAGACAAAATCAGAATTCTAACCAATGAAACACTTTGATAATGCCCAGGAACACATAAGGCAAACCACTATTGTTTTGTAGATACATGTATGATGCACTTCAGAATATTAAAAAATCTGAGTGCAGTACAGAGTTGTTCTTATAGAAGGGTTTTCTCTTTTGCTTCATAGAGTATTCAATAGAAAATTTTATCTAAAGATCATAATGTATTCAAGCATTTACACCATAGACACTCAATAAATGAGAAAGAAATCAGAACGTTTTAATACATGTGTTTGAGTCACAAATAGTTATAAACAAAAAAGCAAAGTTAGTAAATCAATGCTTTTTTAAGAGTTTGAAGGAACTTTGTAAAGTAAATAGTTCAAGACTGTTATTCTACACATGTGGCTATTTAGGTTTAGTGAGGATAAGCAATTTGTCCAAACTAGGTAATGATAGTAGCAACTATATATTACTCCAAAGGATATAAGTCATTGCAGATTATTATTTGACATATAATTGTTAAATTTATACATACATTATATATATACAATTTATACATAAATTATGTATATATATTAGATTTGTGAATGTTTTATATTTTATATGTACATAGAATTCTTCACATTCCCTTTTATATTTGTTTTATATAATATATATAGCAAAGAAATAAACACTTTTCTACCTGTATATTTGTAAGAATATATATACAGTTAGCTCTCTGTATTCTTGGGTTTCACATGCATGAATTCAACCAAATGCAAATGGAAAACATTCAAAAAAGAAATTGCATCTGTACACATGCGGATTTTTTTCTTGACATTACCCCTAAACAATACAGTTTTGCATAGCATTTACATTGTATTAGGTATTATAAGTCATCTAGAGATGTTTTAAAGTGTACAGGAGGATGTTCATAGGTTATATGCAAATACTGTACTATTTAATATGAGGGATTTGAGCATCTAAGGATTTTGGTTTCCAAGAGTTACCAAAGGACAACTGTATACTACCTACATAATATATATATAATAATATATATATGCACCAGTTCATTAAGTACATATGAATTAATTTAACTCTTCATTCCCTACAGCACTTAGCAGAATACCTTGCACATATGGCATACTTGATCAACTTTAAGAAATTAGTAAATTCAAGTTCATCCTCTTTCATAGTCCATACCATGCCAGATTTACTGCTTCGAGGAGCACCAAAGAAGTAGCAGAGGGTTCCCCAGTCTCCACACAGACTCTATCCCACCTCCATATACTCTGATAAAGAAATGGAAATCTAGAGACACTGAATGGCATGGTCATTGTCACACAACATGGTAGGTATAGGACTGGAACTAAAAAAGCACAGATCTTCTACATTAGAAGCACATTCTATCATCTGGAACTTTTTACTTCAAAGGTAGTCTTAGTTATCTTTTCTTAGGAAACTACTGTCTTCCCCAACTAGAATGTAATCTTCTTGAGAACAGAGATAAAGTCTTTTTTCTTTTTGTACAGCTGCTCTCTCCACCCCAAAGTGCTTACATAACTTGCCCATGATATTAATTAATAAAGAGGTTATTGTGAGGCTTGAAGAGCATAATGGTTTTAAAACCTTCCATAAAAAGGTAGAGTCAAATTCTCTCCTTCAATACAAGTGGCCTTAGTGGCTTGCTTCTAATAAAATAAGGCAGCAGAAGCAATACTATGTGCCTTCTGAGGATAAGTTAGAAAAGGAGACATAGCTTTGGCCTGGCACTCTCTCTCAAGACACATGCTTTAGAAATTCTTTGCTGATGTGCAGGAAGTACAGCTACCCTGCAGCTATAATACCATCTAGAAAGACCACTTGCCATGCAGAGATAGAGACAGGCTCAAGGTTTCCCACAGCCCAGGCCTCAGCTGTTTGAGTCTTCCCTGTGTCACCAACTAGATATGAATGAAATAATGATTTCAGTCCCCAGTCTTTGAAACATTACCAGATGAAGCTGGTTGGAGTAGAGATGAGCCTTTCCCTTTGTGCCCTAAAATCCTAACCCAAAAACCAGAAGCACAATGTAGGGCTTTTTTATGCCACTGACTTTTCAGGATATTGTTGCACAGCATTAGATAACTACAACAGATGGTTAAACGACTTGCTCAGAATAGTAAATAACAATAAATAGTAACCAGTAACACTAGTAAATAACAATATTGACAATCAAATTTAGGTTTCTGTTCTCATCCCTGCATATAACATTTTTCTGAATGCTAAACAAAATTAAATTTTTTATTAAAACTGATTTGTTACTTTTACTAAAACTGTGTATGTCTTAGAAGGCATTGTGTTATCCACGGCCTAAAGACTCAGGTTCTGTTTTAATTCTCTCATTAATTATATATACATTTTTGAATTGCTTGCTGTGAGCTAGCCTTTGTGCTCAGCGCTTTACACATATTATCTTAGAACACATGCCTTAGTAACTCCTTGCCCATGTGTAAGAAAGACAAAAATTTAATTGAAAGGTTGACAACACTCTAGAGAGTTAACACTACTATTACACCCACTTACAAAAGAGGAAACTGAGGTATAGGGATGTTACGTTCTCTAAGGTCATGCATGAGAACTAGGAATTGAATCCAGTTCAATCCAGGAGAACTACAAAACAATGATGAAAGAAATTGTAGATGACATGAAGAAATGAAAAAACATCCCATGCTCTTGGATTAGAAGAATCAATATCATTAAAATGACCATACTACCCAAAGCAATCTACAGATTCAGTGCAATCTCTATCAAATCACCAATGTCATTTTTCACAGAATTAGAAAAAAAAATCCTAAAGTTCATATGGAACCAAAAAAGAACCTGGACAGCCAAAGCAATCCTAAGCAAAAAGAACAAATCTAGAGACATCGCATTACCTGACTTCAAATTATACTACAAGGCTCTAGTAACTGAAACAACATGGTACTAGTACAAAAACAGTCATAAAGGTCAACGGAACATAACAGAGGACCCAAAAATAAAGCCACCTACCTACAAGCAACTTATCCTCAACAAAGTCAACAAAAATAAACAGGAAAAAGATACCCTATTCAATAAATAATGCTGGGAAAATGGGTTAGTCATATGCAGGAGAATGAAACTGGACCCCTATCTCTCACTATATATAAAAATTAACTGAAAATGGAGTAAAGACTTAAACATAAGACCTGAAACTATTAAAATCCCAGAAGAAAACCTAAGGAAAATTATTCTGGACATTGGCCTAGGCAAAGAATTTATGATGAAGAAACCCAAAGCAAATGCAACAAAAACAAAAATAGACAAATGGGACAGTTAAACTAAAAGCTTCCGCACAGCAAAAGAAACAATTAGCAGAGTAAACAAACAACCTACAGAATGGGAGAAAATATTTGTAAATTATGCATCTGACAAAGGACTAATATCCAGAACTCACAAGGAGCTCAAATAATTTAGCAAGAAAAAAACAAGCCCATTAAAAATGAGACAAACAACACGAACAGACATTTCTCAAAAGAAGAAATACAAGCTGCCAATAAACATATGAAAAAATGTTCAACATCACTAATCATCAGAGAAATGAAAATTAAAACCACAATGAGATATCATCCTACACCAGTTGGAATGGCTATTATTATTAAAAAGTCAAAAAACAACAGATGCTGGTGTGGATGCAGAGAAAAGAAACACTTATACACTGTGGGTGGGAATGTAAATTAGTTCAACCTCTGTGAAAACAGTATGGAGGTTTTTCAATGAACTAAAAATAGAATTACTATTCTACCTGGCAATCCCACTACTGGGTATCTACCCAAAGGAAAATAAATCATTACATAAAAAGTACACCTGCACCCATATGTTCATCACAGCACTATTCACAGTAGCAAAGTCATGGAACCAACCTGTCAACAGTTGACTGGATAAAGAAGATATGCTAGATTTTTAAAAAAATAAAAAGGGGGGGGAGGTGGACAAGTTTTTTTTGCATTTTCAATATTCTATATACACCATGGAATATGATGCAGCCATAAAAAATAATGAAATCAGCCGGGTGTGGTGGCTCACGCCTCTAATCCCAGGACTGTGGGAGGCTGAGGCGGGCGGATCACGAGGTCAGGAGTTCGAGACCAGCCTGGTCAACATGGTGAAACCCCATTTATACTAAAAATACAAAAATTAGCTGGGTGTGGTGGCACACACCTGTAGTCCCAGCTACTCAGGAGGCTGAAGCAGAAGAATCACTTGAACCCGGGAGGCAGAGGTTGCAGTGAGCCAAGATCGAGCCACTGCACTCCAGCCTGGGCGACAGAGCTAGACTTTGTCTCAAAAAAAAAAAAATAATAATAATAAAAATAATAATAATGAAATCATGTCCTTTGCAGCAACTTGGATGGAGCTAGAGCCCATTATCCAAAGTGAACTAACTCAGAAACAGAAAACCAAATGCCACTCTTCTCACTTATAAGTAGAAGCTAAACTGTGGTATACATGGACACAAAGGTAGAAATAATAGACACTAGGACTCCAAAAGGGGGAGCATTGGAAGAGGGGAAGGGTTGACAAATAACCTATCAGGTACAATGTTCACTATTTGGGTAATAAGTGCACGAGAAGCCCAGTTCCCACCAGTGCACAACATACCTATGTTAACAATCATGCACATGTGTCTCCTGAATCTAAATTAAAATAAATTTTAAAATAAAATAAATATAGATGATCCTTGAATAACCCAGGGGTTAGAAATGCTGACCCCCTGCACTGTCAAAAATCTGCATATAACTTTTGGCTTCCCAAAAACTTAACTACTAATAACCTACTGTTGACCGGAAGCCTTACCGATAACATAAATGGTTGATTAACACATATTTAGTATGTTACATGTATTATATACTACATTACTACAATAAAGTAAGCTAGAGAAAGGAAAATGTCATTAAGAAAATCAAAAGAAATATATTTACTATTCATTAAGTGGAAGTGGATCATTATAAAGGTCTTCACTCGTCTTCATGTTGAGTAGGCTGAGGAGGAGAAAGAAGAAAAGGTGTTGGTCTTGCTGTCTCGGGGGTGGCAGAGGTGGAAGAAAATCCGCATGTAAGTGTATTCACTCAGTTCAAACCCATGTTGTTCAAGCATCAGCAGCTGTACTCTGCCGACAGCATAGGGCTCTCTGAGCAGGACCAATTAACAAGATAGGTGAAG
Source organism: Homo sapiens (assembly GCF_000001405.40). Lineage (NCBI taxonomy): Eukaryota > Metazoa > Chordata > Mammalia > Primates > Hominidae > Homo > Homo sapiens. Next base: position 192,925,853 of record NC_000001.11, read on the forward strand.
TAATGCATTATAAATTATCTATAAATAGCTAGCACTTAAACTCAGCTAAATTTAGAATGGTTTCCAGAAGCCTTCCACATTAATAAATATTTAATCTTATTATTTCTAATCTATTTGTTCCAAAGCCCATTAAAACAAATTAATTTCAAAGATCTATGTGCTATGTTTAATGAATTTGGAGGAAAACGCTATTTCTTGAAGCAGATTAAAAAGCATTTTTAGTTTCTTATGAAGCCTTATTCAAACCCTCTGCAAGCAAGCAATAACCCAGAGCAGTAGTTTTCAAAATTTGATCTTTGGTGACCTAGGGGTTCTTCCCCAGAGCTGTTTTCTCTGTGTGTGTGTTTTACATCTTTTACAGGAAGAAATGGCAACATATGTGCATTTGTTCCCAGGAAGGAAGGTGATAGCATTTATTAGATTTTCAGAAGAACCCAAGACTCAGGAAACATCAAGAACTACTGTTCTAGAGTACAAATAGAAACAGAAGAGACATGAAATACCATCTTCTCTAATAATCCAACTGAAAATTAAACCTCCACAGCCTATGCTGGAGCACCTCCAGTGTGTGCTCTGTCTGGAATTCTCTCATTCTATCTCTGGGGGAAATCCTTTTCCCTGCAACTTTGTACAAGTCTTGATCTAAATTCTTCCACCTTCCTACAACATTTGGTCCAAATTTCACCACTTGGCATTTATCTCAAGTCTAAGCTCTTGTCCTCATTCTCATCCTTAAAACCTTTAAGGCAAGTATCAGCTCTCACCTCTTCACCATTCTTCCAACCTTCTCAAAAAATATCCTCATAAGAGTACAGTATACTCAGTGTATTGCCAAGTCTGCATCGAGAGGGCTATTACTGTCATTATCCTCTTGAAGGTTTTTTTAAAAAAACCTACCATTTAATTTACTTTAACAACTCTATTGATATGGACCTAGCAAATCTGGCATTTCCCCACACTCCTCACTACCTATATACCAAATAAATGACATAAGTTTAAAGAGCTTGAGAATTTAGAATCAGCAAAGACAGCTTTAATAAATAAGGAACTTACCATTTTATTCTCACATCCTCAAAAAATGAAATAGATAGAAGAGTAATTTGTAGAGTCAGATTCAGTTTGGAAATAGAAAAGCGAGGGCTCTCATAGGACCAGATAAAACAGAAGTTTCCGTAACTCATTTAGATATTTAGTTATTTTTTAAAAGGAATCTCCACCAGTACCCCTACACAGACGCATACGCAGTCTTCATAGATACACATTCACCTTAAAACCACCGCCTTAAACCATCCCTATTATAATAGAACACAATACTGAAGAACTTAAATTTATCAGCTTCTGTGAGTGGAGAGGATTGTTTCAGCTGGGAAATAAGGAACATGAGATTTACATACTTTATGAGCAATAAATAATAACAATATTGTGCCTGAAATAAATAAACTTTGGCAATAGTAATGATGTCTGCTAGGAAAAAAGTATTTTAATTGAAATTAATATACACTCAAGATTCCTTTTAATTATATCTTTAATCAAACTCTTCTAGGTTATTTTTCCTTCTTTGGTGAATTTTCTTTTTTCTTTTTTTGCTTCTCTTTTCATTGCCCTGGTATTATTAATACAAGAATTTGAGGAATACCTCAAGTACTTGACCACTTTTTGCTTTATGTAACGCTGCCCTGTGTTTCTTTTTTCCAAGGCAGAAAAGATACAGCCATGCTTCCCATTGACATTGTTTTACAAGTTGATTAAATTGCTTAGTTGGTCTTGCAGACAAAATCATCTTTCACCCTAGAAATCTCTGTGCCATTGTTCAGGGAGCAGAGAGCACTGAGGATACACAGTGTTCTGTGTCCTTAACTGCTTGGTGACTCCAGCAGGGAGGCTGCTGGCACCAGACACTCACAGCAGCTGCAAGTTTGCTACCATTTCTGACATAACTGGCCAATTCAGATGATATAGTTTTATATGTTTTTAATTTAATTTACTCTTGAATAATACACATGCCAAAAAATTTAAAAGATACAAAAGGACATAAGTGCTGTCCCAGCTACCCAGATTCCCTGTCTTAGAAGCAATGCTCTTGTGTTTCCCTGCAAGTACATTTTTGCCTATAAAAGCAAATACATATTTTTACACCAATAGTATACAGTTATATACACATTTTCTTGTACCTTACTTTTGTGTGTTAAACTATTGGATATCATACTATATCATGAAATAACAAAAGCAATAGAGGGTGGTATCCTCCTGGATATCCTGGGAAACCATGTGAAGAAAATGTTTCAAAGAGAGAAGTATGTGCTATGTGAAATGCTATCGTAAGATGAGAATTGAGAATGGACTACTGCATTTGGCAAAAAGGAAGTCACTTATGACTTTGACACGAATGATTGTTAGAGAATGCCAAGTGGGGGAGGCAATAGCTGATTGAAATGGATTCAAGATAGAATGGAGGAAAAGAAGGCATCACTCACCACAAATAATTTCCAAAGAACTTTGTTATAAAAGGGAATATAATAATGGGATTGCAAGTGGAGTCAAGAGAGGGGTATTTTTTAATACTGAACATATTATAAGATGTTGGTATGAAATTAAGAATGATCCATTTACAGCAGGAAAATTGAGTGATGGAATATGAGAACAAGACAATTACAAGAGCAATGTCCTTCAGCAGGTGATGAGATGGGATTCAGGGCAACGGAAGGGAGGTTGGCCTGAGACAGGCATGTAGACCCCTCATCCAGCGCAACAGGAAGGAGAGCAGAGTGTGTGGGCATAGACGCAGGCGCAAGGAAAATGGCAGATTTGGTAGTGAGGGCATGTGGAGTCATCCGCCATTCGTGTCTAAATTTTCACTCTAGAAAGCTGTAAGTGGGGGTAGGAGAACATGACAGGGGAGTGTTTACCTAGAGGAGGAATAGAACAAACTGACTGGGTTGCTGGAAACCTTGAAGGCCCAGTTGAAGAGGGTTCAGTTTGTGCTTGAGAATTTAAAGTGAGAGCAATCGGTATGTTTGTGTATTTTTGTCAGCCATGTGAATACATATATTTGGGTGAAATGTTAAATGTAACTGAGGAGTCTGGGGTTTCAGGGGATGCATGCAATAGGCAGTGCAGTAGAGAGAATAAGATGGCCCCCAGAATTCCACATTCCTTGGTAAACACATCTTCCCCTTAGTGTAGGCAGGGCCTGCGAATATGATGGCACATCACTCCCACGATTACGTTGTTATGTGGTAAAGAGATTTTACAGGTCTCTAATCAAAAGGAAATTATTCTGGGTGGGCCTGACCTAATCAAGCAAGCCTTCACAGAAACCTTAGACCTTCTCTGAGCTCAGAGACACTCTCCTGCTGGCCTTAGAGAAACAAACCAGTGTGAGTTCTACAGCTGTAAGCAAAGAATTCTGCCAACGATTGTGTGAGTTTAGGGGAAGACTCTGCATCTTGACTAGTGCCGCATTGTAAGACCAGAGGAGAAGACTTGGTAAACGTGTGCCTGGGCTTCTGACCCTTGGAAACGATGCAATCACAAATAGCTGTTGTTTTAATCTATTAAGTCTGTAATTATTTGTTACTGCAGCGTAGAAAATGAATACAGAGGGAGATAGAGGGAAAGGAGTGAAGGGTAGACAAAGACTGATTATAATGAAGGATTGCAGGAACTAATCTGAGTAAGGAGGGAAACGGGAATGTGAGGAAAGTATGGCACAGTGAAAGAAAAGCAGGAGGGATACATTTACTCTTCAAATATTTGTTGAGTGTCTAAAATGTGCCAGATTCCATGGTAAGAAGGGGATCTGAGGGAATTAGTAGTCTCTGCTTGCTAGATGAAGAAGTGGCTTCGTATGATATTGTGGCAATTCTTATGGACTTGAACAACAGGTTCCTCATGACTATGAAGATGTCCTGCCATCTACTGTGGTTTGGAACCACAAAAGATGGGGGTGGCGGGGAGTGGTTTCCCCAGAGAGGCAGATCCAATGCCGTGGCACTGGCCAAAATGTTAGCAGGTTTATTGGGCCTCCCTGGAGGGCCCTAGGCTCAGATCCTAAAGCCCAGCTATTGAATGTATGTTCCTACTCTGAGGACTGGTTTGTGTAAGCTCCCACAGAGAAAACATTTCTTGCCAAAGCCCTGAAGCAGGAGATAGGAGGGCACTTCCAAAAAATAAAATGCTGGAATACAGACGCCCAGGGGGAAAGAGGCATCAGATGGAGCTAGAAAGAAAATCAGGAGCCTCTGTAAGCAAATCGACTCTGTAAGCAAAAGGAAGAAGCTCTATCTATTATAATATCCGGGGATGGTAAGGCCAACTTAGAGCCACCGTAGACTAGGACAAGGAATGAATGGTGTTCCAAAACCCTTGACTAAAAAACTAGACTTCAAAGTGATTTTAAATGACAGCAAATCCTAAGAAATGCTTTCAAGTTGAAATGAATTATTAGCTCCATTGTGCACTTGTTTTTCCTTTTAGCCCAGCTATTCCCATATGTAGTTTTTAACACTGCAACTCTCTCCAGTGACCTTAAGGAACATCAGAATTTTGGAACAAAATTAAATTTAATTAAAATAGTTAAACTATTTCATTACAACTCTTATAAGAAAGAGCGGAGAGTGACTGATGACCAAAAAATCAAATAAACAGGCTGTCTTAAAATAGAAAGGTTAGCAATCATTTACTCAAATCTTTAGTTAATAAATGCATAATGAAGTTTCCAGTCTTTCCACTGCAATTGTTTATGTACTCTCATGTGGGATTTTATTGTCATTTAATTACATTGGAAAAGGCGCAAAGCAGGCAGGGTACTTTAGTAAACAGTCTTTTCTCTAGCTGCATCAAAGTATCATCATTTGCTATTGTCTTTCAAGAGCTATTCCTTACACAAGAAAAGAGCCAAGTTAGTGCTTGTTTTCTGTCTTTTGACCAGTCTCTACTGTCTATAGAACCCATGATTATAAGGGAACCACTAAGACCGAAACAGAGAGGATGCTAAAAGAAGGAAAAAAATTAACTGGGTTGCTTCAAGGTTGGTCTGCCCTAAAATGTTTCTGAACAATCAAAAGAGATCTGAATTCATTTATCAATAATAGCATTAAGTACAACAATCATTTGGAAGGTTTTCTAGGAGCTCTGACCATTTTTGTTTGTATATTATCTCTAGATAATGAAACAAGGCTGAGAGAGACTTTTTTTTGACAAAGATGATTCCATCCTCATTCTTAAGCATGTTCTTCATTCACTTAGCTTCCGGGACACTTGCCCTCTGAAGGTTTTATCCACCTCCTTGGCCTCTCCTTCTGAGCTCCTCTTTCCCTGCTTGACCCCTGCTGCTCCAGGGCCCAAACTTTCCACCTACACTCTGTGGCAGAGCAAAGTTCGCCAGTCCTGTAGCTGGAATACCAACTTCATACTGAAAAATGCCTCCAGCTCTGACTTCTCTAAGCTCCAATTCAAAGTGCCAAAATGATTTATTTTCCAGCTTTATTGGAGTATAATTGACAAATAAACATGGCATATATTTAATGCATACAATTTGATGTTTTGATAAACATTTTCATTGTAAAACGATTACCACAATCAAGCTAGTTAACATATCCATAGCTATATAATAATTATTTTTTGGCAGATCTCTCTTACTCTCTTAGCAAATCTCATGTGCACAATAGAGTACCGTTAACTATAGTCACCATGCTGTATTTTAGATCTCTAGAACTTATTCATCTCACGTACCTGAAACTTTGTACTCTTTGACCAATGTCTTCCCACTTCCCTCCCTTCCCAACCCCTGGTACCACCACTGTACTCTGTGCTTCTAGGAGTTTGACTATTATTTAGATTTCACATATAAGTGAGATCATGTAGTATTTGTCTTTCTGTGTCTGACTTACTTCACTTAACATAATGCCTTCCAAGCCCATCCATGTTGTTATACGTGGCAGGATTTCCTTCTTTTTTTAAGGCTGAATATATTTCATTATTCCACAATATACTACATTTTCTTTATCCAAACTTAATATGTGTGTAGTTTTCTATTGCTGCTGCAACAAATTACCACAAACATAGTGACTTAAAACAGCATTTGTCAGCAGAATTACATTCCTTCTGGAAGCTTCAGGGGCGAATTCTTTCAATGCCTTGCCTTTTCAGCTTCTGCAGCCGCCTTCATCCTTTGGCTTGTGGCTCCTTCCTCCATCTTCTATGTACATCATTCCAAACTCAGGTTCCAGTGTCCCATCTCCTTTATCAGATTCTGATTCCTCCTGTGTCCCTCTTATAAGGACCCTTTGATGACACTGAGCCCACCTGGATAATCCAGGATATTTTTGCATATCAAGGTCCTTAACTTAATCACATTTGTAATGTAAAGTCCCTTTTGCCACATAAGGCAACATACTCATGCATTCTAGGGATTTAGGATATGGACATCATAGTGGGAGAAGCACTATTTTGTTTTAAACTTGAGTATTTTTAACTCCATAGTGCAAATTCTATGGTTGGTGCTATCTTTTGAGCCTCAACATACCACCACTCATCTAGTCCTGGCAGAGCTGAGCTGGAGAATTCTGGGCCTGGAGTAGTTCCAAGACTCCAAGGAAGAAATCCCAGTGTTGTAACAATGATGATAGCCTTGATATTCTCTTATCAGATTCTCTTCTCCATCAAGGTATTTTTACAGTATGTTATAAGCAATCCCTATCACTCCACAAAAGAATTAATAGATACAGTCTGCTCTAAATGTGCAAATCATAACACATTCATAAAGATGGCACAAGGTTTGCTGAAGGGTATTACTCTTAGCACTCTGCACTATGTGAAATAATAATAATACTGAGAGTACCTAACATTTTGTGAGCACCGTTGTTTCCTAGATGTGTTCACGTGTTCATTATATCATTTAATTCTTAATATAATTACAAAGTATAGGTATTATCATTTTTGTTGATAAAGAAATTGATGTTTATAGGTGTTGAGTGAATTACCATATAGCTTCAAATGAAGAGAAGGGAGTCTAAGACTGTTCTAGCTGCCTCCAAAGCCAATATTCTTTTCTATAAGGCCAAATACCTTCCAGAGCAAAGGAGAAATTTCCTGCTGAACTCTTCATTCATCCCCAATAAATATAAGAACAAAATTAAAATGTAGGGCACTGGTGAATTGCTTTCTGGAATTTTTTTCTTGGGAACCTCAAAGGAGTGACAGTGACTTGTGTAGATTTTGCAAATTGCAATATCCCCTAGCTCTCATGTAGGTTATCATCGTGCTGGGAGCATGATAAATACTCAGTAAATACTTGGTGAAGGTTGTTGAATAAATTTAGGTGCAAATAAGCAAACTTTTTCAGATAACTGGTTATTTTTCATTTTTTCCATGAGGTCACAAGGGATTTAGTTGGGGAAAGAGAAGATAAGCCCAGAAAGTATACTAATAGTAGGATTCCTAAACAGAGCAGGGAAGGGACGCTCCTCATTGCAGAGCTCCACGCCCCATGGAAATGACAGCTTCTGAAGAAGTTGTAGGGTGGTAACCACCACCGCACAGATCTACCAAGTAAGGGTATGAAATCCTTTTGCCCTTACCAATTTAGTCGTTAAACCTCCTCCCTCACCACTCTTCATTTACTTACGCACAGGACTAACATATACTAAATCCCTACAATAAGCCAGTCTCAGTGCTGAATTCTAAGGATATAAAGATAATTAGGAATCAGTCCCTGCCCTAAAGAGGGTAAAAACACAATAATAGAAGAAAAATATAGAAAATAAATTCACTAAGGTATTATAGGGGCTACAACAAATTTTATCATTTATAGTGGGAAGCTCAAAATCAGAATGGTAAATTCTACCTGATTAGAGGTGAAAGTGAGGTCAGAAGAGGCTTCAGAGAAAAGGGGAGTTTAAGGAATGTTTAGGTTCTCTCAGGTTTGGGGGAAAGGGTAAGAGATAGGTGGAGAAACAGGGATGTGTCCAGATAGAGGGAATAACATGAGCAAAGGTGCAGAGATATTGAACTGTTGTGTTTTATAGAAACTGAAAACAGGTTGGTTTCATGGCTACTTTTCATTTTGAGAAAATGATCATTAGTCAAAAACATAGTTTGATTTAACACAACAAGTGCCTTCCACTTCTACAGTTTGCAATTGCTTTGGCCTTAGCTGCAGGTAACTCTGCTAAATTCCCCACGCTGTGTCTCCTTCTAGACAAGCACAGGGCAGGATTTCTACCTAAGAAGCTTCAGCTCTGCAGCTAGGTAAAGTCACCATTTTCTATGCCCAGCCAAGGAATGCATGAAGCTCCCTGCTCTCCCTCCCTTGTCTTCCTGCATCAGTCTTCATTTTCTTCCTCCTATTGTCTCCTCCACACCCCCACCTCCACTCCATCTCTTCAGTGGAACCTTGCAAGAAGCTAATGTGTACCTAGCTGCCTGTTCTCATGTGAGCCAATAGAACTAATCAAGGTACCAGTGGAAAAACAAGCAGAGATTTGATCCATCATTAAGCTAAACCAAAACACAGAGTCTCTAGGGATTTTGTGTGTGCGTGTGTGTGTCTTTCCTAGGTTCATAAATCTTAGAAATGAGAATAAGAGCAAAATAATTAAGGGATAAGTCTGAGTTCTTGAACCTTGAATACTTTCCCCCATCTTGTGTTTATTTTTGTACCCACCACTTAATCTACACGAAGAGAAGTCCACATTAAGGAAGTCCTTTATGAAAAAAATCACATCAACAGGTGATTAAAATTTTCTCTTGATATACTTTTACATAAGCATTGCGAGCTTATTGAGGGATAAGCATCTTGGAAATACAGTATTTCCAAGTCTAAATGTCAAACATAATTCAAAAATAGCCCACTGGAGTGTTTCCCCCAAACAAAGCAAATCCTCCTCCAAACCCAACATGTCATGGGTGTGCAAAGTTTAAAACAAGGGCAGAGGACTCTACAATAAATCCCAAAATATTGGCAGGCCTGTAAAATATTTATGATTGGCCACGTATTATGAGACTCTATTTCTAGTACATTCTTCCTAAACAACAGGACTTTCTGCATTTTCAAAGAGCTATCCTGGATAATCACCAAAAAGTAAATATCATGAGTAAAGATGTTCAAAATTAGTAGTATTAAAAACAGTGATATTTTAAAAAATACAAGATATTTGTATTTCACCACCATCCACGCTTAGAGTTTTCCTTTTTTTCATGTTTAACTCTCAAACTTCTATATATCTGTGAGAAGTATGGTTTCACTTCAGTGTAGACATCATCACTGTATCTTATAGTCAGAAGAGATTGTCAATATCATTTAATTCAACCTTTTCATTTCACACATGACCAATTGGGTAAATCGTAAGGAGCGCCTGCTAAGAGGTACTGTACCAGGGCTGTAGGAGAGATCTTGATGGGAAAAAAAGATGCATGATTCCTTAAATCATTTGGAAAAAAATTATTTCATTTCTGTGTTAAAGAAGGTTTATATCTACTTGAAGAGATTCAGTAATGTATACATATAGATTAAAGCAAAAAAGGATAACTGCAGAAAGGCTGATCCAAACCAAGTGCAATACATAGACTAAAGGAAGTCATTTTGCCTGGTGGAATGTTGGAAGGCTATCTCAGGTAATAGGATTTAGACTAGATTAAAAGGATCAATATATTTTCATTAAATAGCAGTGCAATAAACAGTTATTTTCCATAGATGGAATAGTGTTAGTAAAGATTCCTATATGATAAAGAATATGTGTGTCCCAGGAGTTCTAAAACCAGATTTGGTAGAAGCAACAGAAGGAATCATTAGGACTTCTTAATATTGAGAATTAAACAATAAGTTTGCTTCTGGCTACAAGAAGTAGAATCTCAATTTAACCAAATAAAGCCACTTAGTCCAGAGTTAGGTACTTCCAGACATATTTATTCAGTAGCTTCTTAAATTCATCAGGGAAATGCTTTTTCCACTTTAGCTCTACTCTGCCATCCTCACCATGTTAAGTTGAATCTCTCCTCATGTCACCAGGTGGCCTCTGCAGTCTGGCATCACTCCAGGTACCACAGCATCCTATGTAAGAAAAGAGACTGTTTCATCCCTGCATCTCCTTTTAATAATGAAGAGATTTTTTCCAGAAGCTCTCCAGCTGAGTTCTTATCAGCTAGACCTAGATCACATACTCATCCTTACACCAGTCTCTGATAAGACAAAAGTATTACCAAAACTGAGCAGTGTTTTACCTTCGAGGCACAGGAAGAGAAGTCAGGGCTTCGCTAACAAAGAAAAAGGGAGACTGGCTCTTGACTAGGCAACTCACAACGTTAAGGAACCACAGCTATTCCCTGAAGCCTGTTGGAGGAAAAGGTAAAGTAAAGGGCTTCTCTCCCTATTTAGAACAATGGCTCCTTTACAAAGGCTGGGAAGATGGTGGTTGGGAGTTCCTCTAGGCAACAACAGACCTTATTCAATAGATGATGGTTTGGGGTTTGGGCCATGGCACCTTCACATCCTACTCAAATCACTAGGTGGTCAGGTCCATAAGGAGGACAGGAGCAGAGAGAGGCCATAGTTCAAGGTCAAGATTTTTAGAGAAGTTTGTAAGTTCTTCTCTTCCTTCCTAGTGTTGGGCAGGTGAGCCTCATAACATCATTAGGCACCAATCTTAGGCACTCTGAGGGTAGGTCCTTCCCAATTGCATGTCTCTTGCCAGTCATATAATGCAATCCATATATTTAAAGAGTTTCTCAAATCAATTCAAATCTCAAATCAATTTATTGTTTTGTCAATTACTTTATTTCAGAACATGATGTCAGAATTCTTAATACCTCAGTAAAGGTAATGTTTTGGGTAAAGTAACTGTTGCATCCTGCGTCAAGGGCATATAATCTGGGCACCCAAGTCAATTTTCATAATCATATGTTGCTACATTGTCATTTTAGTAAGGAAATGATGATGATGTTTTGTGAAACCACATCTTTTTTTCAGCTACTGTTTTTTACTTTATGATAGGAGGGGAAAAACACAAAAACAGAATGAGTCACTCCATTGCCACCACTTCTCTATCATTTTCCTTCCTGTTTTCCTATTGGAGGTTGCAGTTAAGGTCACTTCTGGACTCATTAGAGTCTCAAATCAGGCTTAGATGAAAGCACTGAGGAGATGTTTTGTCCTTCATTTGACAAATATTTATTCTAGAACACTGTTCCAAAGAATTAAAAATCTAAATAAAATATAGCCATCCAGGCAGCTAGCAGAAAAATAATGAAATAAAAGTACATTTATTGGCATGGAAAGTTGTTCACAATAAAGGAAAATATATATCCATAAGCATTGTTCACTTTTCTGTGTGTATGTGTGAGTAGAGACTGTGTGTATGTATCTATCCAGATATTTTTTTTCATTATTCATGTATATACATAGATATATTGAGCGTGTAGTGTGCTATCTTAAACAAACAAAACACTTGCCTGTAGTTACTCTGTCTTCTAAGAGCTGGTGTAGGGGTGGTAGACAGTGATGTAGAAGGTGGTCAGAATCACAGCTTTCATGCCAGTGGGAGAATAAATCTCTATACTGCTTTCTTTTGCCTACACAAGCCAGTACAAAAGGAGTCTTGCCTAAGATTTTAATCATGTTAAAAGAAAGATTAAAATTTCAAAATTTAGGGTAAGTTTTGCCTAATACATTTTAACTTTAGAGCAATGCACATTTGCATAACAAAAATCTCAAAGAACATAGTTTCTATCTTTAAGGAGCTCTTTTAGAAAAACACAGAGGAAGAAGTCACTGCCTCTACCTGGAGGTACCCAGGTAGGCTCCCTCAAGGAGTTGGTCTTTAAATTGGGTTTTAAATGAAAAGTCCTCAGAAAATAAACAGCACATGTTAAAGCATAAAGGAGCCTGGCAATTCAGTAGGACTGGACCTCAGACAGGGGTGTATGGAGACCCACATATGGAAGGGAGTGTAAGTGGTAGCAAAAGGCTGTAACAGCAAATGGGGCCCAGATAATGAAAATGTAAGCCAGCCGGGCATGGTGGCTCACTCTTGTTAATCCCAGCACTTTGGGAAGCCAAGGCAAGAGGATTGCTTGAGTCAATGAGTTCAAGACTAACCTGGGCAACATAGTGACACCTCTGTCTCTACAAAAAAAATTTTTTTTAAATTAGCTGAGTGTAGTGGCACACACCTGTAGCCCTAGCTACTCAGGAGGCTGAGGCAGGAGGATCACTTTAGCCTGGGAGGTCAAAGCTGCAGTGAGCCGTGATCACACCACTGCACTCCAGCCTAGGCAACAGAGTAAGACCCCATCTCAAAAAAAAAAAAAAAAAAGACAGAAAGAAAAAGAAAAGAAAAAGTAATCATCTCCAAATGAGATTTCACCTTCAACATCATGAAGAGTCACTGAAGATTATATTTCCTTTAACAAAAAAGAACACATAATTTTAAAAGTGTTTTTATGTAAATTTTTGTAATCATAGAACAAAGGATATAGGGAACTAACTCTTTGTTCTTAACCTGAAGCTTTAGATCCTTTAGACTAATTCTCTTGGAGTAGAGCAGCACATCCAAAGTGGGGCTCCGGACTGGGATCAGCCAATAACACATTTCTCACCAGACCAGGGGGAAATAACAGACATAAGAACAATGTAGGGAATTTTGTATAAAACTAAATCTATTCTGTATTTTATTTTAATGTGTGTACATTTAAGGAGCACGAGCACAGTTTTGTTACATGGATAGACTGTGTAGTGGGCTTTTAGTATAACCATCACCTGAATAGTGTACATGGTTCCCTCCTCTCACCATCTACTCATCTCTCACCCCCTCTCACCCTCCCACTCTTCTGAGTCTTTATTCAGTATTTTGAAATTTATTTTTAATGTCTCTCATTAGCAAAACAAAAAGGAAATTGGCAATCCCATGTTGGTGTCCCCTAATGTATTTTTACTTTCTTGTTCATTAAAGCTGAAGTTCAGGGAACTACTGGACTACAGTTGTGTAGTTTCACTAGACGCTGAAACTAGCCAGAAAAAGGAAAATAAGCAGGGCAAAACACATAAAAACAAGCGAGCAATCAAAGAGTTAGAGGAAATTCCAGTGGTCTAGGAGAAAATGTGGAGGTGAAAAAGGAACTGAATTTAATAACAAATAAAGCATTAGTTTCCTGCAAAGTTGAAATAAATATTTTATTTTAAAAAAAGAGACATTGTACATTCTTCTTTTAAATTTTTCGTGCCAAATACCTAGTTTATACTTTGTATTTTTAGAAGAATCATTTGAGGCTTAAAATGCAAGGCGTGTGTATATATAAATGTCTTTCCTTTATGAGATACGTGTCTTCTGCACAGAGGGCTGTAAAAAATTATCTAAAATTTTTTTAATAATAAGAAAATTTTTGCCAAATAAATCTTTATTCTCATATTTTTTAAATGCTAAAGAACCTCTCTCAGTAGATTGTGTTGTCAATTCTAGCATGGAAGAATTAGAATCATGTTCTGGCTTGTGCAGTGCAGAGGAATTACAGGATATTTGCTGGGCGTTTCACCTTATAATTCACTTTTCCTCTGTGTGATCTTCTCTTTCTAATGTTGTTCTTTTCTTTCTCCTATAGTCAATTTACTTGCAAGCACCTACTCCTAGTTTGTTTCCTGAGTGGTTGTAGGTATCTGCCACAGGCTGATAAACTTCCCGAGGTCAGTTACCTCTTAGTCTTAGTCTTCTCTTAGTATCCCTGCAGAGAACCCAGGCCCATAGACTCATTTAAGCTTGTTTACTTACTTTGCCTTCCCTCAAAGAGCGATAAAGAAAATGACCTTAGCTCCATAATCCTCAACTCTGATTTATAGAACAAGGCATCCCATTAGTGGCTTTCATTTCCATCCTATCAGTCAATTGTGTTTTGGCAGGATACCTCAAAGTTAAACATCATAAAGCTAGATTTAATGTTAACTTATTGCTATGTAAATGGAAATATCCTTTTCATATTTCACTTTCTATTTGTGTTAGATCATAAAAAATTAAATCCATCTAGCTCTAGCATATAATAATGCATGTTTAGAGACAAGAATAGGAATCAGAAGGGTAGATTTGAAAATAAGTTTGAAAATGACAAAAAGATATTTAAATCAGACTTCATCTTTTAAAGAGCAAACATTTGTGCTTTATAAAATTCACTAAATTTATTTGTTTCCTTAAAATAATAAGAGGATAAAATTTGAAGCTCCATATGCAAGTTTTAAAAATGATAATTTTAAAATGTTAATTCTTTGTTAGCTAAGGAAGTATTTTGGATATATCTCTTCCACAATTTTATCTTCTTCTTTTCAATAATTATTTTTAACATAAATTTAGCTTATAATTTCATCATCAAAGCTTTAAGAAATCCATAAGTATTTTTAGCAACATTGTAAATCTCTCTTATTTCTATTCTGCTTTTTTCCATTCCATTTTTTATTATAGTTAAAAATAACTATAATACTAGCCCAGTGTGCATTCTTCCTCTTTGGGGTATATTTTAAGCAACTAACAATGAATCCAATTTGTCAATAGCTCAGAGCGCATATTAGACAGACAAATACATTAAGCACGGAAATTTGCATTGAAATAAACATACCATCACGACTTCTTAAATTAGGATTCACAGTAACTACCATTTAGTGAGTTCTTATCATGTAGCACACACAGTGCTAAAAATTCAATATGTATAAATACACACATACATATATACATACATATATAATCTTGTTTATTCTTTATAGTAACAGTATGAGGTAGGTACATTTAACGTTCCCATGTTACAGATAAGGGTACTGACACTTATTAAATGAAGATATTTGGTAAGAGGCAAAGCCAGAAATAAAATTCAGGTTCTGCCTGTCTAACTCTAAAATCTATAGACAATAACCTGCATAATTGCAAAGTGGGCAGACTGATAACCTTATAAAATCAGGATCACCCAAATTCAAAATGACACCCAACACTCTCTGACCCTTATTACATAATTTCTCTAGTGAGCAAACACTGTCATACTTTGCAAAGACAATTTCATACTTCCTCAATGTCTGTCTCATAGCAGCTGCTCAATAAAGATATGTTAAATAACAATAATAGCAAAGATTTAGATAATGCTATATACAAAGCACTTCTCTTTCTTTCCTATTTTTTTAAGTTTTAGATTCAGGAGGGACATGTACAGGTTTGTTACATGGATATATTGTGTGATGCTGAGCTTTGGGCTTCTATTGAACCTGTCACCCAAATAGTGAACACAGTACCCAATAGGTAGTTTTTCAACCCTTGACCCTCTCCCTCCCCTCTTTTAGTGTCCCCAGTGTCTGTTGTTCCCATCTTTGTGTCCGTGTGTACCCAATGTTTAGCTCCCACTTTTAAGTGGGAACATGCAGTATTTGACTTTTCTTACCTTTATACATTTTAACTCATTTAATTTTCTTAACAGCCCTATGAGGGTAGTTACTATTGCTAGTCTAATTTTGCAGATGAGGAAATGGAGGCACAAAGAAATTAGATAACTTCTTCTGGGTCATGTAAGTGGAAGAATTAGACTTCAAGCCCAAGCAGTCTTGTGCCCTAGTTCCACAGTCCATAGCCCAAACAAATAAATGAATGAAATAACCAGAATGATTTTTGCCAACATACATCAAATTATCACTGCCTTGAATCAAATCGTTCAGGGACTCCCCACTAGTATGTAGGATAAAAATGTGCAGTTCATAGTCCAGCCTGTAAGGCCCTATATGATCTACTACTTCATCTTTCACCTCACATTTTGTGCCCTTCACTCTCCTCGGTCTCATACAGCAGATATCATTCAGTACTTTCCTTCCAATCTGGGTCCTTCACACATGTTGTTTCTTCTCCCTAGAAGCTCATTCTTAAGACCTTCAACTGATTAACTTGAATTCATCATTCAAGACTCCACCTAAATATAACTTCTTGTGAGACAGTGTCTCTCATATGCCTATATAACCAAGGTATCTACTCTTGTTATATAATCTTGTAGTACTTAGTACAGTTTCAAAGGGTATGTGCCTGTCTATCTGTCTCTTCCTCCTTCATTACACTGTAAATTTGATGAGGGCAGAGACCATGACTTGTTCTAGTACATGTCCTGTACTAGGTACTTGACAGAAGCTTGTTGAAAGTGAGAATGAATAAACAGCTCAATCAAAAGCATTATTCAAAATGTATTGTCATAATATTGTGCGCGAATGTGTATGAATGCCAATTGCCAAATATATCTGCCAAGCACTAATTTAATAATCAAGAATATCCACCAGGTCTCTGAGGAGCTAAGATTGAATATGGTTATCAAGCCAAAGATATAATGAAAACGAAAGAGGATCGGCTTCCTCTTTTCTCTCATCATGTTAAATGCAGTAACTATAGTTTTATCTGCTACATGTGTGATAACAGCACATCCCCTCTTCATTGAGAAAGGCCTCCCCCTTACCTCAGTGTCCTGTCACAGGTACGAGCCAGGGACCATGTCAGGCCAGAGTTGTCCATGCTTCAAGCAACAATGATTCCTTAGAACATGAGCACAAGGCCCCACATGGGCCAGTCAGAATCCTCCATGTGACTATTAGATTAGTTCAAATTAGGAGCACTTCCTTCTTTGCCTTTGGAGTCACAATTCTAGGAAGATTTAAATTTAAGCTGCTTAATAGCCATCTTCCCAAGTCGTATGGAAGAAGCCTGTCTGTATCACCAGAAAAAGAGGCCCAATGTGCTAACACAAACAGAAATAAGCAGAGATGAAAAGCAGAGAGACATCTCTAATTCTCATTTAAGCTATTGTACTCCACTATATCTGAAGTCAGCTGTATTCCAGACTTTCCAGGTAGGTAGGCAAACAAGTATTTCTTTTTGATAAAGTTGTTTTGAGAAGATCTTTTTGTCACTTGCAGCCATGTGCCCTGATTCATACATCTTCCCAATCAAATCACAATTCCAATACTTGGAAACACAAAGCCTTGGAGGGGCCTGCGTCAAGATTTACAGAAAACTGAAAGATTATAGGCTTGGTTCAGACTTACAGGGAACTTACACACAGTGCATAAGAACAGAAAATCCTGTCATAATCACAAAAACCATACCAGGTCATACAAAAGCCTGGGAAAGTGGAATGTCCCTGAGGAAAGAAGCAAAAAGGAAGAAAAGTTACCCCTTCCACAAAAGTGTCCTTTTTTTCCACTGAGGGTTGCTACTATTACAGGTAGAGGCCCAGGAGAAATACTCATCATGTTTCCTGCATGTCCAAATGAGAATTCCCATCAAAGCAGGCCTCACTTCCTCTACAGAAGCTACAGGGGTTGCTGTTTGTTTCAACCTAAGTCTGGGTTATCACTATTTTAAACCTCAAGAACATATAATCCTGCCATCATCTGACTCTTTTGTAGATCTTGTAACATTTGAAATCTTACATCTGTTCCTGTGATGCAATTAACTTTAGAGTTAGACACCAAGTTTGTTATCCTTGTAATTCCACAGTGTTCCCCGGTGCCTTGGGAGAAGAGAGGCACAACACTACAGACAGAACGAAGAATTTAAAGGAGCAGCGAAATGAATGTTTTAACTCATAGCAGAACAAATGGTCTGAAAGTTAAGTAAAGGCTCATCTACAAGTGTGGATTTTTGAACATAGAATCCCTATCTGTGTTTTGATTTTTTTTTTTTTCCCAAGAGCTTGGTTTTCCAAAGAAAAAGAGATTTGGGTCATATTAATTGCCAACACTTAGAGAGCATTTACTATAAGGCAGGTGCTGCTTCTTATTTGAACTAATTTAGCCTTCTTAATGATTGTCCGATTGTCTTGAATTTACTGTTGAGAAATGTCAAAGAGGTTACACTGCTTGTTGAAATTCACACAGCTGTGTAACCACAGCTGTCTCTGCTGTTGCCTTTATCACTACCTTTCCCAGAATCACTTACTGCCTAACAATCTTGGGTATCTCCATCAGCTCTTTCTCCTCTTTTGTATATCAACAACTTTAAATTTTTATACAAAATATATTTAAAATCTTTTTTAGGGATTTCCATGAAATATCTGCCCTCCATTTAGCTATTTTGTGATACTTTCTGGGAGATTCTTCTCAACATTATCTTTCATTTACTTTATAGAATTTTTAAAATTTTTAATGAATATTTTCTATTTCCAGGATCTATTTTTTGGTCTCTGAATTCCCTTCTCAAGGCATCCTTAATTCCCGTGAGAATACTAATTAGAATTTATTTGGTGTTTCTCTCTTTTTTCTTCCATTTTCAGAACTCTTTATTTTTCAAAACTTTATACCAATTAAACAATCATTCCCCTTTCCCCTCTCCCTTCAGCCCTTGGCAATCAGCTTTCTAGTTCTTTTTCTATGAGTTTCACTATTCCAAGGACTACATATAAGTAAAACCATACACCATTTGTCCTTTTATGACTGGCTTATTTCATTTAACATGATATCCTCAAGGTTTCTCCATGTTGTAACTTGTGTCAGAATCTCCCTCCTTTTTTAAGGCCGAATAATATTCTATTATGGTAACTGTGTGTCCATAATAAAATGTTTATGTGCATTTTTCTAATAATCAGTGATGTTGGACATCTTCAATTTGCCATTTGGAAATCTGAGCTTATTTGTCATTTGTATATCTCTTCAGTGAAATTACTATACAAGTCTCTTTGTATAGTAATATATATCTCTTTGTATAGTATTGTATATCTCTTCAGTGAAATTACTATACAAGTCCTTTGTCATTTGTTTTTGAAAAGTTTTTCTGGGTACTGGTGATTTTTAGTTAGATGAGTAAGTTCTTCAGATTTCTAGGATTTCAGTGCACCCATCACCCGAGCAGTGTACACTATACCCAATATGTAGTATTTTATCCCCCACCTCCCTTCCAACCTTCCCCTTCGAGTCCCCAAAGTCCATTACATCATTCTTACAACTTTACATCTTCATAGCTTAGCACCCACTTATAAGTGAGAACATATCACATTTGGTTTTCCATTCCTGAGTCACTTCATTTAGAATAATGGCCTCCAGCTATATCCAAGTTGCTACACATTGTTTCTCTCTTGTTCTTTGCACTATATGTATTTCCTCGAGGACCAGAGATTTCTTTGTTTTCCACTTGTGTTCATGTTATCTCAAATCTCTAGCGATCCCTTAGCCTTTGTTCATATTTAAGGTTCTGCTAACATGAATGAAGTGTTTCAACTGGCTGATTTGCTTTAGGGAGATGACTGAGTAAACAAGTTATTATACCAGGGTTCTTAAATGACACCATTTAGAGGTCATTTGTTGGGGGGGGTGGGGGGACACTGTCCAATTTACTTAGAGAAGAAACTTCTGATCTTCTAACTGGGAATTAGAGGAAATTATGCCAGTATTATGTACATTGTAGTAATTGGCAATTCCATGTATAGACTTCCATCTCCATGTTTTGAACTTTTCTCTGCTGAACCTAACGTCTAAAAATATCTTCTGACCCTCACTGGGTTCTGCAAGAAAATCATTTTTCTTCTTACTCATATCTTTTCTGAGACCCTCTTGGCTGCAGCCTCCCTACTACATCTGTGAAAACGCCATTCACTTTCCATCTTCTAGAATCTTGTTGAACTCCCTCTTTTTCCTGACACCTCTTTCATTCTCGTCTGTGAAACTGTATGAATTTATTCTGTTGTAATCACTCTATTACAAGATCAAGAGGAAAGTGACAAATGCTGACTTTAACAGGAAGTCATCTCTCTCTCTCCACCAGCGGTCAGGATCCCACCCCACCTATTGCTGTGGGACTTCACTCTTGTCAGGACACTCCCACTCTCCTGTATCTCTGACCATTCTTTCTCTGATTGGCTTTTTCCCATATTCATCACATGCTCAGATCTTTATCAGCTAAAAATTAAAAAGAAATCTTAAAAAAAATTAAAACAGTGCTTAGACTATAGTAAACTCATCCATGGTGATCTCTTTCATCTCTCTATAGTCAAGAATCTTAAATGAATGGTCTGCATTTGTTTCTCCTTATTGTTCAGTGATTCTTTGCAATCTGGCCTTCATTACCACTCCACAGAAACTATCCTGATCATGTGATGCCTTTGTTACTAAAGCTGGTTGATACTTTTCCATATCTGCTCGAGCTCTCTGTAGCATTTGACATCAGTGGCCAAGCCCTCGTCCTTCCTCTGCCTTCCACAGATCATGACACCAAAGTTTCCTTCCTGGCTCTCTATTAGTTTCTTCTCAGTATTTTCCATGAATTCCACTTCCCCTGTCTATCCCTTAAATGTTACTATTTTTTAAGATTATGTACTAAGTTTTTTCTAGTCTCATTCTGAAAATTATTTACAAATTATCTCTTCTAATTCTATACCTATATTTATCAACTCAGTCTCAATGACTCGAAAATGATATCTTTAGTCCAAAGGTTTTTCTTTTATTCCAAATTTCTATACCCAATTACTTTCTGGGGGTGTGAACTACCATGGCCTATGAACACTCCAAAATCAACATCTTCCCTCACCTCCCAACCATCATCCATCCAGTTGTCTAAGCCAAATACTTGTGTATCTTCCTAGAATCCTAGCTTCCCCACTTACACATAATCATCAACTCTTTGGGGGATCTATTTAATTCTATGTGATATATCCCCAACTGATTCAATTTCATCCAATTTCAGTTAGGCAACAGACATAATTTGTCTCTGTGCCTCAAGTCTTATTCTCTAGAAGGCTTCCCTGAACCTCCACAAAACTAGTTTTCTCCTTATACATTCTTTTTTTTTTTTTTTTTTTTTTTTTTTTTTTTTTTTTTCCTGACAGAGTGAGACTCTGCAGTGCAGTGGCTGATCTCGGCTCACTGCAATCTTCGCCTCTCAAGTTCAAGCGATTCTCTTGCCTCAGCCTCCCGAGTAGCTGGGATTACAGACACCTGCCACCATGCCTGGCTAATTTTTGTGTTTTTAGTAGAGATGGGATTTCACCATGTTGGCCAGGCTGGTCTCCAACTCCTGGACTCAAGTGATCAGCTTGCCTAGGCCTCCCAAAATGTTGAAATTACAGGCATGAGACACTGCGCCTGGCCTCCTCATTATACATTCTTATTCAATGCTGTACTCCTCATTCATAGCAATCCTCCCAAGTATAAATAAATTACTTATTATATAAATGGTTGTCATTTGTCTCCCTCAAAAAATTAAGCTCCCTGAGGGAAAAGAACATTCATAATATTTAATATTTGTTAGATGAACAAATGGATCAATGCTTCTTAAATTTATTTTCTACACTGCCACTAACCTAATCTTTCTAAAACAAAAACAGAGTCATGTCACTTTACTGTAAAAAATCCTTCAATGGAAAAAAGAAAAAAAAAGGGAGGTCTACAGTGGATTCCCACTGCCTTAAGCTATTGATTTTATGTCTAAACTTCTTAGCATGAAAGACAAGGTTTTCTAAGACCTGGTCTACTTACCTCTACAGCTTTGTTTCTTTAGCTGACTGCTCAATATCACTGCTCTCCCTCAACTTAACTGCAAATAAATTCAATACTTCAGAAATAACAAAGGAGGAAAAACACTCTTTTAATATTTTATTATGCTCAAATAATTTAAAAATATATAAATAAAATGATTAAATAAAGCCCCAAACCTTTTTTCAAATAAGCACCCTAAATTATCTAAATCACCTAGGATGCTTGTTTTCCTAAGAACCAAGGAATATTTCAGGTGATTTAGTATAAAGTATAGCATGCCCAGACAAGATCCCATAACAGGAGTTACTTACCTGGTGCTGCTTATTTTGGATATCAGAATTTTAAAGGAAATGAGGTCCATTTGGTTTAGGCATCTATATATATATCAGTACGTAGAGGACTAAATGAGGGTTTAAAAGAATTTGTTGAATATAACTGAACCAACTCTAAAATGAAAAATATATAAGATGGAATGATGATTAAATGGAAATGCTTAACTCAGTAAATGATCAGTTTCTTATTTCTAATGGACCCAAGTCTGCAATTCAAAGTTGGGAAGAGGCAGACAGTATGACATGAAATACTCTGTGTATTATATCAATTACACCTCAAGAGAAGAATTTGACTTTGCAAATTACAGAACTAGTAAGAAAACATTTTTTTTCTTTCATACGGGTTTAGTCTGTCCTTAAAAGGGGGCTTTGGGGGTAGATATTGGATTCAACTGTTATTTGTCAGACAAGTGAAAGAATAAAGAGAAGTGTGTGACACAGTGGTGGAGAAGCCTTACCTGGGACCAATCTGAAGTGCCTGTTGTGTTCTGCAGTATCATAAGTCGCCAGGGTCTCTCTGTCTGGCATAGCCATTCTCATTCCCAAAGTGCTTCAGGGATTTGGATCAAATCCAAAGACTATTCTGCTTGTTCATTCTGAACAGATTAATTCAGATTTGGCTAAAGATACTGCTGAGAAAAGAAGCGTGAATCCTAAGGGAACATCAACTTTCATGACTAAAGATAGAATTACCTGAAAAGTACATGGGGAGCTATGGGCAGAGTTAGAAGTTTATATTCTTACAAAGAGATCTAAACTTAAAGGAACAAGGACTGGGGAGAACTATAACTGCCTATGACAGTCAGTTTCTTACATGGTTTTATTTTAAACTATGCAGAAAAATTACACAGAAATGGCTCTTTCGGCCAGGCACGGTGGCTCACGCCTGTAATCTTGGCACTTTGGGAGGCCGAAGTGGGTGTATCATTTGAGCTCAGGAGTTCGAGACCAGCCTGGGCAACATAGCGAAACCTTGTTTCTACAAAAAATACAAAAATTAGCCAGGTGTGGTGCACCTATAGTTCCAGCTATTTGGGAGGCTGAGGTGGGAGGATCTCTTGGGCCCGGGAGTTTGAGGCTCCTGCAAGCCAAGATACTGCCACTGCACTCCAGCCTGGGCAAGAGACCCTGTCTCAAAAGAAAAAGAAATAGCTTTTTTTTCTCACCCTACATTATAATTTTCATCAGCCACCTCCAACCAATCAGTAAAATCTAATATATCTGTGCAGTCTTCTGTGTAATTAATACGATAAACAAAGGGGCAGAGCAGTAAAGAGAAATGAGAATTGTCCCACATTTTCCCATTTTTGGTACTCATGAGAACAGAGATGCTACCTCTCAGGGGTTTCGGACTAGCAAGGAGGAAAAATTTTGCCCGTTAGTGGAGCTAGAGATGATGAAAAGAACTTGATTTAGAGAAAAATTGCTAGATAGACAACTTGAGATTGGATATATAATACCCTTCTATTTTACCCTAAAATGCCAGCCTAAAGACTTTTAAGGAGAAGCAAAAATTGACACCTTTGTTTTAACAGATGTATTGAATAAATTATAATGTAATATCCATTCCAGCTCTTATCAAGGTACTGGTCATCACAATTAAGTAGTTTGGATGAGGGCACTGACTTTGGGCTAAGAGAATCTTCTTTTTTTGCCTCAGCTGTTCTGTTTCTGTTAAGACACTGTCTGGGCTGAGATATTTAAATCTGGTTTCAAGGCTGAGTGTGGTGGATCATGCCTGTGATGCCAACACTTTGGGAGGTTGAGGTGGGTGGCTTGCTTCAGTCCTAGCCTGGGCAATGGAGACAAAACCCAAAAAATACAAAAAATTGTGTCTACAAAAAACTAGCCAGGCATGGTGACATGCACCTATAGTCCCAGCTACTTGGAAGGCTTAGAGGGGAGGATCAGCTGAGCCCAAGAAATGGAGGCTGCAGTAAGCCATGATTGCACCACTGCACTCTAGCCTGGACAACAGAGCAAGACCCTGTCTCAAAAAAAAAATCTTGCTTCAAGGTTCTATGCAGATGATTCTTTGCTTGTAAACCCTAGGAGCACCTATGTGATGCTTTGTGCTCCTCTCACTGGAATTACCTTATTCCTTATCTCTGTTCTCTTGAGTAATTGCCTCCTCTAACCAGGATTAGCATTCTTTGATCTGACTCCTTTGTTATCTTGTCTGTTGTGACAATGGGAAACATTTAAATGTTCTCTGGCCAGAAGAGACTGTTTCCGTCTGGAGACCAAAATGAAACTAGTCCTGGCATTTGAGTACTGTCATGATATGTCTTTCAAGCGGCAGTCCCTGTAGTGGATGCTGTGATGCGCTAAAGCTCTAAGGCATTCACTCCCCCAGCTCCCAGCAATGTTTTCTGCTTAAAGCTCACAGCTGAGTCCCTGCCTAGGAATTGCCCTCAGCTGAGGGAGTTTCCTGGCCCACGTTTATGTCCCTCTCTCCACCCTGGGTCAGCGTGCATTAAGTAACTGGTCAATGTAGAAGTACAAAGGCCTGGCCCCTTGCCTCAATTTAGGAACTTTAAAGGGCCACACCAGCTCCAGAGCTCCTATGGATGGGCTGAGATTTCAGTTGCAATTGCGTGGCAGATCAGCTTTTCCCTCTGCTTAATCCTGCCTTCCTCCCTTTCTTATAAGTCTGCATGTCTTTCATCTCAGAGTCTGTTCCATGGAACCCACTCTAATTACTAATTCCATTAAGGTTAATAAGCACATCATTTCCAGTATCTCCTGGGTTACATTAGATTTATTCAAGTGTGGAAACAAATTAATAATTGAGGATGGATTCTGCCATTAGGAAAGCATCGTCTAATTCATGATTATTTAAATTTTCTTCTAAATTATCAGTCATTTTACATTTAGCAATTTGTATTTCTTTTAATAACAAGTTTATAGTAAAAATATGAATTAGATGAAAAGAGCACACTACCTACTTTAAGTTTTATTCATTCTAATTATTTTATTTATTCTAATTTAGGGCAAAGTATTTTGGGATAATTTGTAAAAGCTTGTCCATGACTCACTTTTCTTTTTAGTTCTTTAGCTTTAGGTTTAGTGTTAAAAATGAAAACTATAAGAAATTTCAAGAGAACCTTCAAGTAGACCTACAATTTTGTCCGTCCAAAATCCCTTACTTTGGGTAAACTCCCTACCCCTACAACATAAGTTCCCAATGGAATGTCTGTCATAATGCTTCCCTAACCTAGGCATCAGCAGTGACCCAGGCTGGCCAATAAGAGTATGCCATCTCCTTGGCACAGTGATTGATCCAGGGTAAGTTTATGAACTAAACAGGGCTAATCAGATGGTTTCCTACAATTTACATATACTTCCCTGGGAAGGAAAAGGATACAGCCTTGAGCTTCCTGTAGCCACCTTTTCCAGTGTGTATCAAGAGCTTACCCACAGAAGGAAGCCAATATCCAGCAAGATGCGGAGCTGAAAGATGAAATCATCTGAGTGCCTGGTTACAGTCGGGCGTTCAGCCTGCCCTTTGGACATCCCATTTATATGAGCCAATAGATTCTATTTTACTTGACTAATGTAAGTTAGGACACTTAGAAAAAGACCTAACACAAGGTTTTATATCACCACCTTTGCACTTGATTCATTCCTCTGAGGACTCAATTTCCAGCATCTTTTTTCTAAGAATAAAGGCAAAAACCACTGTATTCCACACTCAACTGGACTTCCTCCAATCTTTTCCCCATACCCCTTTAGTTATTTTCCTTATGTAGCCATAACCCCTAATATTTCTAGTCAGCCAGTGCTTAAAATTCTTCATAAAGCATTATTTTATACTTTACAATTTCTCTGCTAGTATCATTTTGTGCTTTCTAACATAGACTAGTTTCTAGTTCAGAGATTTAAGTGATGCTGTGCTACATTTTCTTTGACTTAATAATTTGTCTGTGTGAAGACAAGCTTTTGGACTGTGAAACTGCAGCCAAAGTACATGGTTTCCCTGATGACAATTTTCTCAAACTGCTGACAAATTGCTTAGGGGAAAATAGCTCCTCTAGTGCTAAATTTGCAAACCTAAACCTATTGAGGTAGCAAATATCACATGCTTCATTAAAATAGTGAAGGGAAATCAGTCATAGGACAATTAATTGTGGAAACTTGCCATTCGAGTGTATAATAAATAAGCATCTTGAAGACTCTGTAAGACTGCCTTTTTATGCCCATTTAAATGTGTTCTAAGAATCACAGTGACAAAATTAGCTCATCAACGAATGATTTTTGCAGCTCTAGAGTAAAATTATTCTGCAAATGAGAAGCCCGTGACTTGGGTTATAAAGCTAGTTTAAGTTGATGTTCAACTCATCTGTTAACTGCTGACATTTTCACAGGTGTTCATGGGACATGAATGTGGAAGCTAAAATAGAACCCCAGCAGAATATACACAGTGGGTTTCTCCGGTAGTCACCGGGGAAGACTCATAGTTTATATAAAGCATGATTTGTACCTTATTTGCATAAGCATTCTCAGTTACAGAGCCATAGGATGTTAGAATCGGAAGCACATAATAGATTGTCTAGTGTAGTTCCTTGAAATTGTGGCTCAGAGAAATAAAAATGACTCAGCTAAGTTTTCACAGCTGGTGGATGACACAACCCAGAGCAGATCCCAGTTTCCTTGCAAGTGGTCTGGAGCTGCCTTCCTACTTCTCTCATAACTCATAGGTTTGCTCCAACCTCTAGCTGTCATTTGATGGAAAGAGCACTAGATCAGAGGACTTAGACTTAAGTCCTGACTATGACACTTTCTAGATTCATGATCTTGGTCAATATTGTAATCTTTCTGTGCTCCATTTTTCACATCTTCATCTTTTCCTCTATCTCACAGAGCTGTTAATAGAATTAAATGAAATGAAACAAAGCAATTCGCAAACTTTAAACTATTTTGCAGTCAGAAGTTATAATAATTATAATCAAATTGAAATAGTGATTAACTGTTTAGTAACTTTCTCAGTGTAGCACTGGACTAATTTTTCTGCAGGGATTTTTTTTCCCAGAAAAGAATTCTGGGAAGTGTTTTATACCAAAGGATAACAAAGTAACAAAGAGATTTCTGGAGGTTAAGTAAGTCAGGGTATTTTGCCTCTTACACAATGCTATGGTGAATTTTGGAGACTGTCATTTAGATGCCTTTGACTGTAAGTACCAGAAAGCCCTGACTCAAAATGCCTGAAACAACGGAGGTAGGGCCACTCCAGCGTGGTTTGTCAGGATTCCAACTCAGCTTCTTTGCAATTCTCTTGATTCTGTCCTTCTCCACATTTTGGCTTCTTCCTCAGCTGGTAGCATTTCTAGGTATCACATCCAGACAGAATGAAGTGGAGAAGCTGAAAAGGTCTGATTTTTCAGTGTTACCTACTTAAAAGTGGAGAAATTTTTCCAGAAGCCTTCATCCAACCCCTCCTCATATCTCTTTGGCCTAAAAAGGATACCATGGAACTAAGATAAATGGCTTAAAATAATCAGAATACATTTGCCTGAGTTGGGGATGGAGCCATTTCCTTAAACATAGGTGGTATGCTAAAGGGATGGGTACTTGAGCAAAATTAGTAGCAAGAGATTCACAGAGTTCTGATGTGGTGCTTTTCTCACTGTTCCATCTTTGTCACTAGTCTTCTTTCTACAGCAGTGAAATTACTCTACAAGTCAATTAATAATGAATTAATTAATAATCAATAAAATTAATACTCAATAAAAGTGATGACCCTGGTAGAGATAGAAGGAAAACTATTTATTAATACCAGTTTGGTGTCCAGCCAGCTTATCAATTCTAGAGCAATGGGGAGTACTTAGAAATTAAACCAACTTGAGGCTGGGAGCAGTGGCTCACGCATGTAATCCCAGCACTTTTGGAGGCCTAGGCGGGTGGATCACAAGGTCAGGAGTTCAAGACCAGCCTGGCCAAGATGGTGAAACCCCATCTCTACTAAAAATACCAAAAAAATTAGCCAGGCATGGTGGCGGGCACCTGTAATCCTCAGAGGAGGCCACTCAGGAGGCTGAGGCAGAGAATTGCTTGAACAGGGGAGGCAGAGATTGCAGTGAGCCGAGATCGCGCCACTGCACTCCAGCCTGAGCGACAGAATGAGACTCCGTCTCAAAAAAAAAAAAAAAAAAAAAAAAGAAATTAAACCAATTTGAGTTTTGTCAGCATTCTGTTTCTTTGTACTATATTATCTTGCTGATAGGCATGTTGGAAAACAGAAAAGCAAGTTATAAATCATTATGACAAATCTAATGGAGAAAGCAGATTTTCAGGAATCTAGAAAGAACAGTAGCCGCAGTTCAGAAGATTGAAGAAAACAGTTATCTGAGATAGAAAAAATGGCATCAGATAGACCCTATTGTGACATGGAAAATGCAACCGAACACATTAGAAGGTCAAGGAAAAAAAAAAAAAAAAAGAACAGGAAAATAAAAATCAAGGTTAGTAGAAAAGACCAGTTGGAGAAAGAAAGACATTCACATTGAAAACAATTTTAAAGAAACTGTAAATGTCAAAAGAAACACACTTGAGAGCCAGATGTGACCCTTGGTCTGTCAATCTATGGCTGTTAGTAGAAGAATGGAGGAGAATCATTTGAAGATATCTAATTTCTAATATACAAATGTAGAGACAGCTGCAGAAATCTGAAGTTTAATCATTATTCTAAAACATTTCTGTCCTTTATTTTAAAGAAGAAAAAATTAGTTTTCAACGTATTCAAAATCAATTCTGTTTGGCTGTATTTCGTGTATGGATTTTTTCATATATAATATCAAACAGAAGAAGTTTCCCTAAATTATTATGCCCAATAGTTTTATGTTTTCAAGACTAATTCTCAACAGAAATAAAATAGCTCATACTCCTTAATGGTAAGTTTTTTAAAATTCCCAGCATATTCAATTATCTTTCTCATTTCTACTCAAGTGGTATTGTAACTAATAGGAATTCAATATTTTTATTTCCTTGGTTAATGTGTCAAAGATGGCTGCTTTCCATCTCTTTTTTAAGCACTCTAAACTGTATATACCATCCATATGCTAACAAAGAGGCATGAGTGCTTTCCTATGCCATTTTACGGTGGATTTTGTTTTACAGTCATGGTGCTAATGGTCATTTTACCGTTTAGCTTTGCAATCTTATTTCTTCTCAAGCTATTCTCACCCCCAGCTTGAATTATCATAAAAAACAACTGAAGCCACTTTTTCAACGATGTCAGGAGACCAGAGAGATGATTGCATAACTGTCAACATTATTAAGTGCTCACAAATGCATTGAGACAGGACAAATGTACCTGAACCTATGTTGGGCTGGTAAAAATTCTTACCATTTTTGGTGGTGTGAACAGTTCACGCGCCTGCAATCTTAGCTCAATGCAAACATGAGCTGTAGCTTTGATTTGTTTCTATGGTTTCAAATCATCACAAATGACACCCGTGACGCAGCTTACTGTGATGTAATGCCTCCTGCTAAAACTCTGGTTGCAACACCCTCCTTGCCCATCTTCCTTTAAGTAATGCTATCACAAAACTAGCAATTCTGATTTTGTGAGTTTTTTAAATCACAATTTTGAAAAGATAGCCCCTTTAAGTGCTTGATATGTTTTTGACTATGGTGAAGAGAAAAAGAATTTGCATTGGGTTGATGGAATCTTTAAATGTTATAGAGAAGAAATGTGAGTTTTGAGTTTTAAGAATAAAGTACTGGGCCTCCTCTTATATTATGCGGCTGATTCTTTTGACTCAATATGTTACCACCACTGATATATAATGAGTTATCAATAAGCTTACTCCAATCTTCTGGTAAGATGGTATTCTGCCACGTAGAATACAACAGAGTATGTATTCTACGTGGCAGAATACCATTTACTTTGGTAACCATTTACTTTGGTCAGTTGAAAAAATTTAAATAGGATACCACACATGTTAAATAAATTAGGCTACACCTACAAAATTTAAAGAGCCACAACCAAGGTTAGATGTATTTGTTACAATGAGGGTAGCCAGAAAAAAAGGCATTTCTAAATTCTGGATCCACCACTTGTCCCCACAGTAAATTTGTGAGATATTTGTAGAGTGAAGACTCTGCAAAAAATATACACTTCATTCTACAGGGCTTTGACTAGAAACTCCTTAGGAGACTCCCACACCTACGTGGATTGAATAGTCTCCCCCAAAATTCATGTCCACCCAGGGCCTCATTCATGACCTTATTTGGAAATAAGGTCTTTGCAGATATAATTAGTTATGATGAGGTCATACTGGGGTAGGGAATGAGTAGGATACTAGGGCTAAATTCAGTCACTTAATGTTTTTATAAGAAGACAGACACAGAGACACACAAGGAAGGAGGCCATGTGACAACAAAGGCGGATATTGGAGAGATGAAGCTACAAGCTATTGACACCAATAATTGCCAGCAACCTGCAGAAGGAAGGAGAGAGGCAGGGAACAGATTCTCCTTCAGATACTCTAGAAGGAACCCACCTTGCCGACATCTTGAGTTCAGACTAATGGCCTCCAGATCAGTGAAAGAACAAGCTCCTGTTGTTTTAAACCACCCAGCCTGTGGTATGTTTTTACAATAGTCCTAGTAAACTGCTACACTTGGTGAGGCCTGAGGAGTGTACATGCTTTAAGGACTCCTCTGCCCATATTTCTAAGGCCTATACTAGAAATTGGCCCCCTTCCTCCTAGCCTATGTTCCTTTCTCCTAGGCAACATCTTACCTTTAGCCATCAAGGTCTTCCACTCCAACAAAGGAATGACCAACCCGAAGAAGAGTGTTTTCTTAGAGACTAGAGCACAGTCAGTCGAATAGCCCACCCCACATCCTTCCCATTGGATTCCACCTTGTCCCTAGTAGAGAAGTAGAGAATCCCTGCCAAGTCAGATGCTCTACCTCTCCCAAAGCCTTCTGGTGATATCAGCTACTTGGGGATTTAGAAAAAGGAGCAATTCAAAAAACAGTCCACATAAAAAAAAGAGTTTTAGGCCAGGCGTGGTGGCTCACACCTGCAATCCCAGCACTTTGGGAGGCCAAGGAGGGCAGATCATGAGGTCAGGAGTTCAAGACCATCCTTGCCAACATGGTGAAACCCCGTCTCTACTAAAAATACAAAAATTAGCCAGGCATGGCGGTGTGTGCCTGTAGTCCAAGCTACTCAGGAGGCTGAGGCAGGAGAATTCCTTGAACCAGGGAGGCAGAGGCTGCAGTGAGCCAAGATTATGCCACTGCACTCCAGCCTGTGCGACAGAGCAAGACTCCATCTCAAAAAAAAAAAAAAAGTTTTAAATTTGTTTTCCCCTCATTCCAAAATCTCTGAATCCTAATAATTGCAAAAAAGCCTCTTCTTCTCAAGTGGTATAATAAGGAGAAGAGTTGAGCTCTCTCAAGCGATTGGAGTAAGCCAAGAGGGTCTTCTTTGAGTTAATGATACACAAGCTCAATTGCAATGTAATTCAAAAAATACTAATACCTTCATTGTGCCAGGTTCTGTGCTAAGTAATGAGGAGTCAACAATGAGTAAGATATGAACTCTGACCTTACTCAGGGGTGAGACAAACAGACCAATAAAATCCACTACAATAATGGGTATGTTGGGGTAAGAGAAAATCACTTAAGCCTAACAGAAGACTTACCAAAAAATGTGATATTCTGGAACAGGATTTCTTAACCTCAGCTTTACTGACATTTTGGACTGGATAATTCTTGGTCGTTGGTGGCCGTTCTGTGCACTGTAGGATATTTAGCAGCATCCCTGCCAAAATGAGATTTGCATTTTAGAATAACTTTTGCTGCAGTATTGAGAATGTCCTGAAGTAGAGCAAGACTAAATACACAGAGATCAGTTTTAAATGTTTGCTACAGGCCGGGCATGGTGGCTCACACTATAATCCCAGCACTTTGGGAGGCCGAGGCAGGCAGATCACCTGAGGCCGGGCGTTCGAGGCCAGCCTGACCAGCATGGAGAAACCCTGTCTCTACTAAAAATACAAAATTAGCCAGGCATGGTGGGGCATGCCTGTAATCCCAGCTACTCAGGAGGCTGAGGCAGGAGAATCGCTTGAACCCGCGAGGCAGAGGTTACAGTGAGCTGAGATAGCTGCCATTGCACTCCAGCCTGGGCAACAAGAGCAAAACTCCATCTAAAAAAAAAAAAAAAAAAAAAAGTTTGCTACAATAATCTAGGCAAATCCTGTACTAACATATGGCAGCAGGACAAAGAGAAGTAGATGGACTGATGCAATGTTAAAGAGGTATTAGGAGGACAGGATCATGAAGGAGATGGAAGAATTGAATTTCACTCTGTAATTCTGGTTTGAGATCCTGGACTAATGGGAGTACCACTCATGGATATGAGAAAAGGTGAGAAATAAGAAGAAAGGTGAGAGACATAGGATAATATAAATTAGAGATATGTTGAGTGTAGCTGCTAGGATTGCATTCAAGTGAATGCAAGAAAATCTAATGTAGTGGTTAATTCTTATTTAGTCACACAGCAAAAACCTGGGAGTGTGCAATCCAGGCTGGATTCTGTATCTAAATAATGCCATCAGGTACCCAGTTCCTTTAGTTGTCCTGCTCTTCTTCCCTATAGTATATTCAGTCTCCATGGTCTCAAAACAACTACTGTACCTCCAGAGTTTTAGGAAGGAAAAAGAATAAGGAGAAGAGGTTACTCCCAAGTATGTTACATTTGCAAAATTTTTAGCATGGCCACCCTTAACTACAAATGTGTAATGGTTAATTTTATGTGTCAACTTGTCTAGGCTAAGGAATGCCCAGATAGCTGGTAAAACATTATTTCTGAGTGTGTCTGTGAGGGTGTTTCTGGAAGAAATTAGAATTTGAATTGGTAGACTGAGTAAAGAAAATCTGCTGACACAGGTGAAACATTATCCAAACTGTTGAGAACCTGAATATAATAAAAAGGTAAAGGAAAGGCTGGATGATCTCTAGAGGTCTTCTTGTGATCAGCACATCTGTGTTAGCTCTAAATCACATTCTTGTGCATTCTAAACCAGGCTTCATTTCTGTTACTCAAATTCCTAATTAGTAAAATATTTTAGAATAAATAAAAAATTTTAATTAAAAAATAGGACAAAACAGAGAATAATTCTAAGGAAATATATATAATTAAGTCAAAGGCACAGATTATCCTTAGACTGCTTAATTGATACCCAAATAGTTACTTGAATAATTAAGTTTTAATGATAGCAGTTACTGAATCTTCAAAATACAATTGAATAACTCAGTAAAATAATGGTGAACCCTATTGTTACAGATTTATACTACAAATTATCTTCAATGCATTTCTAAATTATGCTATCATGAAACTGCATATCCCTAGGGATAGCAAAGACAAAGCTAAACCAAATGTTGAAGACATTATTGTAATGAGTCAGGAGAAACCTGAACCTGGCCTGTGATGTCATTTGTTCTGCTCAACTGCAGTGACTTAAACAGTAAGGCTTATTTTATATTTATTATTATTAATCAAATAAATGGGAAAAATCAAGATAAATTAGTTGACTTTAGTCAATAAAAATCTATCAAATTTACAAAAAAGTAAAGCTCCTCTTTCTAAATATTATAAAGAAAATATCAACCTGAAATAGCACATTGCATTAAACTTCTCTAAATGCAAGTGCCATAATTAATTGTCCATTTCAAAATGTTTCAAGGTACCTCATGTTAGGACAAGCAGCATTATTAAAAGAGTAAATTAAGTGTGTGGCTTAAAATCTCTCCTGAGTTTTGAAACAGGGTTTCAAATTATTTCTAATTACTTAGAATTAGTTGGATTCATTCCATTTAATTCAATTTAACAAAATTTCTTGGTATATCCTATGCACAAAACACTGAAAAAAAATCTGAGAAGTCACAAAGATAAATAAGACATCAACTCTGTGCTTCTTTATCTATTTATGTTTTACTGATACATAATAATTGTACATATTTATGCAGTACATGTGATACAATGTGTAATCACCAAGAAAGAGTATTTAGGATACCCATCACTTCAGACATTTAACATTCCCTTGTGTTGAGAACATTCCAAATCTTTTCTAGATATTTTGAAATACATAATAAATTACTGATAAGCATTGTCATGCTACTATGCTATTGAACACTAGAACTTATTCTTTCTATCAAAATGTACTTTTTGTACCCATTACCTAACCTCTTCAGGAAATCAACATTATTTTAAATGAAGTAACACTTGTTGAACACCTTCTGTGTATCTTTCTTGCACTGCAATAAAACTTCATAACACTCTTTTTGACCTGTTTGACAGAGGAAGGAAACAAAACCCAGAGAGATGAAATGACTACCCAAGGGCATAGGGGTAGTTGTGGTAGGACTGAGATTTGAAACTAGCCTTGCTTTTCCTAAGTTCATTTTTTACTTTACTATACCACATTTAGCTGTAAGGAAAAATAAAAGAGAGAAATAGAATCAGCACTGGAAACTGAAAAGAACAGAAAAATAGATTAGGTCCAGAAGGCAAAATGCTGACCAGAACTTCCATTTGGCAAAGCCCCTGTGGAAAACAAGCAAAAGGAGCATCACTTAAAAAAAAAAAAAAAAAAAAAAGCCAACAGCAGGAATCCAGGTGGGAAAGGGAGGGGAGTGTGGAACAGAACATGTACCAACCTCAAGAATTCAGTGTGAGCCTTTAAGAGTGAGGCTTACAGGAGTAGGAAGAAAGAATTCTTTGTGAAATTGTATTTACAGAGAATGTGGTTTTTGAACTAGACTCCAAGGATTGGATAATTTTAGTAGGTGAAGAAAGGAGGAGAGGAAATTGGAGATGGGTCCCAGGAATCTACATTTTTAACAAACTCTTCCCAGTACTTCTAGTTGATGCTAAAATTTGAGAACTGTTTAGTCAGATATTTGGCAAGTATATCACTGTAATAAATAACTACACCTAATTTAATGGAAAAAAGATTATTAAAAGGGAAAGAGCTCATTAATTTTAGCTGTAAGATCAAATATTAACAATTTCAGAGGTGTATCTCCTTGATATGGTTTGACTGTGTCCCTGCCCAAATCTCATCTTGAATTGTATTTCCCATAATCCCCACATGTTATGAGAGGGACCTAGAGGAGGTAATTGAATCATGGAGGCAGTTACCCCCATGCTGTTATTCTCATGACAGTGAGTGAGTTCTCATGAAATCTGATGGTGTTATAAGGGGCTTTTCCCCCTTTTGCTGGGCACTTCTTGCTGCCAACATGTAAAGAAGAACATGTTTGCTTCCCCTTCCGCCATGATTGTAAGTTTTTTCTTTTTTTTGTTTGTTTGTTTGTTTGTTTGTTTGTTTTTTTGAGAGGGAGTCTCGCTTTTTTGCCCAGGCCAGACTGCAGTGGCGCGATCTCGGCTCACTGCAAGCTCCGCCTCCCGGGTTCACGCCATTCTCCTGCCTCAGCCTCCCGAGTAGCTGGGACTACAGAGGCCCACCACCACGCCCGGCTAATTTTTTGTATTTTTAGTAGAGACGGGGTTTCACCGTGTTAGCCAGGATGGTCTTGATCTCCTGACCTCGTGATCCGCCCACCTCGGCCTCCCAAAGTGCTGGGATTACAGGCGTGAGCCACCACGCCTGGCCGATTGTAAGTTTTTTGAGGCCGCCCCAGTCATGCTGAACTATGAGTCAATTAAACCTCTTTTCTTTATAAATTACTCATTCTCAGGTATGTCTTTATTAGCAGCATGAGAACAGACTAATACTCTCTTATATACAAATAATGTGCATTTTAGGTAGAACTGGGATTTTGATAGAAGTACTTTCAACTGGCACTGATGTCAGCAAGATGGCAGAATAGGAGTTTCCATTTATCCCCTCATGAAAACATCAATTTGGAAAACCATTCAAGGCCAGGTGTGGTGGCTCACGCCTATAATCCCAGCACTTTGGGAGGCTGAGGCAGCAGATCACTTGAGGTCAGGAGTTCAAGACCAGCCTGGCCAACATGGTGAAACCCCATCTCCACTAAAAATACAAAACTTAGCCAGGCATGGTGGTGCCCACCTGTAATCCCAGCTACTCTGGAGGCTGAGGCAGGAGAATCACTTGAACCTGGGAGGTGGAAATTGCAGTGAGCCAAGATCGTGCCACTGTACTCCAACCTAGGTGACAGAGCAAGACTCCATCTCAAAAAAAAAAAAGAAAAAGAAAAAGAAAAGAAAAACCATTAAAAATATATACACCTACTATGTACTCACAAAAATTAAAAATTAAAAAAAGAAAAACCATCCATGCACAAAATTATCTTCAAAAGAGCTAAGAAATCCAGGAAAGAGTTTATAGCACTTGGACGGAGCAGAGAAATAAGAGAAGATATATTGAGGAGGATAGAAAAAACGGTTTCACATTACCCATGTCACCCCTCCCACAAGCCCACACAGCACAGCTTGGAGAAAGCTCCCTTCGTATAGGGGAAAGACAGTAAAGGGAGCGCTTGATTTTGCCACAGATCCCCTCACTAGGCCCACCCCAATGCTATGATTTCAAATAAAAGCATAAGATTACACCATGAGGATCTAAGCCCAAAGGTAGCAGAAGAAAGGAAATAAAGATCACAACAGAAATAACTGAAATAGAGGCTAGAAAAACAATACAAAAGAACAATGAAACTATTGGTTTTTTTGAAAAGATAAACAAAATTGACCAATATATGAACAATTATATGCCAGCAACTTGCTTAACCTAAAAGAAATGCATATATTCTTACAAACATACAACCTGCCAAGACTGAATCATGAAGGAACAGAAAATGTAAATAGACTAATATTAAGTAAGGAGATTAAATAAGTAATCAAAAACCTCCCACCAAAGAAAAGTCCAGGACCCAGTGGCTTCACTGGTGAATTCTACCCAACACTTAAAAATGAATTAACGCCAATATTTCTCAAACTGCTCCAAAAATTGGAGAAGGGGGAACATTTCCAAACTCATTTTACAAGGCCAGCATTATCTTGATACCAAGGGCAAACAAGAACACTATAAGAAAAAAAAAATTATAGGCCAATATTCCTGATAACATAATTGCAAAAATCCTCAAGAAAATGCTAATAAACTGAATTCAATCACACACGTACCATGATCAAGTGGGATTTATCCCTGGGATGCAAAGATAGTTCTCCATAAGCATTTATTACATTTGCCAATAAATGTGATAAAACCGTATGAATGAAATGAAGGGAAAAGTTATATGATCATCTCAATAGAGGCAGAAAAAGCAGGTTTTTAAAAATAAAATCCAACATCATTTCATGATTTTAAAAAACACTTAAAAATTACGTATAGAAGGAATGTACCTCAACATAATAAAGGCCATATATGACAATCCCACAGATAACATCATGCATAATGGTTAAAAGCTACAAGCTTTTTCTCTAAGATCAGAAACAAGATATGGATGCCCACTCTCACCACATCTGTCCAATACAGCACTGGAAGTTCTAGACAGAGCAATGAGGCAGGAAACAGAAATAAGTTATTTAACTAAGAAAAGAAAAAGTAGAACTGTCTCTGTTTGCAGATGATATGTGTTAAAGCAAAATAAGCCTGAGGCCATTAGCCTGGAATTATTTCTGTACCTGGCACGATTATGCAAGCAATCCAAAATTTAACTTAGAGGCATTCCTTGTATCTGATTAATTTTGAATCAAGTTTCAGCCAATCATAAATGGCCAAGTAGCTGATTGGTTATATAATTTGGAGCCTCCAGTTAAACCATATCGAAATAAGGTAAATACCTAGCTGTGGCCAATCTAGTTTCTTTGTTTTCATGTTCAACCAATAAAAGCTCACTGCTCACACTTCTAGAGCAAGGCCCATGATCTCCTTTCAGTTTTGGTGCTTCCCACTTCATGAACTGTTCTTTGCCAAATAAATGTTGTTAAATTTTATTATGTCTCAAGTTTTTCTTTTCTTTTTTTCTTTTTTTTTTTTTTTTTGAGACAGAGTCTCACTCTGTTGCCCAGGCTGGAGTGCAATGGTACAATCTCGGCTCACTGCAACCTCCTGAGTAGCTGGGAATACAGACATGCATCACCATGCCCAGCTAATTTTGTATTTTTAGTAGAGATGAGGGAGGTTTCACCAGGTTGCCCAGACTGGTCTCTAACTCCTGACCTCAAGTGATCCACCTGCCTCAACCTCCCAAAGTACTGGGATTACAGGCATGAGACAGCACACCTGGCCTCAAGTTTTTCTTTTAATGCATAATTTTACATATGGAAAACCCTAAAGACTGTATGAAAACTATTAGAACTAATAAATGAATTCAGTAAAGTTAAAGTTAGGTGAAATTTCTGTACACTGAAAACCATAAAACACCAATAAAAGAAATTGAAGAAGACATAAACAAATGGAAAGATATCCTGTGGTTATGAATTAAAAGAATTAATATTTTTAAAATATCTATATGACCCAAAGTGATCTACAGATTCAATGCAATCCCTATTAAAATTTTAATGACATTTTTCACAGAAATGGAAAATGAGATTGCACACTTATCTCTCATCACATGTAAAAATCAACTCAAAATGGATTGAAGGCTGTAAGGTAACACCTGAAACTGTACAATTACTAGACAAAAACATAGGGGAAAAGCTTCTTGACACTGATCTAGTCCATGATTTTTTGGATATGACCCAAAATCACAGGCAATAAAAGCAAAAATAAACAAATGGGATTGCACCAAACTAAAAAGCTCTGCACAGCAAAGGAAATGGTCAACAGACTGAAGAGACACCTATGGAATAGGAGAAAATATTTGCAAACTGTTCATATATTCAGGGGTTAATATCCAAAATGATATAAGGAACTCAAACAATAGCAAGAAAACAAATAACCTCATTTTTTAAACGGGTTAAAGGATCTAACAGACATTTCTCAAAAGAAGACATACAAATGGCCAACAGGCATATTTTTTAAAAATGCTCAATATTACTACTCAAGGAAATGCAAATTAAAACCACAATAAGATATCACCTCATACTTGTTAGAATGGCTATTGTAAAAAAGA
Organism: Homo sapiens; assembly: GCF_000001405.40. Taxonomy (NCBI): domain Eukaryota; kingdom Metazoa; phylum Chordata; class Mammalia; order Primates; family Hominidae; genus Homo; species Homo sapiens. The sequence continues at coordinate 192,964,709 of NC_000001.11, forward strand.
CAAGCCGTAAGTATTGACAAAGATGTGGAGAAAAAGGGACTCTTGCACACTGTGGGTGGAAATGTAAATTGGCACAGCCATTATGTAAAACAAAATGGAAGTTTCCTTAAAATTAAAAATGGGGCTGGGTGTGGTGGCTCAAACTTGTAATCCTAGCACTTTGGAAGGCTGAGGCAGGAAGATCATTTGAGGTCAAGAGTTCGATACCAGCCTGGGCAACATGGTAACACCCTATCTTTAAAAAAAGAATTTTAGGCCTGGTGTGGGTGGCTCATGCCTATAATCCCAGCACTTTGGGAGGCCGAGGCGGGCAGATCACCTGAGGTCAGGAGTTCGAGACCAGCCTGGCCAACATGATGAAACCCCATCTCTACTAAAAATCCAAAAATTAGCTGGGCATGGTGGCGCATGCCTGTAATCCCAGCTACTTGGGAGGCTGAGGCAGGAGAATTACTTGAACCCAGGAGATGGAGGTTGTAGTGAGCCGAGATTGTGCCCCTGTACTCCAGCCTGAGCAACAGAGTGAGACTCCCTCTCAAAATGATAATAATAATAATAATTTTAAAATAACATTAAAATAAAATGACCATATAACCTAGCAATTCTACCTCTGGGTACACATCCACAGGAAATGAAATCAGTATGTTGAAGAGATATCTATATTCCCATATTCATCATAGCATTATTCACAATAGCCAAGATGTGGAATCAATCTAAGTGTCTATCAATTGATGAATGGAGAAATAAAATGCATGTGTGTGTGTGTATTGTGTGTATATATATGTGTGTGTGTGTATATATACCCCCATACATGTTATTATATATAAAATATTATTATAATGTAATATAATAATAAAATATTATTCTTTCCTACAAAAGAAGGAAATTCTGTCATTCACAACAACATAATTGAGCCTGGAGGACACTATGCTAAGTGAAATACACCAGGCACGGAAAGGCAAATACGGCATGATCTCACTCATATGTAGAATCTAAAAATGTTGAACTCCTAGAAGCAGAGAGTGCAATGGTGATTGTCAGGGACTAGGAAGATCTTGGTCAAAAGGCACAAAGTTTCAATATGCAAGATGGATAAGTCCTGGGGATATAATGTACAGTATTGTGACTGTATTTCATATTACTATATTGTATACTTGAAATTTACTAGGATCTTAAATGTTCTCATCTCAAAAAAAAAAGTAACTCTGAGGTGGCAGACACGTTAATTTAGCTTGATAGTGGCAATCGTTCCACAATGTAAGTGTATATTACAACATCAAGTTGTGAACCTTAAATATATACAATTTTTTGTCATTTGTGCCTCAATAAAGATTTTTAAAAAGTACTTTCAACTGCTTATTAACAAACATTTAATAATGTTTGTTATCCTACAAAACTGTATTAAGAGACTGACAAAAATGAATTAGACATTTTGTCTGTTATTAACTATGTCTCCATCTAATAAAGGAAAAAGACATTTATGTAACATTTGGCTTGCAGGGTAATACGTGCTAAAGATGTGGTTTATGCAAGGTATCATGTGGAACAGTGGAACTGGTGAACAGCTCTGCTTGGTTAGTAAAGGGGAAGGGACAGGATGTTGAAGACACACACAGGTTATGCCTTTAATGATGAGAAGGTATTTACCAGGCAAATAAAGGCAAGAATAAACTTCAAACCAACAGAGGGACTAAAAAAATAGGATAATTTTTAGAAACCAAAACCAACGGTCTTAGTCCTTTTGGGCTGCTATAACAAAATACCATAAACTGGGTAGCTTATAAACAAACAAAAAATATTTCTCACATTCTGGAGGCTAGAAAATCCAAGATCCAGGTTCTAGCAGATTCAGTGTCTAGTGAGAGTTCTCTTCCTCATAGATGGCACCTTCTTGCTGTGTCACATGGTCGAAGGGGCTAGCTAGCTCTCTTTGGTCTCTTCTATAAGAGCATAATCCCAGTCATGTGGGCTCCACTGTCATGATCTAGTCAATTCTCAAGGGCCCTGCCTCTTAATTCTATCACCTTGGGGATTAGGAATTCAACATATGAATTTTGGGCAGACACAAATATTCAAACCATAGCACCAACTTAAACCAACAGAAGGCAAGAAAAGAAAAACAAGTACGAAACAAATGAAATAAATAGAAAATGCAAAGTAAAACAGTAGATTTAAAACCAAACATATCAGCAATTACATTAAATATAAATGTACTAAATACTCCAGGTAAGAGTCGAATATTGACAGCCTCGATTTAAATTCCACTATGTGTTGTTTATAAGAGACATCCAAAATATAAGAACAAAAAGTGGGGAAAATATCTCATTCTAGTAGTAACTGAAATAATGTAATAACTGTTAAAAGCAAGATAAATACACTATTGAAGATAAAGAGGATTCCCTTATAACAAAAAAAGTTTTAACATACTGAAGATTAACATTCTAAATATAAATGTGTTTACCAATAAACAGATTACCAATGGCTTTAAAAGAATAAATACAACATAATTCTATTTATGTAGAGTTTTAATACAGACAAGATTATATTTTTAGAGATGCATACTTAGGTTGTAAAACTATATTTTTAAAAGTAAAAGAGGTATTATTACCACACACACTATAACAATGGTTACTTCTAGGAGCAAGGAATGGTGGTATAGCTAGTAAGGAATAGCCTGGAGTCTTCAGCAGGGCTGACAACACTGTTATCTTTCGGATGTGTTTCCACAGATGTTTCCTTTTATTGTTCATTACATTGTGCACTTATGCTTTGTGCACTTTTCTGGCATTTTTATATTTCATGATTTTTAAGTTTTAAAAAATTGTAGATGGAATTCTTCAGTACGTATCTGCATACATGCATAACAGCTTAAGAAGGAAAGCTTGTATTGGAGAAGGAGATATGGGTGTTGTCTTCTGCAGATAGCAGCAGAAGCCATGGGAATAAGTGAGACTGTGCATGGAGAACACACTGAGAGGAAGTGAGCTCTCCTGACAGAAGGTTCAGGAACACAAGCAGAAGCAGAAGAGGTGCAATTGCTAAGAAGGAGCAACTCAGAGGGTGCTGAAGAGCAAACTGAATGTTAATGTTTCAGAACAAAGGAGTAGAATGTTTCCAGAGAAGAAAATAATCAATATTGACAAATTCACCAGGGAGGCAAAGTAAGATAAGAAATGACAAGTAATTATGGACATGGCAATTAAAATGTCAATTAACTTAGTACAAGTAGTTTTAGTTTCTATCAAAACCATAACATATAAATCAATTTATTTTCAGATATTATTGACAGACTTTCACTGTCATAAAGAGTCATGAGTTTTATCACTTGAGTCATTTTACCTTGGATATAAATAACTGATTAGAGTGATTCACAGTTTGAAAAACCCAGCCCTTAACTATTTGAGATCCTGGTAAAGAAAGTGTTAGTATCCAGCTGTTTAACCACATAATGTGAAAGAGATTGCCAGTTTCCTCTCAATATTCACTGTCCCCAAAGTACTCCAATTGTTTAGTTACTTTGTCACCCAACCAAAAGAAAACGTTTCCTAGCCTCCACTGCAGTCAGGAGAAGTTGAATGACTAAATTCTGGCCACTGATATGTGGAGCAAAGATTGCTAACAATATGACTACATATATTATTGCTAATTATAAGATTATATAGATAGATCAGCCTCCTAAAAATTTTGCTTTGTTCCTATTCCTTCCTTTCCTTTTTATTGACTGAAAGTGGCAAGTGGCAAAAGCAGCAGCAACCTTGTAACCACCATGTTGCTAGAACCACCTTACTAGCTTAGCTCTTTGGATTGCTTCATGGAGCAAAGTCCTACCTAGGTGGCACTGTATTTTGAGCTCTTTTTATTAAGCATACTGACCAGTTTCCTAAATATTACATCTAAGTAACCATGTTGTGTGGCATTTCCAGGAAACTGCCTTAAAAGGGAGAGGACTCCTTCTTTTAATCTTCACTCCCTTTCCTCCTTCCTGGACTATGGTTTTTGTAAGCAGAGCTCCAACAATGCAGGTAGAACGCCCCAGGAAGTGACCCTGGGAATTGAAGCCATGTTTGGCAGAACAACGAGACAGAACAAACTTCAGCCTTTGATTCCATGGAACCAGCATACCTGCCCTGACCAACTTACCTCTGGAATCATTTTTCCTTTTTAAGCCACTACTGTCCATATTTTGTTACTTTCGGCCTAACCTAATCATTTCTGTGGCATATATAGTGATATGAAAATGAATGGAAAGATGGACAAAATGACATAGCATTGCTTCCCATGGCCAAGACACACAACAAAACTAACGTTATTAGATCCATTTAATAGGAAAATGAGACATAAGAACAAACATTTGTTAAGATTTTATATTTATCATTTAGACAGAGACTATAATCTTCACAGTAACCCTACAGGGTAGGCAACATCATCACTATTTTAAAGAAATTGAGACCTAGTAAGGGAGAGCAAGTTGCTTGGCATCACTCAGTGTGTAAATGACAGAATTTGAACTCACAGTTCTCATGAACAAAACCCATGCTCCATTCTATGCCTTATCTTATTTCCACAATGAAAAAAGAGGAACAGAAGGCAAATTAACTAGAACAAAAATTGCTTTTGCACAGATACAAATAACTCTGTTTCAATCAGAATAAAAGGTTTCCTGACTCACTCTAGATTCACAGGGCCTTGTTTTTCTTTTATAACCTCAAGTTACCACACTTTTAAGAAATAAATTATTTCGTAAGTTTATAAAATAGAACTGAATTGTGTAGTTCCCAGAAGAATTTCTTAGAGCAGTCTGTTCCCCTGAATCAAGGTGAAAAACAGACCCTGTTATGTGTAATGTACGCTTCTTATTTTTATCCTGGAATGAGTGCTTTTTTCAAATGTTGAAGGTTGGGACTAAAACACAACCACCTGGGCCACTAAAATAGGTCCTGCTGCCACTATTTCTGTTATTTCAGATTCTACTTGGAATTTCTCATTTTTCAATACTCTTGGAAGATCCTAAATGCTAACTTCGTTTATTACTTAGAAAGGAAAAGACTTGGGAGTGTTCTCTATAAGTTTCACAACTTGTCTGAATATTAAAACACGGCAATAAATTTATTAATGGTAATAAATTGCATCCTAATCTTTTCAGTGAAGTCATGCAAATTAGCACATGACTGTTTACTTGTGTAATAAAAAGTCATGGCTTTAAATGAGGACTTTGACTTTAAAGACATCTAATAAACTATGCCTTTTTTCATTGTCATTTAAATCCTTCCTCCATCATTGTTTTATTCATTCAACAAATGTTTTTTGAGCACCTACAATGAGAAGCAGTACCATGTAATGGTCAAGAGCACAAACTGCATTTCAAATCCTGGCTCCTCTTTCAGTTGGCTCTTTGACCTTGGTCAAGTCACTTAGCCTTTTTGACCCTCCATTTTCTCATCTGTAAATCAAGATAATAGTATTATACTTTCAAGAGCTATTGTGAGCACAAAATGAGTTAATATGAGGATTACATGTATACATAATAAATATATAATAAATGTTTATGAAAAATACATACCTACATACATATATACATACAATATACTGAGCTTTAAAGAGCTGGGATATAGCAATGATCTAAACACACATATTTTGTTCCCATGTAACATATATTCCAGGCAGACAGAGGCAGACAATAAACAAATAATTAGATAATAGCTCATGTGTGATAAATGTTCTAAGGAAGAATAAAGGAGATAAAAATAGAGAATGATGGTGGGGCACTATTTTTTTTACAGAATGGTTCAGAAAGGATGCTGTAGAATACAATATTTATGTAAAGATAAAAAAACACGAGGAAGCCAGCCATGCTGATGAAGGATTGGGCTTCTAGGTAATGGAAACAAATACAGAGGTCCCGAGGTAGGGGCGTGCTTGAAGCATATGAAGGACACTGAAGCCAATGTGTCTGGAGAAAAGTAAGCAAAATGAAGAATGGGAGGAGAGAAAGAGACAGGAATAGCAGGGTCTTACGGTCATAAAAGGCTTTGTAGCCAATGGTAAAGGCATTGGCTTTTACCCAAACTTGACTGAAAGGTCTAGCAGGATTTACAGCCATACCACCCTGAACGTGCCCAATCTTATCTGAAAGATCTTGCAGGACTTTGAGCAGAGGATGGATATTATTTAATACAGATTTGTAAAGGTTCCCTCCAGCTGCTCTGTAGGAAATAAATCATAACAGAGGGGCAAAGGTTGCTAAAAGGAGACCAAAGTGGTATATATTGCAATATCCAGGTAGATAGACCCTAGAAAAATACTTGCATATATGTACAAAAAGGTATGAACTTAGCTGTTCATTCTAGTATTGTAACAAGGAAAATTTAGAAACAACCCAGCTATCTGTCTATGAGGAAGTAGCTAAATAAATTGTGATATACTAAATGTCACATATTATCTATTAATAGCATATTAATAAATCAAATTCCATGACTTCAATAAGAGTAGGCAGTGGAGGTGATAAAAAAAATTTGGTGTAATCCTGGATATATTTCCAAAACGTAGCCCACAGAATTTGCCATTGGAGTGGTTGTGGGAAGTAAAAGAAATAAAGGAGTAAAGATGACTCCAGGATTTTCTGTCCTGAGCCAGCAAGGGTATAGTTGCTCTACTGAGTTTGTGAACATTAGGAGAGAAGCAGAGGATTCCTGGGGGAGTGGGAGGGGATGTGGTTAAAGAATTCAGCTTTGGACATGTTGAATTTGACATCAGAGAGTATGGATATAGGAGACTGAAGTTCAGAAGAGCAATCTGAGCAAGATGTCCATGTTTGAGACCCATGGTGTATTCATGGTATTGAAGGCCATGGGTTTGGATAAGATGAACCAATGCAGTGGTTCTCAAACCCAGCTGTGCACTAGATTTTTGATCAACTAAGTCAGAATCACAGGAGTGGGACCTAGACATTATATAATTTAAAATCCTTTGGGCTGAGAACCAATGACTTAAGCAAACAGTATAAAAAGAAAAGAAATGGAAAAAATTTGAAGAGAAAACGCCCAAAATAGAAAATACTATGGGTTGGCAGTGCATGGTGGCTCACCCCTCTAATCCCAGCACTTTGGAAGGCTGAAGGGGTCGGATTACATGAGGTCAGGAGTTCAAGACCAGACTGGCCAACATGATGAAACCCTGTCTCTACTAAAAATACAAAAATTAGCCTGGCATGCCTGTAATCCCAGCTACCAGGGAGGCTGAAGCAGGAGAATAGCCTGAAACCAGGAGGCGGAGGTTGCAGTGAGCCAAGATCACACCACAGCACTCCAGCCTGGGCAACAGAGTAAGTGAGACTTCGTCTCCAAAAAAAAAGAAAAGAAAAGAAGAAGGAAAATGCTATGGGTCAACAAATTTGAACAGTAAATTGTCAATACTAAAGTTGAAGATTCACATACTTTTGGCTCAAGAATTTACTTTTAGGTTTATAACCTTAGAGAAATGCTTGCATATATGCACAAAAAGATACAAATTTGGCTGTTCACTATGGTCTTGTATTAGGAAAATTTAGGTACAGTCCAAATATATGTCTATAAATAAACTGTGGTAACTTAAATACTATATATTATATATTAATAGCATATAAATGCAATATAATACCATATAGCAATTAAAAATGAATGAATTTGATCTATATGTATCAATATAGATTAATATTGAAATCACAGAATGAAGAAATCTAGCTAAAAAACATAGATATATTTAATATATATTACATAGTTTATATATAAAATATGTATTTTTATATATTTAACATATATTAAATTATATTTATATAATTTACATAATTATATTATATAAATATATTAAATATGCAATATTTAATATAGGTTTTAAATCTATGTATTTTATATATTTATATACATTTCATATTTTACAAATAAAATATATTTTTACATAGGGATATAGGCACTCAGAATTTTTTTCATTTGCTTTAGTTGGATTTTTTAGTTTAGTTTTTTTAGTCAGGTTTACTGAGATATAATTTACATACAGTAAAACTCACGTCTTTAATTGTACAGTGCAATGAGGTTTAAGAAATGGGTACAGTCATGTAACCATCACCATAAACAAATATAATAGTTTGATCACTCCAAATGTTTTCCTCGGGCTTCTGTGTAGTGAATCCCCTTACCCAACCCCAGCCCCTGAAAACCACTGATCTGATTATTTCTCTATTGTTTTTTTTTCCAGCATGTTATATAAATGGAATTATATAGTATGTAAGATTTTGTGTTTACTTCCTTTTTTAATTTTTATTTCAGTAGCTTTTGGGGTACACATGGTTTTTTTTTACATGGATGAATTATATAGCGGTGAATTGTGAGGTTTTAGTGCACCTGCCACCTGAGTAGTGTACATTGTACCTAATGTGTAGCTTTTTTATTCCTACCCCCATCACTCTCCCCCTTCTGAATCCTCAAAGTCCATTATGTCACTCTATGCCTTTGCATACTCATAGCTTATTTCCCACTCATAAGTGAGAACATACAGTTTTTGGTTTTTCCACTCCTGTGTTACTTCACTTAGGATAATGGCCTCATGCTTCATCGAAGTTGCTGCAAAAGACATTATTTCATTCCTTTTTATGGCTTGTGTTTACTTCTTTTACCTAGTAAATGTCTTTGAGATTTATCTGTATTGTCTCAATAATTTATTTCTTTTTATTACTGAGTAGTGTCCATTAAATGCTTGTAGCACAATTTGTTTATCTATTCACCAGTTAATGGACATTTGTGTTCTTTCAAATTTGGGGCCCTTATGAATAAAGCTGCTGTAAACATTCAAGCACCAGTTTCTCTTTTGACATATGTTTTCATTTCTCTTGGGTAAATATCTATTAACTTTATACCAAATATTTTTTTTTTTTTTTGCAAAGGATCTGTCATGTTCCACAGAATTCTTTGGGAATGAAGTAGTCTGACTTCTGACCTGGCAGGCACAAGGTCCAAAAGGAATCTCTCCATACATTATGAAAATAGATTTTAAATACCAAATGGGCATTGTCTTTGGGCTAAATATACAATATCCGTGACATATACCTACTACTATTTTCAAACATAACTATTATGCTGAACTAAAAGATACAAATTTATTTCAAAGCATTAATACATTCAGGGCAACTTTGCCATTATGTGTTTCCTAATCACTGGATGTGAAAAGCATAACCACTATCATATTTGAGTCTATGAATCTTTTTTACTTTATTAATATTAAAAAAGATAGGGAATAATGCCTAGAGCAGAAATGGGTTGCTTCAGGATCACCCAAGGTACTGGTTCTCAGCCTCCACCCCTGACCTACTGAAACGGAATCTAATATAAAGCAATTATAATAATAGCTACCTTCTATTGAGCACTTACTACTTCTAGCAAGGTGCTAATTGCTTTACATAATGCCCTTCATTCCATCCCCACAACAACCCAGTGAGTCAGGTGCTATTACTACTCCTGTGATTCAGGTGAGAACATTGATCCCTCTTGACTCAACGTCAAGTAATTTACCCATGGTTGCACAGTTTGTAAAAATCCTTATTTTTATTCATCTATCTCTGCCTTTAAAAAAAATCAGTAGTAAAACCATTACAATGATACAAGACTATGAGTAGAGCTGAGGAAATTACTTTTTAATCCTTAGATAAGGAATCAATTATGAGTAAAAAAAAATGAGTGAAAAATATCAGCTAAATAATGGAAATGAAAACAAAGAGCAAAATCTTCTTCCAATCTTTGTTTCCAAAATAAACTCAAAAGTGAGATTAGGAGGATGCAGCTGATATTGGGTCCACAGGCAAAAAGAAGCTATACAACTGTGTCCAGTGCAAGAGACCACCAATCAATGGGGAACGTGTTTCAACCTGACAACACTGCAGCAGTTATTTCTGTATTCTAACTTACGGAGGTTCCAAGAAAAGAGAGTTGAGAAAGATGGAAGAAGGAGAAGTTGATCAGGGAAGGGGAAACAAGAGAGCTGAGCTCTCAGGCACCATCTGCTCAGATTCCAGTCCAAAAGATCCTTGGGCATTGATGGAAGTGTCTGCTGCAGCACCCAGGACTAAGTGAACCACATTGCCCACAGTACCAAGGCAATCACCTTCTATTCTTTGATAAGCTTACTTCCACCCCAAAACCTGATCTTGCTTAACCAAATCCACTTATTCCAATCACTCATAGTTGCATAAGGAAAGAAGACTTACATTAGGCTTTGCTTAATGTAGTTCCTTTGTTATGAGTCATGGCACTAATTAAACCTAAGAATTTTTAAAATATGAATTCATGTAGTGTGAAGCAAGCCATTTCAAATGTTATTCTCAGGGATAGTTAATCATTTACATGTGAAGTCTACAGATGAAACAAATGACTTGAGTCGTTTAGAGGGAGTAATTGCAACAAAAGTGCCTCATCGTGATCAAAGTGATACCTCTTTTTAATCATTAGTATCCCTTGGTAAGACACTTAAGGATTCTCAACCCTCAGTTCTCTCATCTTAAAAATTAGTCCAGTTAATCTCTAAATAATTCTTTAATTTTAAAATTTATGAAATAACCAAAATATGAACAGTAGTCTTTAGGAACTGGGACAATTGAAAAACATATTTTATATTTTCTACAATTTTAAACTTTTTCTACTGGACAAATATTACTCTTCTAACAGGAAAATCTACCTTTATTTGAATCCATGGTAGTGATTCCGTGGCCAGAAAAATATCCCCCAGTCCAAGAATACATCTTGACATCATTGACTATTTTCCTAAAGTTTTGAAAATTCTAAGTGTATTTATACTTAAAAAAAAAACACTACAAAAACCAAATACTTGGTGCTGGCCTGATACTTCATTTTTTAGTTTATTCCATTGAGGCTTATTTGATCATTAGGATTCTTTGTCCATTTCCAGAGCCTCTTCCTTGGTACAAAAGCCTTCCGTGGACAAAGCCAGTGTGACCTGTCTACTCACCGATTACACTCACTGCCCTAATCCTCATGCATATAGGATTGTGGAGTTTCAGAAAGTCACATATTACATACAGACAATTCATTGATCTTAAACAAGAACTAAAAACAGTAGGAGTTTCGAAGATAGATTGGCCTGGGTAAAATTCTGATTTTGCCACTTTCTTGCTGTGTGACTTGGATAATCCACTGATTATCTTCATTTAGCTTCCAATTAGCTTCATTTCCACATGCGTAAAATGAGAATTACAGTACTGACCTCATATACTGTTGTAAGGAATACAATGAGATAAAACATATAAAATATTTATACAATGCCTGGGACATACACGCTCAACGTTCCCACTACACAATTCTTATGAAATCTTTCAACCTCCCATCAGAAAACAGAAGAGCTAGCTTCAGTTGCACCTATATGATGCCAAACACAGATGAAAATGAATAAAGTGATATAATTGCCAAAGTTTCTAAACATTTGTGTTACACAAAAAGGATCATTCAATTATGTTGTGTTGAGACAGGAGGTAGTGTTTTATCTTCTGCAGTAGCAAATGGAAGTTATTGACTCCTCTGAGATAATATAAAATCCAAAAATATTTAAGAAATAATAAAATAAACTTAGCTTAACATTTACCTACATAACTTTCGGAAACTGATATAAATGCACCTTTCTCTGTGCTCTCCATTCATACAGTATAGTTAAAAACTATTTTTCTCCTATCCTATAAGTCAAATAGAGATTTTAAAAATATTTAAAATGATAAAAATGAGACAATGTTGGAATACTACTGAATTCCTCAGAGATAGGCACAATACGCCTAAAACTGCACATGTTATGAACAATATTGATAACTACTGGGAGACTTTGGCAAACACTTAGCAGCTAGTGTGCTGCAAAAATACTCTCACTCTTCAAAAAATCTATTTTTTTCTCTCCAGCAACAAGAGGAATGCTCATGCACCCAACGGAGGTGGGTGCCAAATTGTTTCACCTTTGACATTCCCCTTCCCCAGTCTTTCACAAATTCTCACTCTCAGCCCTAAGGGAGTGTGTTTGGGCTTGGGAGTTGGGACAGGCTCTGGAGTTGTTGGCAAAGATAAAGAGTATTGAAACGAAGGCAAGTGAGATAAGAAGGGAAAGAAAAAGAAGAAAAAAATATATCATAGGACAGGTGAAGAAATACTCTCCACTTATCATTTTAAGTTAATTTAAAAAAGGGAAAGGGGAACCCAAAAATAGGTTCTGAGCTGCTTACTATGATGCAAATTAATCTCATTCACACCCCCTAATTCGCTGGGCACTTCCAAGATTCTCCTGAAAAAAATCAATATTTTTTTAAGTGTTTATGAATAAGGGGCTCATTGATTTTAAAATTTGACAGCATGTAGGAAAAGAAGACTGGTTAGCAGAATTTAAAATAGAAAGAATCAAAAGCCTAGGTTAGAGTTATATCCTTCAAGTTTAGACAAACTTAGCATCTAGCTTTATTTACATTTCAATGAATACTTGGGACACCTTTTATGATGAATTTACAGGGGTCCCCAACCTCCTGGGCCACAGACTGGTACCAGGGTCTGTGGCCTGTTAGCAACCGGGCAGCACAGCAAGAGGTGAGCAAGCATTACCTGCTGAATTCTACCTCCTGTCAGATCAGCAGCAGGCATTAGATTCTCATAGGAGCACGAACCCTATTGTGAACCGCGTATGCAAGAGATCTAGGTTGCATGCTCCTTGTGATAATCTAATGCCTGACGATCTGAAGTGGAGCTGAAGTGCTGATGCTAGCACTGGGAGCAGCTGCAAATACAGATTAACCTTAGCAGCGAGGTTTGGCTGCACAGAGACCATAATAAATCAACTGCTTTCAGGCTCATATCAAAACCCTATCAGTGAGTGGCAAGTGACAAATTAAGCTGCATCTGGTGGCAGGCTTTACAGTGACGAGTGAGTTGATGTATTTCAATTGTACAGCTGCATTTAATGTCAGGCTTTAAGTCAGAATCAGACGCATTTTATTCCGCTTATGGCCCGCCCATTATTTTATTTACCACTTCCATTCATGCCTCTTTCCCACACTGCACACTTGTCTCAGTCACAGTTTTGGTAAGCCCACGAGCTAACCCTAGCCACAGTGAGTAAAAAACAAATATCACTGGAGAGCTTCTTGGAAAAGGGGAAAAGACCCAGTGATGAGACAGCAGAAGACTCTAAGACTGCCAACAAAAAGTTGCATTTAAAAGAAGATACCGAGACTTAAATTACAGGTTCATTCCAACAGGTGATTCACATTCTCCAAGCTGGCTTTATATATGTGGTGACTGGCTACCCAAAGAAGCCATGAAACCTTCAAAACTTCTTCACCACATGCAGACCAAGCACCCTGCATTAAAAGACAAAACTTTTGCATCTTTCAAAAGAAAAATAATGTGAACATGAAGAACGGTAGCAATTATTGAAGGCCACCACTTCATCAAATGTGTCTGCACTGAGAGCATCATTCTCAGTGGCTAACGGCACTACTAAAGCAAAGAAATCCTTTACTATTGGTGAAGAGTTGATCCTGCCTGCTGCTAAGGACGTTTGCCATTAACTTTTAGGAGAGGCTGCAGTTCAAAAGGTGGCACATGTTCCTCTTTGGGCCAGCACCATATCTAGATGAACGATGAAACAGCAGAGGATATTGAGGCACCACAGTTAGAGAGGATTATTGAGTCACTGTGGTATGCAGTCCAAGTTGAGGAGTCTATCAGTGTTGACAACAAGGCAACAATGCTTGTTTTTGTGTGATGTATTTTTTTTCAGGAGCATGTGCAGGAGGATATTGTCATGCGCTTCCGTGTGAAGAGACCACCAAACAGGCTTTGTGTGAACAATAAAGGTTTTTAATCACCCGCTTGCAGGCAGGCTGAGTCTGAAAAGAGAGTCAGCGAAGGGAGATAGGGGTGGGGCCATTTTATAGGATTTGGGTAGGTAGTGGAAAATTACAGTCAAAGGGGTTTGTGTTGTCGCTTGGCTGCCTCTTCTCTATTATTGTACACTTTGAAGGCAAAGTTAATTAAGTCCTGTTGTGGGGTTTGAGGGCCGGAATCTAATTTTTGGAGTTTTATTTAATGTCAGGAGCGGATTGAGTAATAAAATGCATATTGAGAATAAGACGGCCTTCTGACCTTTTATGATCTAGGGCTGTAAAGCGTCTCAGGGTTGCTGCCAAACAAGCCATGAACTGGGCTGGGTTTTTATATTTGATGAAAAAGAGCCTAAACACTAACTGATTTGGGAGAGGTCAGCTAAAGAAAAAGGAGCATTAACCTTGACTATGCCTCTAGCTCCAACCACCTCTTTAAGAGGAAATTGTTGGGCAGGTCGGGGAGGGCTAGTCGCCGAACAAAACCATAAGCCAGACCAGGTGTGAGGAGGGCAGGTGATAGAAGGATTATAGGGTGGGAGAGCCGAGGCTGAGGAAGAATTAGAGCCTGATTCAGCCTGGTGGGGAGTGACCTGAGGAAGAGCAGTCTGGGGAGGAGGGGAGAGGTCAGATGGATCAGTAGAAAAGGGAGATTGAAAAGACTCATCAACGCTTTGGGGTTGGGACTGAGGGACAGGTGGGAGGGAAAGGAGGAGGATTTGGGACGAGTCTCATTGGGAACAGAGACTAGGGCATGACCGATGTGTCAAAGAATGCCTGGACATCAGGCACCTCAGACCATCTGCCCATTTTATGACAAGAATTATCTAGATCTTGTAGGATGGAGAAATTGAAAGTGCCGTTTTCTGGCTATTTGGAACAATTGTCGAGTTTGTATTGGGGTCAAGCGGCATTGCAGAAGAAAACAAGGCATTTAGGTTTTAGATCAGGTGTAAGATGACACAGGCTAAGGGAGAAGAAGGAGGAACGGAGGGTGGAAGGTTGCCCATAGTGAAGGAAGCAAGCCCAGAGAAAAGAGAGGGCAGCGACACGGAGAAGCGGGTGGTGAGCAGCCCTGGGCTGCAATGTGGGTGAGCTGCCAAAGTAAGCGTCCCGGCAATTGATTTGCCACCAAGGGAATGTGGGTGAATGACTAAGGCAGGCATCCCTGCAGTGATCAGACACCAATGGAGTGTGGGTGAATAATCAGGCGGGCGTCCCCGCATGATTAAACACCAAGGGAAGACTGTCTTCCTGAGTCCGTGACCGGCGCGGAGTTTTGGGTCCATGGATAAAATGTGTCTCCTTATCTCTATTAGAGAGGAAAAAGAACTGAAATTGGAAGGACAGGGAGATTGAAGGGTAGTGAGAGAGGGAGATTCAAGGATAGCGAGAGAGGCTGGAGAAGAGAGTGAAAAGAGGCCGCTTACCCAATTTAAAATTGGTGAGATGTTCCTTGGGCTGGTTGGTCTGAGGACCAGAGATCATAGGTGGATCTTTCTCACGGAGTAAAGGGCAGAAGGACAAGGGATTGATCTCCCAAGGGAGGTCCCCCGATCCGAGTCACAGCACCAAATGTCAGGCACGTCCATGTGAAGAGACCACCAAACAGGCTTTGTGTGAGCAATAAAGCTTTTTAATCACCTGGGTGCAGGCAGGCTGAGTCCGAAAAGACTCAGCAAAGGGAGATAGGGGTGGGGCCGTTTTATAGGATTTGGGTAGGTAGTGGAAAATTACAGTCAAAGGGGATTGTTCTCTGGCAGGCAGGGGCGGGGGTCACAAGGTGCTCAGTGCGGGAGCTTCTGAGCCAGGAGAAGGAATTTCACAAGGTAATGTCATCTGCTAAGGCAGGAACCTGCCATTTTCACTTCTTTTGTGATTCTTCAGTTGCTTCAGGCCATCTGTATGTATACATGCAGGCTTGGGCTCAGAGGCCTGACAGATATGTTGTGTTTACTTTTGTTGCCAACCAACACCACAGCTGCAGAACTATTCAAGTCTTTATATGATTACATATCAGGAAAACTGAATTGGGCGTTTTGTGTTGGTATATGCACAGACAGAGTGGCTGCCATGACTGGATGGCTTTCTGGTTTCACTACCCGGATCAAAGAGGTTGCTTCTAAATGTTAGTCTATACACTGCATCTTCCTATAGAAAAATTCTGGCTAGCTAAAAAATGTCACCTGACCTTAACCATGCTTTGCAGGATGTGATTAAAATTATCAACCACATTAAAGTACATGTCCTTAACTCACATCTTTTCACACAGCTCTGTGAGGAGATGGATGCAGAGCACAAGCATCTTTTCTTATACCCAGAAGTGAGATGGCTTTCTAAAGGTAGATCACTGAACAGAGTTTCTCAGTTAGGAGAGCCACTCCAGAGATTTCTTTTAGAAAAATGATCTCCATTGGCAGCACATTTCAGTGACCCAGAATGAATCACAAAACTTGCTTACTTGTGTGACACATTCAACCTGCTCAATGAACTCAATCTGCCAGTTCATGGGAGAACAACCACTGTGTTCAAGTCAGCAGATAAAGGGGCTGCATTCAAAGCCAAATTGGAATTATGGGGGCAACGAGTGAACATTGGGATTTTTGACATATTTCAAACATTAGCAGAGATTTTGAAAGAGACTGAGCCAGGGCCTTCTTTCTCCCACCTGGTTCGTGATCTCCTATCTCAGCTTTCAAAAGAGTTTGAGCATTACTTCCTAACCACAAAAGACCCCCGAAATGGAAAGGAATGGATCTGCAATCCATTTGTGAATAAGCCAGGTGAATCGACTTTGTCTGTGCTAGAAGAGGATCAACTGCTTGAGATCGCAAATGACTGTGGCCTTAGAAGTGTGTTTGAGACATTAAATCTCCATATGTTCTGGATTAAAGTCAAGATGGAATATCCTGGGATTGTCACAAAACCACTGAAAAGCCTACTTCCATTTCCAACCTCCTATCTTTGTGAAGCAGGGTTTTTTGAGTGACAGCAACCAAAATAAGATTCCAGAGTAGACGGTACATAGCAACATACTTTGGGTGTTACTGTCTCCCAACAGTGTCCCATCTGTCACCCCCAGATGGGACCATCTAGTTGCAGGACTATAAGCTCAAGGCTCCCACTGATTCTACTTTATGGTGAGTTGTATAATTATTTCATTATACATTACAATGTAATAATCATAAAAATAAAGTTCACAATAAATATAATGCCCTTGAATCATCCCTAAACCATCCCCCTACCCCATTCATGGAAAAGTTGTCTTCAGTGAAACTGATCCCTGGTGCCAAAAAGGTTGGAGACTGCTGACTTAGAACTTTCTCAAGTCCTTTAACCACCATCAAATTATTCACTTGTTGCTAGCAGGGCATAAGATTTTTTTACAGTTCCTTTTATTTGTTTGATCCAAGCACTGTAGTTTTCATCACCTCACTTTTTATAAAGGGTGAGGTGCTAGAATCCTATAGTATCTTAGAAGGTACAGGAGATACTGGATGGGAGATGCTATAATCTACATTCGTGATTAATGGTATCATTAGCACCAGTCTGCAAATGGAGACCAGACCGAGTCTTTAACGTTAGAGTTAACAGCCCGTAAACTGGGTACTCACTCAATGAATAACTGCAATAAAACATAAAGGGTAGAAAGAAGAAGATAAGCATTGATTATAATTTTAAGACATAAAGAGGCAGACATCTAATCAAATATAGATTACAAACAGCTGCACCAAGGAAAAGATCAAATTTCGGGGAAAGGAGGAACATGATCCTCTCTGGACTGAAAGATGGGAATAGGCTCAGATGTGTCAATGTGGGAGCTCGCAACGGGTCACCAGGTCACCCTAGCTCTGGGTTAACGGGAATCAGGGCCTGATCTTTAGATCCTGGAGCGATGAAACCTTTATGGCCCCCCCCCACCCCCACCCACCTTCAAAAACACCATATCGTATACGATGTGTAAAAAAAAAAATCCCATGATAATCCAATTTTCCATATAAATATTGTTTTTAATATTTTTCTCATTTTATGATGCTTGTTTTGACATAACTTAGCTTGCCTAATAGACACCTCTTCTATAAGGAGGACTTGGTCATATGCCCACAGTCAGGAAGCACTGTTAGACCCTCTGATTCTGAGGAAATTGAATACCATATATTCTCATCGACAGTGGGAATCTAATTAGAAATCGAAGATGAATTTAAGATTTGAGCTACAATTTCTGTGGCACTCACTCCCAAGGCTACTGGACCTTTTTGTTCACTTTTCAAATTGAAAATGGAAGCACGAGATGGTCTTGGGGATCTCTTCCTGAAGTTTTACACGGTCATGAATCTAAGAGCACATTTACAAAGGGCCATGGAAGGAGAAAGAAACGGGGTTCTAAATATGCTTCCCCTTCCCCTTCCCCTCAAAATAGCATTTTGGCCATAAGCTCACAGTTCTTCTCACCCTAGGGCACTCTCTGCCCCTTCACTCTTTCAGAGTTCTTACCCCAGGGCATAGGCATCCACACCCCAAGTTTATTGCAAATGAGAGTTTTAGTCATCTAGACACTTCTTCTAGATCAAGTCTGTGGGGCAGAAAATGAGAAAAGTCCCATATTGGAAGTCTGAATTCATATCCCCATAGAATCATTGTTATGCCGCTGGGTTGAGTTTTCTATTATTTCATTGTGTTAAGGATTAAATAAGCATTTGGGAACATAATTTCTATTTAGAAGATTAATTCCAAAGGAAGCTGTATTCTGAGTTCCAAACAGTGAAGCTAAGTCACAAAGAAAATTAACAAGTTCACTTTCAGTGAATATATATAGCACAGTTTTAAATTTGAATAATATATAGGAGAGGAGGGAACCTTAAAGTTTTAATATGGCCCTGCCAGGGTTAGGGTGGCAGCAATGGAAATGCAAAGAAGGTGATGATGAGTCATCGCAGAGGTAAACGAACTCCGCAAGACAGCCACAGAGTGTAGGAGGAGAAAGCAGAGGACGACTCAAAGATGACTACAACATTTAGTGTTTGGTGAGTATTACCAGAAAGGGAACAGGTAAGTCAGGAGGAAAGGCGTGAGCATATTTTGGGCCACAGTAGCTTTAAAAATATCTAGTTTAAAGTTATCTACTGAACTTTAAAAAGTTCAGTAGGTGGTCGGGCAGGAAACTGGGAGAGAAACCAGACCTTCAGAGTCATCTATATAGATGTGTGAGTTAAACCTGTATGAGAATGGAAGTGGCTAATAAAGAAAATAGAACATCACTAGAAAGGAAGCAATGTTATGCTCCTTAAATGTCATATAATTTTTTCTTATTTTCATCCTCACAGGATTAAAGCCTTGCTACTTCTCATTATGTGTATGGGAGAGGACTGAATATAGATAATTCAGTGAGGATGTGTGAATGGGAGGCAGAAAAGACAGCACAAGTGTAGAAAAACATTTCTTTTATCATTTTCCCAGTGGCTTGTATGAGAACCTGGATTCTTCCTGAATACAATTATGGGCAGTCTGTTTCCAGGTTCTATGGAAAATAGGTTAACATGTTTCTGAAGATGTCTCACTCCTGTGTGTGGGCAGAATGTGAGAGGATAACAGAGTGGTCCCAAGGACACTGTGGGAAGAACAGGTAGGCTGAAAGCCGTGATTCAGAAGACAACTAAGTCATCACTCAACTATGGCAGGAAGATGTCACCAAAAAGCCACAGATGAAGACATAAGTGAACCAGAGTCACCTTCAGTTGGGGTAAAACACAGGGTGGAGGAAAAAAATGGGGAAAATACATGGGGGTGTTACAATAGCCATGTTACCTGTTTCACAATTTTGTTGTGTCATTTTATGTGAAAACATTTTAGAAAGAAGTTTGAGGAGACTGGTTTAGGAGCTGTTAATCTGATGACCACATGAAGCCTGTCCTAATATCTTTTTAAATGTCTATAAGATGCAGAATAAGTGAAATATTCTATGAGAATAAAAGTAAGTTGATGTCAGAATCTTAGAGGGTTTGATTCCAATTATAAGTCTAATGAAGCTGAGCTGAGTGAAAATATTCTATCCTTATCTCCCAGTACACCCTGGCCACTTCCTGAAAAGGAGATGAACTGAATAAAAAAAAATGAGAAGTATTCATATTTTTATGTCCTTTGTCTATGATTCTGCTACCCAGGTTCAGTACCAACAGAAAGGCTAAAGTGCTTCTCTACCATTTGGAAATGAATCTGGATCCAATGAGCCCAAGCACTAATCTTCCCATTTGCCTCCCTCTACTCCCTCCCCACACCCATCAACCAATTGTGTTTATTTTCCCCATCTTTCTACAATCAGGCAATCCAGAAAATTAACCCAGAAATTAAGTTGACAGAAAACAGTGGGGAATAAGTAGTGGCAGCATGCTTTCGGAGAAGCGAAGCTCCATGAAACTAATGTCATTGTGAATATAAAAGAAATACCCTAGTTGAATGAGATCATGGAAATTACACTCTTTCCATCACATTATATCTCAAAATACCAAAGAAGCAGATAATACAAGTAGAAGAATACCAAAACAATGGTTGAAAAAAAATTACACCAAGATTTATTCAAATCTCTCCTCCAACCCCAACCTCCACTGAAATGGTTCGTTCTGAGGCTAACTTATATGTTAGGAAATTCATTTTTATAGGTATAAATCTAACTTTTTCTCCCCTCCAAATGAATAACAAACCACCATTTGTTGACTAATCCAATTTCCTATTAAATGGGATGCTTCCTTTATCATTTACTTTATTTCATATATATGTTGGTCAGGTTCTGAATTCTTCACTCTGTTTTCTGTTTTTCTTTCATTCAAACATTAATTGAGTTCCTAGTATGTGCCTCGTGCTGTTTCAGGTGCTTAGATACATCAGTGAACAAAAAGATCCCTGTCCTCATTCAAGCTTATATGATAGCAGGGGAAGACAAATAATACACAATAAGCATAATAGCTAAGTAATTTACCTGATATGTTAGAAAGTGATCATTGTTATGAAAGAAAAAGAAAAAAGATAATAAGAGCAAAGGAGGTTCTGGGAGCTGGGGAAATTACCATCTGAAATTGAGTGGTAAGCCTAGGCCTTATTAGCAAAGACTTGAAGGAGGTGAGAGAATTAACAAAGAAAATACCTGGAAAAATAGTATTCAGGAAGCAAACATATCAAGAGCAAATTTCTTAATTCTGAGTTATGCATAGTGAGTTTAAGGTATAGCAAGGAGTCCAGAGTAGTTGGAGTGAGAGGGTAAAGAAAAAGAACGATAATGATAGATAAAGCAGATTACGTGGGGTATTGTAGGCCATTGAGAGGATTTTGGCTTTATTCTGGTGAAATGGGTAATTGCTACAGTGTTTTAAGCTGTAGGAATATATAATCAGACTTACTTTTTCAATGTATCACTGTGGCTAATTATCTGAAAATAATTTTGTATGAGTACCAGGAGAGAAGTAGGGAGACCTATTAGAAAAAAATTGAAGTAATCAGGAAAGAGATGATGGTGGTACCTACCAATCAGCAATGTAGGCAGAGAGAAGTAATTCAGATCCCACGTATATTTTGAAAGTAAGGCTACCAGACTGTCTTAATGGATTGGATGTGGGGTATGAATAAGAAACTGTCTGAAATGACTCAAGGTTTCTTGGCTTGAGCAACTGGGATGAGCTGATAACCTGTAATTGCTCAGCTGCAATGGAAAAGGCTGCTGATACAGCAGGTCTTTGCGTGCGTGCGTGCGTGCGTGTGTGTGTGTGTGTGTGTGTGTATGAGAGAGAGAGAAAGCAGGGGTTTGTTGTTTAGGACATGTTGAGTTTGAGATGTCTATAAGACATTCAATTGGAATAATTCGTTGACAGTTGAATATATGAGTTGGAGTTGGAGAAAGGAATCTGAGCCAGAGATATAAATGTGGGGTTCACTGGCAAATAAATATTTAAAGCCATGGATAAACATAAGATCACCACAGTAGACAATGTAGATACAGCTGGGAAGAGGAAAAGGGCTCAACTGTGGAGCATTCCTACACTAAAAGCATGAGAAAAGGAAAACCCTGCAAAGGAGTGAGTGGCTAGTGGAGCAACAGAAAATTCTGGAAGCCATGTGAAGAAAACTTACCAAAGCAGTAGTGAGAGATGACAGCGTGCTGGCAGTCCTCACAGCCCTCACTCGCTCTCTGCGCCTCCTCTGCCTGGGCTCCCACTTTGGCGGCACTTGAGGAGCCCTTCAGCCCACCGCTGCACTGTGGCAGCCCCTTTCTGGGCTGGCCAAGGCCGGAGCCGGCTCCCTCAGCTTGCAGGGAGGTGTGGAGGGAGAGGCGCCAGCGGGAACCGGGGCTGTGTGTGGCGCTTGCGGCCAGCTGGAGTTCCGGGTGGGCGTGGGCTTGGCGGGCTCCGCACTCGGAGCAGCCGGCCGGCCCTGCCGGCCCCGGGCAATGAGGGACTTAGCACCCGGGCCAGCGGCTGTGGAGGGTGTACTGGGTCCCCCAGCAGTGCCAGCCCACTGGTGCTGCGCTCCATTTCTCACCGGGCCTTAGCTGCCTTCCCGCGGGGCCGGCCTCGGGACTGCAGCCCGCCATGCCTGAGCCTTCCCCCGCCTCCGTGGGCTCCTGTGCAGCCCAAGCCTCCCCGACAAGCGCCGCCCCTGCTCCACGGCACCCAGTCCCATCGACCACCCAAGGGCTGAGGAGTGCCAGCGCATGGCATGGGACTGTCAGGCAGCTCCACCCGCAGCCCTGGTGTGGGATCCACTGGGTGAAGCCAGCTGGGCTCCTGAGTCTGGTGGGAACGTGGAGAACATTTATGTCTAGCGCAGGGATTGTAAATACACCAATGGGCACGCTGTATCTAGCTCAAGGTTTGTAAACACACCAATCAGCACCCTGTGTCTAGCTCAGGGTTTGTGAGTGCACCCATTGGACACTCTGTATCTAGCTGCTCTGGTGGGGCCTTGGAGAACCTGTGTGTCCATACTCTGTATCTAACTAATCTGATGGGGACATGGAGAACCTTTGTATCTAGCTCAGGGATTCTAAACGCACCAATCAGCGCCCTGTCAAAACAGACCACTTGGCTCTACCAATCAGCAGGATGTGGGTGGGGCCAGATAAAAGAATAAAAGCAGGCTGCCCGAGCCAGCAGTGGCAACCCACTCAGGTCCCCTTCCACACTGTGGAAGTTTTGTTCTTTTGCTCTTTGCAATAAATCTTGCTACTGCTCACTCTTTGGGTCCACGCTGCTTTTATGAGCTGTAACACTCACCGCGAAGGTCTGCAGCTTCATTCCTGAGCCAGCGAGACCATGAACCCACCAGAAGGAAGAAACTCCGAACATATCCGAACATCAGAAGGAACAAACTCCAGACACGCCACCTTAAGAACTGTAACACTCACCGCGAGGGTCCGCGGCTTCATTCTTGAAGTCAGTGAGACCAAGAACCCACCAATTCCAGACACAGTAGGAGTGATCATATGGCAAATACTGATGATAGAGTCGAGTGAGATGAAAACAAAGATTGACCACCAAGGTTAGCATCATGAAGTTACCAGTGATCTTGAGAGCAGTTTCCACGCAGTGATGTCAAATACCTGTTGGCATGGTTTTAAGAGAAAAGGGAAGGAGAGAATTTGGAGACAGTGAATACAGACAATCCTCTTAAGGAGGTATGTTGCAGAGGGAAGCAAAAAAATTGAGTGGTATTTGTTGAGGGAAGTAGAGTCAAGATACTTTTGTGTGAAGTAATTGGAATGATCCAGTAGAAAGTGAAAAAATGATAATGAAGGAAAAAGAGGAAAGAATTGCTAGAATGTTCTCTTTGAGTAGACAAGTAGAGATAGCAAATAACGAACAAGCAGAGAAACTGGCTTTAGATAGGAATACGGTTAGTTCATCTGAGGTAACAGGTAGGAAGGCGGAGGGAGGTGCCAGTGCTTTTAAGTAAGTAGATGTTGTGGTGGGCATCCATGCAAGTTTTCTTCTGATTGCTTCCATTTTCTCAGTAAAGGAGAAAGCATGGTCATCAGCTGAGCATAAGAGACATGTTGGAGTTTCAGCAAAATGGAAAAAGTCTGAAATAATCATCCTGAAGGCAAAAGACAGATGGACTAAGGATGTAGAGGTTTACCTGACAGCATTAAGGGCCTACTTGAGATTCGTGATCATGAATTTCAAATGCGATCAAGAAACTTGGTTGAGTGTTTTCCTCTAGTCTCCACTTTAGGTGATCAGGTACAGGTTCAGAATAATAGAGAGCTGGACTTCACTAGAAAGTGGTAATAGTTCTGCCAAAAGAATGGTAAAAAGTGAGAGAAAGGCAAAAGAATTAAGGGTGTATGAAAAAGAAGGCTTACAATAATTGCCTACGAAATTTAGGGTGGGAAAAGAGAAAATAAAAATATCAGAGAGAAACAGTGAAAAAGTGGTGTGATCAGTGGAAATGAGAGTTCCAAAGGGGTCAAAAGATTGCTGGGATTACGAAGCTGGAAAGAGTGAGATGGGAGAAGGGAAGAGATGGTGTTTAGAGTGAGAGACATGAAATTCAGGTTATACAGAAGATCCAGTTATTGGTGATGATAAAAGTCATGAGGGCTCCTACAAGGAGCATCGCTGACTGAAGGAGAAGACGTCAAAGAACTGAGTAACCAGTTCTTTGTTATTGAAATCATCAAGAACTAGTGGCAAGAGTTGTGCTAGAATAAATTATACTATTTGAAGTTAAAAGTGTAAAGAAATAAGGAGTGTTAACAATGATGAATCACATAATCTGATTACATGAGACTCAAAATCAGCAAGTTTTAAAATCTTTTAATTTTTTTAATAGACAAATAATAATTATACATATTCACCTAGGTTGATTCCATATCTTGCCTATTGTGAATAGGGCTGCAATGAAACTGGGGATGCAGATGTCAGTTCAATACACTAATTTCCTTTCCTGTGGATAGATTCTCAGGAGTGGGATTGCTGGATCATATGGTAGTTCTAGTTGTATTTTTTTTAAGGAATCTCCATACTCTTCCCATAGTGGTTGTACTACTTTACATTCCCACCAACAGTGTATAAGAGTTCTCTTTTCTTCACATTCTCACCAGCACAAAATCAGTAAGTTTTTAAAAGGAAAAGAGGGAGAATGAGAGAAGCCACAGTGAGCAAAGAGGACAAGACCTGTCCAATTTCCAAGCTCAGTGGGAGGAAAAAACAGCCTGGATGGCTGGGCAATGTTGTCAGGGAAGAGTCATATTTTCATTAGAGCAAGGAGAAAGAAACATTTAAAAACTAGGTTGCAGACGCAGGAGATTTTACTAATAATGGGCCATAAATTACACTGTGGATGCTGTAGAAGAGTTGCCAGAGTAAAGGAGAGGTGGAGAAGGATACAAGGAGTCTAAGAGTAATTAGAATGAGGAGGATAAGAGATGAGCTGGGAGTCTGTGGTGTTTCATGGCACATAACTAGGTATAAAGAGCATAATGAGCTTAATTCTTCATTTGTCCATTCCACCTCATATCCACATTTGCCTTCCAACTGTCAGTTCTCCATTACAGAAAGTGTGATCTTATAAAACTCTGACCACATCATTCTGCTGCTCAAACCCCTTTAACGGCTTCTATTGATCTTAGTATAAAGACCAACATCATTGGTATAATTCACAAAAACCTGCATAGTCTGGCTACCTCTCCAACTCTATACATGCATTTGCTTTGTACATCCTGGTCATGTTGGCCTTTTTAATGTTTCTAAAGCACTAAACTTTCCCCTCTCACAGCCTTTCTATTCCCTTCTGCCTAGAATACCTTCCTCTACACACAACCCCCAGGTTTTGTCTATTTAACTCCCACTTGTCTTTCAGATCTCAACTCAAACTGTCCCCAAATAGGTCAGGTTCTCTTGTTGACAAGATCACAAAACCCTATTTTCATATACTTACACTGGCTTGTAATTATATGTTTGTGACTGTGACTCATGTATCTCAATCTCACCCAGTTTACTGAATGGTAAGCTCCGTGAAGACAAAAAACACGTCTGTTGTTTTTACCATTATATGTCCAGAAACTCACTAACCACCCGACACTTAGTATTGGGTAATAAATATTACTTGGTAATAAATATTTATTAAATGACCTGATCCACAGGACATTGTCCTCATCACTACAACCAGATAAATATCCTTATTCTTTTTTTTTTTTTTTCGTCAGTAGAGGTTTTACTACTTGACTCAAGTAAGGAGGCCATGGGGAGTATTCTCCAAAGCAGTGTCTCTCTGAGGCAAAGTGACAGGAGGGTTTTCTGAGGCCATGGAGAGGGGAGAGGGTGCGTCACCACATGTAGAGGAGGGAGTTTCAGTGGCACACATGCACTGAGCCGTTCTGCCAGTATAAGGTCTCATGAGATGGTCATGAGCTATAGCTCCTCCCTGAGTGGAGATTTTAGCATCGTCATGTCAGGGGCCTTTGAACAAGCACAACTCCCATCTTGAAGGGGGGCTGGGTAAAATGAGGCTGAGACCCACTGGGCTGAATTTCCAGGAGGTTAGGTATTTTAAGTCATAGGAGGTCCGCACAGATACAAGTCATAGAGACCTTGCTGATAAAACAGGTTGTGGTTAAAGAAGGCGGCCGAATCCCACCAAAACCAAGATGGTTTTGACAAGTGACATCTGGTTGATGCGAGTAACATCTGGTTGTCCTCACTGCTGATTATACACTAATTATAATACATTAGCATGCTAAAGGACACTCCCAGGACCACCATGACACTTTACAGATGCCATGGCAATGTCAGGAAGTTACCCTATATGGTCTAAAAAGGAGAGGAACCCTCAGTTCTGGGAATTCCTCCCCCTTCCTTGGAAAACTCATGAGTAATCCTCCCCTTGTTTACCATATAATCAAGAAATAACTATAAGTATCCAGGCTGGACATGGTGGCTCACACCTGTAATCCTAGAACTTTGGGAGGTCAAGGCAGGTGAATCACTTGAGGCCAGGATTTCAAGACCAGCTTAGGCAACATGGCGAAACCCCATCTCTACTAAAAATACAAAAATGTAGCTGGGCATGGTGGCACACTTGTAGTCCTACTTGGGAGGCTGAGGCAGGAGGATTGCTTGAACCCGGGAGGTGAAGGTTGCAGTGAGCTGAGATCGTGCCACTGCACTCCAGTCTAGGTGACAGAGTGAGACTTTATCTCAAAAAAAAAAAAAAAAAAAAACAAGGCCAGTGCCGTGGCTCATGCCTGTAATCCCAGCACTTTGAGAGGCTGAGGCAGGTGGATCACTTGAGGTCAGGCATTCGAGACCAGCCTAGCCAACATGGTGAAACCCTGTTTCTACTAAAAATACAAAAAATTAGCCAGGTGTGGTGGTGCATGCCTGTAATCTCAGCTACTCGGGAGGCTGAGGCTAGAGAATTGCTTGAACCTGGGAGGCAGAGGTAGTAGTGAGCCAAGATCATGCCACTGCACTCCAGCCTGGGTGACAGAGTGAGACTCCGTCTCAAACAAACAAACAAAGAGCTGGTTTAAAGAAAGAAGGTCACCGCATTCCACCCGGGATTTGGGGAAGAAGAGGCTGCCTAGCAGTAGGCTGTAAACTAGGCTGATTGCTCAAGTTGATTGGATTCCTGTAATCCCGGGAGACTCTACCTGTCTGCCTACAGAGATTTGAACTCGCTTAGATAAGCAGCTGGCTGCACCCACAGTTCACAAGGAAAACTCACATTCAGAAGGCAAAACACATTCCCAAGCTTGGGCTGAAATGGAGCCCCAGAGCAGATCCAGCCCCATTGCCAAGGCAGGGACGTGTAAGAATTTAACTCTGGGAAGTTAACATGCCCACCTCTCCCTCACAGTGTGGAAATACCCCCTCCTTCAAGACTTCAAGACTTTCATTTTCATCTGAAAGGGTCTCTCACCCACAGAGTCAACTTAAGGTTCTGACATATGAACACTGTCAAATTCATAAACCTTTCTCCAGGAGGCAATCCAAACAAGTCTTTGTCTAAGCACAAACTTCACAGACTTTATATATATATATTTTTTTAGAAACGGGGTCCTGCTCTGTCACCCAGGCTGGAGTGCAGTGGCAGGATCATAGTTCACTATAGTCTTGAATTCCTAGGCCCAAGCGATCCCCTGGCCCCAGCTTCCTGAGCAGCTGGGACCACAGGCACCCACCACCACACCACACCTGGCTAATTTGTTTGCATTCCTTCAGAGACAAGGGGTCTTGCCATGTTGCCCAGGCTGGGCTCAAACTCCCGGGCTCAAGTGATCCTCCCACCTCAGCTTCCCAAAGTGCTGGGATTACAGGTGTGAGCCACCACACCCAAGCCACAGATTTTCTTAAGGGATATGAAGACTGTTCTTCACGGTGCTGCATGTTATATATTCTGTAAAAAGACATGTAAAACACGTATCTAGTCCGGGCATGATGGCTCATGCCTGCAATCCCAGCATCTCTGGAAGCAGAGGCGCGCAGACCACATGAGGCCAGGAGTCTGAGACCAGCCCAACCAACATGGTGAAACCCCATCTCTACTAAAAATACAAAAATTAGCTGGGCATGGTGGTGCACACCTGTAATCTCAGCCACTTGGGAGGCCGAGGAAGGAGAATCACCTGAACTCAGGAGGCAGAAGTTTCAGTGAGCCAAGTTCATGCCACTGCACTCCAGCCTGGGGGACAAAGCGAGATTCCATCTCAAAAATAATAATAATAATAAATAGAGTAATTGTTAAAATTGAAAACGTTCCTGTATTTTCCAGACTACTAACATTTCCATCCAGTGTGCATTCTTCAATTTACATCGTCCATCTCCACAATACCCAGCCTTCTTATGTTGCCCAGGCTGGTCTCAAACTCCTGGGCTCAGGTGATCCCCCTGCCTCAGCCTCCAAAAGCACTGTCTGCGCCTGGCTAAATGAGTTTTTTTCATGTTGTCAAAGGCAATTTAAAAAAGTAAAGACTTTACCACATTGTTTAGAGTCAAAGGGTTTTTCTCTAGTGTGAGTCATTTCATGTCTCCTCAGGGAACTGCCACATCCGAAGGCCATACCACACCTTTTACAGTCATATGGCTTTTCTCAACTATGAGTTTTTTCATGTCTTCGAAAACAACTGGGATAATTGAAGGTTTTACCACGTTTATTACATTCATAAGGTCTCTCTCCAGCATGAGCTCTTTCATGTGCTTGAAGGGACATGGGACATCTAAGACTTGGTCACATTTTTGACGTTCATAGAGTTTTCCTCCACTATGGGTCCTTTCATGTCTGCGAAGGGAACTGGAACGACTGAGTTTCTTCCCACATTCCTGACATTGGTGGGATTTCTCCAGCGTGAGTTCTGATTTCATGTGTCTGAACGTAAGTTGTACCACATTCTTTACATTTGTGAGGTTTTTCTCCAGGATGACATGAATTTGAAATAAAGTGGGATAATCAAAAGGTTCTCCACAGTATTTACATTCATAGCGGTTTTCTCCAGTGTGCATTTTTCCATGTTTTCGAAAGTAACTGGAAATAGTAAAGGCTCTCATGATTTTCCTACATTTATAGGCCGTCTCTCCAGTGCGAGTTCTTTCATGAATTTGAAATAAATTGGGAGAATTAAGGGCTTTCCCGCACACCCTGCATTCATAAGGTTTCTTTTGAGTTGGTGTTACTGTGCGCCTTGGACCACTATTGGGGGAAATGGAGGCTTTCCCACATTGTTTCTGTTTACAGGGCTTCTCTCCCCATTCCCCATCACACTGGTAGCGTTTCTGTCTGGCGTGAGCTCTCATGTCCCTGTCCAGGAATGAATGACAGAGGAAGACTTTCCCACACACGCTGCATTTGCATGGTTTTACCCCAGTATGACTTTTCTTCTTCAGGTGACAATCAGGAATCTGGCTGAAGGGTTCACCATGTTGACTCCCTTCTTTATGTCCACAGAATCTCTCACCCAGACTTTGACAGAGGCCAGGTTCCTGAGGGTTTCCAGCATCACATCTCTGTAGAGATTCTTCTGGGAAGGACTCAGCAAAGCCCACTCCTCCTGGGTGAAGTTCATAGCCACATCTTCAAAGGCCACTGAGTCCATTTCCGGCTTCTGGGTGTCCTGGGTCCTCCCTGGGGCTGGAGCAGCCGGAGCAGGTTCCACGTGACAGAAGCTGTGGTATCTGGACACCAGGGGCCTCCCCAAGGAACTGAAACCCGGACCCGAGTGGGGCCCATGCCTAAATATCCTTATTCTTATGCCATCAATATCACTGCTCCTCCTTCTTATTGATAGGAAAATTGGATGGTAGAAAAGCATTAGAAATAAGATTTCAGCTTTCCTTAGACTCCAACATTTCTTAATATCAGAAACTATTACAAATGAATAACAAAAATATTAACATACCAAAAGAAAAATAAGTATATCACAGGTACTTCATTAAAAAAGAAATATAAGTGGCCACTAAACACACAAAAGATTAACTCCACTAGTAATCAAGGAACATAAAAACACAAAGAACACTACTACTGTAGAGATAACAACTACAAGTTATTTTTCTATTTTTCTTGAAATTCGTATTTCTGAAAAATAATTGTTAACCAGTAGTAAAGCTTGAAAATTTTTACACTGTAGAAATGAACAGAGAAGAAATTTCAGTGTCTAGTAATGCTGGCCCAGTAGCCGACTAAATCTCCTGCTTAAAACAACTTTTTAAAAATAAGATGAAATAAAGAACAAGGTACAAATAAGATAGTATGGAATTACCAGGCCACAGAGAAGAGAAAAGAACAACCAAGAGAATCAAGGGAATATGAAAGATGTGTTTGCATCTACCAAACTCTGAAATTTTAAACTTTCATTTTTACAACCTCTCAGGTCAAAAGGAATAGAAATCAAAGCTCTGTCTCTCACAAAATAACAGTCTGTTTGGAGACCCTCACTACAAAGAAAAAAAAAAAAACACTGGGACTCCAAAAGACTACATATTTAGGATTAGGGACAACAATACTTAAACCAGCCTTTCAACCATAGTCTTGTTGTCCAGGTTTTCATCACTTGTGTCAGCCAGGAAACCTCAGGTCTTCAACATAGATTAAGGGTATCCCAAACTTGCTGAGACTTCAGCTCCCTGGTATAAGGAACGTAAGTCTTCTTTGGAGGAAGGTACCTTTATCTTAGCCTCAAAATATTCCTACAAACAATTTCTCAAGACCATTAGATAAGAAGGTGCACATGCATACACACACACACGCACACGCTTGCACACACACACAAAGACAACTTGAGAAAACCACAAAAATAAAAAACAGATCCTTTAAGACTTTATTTTTATTTTTTGAGACAGGATCTCACTCGTGTTGCCCAGGCTCGAGTACAGTGATGCAATCTTGGCTCACTGCAACCTCCGCCTCCCAGGTTCAAGTAATTCTCCTGCCTCAGCCTCCCAAGTAGCTGGGACTACAGGTACACGCCACCATGCGTGGCTGATTTTTGTATTTTTAGTAGAGATGGGGTCTTGCCATGTTGGCCAAGGTGGTCTCAAACTCCTGGCTTCAAGTGATCCACCCACCTCTGCCTCCCAAAGTGCTGGGGCTACAGGCTTGAGCCACTGCGCCCGGACTGGATCCTTTAAGACTTTAGATAATGGAATTACCAGACTCATAATGTGGCAGCATAACCTTAGCATCAACACTCATGCAAAATAGTATGAAAAAGGCAAAATGAAGGCCAATATTACTCATGATCCAGTAGCAAAAATCCTAAAAAGAATTTGAGCAAATAAAATCTAACAATATAGAAAAATGCCTACTATAGCAGGAACAAATTAGGTTTATCCAAATAATGTGAAGTGAGTTTAACATTGGAATTGTCTGTGTTGAGATCAGAAATACTCAGGCATTTAATGGATAAGACTTCCTCTAGACAAACTTCAATATAACTATGACTGTATTATATCTTCACTTCTATAGTTGACCTTTCCTTTTTGAAAGCTCCTTCTTGAATTAGATATGTCATAAAATATTAATATCTTCAAATATGTTATAGCATAGATTGCAAAGTTGAGACTTTGGATCAAATTCAACTCACAGATTGTTTACTTTGGCCTTCAGTGTTTTAAAGAAATTGAACACAACATTTACAAATTGGAAAACTTCAATGAATCTAGATTTTTGGCTTCTCTCAAAAAACGAGACTATCTGACAAAACTGGGCTTTTCTTTTCACCTGGCAACAATCAACTACACCTGAGGAATGGCTGCCCCATCTAGCTAGAGTGTGTGTTCTCCTGTTTGCCATAGTCCCTGCCACTCCAGCCACGTGTCACTTGCCATTAACCTGTGTGTGTTCTTCCATCCCCCAATAGTAAACTCGAAAGAAAAACAAATCTTTATTGTTCTATCTCTCAGATGAGGGAAAACAGAAAATTGGACAAAGAGGTACCAACCTGTCAAGAAAAATGGGAAAAGTACACATATTTGTGAGAGAATATTACTTCCTATTTAGTTTGCTACTACCTGGTCACCTTTACCCCTTTATATTACCTGCTTGACCCTGTATGTAGAAGTTTGTAACTTCTAAGTTATAGTCACTTTCAAATTGCCTAGGAGTGGCCTACCTCTTTTTAGTGATTTTCTGTATTTATGCTGTATGTGTTAGGTGTTAACCTTTCAATTTAATTTTCAGAATGTAGTCTCATTTCCTTAATTCCCAAGTTCCAGGAAGCACTTTACTAGCCCCCAAACGCTGATAAAACTTCAAAGTAGCAGGGGGGTCTTTCCAAGACAGTGGATTGGAAGTTTTGTTAGCACATTTCACTTTCTTAGAAAGAGCAAAATAGTGTGTAGAGATTCACAGTGTGAATTTTTATTCAGAAAGGAACATAGGAGCACAACAGAAAAAAATGAAAAAAACTTCAAATACGTTGAAAGCAGCCCATGCCATTCTTGATCCTAATTCATAGGCAGCCTTGCAGAAATTTGCCAGGCAACTTAAGCTGTGGTCACAGGTTGGGAGAGAATCCCAACTGGGATCGGCAATCTAAAGTGAGGACAAACCCTCATGGCCAGAACTGAGAGTCAACTGGGTAATGGGCTCTTGCCGCAGGTGCAGGAACTGGGCATACCCTCACTTCGCAGGCCCAGACCAGCCAAGGTGTTGTCTGGGAGCCACTTTCTGTCCAGAGCAGAGAGTCTTGCAGCCTGGGGCAATTTTACAAACTGAGCACATACTGCTTGGGACTCAGATGACTTTTTCAGCTTCCTGCCAGCAGTGGGCTGTTGGTGGGAGACCCACCAGGTCAAGGCCTGAAAGCTACTGGGGTCCCACTACTGCCTGCTGGGCTGTGAAGCGTAGGCTCCACTCTCTCCTCATGAGGGCTCTTTTGTACAGCAGAGGTGATTCCACTCCTTCCTTGGAACACTGCCCCAGCAAACAGGAAACTGCCCTCAGACCCTCGTTGGGGCTGCTACTGTGCTCACCATTGGGAAACCTGAATGCAGACTTGCCTGACCCAGCTTTGCCTGCCTACCCACCTTGGTGGCAGAACATGGGACAGGGACCCCTAGGAGTTCCATGGCCCAGGTGATATGCTGGGACTTCTGAGTACTTCTCCTGGCTAACAAAGGTCAAACATAAATCCCACGGCCACTGTCACAGCTGTCTCTCTCCTGCAAGTGCAACCTACTGGCCAGGAGGTCAACCTGCACAGCCCATTATAACATCTACTGACACAATCACACAACCCTCAGGAAGAAGAAATCCTTTATGGACCTCAGCTACCACCATTGCCCACACCATCCTGGCTACTTAGGAGGCCTTGAGTCCCTTCAAGTACGTTACTACTACAGCTGGCATCTGAGAAAGCCACCACACTAAGGCCATTTATAACAAAGGAAATTTCACAGAACCTACACCACTCTCCGACTACCCCAATCAGGGCTGGTGTTTGCACCTGCCATTTGATGGACCTGAGAGCAAATGAGCCTCGTGCAGCTTCACCCAGCTTTGCCTAGCTCTGAGAGCAGAGCCTAGGCCATTGTGGAGTCCCACAATGTGGTCCATGGCCTGAGGCATCAAGAGAGCTTCTTTAGGTAAAAAAAGATCAAACACACACCCTACTGCTACCACTGCAGCTGACTCTTACCTGCCAATGCCACCTACTGGCCTGGAGGTCAAACTGCACAACCCAATACAAAAATCTGTTGACACCATGCACAGTGCTTGGGAATGTTGGGAATGAGAAAAGTTTCTCAAGACCTCCACCTTCCCATCTCTGCAGGTGGCCAAGAGTCTACTTACATGTCCAGTACACTGTTACTACAACTAGCATTTGAGAAAACCACCACACTGAGGCTATGTATAAGCAAGGAACTCATACAGAGTATTTGCCACCTGACAGCACTCACAAGCAAAAGAAACTATCATCAGAGTGAACAGGCAACCTACAGAATGGAAGAAAATTTTTGCAATCTACCCATCGGACAAAGGTCTAATATCCAGAATCAACAAGGAACTCAAACAAATTTACAAGAAAAAAACAACCCCATCAAAAAGTGGGCAAAGGATATGAACAGACAGTTCACAAAAGAAGACATTTATGCGGCCAACAAACATATGAAAAGAAGCTCAACATCACTAATCATTAGAGAAATGCAAATCAAAACCACAATGAGATACCAACTCATGCCAGTCAGAATGGCAATTATTAAAAAGTCAAGAAACAATAGATGCTGGCGAGAGTGTGGAGAAATAGAAATGTTTTTACACTGTTGGTGGGAAGGTAAATTAGTTCAACCATTGTGGAAGACAGTGTGGAGATTCCTCAAGGATCTGGAACCAGAAATACCATTTGACCCAGCTATTCCATTACTGGATATATACCCAAAGGAATATTAATCATTCTACTATAAAGACACATGCACACGTATGTTTATGGCAGCACTATTTACTATAGTGAAGATGTGGAACCAATCAAATCCCATCAATGATAAACTGGATAAAGAAAATGTGGTACATATACATATACATATACATATACGCCATGGAATACTATGCAGCCATATAAAGGAATGAGATCATGTCCCTTACAGGGACATGGATGAAACTGGAAACCATCATCCTTAGCAAACGAACACAGGAACAGAAAACCAAACACCACATGTTCTCACTCATAAGTGGGAGTTGAACAATGAGGACACATGGACGTAGGGAGGGGAACAACACACACTGGTGCCAGTAGAGGGTTGGGGGGCAAGGGGAGGGAGAGCACTCAGACAAATAGCTATGCATGCAGGGCTTAAAACCTAGATGATGGGCTGATAGGTACAGCAAACCACCATAGCACACATATACCTATGTAACAAACCTACACGTTCTGCACTTGCATCCTGGAACTTAAAGTAAAATAAATTAATAATAATAATAAGAGCCATCTATGACATACACACAGTCAACATCATACTGAATGGGGAAAAGCTAAAAGCATTCCTCCTAAGCACTGGCATGAGACAAAGATGCCCACTTTCACCACTTCTATTCAACATAGTACTGGAAGTTCTGGCCAGAGCAATCAGACAAGAGAAATAAATAAAAGACATCCAAATTGGAAAAGAAGTTGAATTATTTCTGTTTGCTGACAATATAGTCTTGAGCCTAGAAAACCCTAAAGACTCTTCCAAAAGATTCCTAGATTTGATAAATGAATCCAGAAGTTTCAGGATAAAAAAATCAACATAGAAAAATAGGTAGCATTTCTATACAACAATAATGATCAAACTAAGAAACAAATCAGTAACTAAATTCCATTTACAACAACTACTACAAAAAATCCATTTAACTAAAGAGGTGGAAGATGTACACAAGAACTATAAAACATCGAATTTATAGCTTCATTGTAATTCCTATCAAAATACCAATGTCCTTATTCACGGTTAGAAAAAACAATCCTAAAGTTCATTTCAAAAAAGAGCCCAAATAGCCAAAGCACTCTTAAGCAAAAAGAACAAAGTTGGAGGCATCATAGTACTTGACTTCAAATTATACTACAAGGCTGCAGTAACCAAAAAAAGCATGTTATTGATATAAAAATAGACACATAGATCAATACAACAGAATAGAGAACCCATAAATAAAGTCACATACCTACACACAACTGATCTTCAACAAAATCAACAGAAACTTAAACTGAAGGAGGGATACCCTAATTCAATAAATAGTTCTGAGAAAACTGGATAGCCATCTGCGAAACAATGAAACTAGATCCCTATCTCTCACTATATACAAAAATTAAGATGGAGTAAAGACTTAAATATATTACCTGAAACTATAAAAATTCTAGAAGAAACCCTAGAAAACTTCCTTTGGACATTGGCTTAGGTAAATGTAACAAAAACAAAAATAGACAAAAGGGACTTAATTAAACTAAAAAGCTGCTGCACAGCAAAAAAAAAAAAAAGAAAGAAAGAAAAAAGAAAATTATGAACAGAGAGAACACGCAACCTATGGGATGTGAGAAAATATTTGTAAACGATACAGCCAACAAAGGACTAATATCCAGAAGCTACAGGGAACTCAAACAAGAACAACAAAAAAAGCAAATAGCTGGGCACGGTGGCTCACGCCTGTAATCCCAGCACTTTGGGAGGCTGAGGCAGGCAGATCACCTGAGGTCGGGAGTTCGAGACCATTACGACTAAAATGGTGAAACCCCGTTTCTACTAAAAATACAAAAAATTAGCCAGGCGTTGTGGCACGCAACTGTAATCCCAGCTACTCAGGAGGCTGAGGCAGGAGAATCGCTTGAACCCGGGAGGCGGAAGTTGCAGTGAACCCAGATCTCGCCATTGCACTCCAGCTTGGGCAACAAGAGTGAAACTCTGTCTACAAAAAAAAAAAAAAAAAAAAAAAAAGCAAATAAAATCTCCCCATTAAAAACTGGGCAAATAATACGAACTGACATTTTCCAAAGGAAGACATGCAAATGTCCAACAAGCATATGAAAAGATGCACATCACTAATCATCAGAGAAATGCAAATTAAAACCACGATGAGATACCATCTCACACTAGTCGAGATGGTTATAACTAAAAATTCAAAAAATAACAGATGTTGGTGAGGATGCAGAGAAAAGGGAACACTTACATACTGTTGGTGGAAATGTAACTTAGTACAACCTCTACGAAAAACAGTATGGATATTTCTCAAAGAACTAAAAATAGAACTACCATTCAATCCAGCAATACCGCTACTGGGTATCTACACAAAAGAAATCATTACATCCAAAAGTTATCTGCATTTGTATGTTTATTGCAGCACTGTTCAAAATAGCGAAGATATGGAACTACCTTAAGTGTCCATCAATGGAGATGACTGGTTAAAGAAAATGTGCCATATATACACCATGGAATACTGCTTAGCCATAAAACAGAATGAAATGATGCCTTTTGCAGCAACATGGATGAAACTGGAGGCTATTATCTTAAGTGAAATAACTCAGAAACAGAAAGTAAAATACCACATGTTCTGAATTATAAGCGAGAGCTAAATAATGTGTATACATGGACCTAGACTGTAGAATAATAGACACTGGAGAACAGGAAAGTGGGAGGGATGAGAAATTACTTTCGGGGGACAATGTACACTATTCAGGTGATGGTTACACCAAAAGACCAGATTTTACCACTAAGCAAAATATCCATGTAACAAAACCCCACTTGTATTCCCAAATCTATTTTTTAAAAAGTTGAACCTAAACTGAAATCCAGTTAATACCTTTGTTCTTTTTTTCTTCCCTTATCTTTTCCCCAGAAATAAGCTGTTACTGAATCTGAAAAAAAAAAAAAACATAAACAGAATTTTTTTTTTGAGGCGGAGTCTCGCTCTGCCGCCAGGCTGGAGTGAAGTGGCACAATATCGGCTCCGCAACCTCCGCCTCTCGGGCACAAGCGATTCTCTTGCCTCAGCCTCCTGAGTAGCTGGGACTACAGGTACATGCCACCACACCCAGCTAATTTTTATATTTTTAGTAGAGACAGAGTTTCACCATGTTGGCCAGGATGGTCTCCATCTCTTGACCTCATGATCTGCCCGCCTCGGCCTCCCAAAGTGCTGGGATTACAGGTGTGAGACACCGTGCCGGGCCATGAACAGAAATTTTTATATTGTGTTCACAACATCTAATAGTAAGTTGGAGTCTCAAGTGGAAGTTGATCTTCATAAACTTATGTTCAAACTACAGGCATACCTCAGAGATATCACAAGTTCAGTTGCAGACTACCACAGTAAAGCAAATATCAGAATAAGGGGAATCACATAAATTTTTTTGGCTTTCCAGAGCATACAAAAGTTATGTTTACACTATACTGCAGTCTATTAAGTGTGCAATAGAATTATATCTAAAAAATTCACATACCTTAATTAACAAACACTTTATTGCTTAAAAAAGCGTTAGCAATCATCTGAGCCTTCAGTGAGTCAGAATCTTTTTGCTGGTGGAAGGTTTTGCATGGATGTTGATGGCTGCTGACTAATCAGTGTGAAGATCGATGAAGGTAGTAGTGGTCTGGTAATTTCTTAAAATAAGACAACAGTTAAGTTTGTCACATCAATTGACTCTTCCTTTCACAAAAGATTTCTCTGTAGCATGCAATGCTGTTTGCTAGTATTTTATCCACAGTAGAACTTCTTTCAAAACTGTAGTCCTCCTAAACCCTACTTCTACTTTATCAACTAAGTTTATGTAATATTCTAAATAATTTCTTGTCATTTCAACAATGTTCACAGCCTCTTTACCAGGAATAGATTCTATCTCAATAAACTGCTTTCTCTGCTCATCCATAAGATGCAACTCCTCATCCATTCAAGTTTTATCATAAGTGTGCAGTAAGTCACTCACATCTTCAGGATCCACTTTTAATTCTAGCTTTCTTGCTATTTCTTCCACATCTGCAGTTACTTCCAACTCAGAAGTCTTGAATCCTTCAATGTTATCCATGAGGGTTGGAATCAACTTCTTCCACACTCCTGTTAATGTTGACATTTTGGCCTTCTCCAATGAATCATGGATGTTCTTAATGGCAAATATAATGGTAAATCCTTCCCTTGAGGATTTTGATTTAATTTGCCCAGGTCCATCAAAGAAATCTCTTTCTATGGCAGCTATAACTTTATAAAATTTATTTCTTAAATTGTAAGACTTGAAAGTTGAAATTATTCCTTCATCCATTGGCTACAGAATTAGCTGTGTTAGTAGGCATGAAAAAAAATTAATATCCTCATACATCTCCATGAGAACTCTTGGGTGACCAAGTGCATTGTCAATGAGCAGGAATATTTTGAAAGGAATTTTTCTTTTTTCTGAGCAGTAGCCCAAAAGTGGGCTTAAGATATTCAATAAACCATGCTGTAGACAAATGTGTTCTGTTTTCTTCCATTTCTAGAGCACAGGCATATTAGATGTAACATAATTCTTAAGAACCCTAGGATTTTTCAGAATGGTAAATGAGCATTGGCTTCAACTTACAGTCACCAGTTGCATTCACCCTTAACAAGAAAAATAGTCTGTCCTTTGAAGCTTTGAAGCCAGGCATTGACTTCTCCTCTCTAGCTATGAAAGTCCTAGATGGCATCTTTTTCCAATATAAGGCTGTTTTCTGAATTCTGCCAGAGGTACAAAGAAGAAATAGTACTATTCTTACTGAAACTATTCCAAATAATTGAAAAGGAGGGACTCCTCCCTGACTCATTCTATGAGGCCAGCATCATCCTGAAACCAAAACCTGGCAGAGATACGAAAAAAAAAAAGAAAACTCCAAGCCAATACCCTTGATGAATATTGATGCAAAAATCCTCAATAAAATATTGACAAACCAAATCCAGCAGCACATCAAAAAGCTTATCCACTGCTATCTAGCAGGCTTTATCCCTAGGATGCAAGGTTGGTTCAACATACCAAATCAAATAAGTGTGATTCATCACATAAACAGAACTAAAGACAAAAACCATGTGATTATCTCAATAGATGCATAAAAGGCTTTCATTAAAATTCAACACCCCTTCATGTTAACTCTCAATAAACTAGATATTGAAGGAACATATCTAAAATAGTAAGCTATCTATAACAAACCCACAGCTAACATTGTATTAAATGGGCAAAAGCCAGAAATATTCCCCTTGAAAACCAATACAAGACAAGCACTCCCTCTTCACCATTTCTACTCAACATAGTATTGGAAGTCCTAGCCAGAGCAATCAGGCAAGAGAAAGAAAGAAAGCACATCAAAACAGGACGAGGAAGTCAAAACTATTTCTGTTTGTAGGTGACATGATTCTATATCTTGAAAACCCCATAGTCTCAGCCCAAAAATTCCTTCAGCTGACAAACAACTTGAGCAAAGTTTCAGGATACAAATCAATGTACAAAAATCACTAGCATTCCTATACACCAACAACAGGCAAACCAAGATCCAAATCAGAAAAGCAATAACATTCACAAGTGCCACAAGAAGAAGAAAATACCTAGGAATACAGCTAACTATGAAGGTGAAAGATCTGGCTAGCCACATGCAGAAAATTAAAGCTGGACCCCTTCCTTACACCATATACAAAATTCAACTCAAGATGGATTGAAGACTTAAATGAAAGAACCCAAAACTCTAGAAAACCCTAGAAGACAACCTAGGCAATACCAACTGGACATAGGAACTGGCAAAGACTTCATGACAATGATGCCAAAAGCAATCACAACTAAAGCAAAAATTCACAAATGGGATCTAATTAAACAAGAGCTTCTGCACAGCAAAAGAAACTATCAACAGAGTAGACAGACAACCTACAGAATGGGAGAAAATATTTTCAAACTATGCATCAGACAAAAGTCTAATATCCAGCATCTATAAGGAACTTAAACAAACTTACAAGAGAAAAACAGACAATCCCATTAAAAAGTGGGTAAAGGGCATGAACGGACACTTCTCAAAAGAAGAGATACGTGAGGCTAACAAAAGTATGAAACAAAGCTCAATATCATTGATCATTAGAGAAATGCAAATCAAAATCACAATGACATACCATCTCATGCTAGTCAGAATGGCTATTATTAAATAGTCAAAAAGTAACAGATGCTGGTGAGGTTGCAGCAAAAGGGGAACACTTAAACACTGTTGGTGAGAGTGTAAATTAGTTCAACCATTGTGGAAAGCATTTGCTCAAAGAGCTAAAAGCAGAACTACCATTCGACCCAGCAATACCCAGCAAAATATAAATAATTCTATCATAAAGACACGTGCACATGAATGGATCACTACAGTGCTATTCACAATAGTAAAGATACAGAACTGGCCTAAATGCCCATCGATGACTGATTGGATAGAGAAAATGTGGTACGTCTATACCATGGAATACTATGTAGCCATAAAAAAGAATGAGATCATGTCTTTTGCAGGAACATGTATGAAGCTGGAGGCTACTATCCTTTGCAAACTAATGCAGAAACAGAAAACCAAATACCGCATGTTCTCACTTACAAGTGGGAGCTAAATGGTAAGAACTTATGAACACAAAGGAGGAAACAACAAACACAGGGGTCTGCTTGAGGGTAAAGGGTGGGAGGATGAAAGCAGAGCAGAAGATATAACTATTGGGTACTGGGCTAAACCCTGGATGATGAAATAATCTGTAAAACAAGTCCCTGAGACACGAGTTTACCTGTGTAACCAACTTTCACATGCACCCCTGAAGCTAAACTGAAAGTTAAAAAAAAAAAAAAAAAAAAAAAGAATGCCGTAGCCGGTTTGATCTTCTATCCAGACCACTCACATTTTCTCCATATCAGTAATAGGACTGTTTCATTTTCTTATCATTCATGTGTCCATTGGAGTAGCACTTTTAATTTCTTTCAAGATCTTTTCCTTTGCATTCAGAACTTGGCTGTTTGGCACAAGAGGCCTAGCTTTCAGCCTATCTTGGCTTTTGACATGCCTTCGTTACTAAACTTAATCATTTCTGCTTTTGGTTTAAAGTGTACAATGTACAATGGTTATTAATTAGCCTAATTTCAATATTGTTGTGTCTCAGGGAATAGAGAGACCCAAGAAGAGGGAGAGAGACGTGTCAGTGGAGCAGTCAAAATACACACAACAGTAAAGTTTGCTGTCTTACATGGGCATGGTTCATGGCACCCCAAAACAATTACAATAGTAACATCAAAGATCACTGATTACTGATCTCCATAACAGATATAGTTGGCAAAAAGTTTGAAATAGTACAAGAATTACCAAAATGTGATATATGGACATGAAGTGAGCACATGCTATTGGGAAAATGGCACCTGTAGACTTGCCTATTGAAGGGTTGCCACAAATCTTCAGTTTGTGAACAACACAGTATCTATGAAGTACAATAAAGTGAAGCACAGTAAAACAAGGTATGCTCATAGATGAACATTATTACAGCATACGGGGACAAACTAGTCCTATTTTAGACTGTTTTGTCTAATACACTGGTAACAGTTACTAATACCTATTGTGTAGGGAAGTTATTCCCAGGGCACGTTATAATCCCCAGGTTAAAACCCAGCCCAAGGCTGTAGAATAGTTGAGAAAACATGATACAGAGCAAGATATGTCTTTTCACCCATGTAACCCAAATACATAGCATTGAGCATGACTCAGAGTAGATAATGTATACTTTTTGATTGAATGAATTAATGAATGAACAAGCAGATGTTCAGCCTATCTTCAATCTTGCCTCATCTATTATAATAAAAGGATTCATGTGGTATTTCTAATAGTTCTTCTCTCCTGATATTTACTGATGCTAAAATATGTAATTCGAAACTTTTAAAATGGTAATCCTATCACTAGGCTCCAGAATTGTCTACATTTATTTAAAGACATATCTAGAAAAGAGTTGATTTTCCTTTCTGTGAATACATTTGGAAAGAAGCTATAAAGATTGTGTGTACAGATGACTAGATACCAAGATGCAGATGCTCCATCAGAATAAGTATTGTTTACACTAGCTTATACTCTATATCATCTTGGAAGTTAGAATTAGCAAAAAGGATCACATCAAGACAATAGTATAAGTTACATTTATGAGCTTATGAAGTTGTTATTGGAGGGAAAATAGATTCCCAAAGTGTTGTCAAAATAGCTAAGGAAATATGACAAAACTTTTCCTAAACTTCAAATGTGTTCTTTAAAAAAGCTTTATAAGTCTGATTTCTTATGTTTGGATTCAACCATAACAGAAAAAGAGAGGTCTAGAAAAGAGACAGAGAGAGAGAGAGAGAGAGAGAGAGAGAGAGAGAGAGAGAGAGAGAGAAAGTCTAATACAATGAAGTTTTAATAGAGCAATATTTGTTTTAAGGTTTAGTTGTATAAACAGATGTGAAAGCCACCTGTTTGCTCTATAAGTGCTATTTGAAAATTACAACAAAGGAAAGGACAAAGTGCATTTCAGCAGATAACAGGATATAAGCAAAGATCACACAATAGTTAATAGACTAGCAGGACTAGAATCCCAGGTCCCCTAAGTCCAAATCCAGTAGTCTGTTCTCCAACTTACTACAACATAGGGTTACAATTTTAGAATAAAAGAATATGCACAAAGTCCACTGTCTTATCTGTGAAGTTGTGTTTACCAACCTCAATAAAATTGGCAAGAAAGTACAGTTCTTAGAATGGCCATAGAGGCTAGAGTGAGCAAGTTACTCATGGAAGATGTAATGAGGCTACTTAAGTTGGCACACCATTGTTTTTTATTACAAACATTAATTCAAGTAAATTTCTGCCTGAAATCTGAAGAGTAACTGCATCACCCAAGGTGTTCACTGTATAAGCAATGCAGCCACTCCAATAACTATCCTGTATGCCCTAAGAGAAAAACTTTTCACGTTGTACCAAGTGTGCAGAGCATTCTAAACAAGTAAGTTAGATATAGGCTATTTCAGGCATAAGATATTAGGAAAGGTCATATTGGCATTATTAGAATAGAAATACTGATTCCTCATACACTGATATTACATAGATTATAGGAAATAGTCCCCTCATCTAGAGACAGTCTGAAAAATTAG
Source organism: Homo sapiens (assembly GCF_000001405.40). NCBI lineage: Eukaryota > Metazoa > Chordata > Mammalia > Primates > Hominidae > Homo > Homo sapiens. The sequence goes on from NC_000001.11 coordinate 193,008,649, forward strand.
ATTAAGCAGTCTCTCCAGATGTCACTAAAAGGCCAGATTAGAAAAAAATTAAAATCAAATAATTTTTTTTTTTTTTTGAGACAGAGTCTCACTCTGTTGCACAGGCTGGAGTGCAGTGGTGCAATCTCGGGTCACTGCAACCTCTGCCTCCTGGGTTCAAGCAGTTCTCTGCCTCAGCCTCCCGAGTAGCTGGACTACAGGCACATGCCACCACACCTGGCTAATTTTTGTATTTTTAGTAGAGGCGGGGTTTCACCATCTTGGCCAGGCTGGTCTTGAACTCCTGACCTAGTGATCCACCCGCCTCGGCCTCCCAAAGTGCTGGGATTACAGACGTGAATGACCACGCCTGGCCAAATCAAATAAATTTAAACTTAAATTATAACACATTTGAAAACACTTGTTGACACAAGAAAGGAAGCAGGGAAATGTCAACCAGAAAAGTGATAATTATGAAGTTTAAAATTTTGTCATTGTGTCTCTAGCAGTAGAAGCATGCAGTAACAATTTGATCAAGGAGGTGTGTATTGTGGCCAGCTTGATCCTCTATCCAGGCCACTCACATTTTCTCCATATCAGTAATAGGACTGTTTCATTTTCTTATCATTCATGTGTCCACTGGAGTAGCACTTTTAATTTCTTTCAAGATATTTTCCTTTACATTCAAAATTTGGCTGTTTGGCACAAGCGGCCTAGCTTTCAACCTATCTACAGGCAGATTTGGTTGGTGTCTAACACGGCAAACCATGTCACAGGCTATCATAGCAAGTATCTTTAAACAACAAATAATTTCCTTTGGTCCAGTTCTATAGTCAACTAACCTTCTGGCCTTAATTCGGTTTCCTTGGTAAGTTTATCTACCAGGGAGACAATGTGTCAATAAGCTGACAGAAATGTCTGGTCTGCTGGCAGTTATAATTGTAAAGTAAATTAATAGATTGTTTTTCAGGTGTACATTAGTCTCCTGCAAGTTTTATTAAGTTGGCTTAACTACCCAAAGTCCTTATCACCTTCAATGAGTATACTCAAATCATAAGCTGAAAGGGCAGATCCTGGACCTTGGTAACCTCACTTGGAGACAGCCTGGGAGGCCCAACCTGGATCGCTTGTTAGCCTCTAATCGAAATCCTAATTACCAGCCCTCAGGGAGCCACTGGATCTCAGAGCTCATAGTTACCACTTACTCTTGGCATTCCTTAATAACTCAGCAAAGGTCATCAATGTCTCCTACAAAGCTTCTAATAAATCCGGAGATAGTTTTTTCACATAAACACCTCCATTGTACAATTCTGTCCATAATGAAATTTTACCTCTAAGAATCATTTTTATGAGAAGAATCGTGGAAGTATATAAAGGATGTGTGCAGCTGAGCATCACAAGAAATTACCATAAAGAAGAAAGGAGAGCAGGGTGCTATGGCTGACACCTGTAATCACAACACTTTGGGAGGCTAAGGCGGGTGGATCACTTGAGGCCAGGAGTTTGAGACCAGCCTAGCTAACATGGTGAAACCCTGTCTCTACTACAAATACAAAAATTAGCCATGGAGGTGCGCACCTGTAATCCCAGCTACTCGGGAGGCTGAGGCAGGAGAATCACTTGAACCTGGGAGGCAGAGGTTGCAGTGAGCCAAGATTGTGCCACTGCACTCCAGCCTGGGTGACAGAGCGAGACTCTATCTCAAAAAAAAAAAAAAAAAAAAAAAAAAAGGGGAAGAAGAAGAAAGAAGGGAAGGATGAAGGATGGAAGTGTGGCGGGGGGAGGAAGGAATGGAGGGAGGGAGGAAGTGAAAGAGAGAAGCACGAGTTCAAGTTTGAATCCTAGATCTACTACTTACTGGCTGTATGAACTTGGGCAAGTTACTTATACTTTCATTTTCCTTAAAAATAAGTCACAGACATCCTTCCATATTAATACATAGACATTCATATTCTTTTCAATGACTGCCTAGTATTCCAATACACCATAACTAATGTACCCATTGTCTTTTGTTGTGCTTTAGTGTCCCTCATCTGAAAAATGGGGATAACGTGACTTATTTCATATCTGTGAAGGCTGGAGTTACTGTGCAAAAAAGTACTTAGGACGCCAGGCATGGTGGCTCACGCCTGTAATCCCAGCACTCTGGGAGGTCAAGGTGGGAGGATCATCTGAGGTTGGGAGTTAGAGACCACCCTGACCAGCATGGAGAAACCCCGTCTCTACTAAAAATACAAAATTAGCCAGGTGTGGTGGCACATGCCTGTAATCCCAGCTACTCGAGAGGCTGAGGCAGGAGAATCGCTTGAACCCAGGAGGCAGAGGTTGTGGTAAGCCGGGATGGCACCATTGCACTCCAGCCTGGGCAACAATAGAAAACTCTGTCTAAAAAAAAAGTACTTAGGACAATGTTTGGCACATTGTGAATAGTTTTCTATTTTATTCCTAATAACTTTTTCTAATTGATTGCATTTTCACATCTGGCTACTGAAATTGTAGAAGTCCTAAAACCAATTTTTTAAATTCAGAAAATAAAACACAATGCCTATTGATTATGGAGACAATAATTATTTCCATAAGCATAAAAATAACTGAGATTATCTGTCAAATTTTAATGTGCATAAATGTAATTTAATCAACTGGGCATCTTTTTAAAATGCAGATTCTGATTCCAATGTTCTGGGGTGGGACTTCAGATTCTGCATTTCTAACAAGTTCTGAGGTTATGCTCATTGCTGCTAGTCTGCAGATCACCCACTGAGTACTCAGAACACAGATGGTTTGATTCAAAGGGAAAAGGTATATAGAAGGAAAAAAGCAGATATCTTTTAAGTATTAAAATGAAGTTAATACTTACCTCATAAGATTGGTGTGAAGATAAAGTGAAATATATCTAAAATGTTAGAATAGCCATCAATGGGGAACACCCTACAATCATATTTTATAGCTTTATTGCAGGATTGCACAATAAATATATTACTCATATATAATATGTAATTTACAGAGGAACTGTGTATTATACATTTGTCTAATGATTGTAATACGCATATTGCATATTATGTATGACAAAATTTTATTTGTTGGCTTGCTGTCTCTTAAAGTTTTATGGTGTCTGTTGCCTTACAGAAATTTTTAATTTTTATACTGTCAAGTATTTCTCTTCTGGGTTCTTTTATGTTTTCTTTGGTGCTTAGGAAGCTTTTCCCTGTCCCTAAGTAATAAAATATTCTCCCAAATTTTTTCAAGTAATTTCATTGTTTTCATTTGTTTTGTTCTGAGATAGGGTCTCACTCTCTTATCCAGGATGGAGTACAGTGGCTGATCACAACTCACTGCATTCTCGAACTCCTGGCTCAAGGGACCTTCCAGCCTCAGTCTTTTGGGTAACTGGGACTATACGCACATATCACCTCCATACCCAGCTATTTTTTTTTTTTTAAGAGACAGGGTCTTGCCATCTTGCCCACACTAGGCTTGAACTTCTGAGCTTCTGCCTCAGCCTCCCAAAGTGCTAGGAGTACAGGTATAAGCCACCAGACCCAGCCTGTTTTAGTCTTAATGGTTATAATGGGAGGGCGGGGGACAGTTCAAAATGTTTTTTAAAAATACACCTACATGAGACTTTCCCCACTGGTTTTATGGTTTATTCAATATTATATTATCATTGCTACAAGAAAGAATCAAAGAAGCATATTACATAAAATATATGGATAAGCTAAAAAGTAAATAGAGCAGTAGTCCTAGGCATTTCCATATATCTTTTATTCAACCCATTTTCATATTGACACTCCAACATTAATAAACCATTTAACCATCAAACATGATTGCAAATTAATATTCTTAATTATTGCACATTGGTTCTGCCTATATGCCTATATGCAATCCACTTGTACAGTGTTAGTTCAGTACTAGAGAAGTTCTGCCTATATGCCTATATGCAATCCACTTGTACAGTGCTAGTTCAGTACTAGAGAAAAAATTATCTTCATTTAGGTCTCTACTTAAAGTACATCTCATTAATGGGATCTTCCATGACCATTCTATCAAACCTCAGCTCCTCCCACCCCTTTTCCCTATTTTTTTTACCATTCATACTACTATTTGAAAAGTTGTATTACATACTTATTATCTGTCTCACCATGAGAGCAGGGGCTTTTTCCTGTTATACTATCCTCTAGCATCTAGAACAACTCAGATGTACCTCATAAGATTGGCTGAATAAATCACTGAATAGTTTTCAAAAAGTTAATGTAATCAAGTCAAAAATAAAAAGTGCCCAGTATGCTAGAAGTGGTGAATCTTTACCATGTCAGTCATTGGATTTAGGCCAGTTAACAATATACTAAAGAACAAACTAAATAACATGCATGTTTGACTGATCTAGGAATTCATACTACTCTAAAAAACGCAGTATCATTCTAAAAATATAACTATCCAGTTTGTCTGTTTTAGGCATTTAGGCATAGAAGGTTTAACTTTTCTGCATTCCAGTGCACAGTCATTAAGTGTTACAGCAGGTTCCTCATTCCTTGAACACAACTACTGCAACATGTTCTAACATTAATAGTTCCAACAGTGAACTCCCTGACTGTTGCAAAAGTGAGCAGTTCCCTAGGTACACCAATACTGTATGTTTGGATGGGAGTAATCTCTGGAGACTTAAGCTTGAAACCGCTCCTCCAAACCTTCCAATGATTTTGTAAGAAACTATGTAGTTTCAAAACTCCCAATATAAATCTGCATTCCTCTTCAAATAGCTAGAGTGGTTTGTTTCCTGAAAATTTGTATATGATCAAGTTTAAAAATAATATAAACTTCATAGAACTATTTCAGACTATGGGGAGGGCAAGCAAGACTAACACACAAAAACATATGTGTACACATGAGGAAAAAGGATCACTAAATACATAAAATGTTAATGTGCTCATCCCTGTAAATAGAAATATGGTAATTTAAATTTTATTTTTACTTATCTGTTTTCTCTAAATGGTTTTTGAGGAGAATACATTAAAAGCCCTTTTTTTCCCTCAAATAAACAAAATCCTCCTACAGGATAAAAATATCTAAATGCATCTTGAAATGTTAACGTTACAGGCAACTAGGAGGATTAATTGAAAGTATTAATCTGCATGTAACACCATAATATACACACAAATATGTACCATGGTCCTAACTGGGGGAGCAAGTCCCCGTGGTTGTGATTCCCGAGCAAATATTTGTCTGTTTTAGTGGCACAGTCGAGCTGACTGCTGTTCGGAAAAGGGCAAGCTATCTTGGGAACTAAACATATAAGGTGAGAGTAGCCAGTGCCGCAGCTGTTGGCAAGGTTTTTGTTGATAATAACAGAAGTACATCCCTTAGAATTGGCTATTTTGAAGGCTTAAAATAGAATGGAAGCGACTTCACCTACCCAATAATTAAATAAAATTTTAGAAAAGACTAAATATGAAATGAGCAAGATTTTCTATAAAATATCATTTAAAAAAAACTTTCCAAATAGCATTTATCTATTTATGGGTTGCTCTTTATTCTTCCATTTTCTCTACCCTCTAGCTTCATGACTTAATTTCAAACCAGCAACATATAGCACCCAGACAAGTCACACTTCTTTATTCACAGACAGAAGTAATCATGAAGTATCACAAGGGATTTGCAATCACCAAAGAAGATGCAGATAAAATAAACCACTCTTAAGCTATGGAAATTCCTATTAAGGAATTTTATTAGATTAATAAGAAAAATCCTTATACCTATTAATATAGTCATTTTACAAGGATATTTTTCAAATGTCATTTGATATTACTTTTGTTAACACTTTCAATGACAATTCTGATGAGCTCTAATTTTGGATCTTTTATGGTTACTGCTTTCTGTGACCTAAGAAACCTTTGGCTAACCCCCCAAGTCACAAAAATATCATCTGTTTTCAGTTAAAAAGCTTCATACTTTTAAAATATTACATTTAGGTCTATGATTCATCTCAAAGTCATTTTTGTGAGGTAGGGGGTCATTGTTCACTTTTTTCTATATGGATATTCAGCTATTCTATTCTGGCTCCATTTGTTGAAAAGACTTTCCTTCTCTGTTGAATTGTTTTGCCACCTTTGTCGAAATCAAGTGATCATATAAACGTTGATCTGTTTTCAGGCTCTCTCTTCTGTTCCATTGCTTTATTTGTCAATCCTAGTGCCAGTATCACACTGTATTGATTACTAAATACAACTTACCACAATAATCCTCACATTGCTTAACAAAATTTAAGCCTCAATAGGAAAGAATATATAAATTAAGCTGAAATAAACGAATGAGATCAAGATGAGCCTTCCTTAAAAATCTATTTTTAAAAATTATATCATGGCTTTGAAAACACTCCATAATTATTACTGTATCAACAGCAAAACATATTTACCCACAAATAACTGAGAGACTACATATTTTCCATTACCTCCAACTGAAATTATGTATGAAAAATATTTCATTCGTTTTTCTATCAATTTCCTATCAGGTTTTTCTCCATTAGTTCTAAGTCATTTAATACCACAATTACTAAGCTTAAAAACAATCCTTAAAAATGTGCTGAAGCTGGAAGATGGGTACACATTCTCCCTAATAAAATAAATTATGCTAAATTGATTTTACAATAAATAATAAAATGTTAAAGTCATGTATCAACCTCAGAAATATTCTTGATAAAGAAAAAAGTAGGTTACTTCCTTTAAAAAAGAAAGCTTTATAAAGTCTTCTTTAAAGTCTGACTTGCAAAGGAAGATTAGAAGCAGAAGATTATTACAAAGCAACTCCCAAATCAATTTTTAAAAATCAATTGTGAGCAAATTACATATGGCTCTTGAAAACTGCAGGCTGTACGAAATTTATTCAAATTGGCATAGAAAGACCCCCATCACCACTACCATCTTTTTAAAAAAGCAGATAACATGAACTGTCAGACCTCCAGTTTTTTTATACACAGCTTACAAGCTTGAAACAATATTCCATTGAGAGTAACACCAACATTCTTTAAGATTTACAATTTCTTCTTAACCTGAAATTTTGCTTTGAAGCATAATACTCAGACCTTCCTGAAACAATTCTCTAATACATAAACAAATAACCCCAAACACTTGAAGAAAATTTACTAAAATAAAATTGAGATGTTTATTACTTTTCTACTGACAGCAGTGAAAATCACTGGAAATTATACTTTTGTCCTTTTTAAATGATTTACATTAAAATCATACTTTCTCAAATAACTGGTATAGCAGATAAAATTCAGTTTTAAAATCCTCAAAACACTTAGATATCAAAGATAGAAATACTGATTTTTTTTCCGTTAATGATGAGAAGAAATAAGACAACCAGTTTAATCAAGATCTGACAATTGCAAATTTTAAGTATTTAAATTACAGATAAGGAATATCGTTTGTGCATTTTCTAGCTTCATATGGTAGTTAGACAACCAGAAAACTAACAGTTGTCAGACTCAATGTCAAATAATGGAATTTGGGAAAGCATTCTTAATATCACTTTCATTTAATATGCACTACATGCACATGATGCAGGTAGGGAAGAAGTTTATGAATCCATGCATTAAAGACAAGACAGGCTGGCACTATTGCCAAACGTGCACTGAGCCAATTAGGATGTTGCTCTAAGTTCTTTATACATAATGGTTTCCATGAAAATATGTGCAGAAGCAGAAATGTGTACATATCTGAAAACATCTTCATTTGGTTTCCTGAGCTTTCTTTGCGTTCTGTTTTTCTTTTGCCTAAAAATTAAAAATAGTATGTTACAAAATTTTAAAAGTCAGTTTTAGACTATATTAGAATAAAATGTGCCTAAGAGGGTATTCTCAAGCTGAAAGGCTTGAAATACATTGTTTATAAGACTTCTAAAGCATTATGTTTTATAACTTGAGACTTATAACAAACTTTTCCTGGACAATTACATAGTTATTCTTTGCCCTAAGAAAGGATCATGTTTGGTTTGCAGTTCTTTCCTATCTGAAGGTGAAATGAATTATTATAATTGTAATAATTTAAAAATTCCATAAAGTCAAACTCATTCATGAGTATTCCAAAACAATATATATACACATATTTGCCCATTTCCTATTCACATGAGCATAAGAAAAATCTTACATTAGTTTCTGCAAATGTGAATAAATGAGTTTAACATAACAGTTTAAGTGACTTTAACATAATGTCACTAAAGGATTATGTATCCTTGGTGTCAACAAACTTTATTTATATGACCTAAAAAAAAATGTTTTTACATACTAGTTCAATAGATCTTCATTACAATTATATAGCTTGAACACAGTACTTGTTTTATTCTTTAGCAAATGAAAAAGCCAGAGCTTATAGATGTTATCAAGCTTGACCAAAGTCCCACAGCTAGTATACAGTAAGTCCTCAATACAGATCAAAGACATATGCTTTATAGCATTGCTTCTCAATGTATATACCAATGACTTAGAGACCCTGTTAAAATGCAGACTGATTTAGTAAAATGCCTGAGGTTCTGTATTTCTAACAAACTCTCAGATGATGCCAGTTCTGCTGGTGTTCAGAAGACATTTCTAAAAGCAAGATTTTAGAGTACTACAATGCAATATTTTTCCACTGTGCCACTTCAGAAGAGTCAATGAATTAGACTTCTACATTATACAACTTTTTTTAAAACGTCCTTAAATAAAAAATACAGCAATTAAAACAATTACAATCTCTTTTTGTAATGTATTAGGTAGTATAATTATTATTTAACAGTATGATAAAACAGTGCTGTGCCTTAGAATGAATAAGAGCAAATAGTCTGTGTGTCATATTAAAAATAATAAAGTTAATTGCCAACATCAACGTTTTTAGTTAACAAGCATAATTTGTAATTTGATATGTGTATCGCATCTCATACAAAGTTTTCTGTCCTCAAATAATAAATATAATTTGGTTTTAGGCATAATTTAAAATAAAAGTATGTGCTTCTTTCCTTATTGATCTGAGTATACTTAATAGAATATTGAGAAGGATTAACAAGAAATAAATTTACTGGTTTCTGATATAAACTTTACAACATAATTAAATGAGCAAACACATATAAGGCAGAGTGTCTATACATTTATTAAAATTAAAAATAATTATCACAATTAATTGAGCACTAATTTATACACTTTACAGATATGATCTCATTTAATCATCAAGAATGTGAAGTAGGTATGATTCCCAGTTTACAGATGAGAAAGAGGTTATAAGAAAGTAAATAGTGCCTAAAAGCTCCAGCTAATAAGTAACATATATATAAGATTTAAATTCAAAGCCTGTATTTTGGTCTGTTTTTGTTAAAAAATAAAAATAAAATCATATAAATAACATGGAAAAATATATACTGTTAAAAATACTTTCCTTCTATACAGTGTACCAATGATATTAAAAAGTACTGACTCAAATCAGATAATTCTGCATTAATAGATACTAATGTAGATATTGTTGTGATTAGCCTTAACTATTCTTCTACCTTATTTCTATTAAGAAATAGAAAAAGATCTGAAGCTTACTTATTACCAATTGAATCACAAAGTCATAGTAAAATGTGGACAAAATTCAATATTGTGAAGTTGTTTGGATTTCCCCATAGCAATGGAATTTATGATTTTACATCACGTTAAGTTATTGGTAGTTAAAAATTTAAGATAGACAATGATTCATAATTACATACAAATGTGTAGACAAAAATTTGTTAATCATAAATATACCTGAATAAATAGAAGTCTCACAAATGTAATCTTAAACTAGATAATTTTATTTTATATTTTAAGAAAGAGATTTGGTACATAATACAAGAAGTTTTATAACTATATATTTTTGGATTACCTCCTAGGCAGTTTTTAAATGTGGTGTGTATTCAACGAATTCATCGGTTAAAAAGTCTCACATAACAAAAACATTTATAGGTTCTAACCAAGTTCATTATAGCCATGCCGAGGGAGAATCACTTTTTATTTATTATTTTGCAAATAAAAAGATTTTAGGTCAAATACTTTTATGTCATCACAGATTATAGGCAACTGCCTCAGCTATTCAAAAATCTCATCCTGTAGAATCTCAGCATATAGTAGCACTGCATGGTGCAGCCATATCTTTCCTGTTTGTTTCCTTCTATTCCTTCTCACACCTTGTTCTTTTATCCTATTTTCCCTGAAAACAAAACACAGTAAGATCCACTATTCCAACTTATCTATTTCTGAATTCTATAGGTAATTTTTCTTAGAAGTATTACCATTAAGTAATTAACTATCACTGGTAAAGATTTTATATAATTATAAAATCTAATCTTTATTCTAACAGTTTTTCAACACGCTTTATTTTTTAAATTTGCATTTATCTGCAGAAAATGATATTTTAATATGGTATCTTTTTTTTCCAAAATAAGATGAACAAAAATATATTCTTGCAAAGGAAACGGATATAGTGCTACAGATTAAGCACTTAATTCCCACCACATATTTAAAACTTTATGGATGTGAAATTTTAAGTGGCTATAAAGCTATTTAGGAGCTACCCTGTGCTTGCTGGGGATCTTTAGCCTGACTTTATCCTGGCATTTATCAAAATAATACTATTTAGCACAATACCATAATTGTTCATTTATTCCTTTCCCAAATTGTACCATGAGTTGCTTAAGAGAAAATAATATGTCTCAGTTATGTATACATCCCTAGACCTTAACAGAGTGCCTGGAATATCCTCGCAGCTAGATAAATGTTTGATGAATAATTTAAAACATTTCAACAATTCCAATTAAATGAGTCTAAGCTCCTTCAGAACCTAGGAGAATAATAGTTATTGCATGTATATAAGAAATAAATCTATCTCAATATTGCTTCTGGAATATTAATAAAAGAACAGCTTAGAGAAATAAGCAACTAGAAGGTCAATAACTACTTTCCTTAAGAAAATGAAGGCAAACACAACAGAGTTGGTGTTCCACTAACATCAGGTATTTATATGCTGCCACCTTGTGTCCAAAAAATGTGAACTAAGGAATAATTATTCTAATGTTAAGCTGACAAGCTGTTGTTCTCTAACTATGCTCTCAAAAAAATCTGGGGATATAGTGTAATTAAAAATCAAACAACAGTGGTTCTTTTACTTACTAATTTGCACACACAAAAAATTCTGTTCACAGATCAATTTTAATGCAAAATTTATACATTTAATATTTATCTAAGGGTCCTAGTCCCTAGTAACATTTATCTAACTTAAAATCTGATGTATCACATATTTAGCACATTTTATAGTTATTTTAATATTTTTAACAGAAAAACATTTGATATGATTAATAACATCATATCTAGGTATTCTTGTTAACCAAGCAATTTTGAGAACCACAGGACCCTGTATTAATCTAAAACTTTAAAAACAGTTTCCCATCTTAGAATACACCCTGAGATGCATGAACAGAAAAACCTATAATGGAAAAGAGAAGATTTAGCAGTCTTCTGCAATAATTTTTACATTTAATGCTAAAAGTTGGGTCACATGTTTCAATCAATAAGGTAATATACACAAAAAACTTATTAGCTCACATCTCATATTATTTAGAATGTATAACATGAAACAGCTTGGTTGAAATCAATCTTTGCTTTGTAAACTTTAAAATTAATAAGGAAAATATACCTACCATGTATTCTCGTCTTTAAGTTAATGGTCCAAAATTTTATTTGCCTAGTAGTGTCTTCTCAAAGTGTTTCTCAAACTGTGGTACACAGACCAGTTGCATTAGAATCACTTGGGGAACTTATTAAAGAATCCTTCCCCTATATCAGAATATCTGGGGAGGGGCCAGGTAACATGTATTTTAAAGAGTATCCACTGATGTTCACTTTCAGAAACACTGATTTACAGTATGAACTTAAAAACAATTTAACTGCATTTTACTTATTCAACAAATATTTTATTGTTACTTATGAAAAAAATCATAGAAATCAGAATTCTTCACTAACTTATGCTAGTTTTCCCTCAGTGGAATGGATACTAAATTAGAAATAAGAAAACCTATTTCGTAGTACAGGCTATTTTTTTTTTAAACCCAACAATGTCCATTCTACTTTTAAATTCTGTTATATCAACTCAAATTTTTGCTAAATAGGAAAATATTATTTCAATTATCAGCATTAAAAATCTACTTTTGCTTAAAGGAAGTGTTTTAAATTTTATTTTAATACAGCATAACCTGAGGTCTTGACACTAAGAATCTGGAAGCCTAAAGCAGTGGGGTAATTCTTTATTTTTGTTTTACAGTCTCAATTGAACTAATTCTTACAGAGTAGAAAACAAGAGGCAAAAGCAAAAGAATAAAAACGTACAAGCTTCCAAAAATTTTACCTCTATTCAAGCAAAAAATAAAAAATACATTTTATGTTTTTGGAGACTCTAAACTTAATTTAAGTATCTACCAATAAAATACTTACCTTTTCTACTAGTGGTATTAACTGCTGGTGTTCTGCTAAAGTCTTTAACAATTCCATAATGAAAGGCAGATAATTATGCTTCCTTCTGATATTCTCAATCTGAAAATAAAACATCAATCCACACTAACTACATTTCTGCTAATTTTGATATTTTATTCTTTGCATCCAACTCAAAATAGAAATGGTATATCCATTCTCATAAGAAAATGATTTTAGAAATAATGAGATTCCATTCCCACTGAGAATAAAAATTAACACAATAAAACATGTGGAGGGAGTTTCTTGGGCAAGGGCCTCCTGCCCCTGACTTAGCAAATAATAGAGGCCTTTAAAAGTCCAATCTAACATTACTTATGAAAATGTCATTTATAAAAACAACTAAACATCTACAAGCTAAATTAACATTTGCTACTTCACCTGTGCAAATAATCAGGCAAAGTCTAATGAGACCAGCTTTATTTTGTGATCAAGCACAATCTTTCCTTCAGATTATTTTTTATCGAAAGGGGGTACACTGCAGGAAAAAATTTCTACTTCAGTGGAAAACTATGCACTGTCTAGATAACATCCTCTCAAGTTATGTGATTCTAGGCTTTTACTGCCACTGACCTATTATATATTCTGCCTGGTAGAAGTATAATTGATTGCCCTTCCATAGAAAGTTTCCATCTCTTATAAATTCATTTAAACTTCATATAAATTTGAGCTTCTCTGACTTCTCCTTTAACTAGAGTTCCTTCAGTTAATTAATTAAATTAAAGCTTAACATGTTTGTTTTATAGCAGTATGACAATCATTTTATCTTTTTTTAAACAAAGCATTCCCAAACAATAAAGCAGGACACCTTATGGAAGTTATGGAAACTTTGTGTTGTATTTTGGGCAGATATTAAAAGTTAGTTAATTACATAATAAACACATAAGTATATATAAAGATGGGTAATTTACTTTTTTTAATATCATGTGAAATGGAAAATAATTGGGAAAGCTATTATTTTTTCCTTCCCTATCTCCATGAACTTGTCCCTCCCTTTTTCCCGCCTGGAATACTCTAGAGCCTGCCTGCCTGCCCCTACCACTTTCACCTGAAGAAATCCTACTAGTTTAAGGCCCATTCATTTCACTTAACAATCACCTGTTGTCTGTTAAGTATGATGCAAAGTATCTGTTGTCTGTTAAGTATGATGCAAAACACTTTACTGACACTGTGGGGAGCAACAAAAAGGACAGTTCTTGCCTTACACTGAGGTTCAAATGAAAAATAATCCTTTACTACCATAACACATGACAAATGACATATACATTCCACATCCAAGCACTTTGGGAGGCTGAGACGGGCAGATCACTTGAGGTCAGGAGTTCAAGATCAGCATGGCCAACATGGCAAAACCCTGTCTCTACTAAAAACACAAAAAATTAGCCTAGCCAGGCATGGTGGTGCACACCTGTAATCCCAGCTACTTGAGAGGCTGAGGCAGGAGAATTGCTTGAACCTGGAAGGTGGAGGTTGCAGTGAGCCAAGATTGCACCACTGCACTCCAGCCTTGGCGACAGAGCGAGACTCTGTCCAAAAAAAAAAAAAAAAAAGGAATAATAACTACAGTGAACTGAAACACCAAATAGGTTAAAATTCTATTCCTAATAATATTTTACAAAAATAAAAATGAAAGACATCTCACTACTTATCTTTGTAGTGATAAGAGAATCAACAAATTATTTGAAATCTGGTAAATGATAGGAGGGAAAGCCATCAGATATTCAATGTACCTTCATCTTGAAATATACTGCTCTATATTAAAACATTAAAGGAACACATTTTTAAAAACATACCTTGTATCTTTTTAATTTCTGTACTTCTTCTTCAATAAGCATCTGATTTTTGGCAACTTCTGACTGAATAGCACTTAACATACTATTACCTTGATCTGTATCCATGGGTTCCTCCTTGGGGGAAGGAAAAGAAATAGCACACCCTAATAATTGAGGCTTACATTCAGAATATTTTAAAATGATAAACACAGTATGATTATTTTCAAATTTTTACTCTTCATATTGATAGCAGCATGCCCGCCTAACAGCAGCATTAAAGGATAAAAGCCCCAAAATAGTACCTTCCATATTTCTATGTTCTAATAATACGAATTTTCATCTAAAAACAACCTACGCTGTAATATACTCTATTGCCATATTCTCCTAATACACTATAAAATAAATTTTCTTAAATATACTCTTAAGAAAATGTGCTCAAAGGATTGTAAAATAAACTTTGTCTATTAATCTCTTCTCCAATGACATTTACTATAGAAAGGTAATCATAGACTAGTAAAGACTACATGTGACTCTAAATATACCCAGTTAACTCTTTGAGAATTAACTTGCTTAATTATATAATGAAGTCACAGAAAATAGTTAAAATAGTTCATTCCTAACACTTATTTAGCATTTACCATTTGTTAGTCATTAAGTGATTTACACATAATACTTCATTTACTCCTCATGACAATATTCTAAGGTAAATACTATTTATTATTTTTATGCTATATGAAGAAACTGAGGCACAAGGAAATATACTCAGATTCCTATATCCACTAAGTGCAAAGCCAGGAACCGAATCTAGGCAGCCTGAATCCAGTGTGTATTCGCTTAGCCACCATTCAGACCACTTGATTATATATATATTTAAAGTAAATACTTTTCCTGAGAGAATAACCAAGCTAGAACTTTGTACTTAGAAACATGGCCACGAACCTCTGCAAGTTGTCTTTGTAACTCTGCTATCTTCTGCTCATATATCATTTTTCTGTCAGACACAATGGCCATTAAATTAAATCGAATTTCACCTTCACTGTACCTAGAAGAAAATTATTTAAGTTTATAATGTAATAAAGAATTGTACAACTATTACCGTTAAGATAATCCATCGTGATTCCCCTCTTGATTTTCTAGTATAAACAAAAGTCTATCAATTGGCTAGCAATAAAAATGGACACTTTTAAAAAGCTTTCAGGTCAGGCACATAGGTGCCTCCCAGCTACTTGGGAGGCTCAGGAGCGGAGAGGATCCTTTGAGTTTAGAAGCTGGAGGCTGCAGTGAGCTATGATAGTGCACTATACTCCAGTCTGGGCAACAGAACAAGACCCTGTCTCTTAAAAAAAAAAACAAAAAAAAGCTTTCATATAGGAAAGACAACTGTAGAAAAACAAAATTGGCTAAATTCCATCAATCACAAATGTTTTTTAAATATTCTAAAATAATGTCATAAAACATTTGAAATAAAAAACATTTTCATCAATTTCCCTACCTTTATAAGAAATATGGCAACACATTAACTTAAGAGCTCAGAAAAAAACAAATGGAGACTCCATATTTCTTAAATTATTTAGACTGGCATCTTGATGGGTATTAACTATGCTCCGTATTATATAATTTTTTCCAAGTCATGATGAACTTTCTATTTTTAATTTATATATTTTAAATTTTATCTTATATGTAAATAAATATAACATATTTTATTAATATAATATATAATTATATCGTATAGTAAAATTTCTGAATGTTTGATTTTCACTACTCTGATATCAATGAAGCATCTCATAACAAGCTGGTTCATGGTAGCAACTGACATTAAAAGCATTATTCATAACACTATGTAAATGGCATTAAGATGAAAATATATAGAAAATATGAGCCCATTTTGCATTAGTTTATCTCTAAGAGTTTCTCATACACAGTTCTATTCACTGAAAACAAATGGCCCCAACATAACTATAGTAATTTGAACTATGTAAAAATGTCTTTAAAACACTGATTGTGGGACTTCCATGTCCCTATCCCTGCCAGTAAGTACAACTAAAAACCCTGGACATAATATGTTTTTTAAAAAGAGCAAGCAAGAACATTCTGAAAGGTAGAAAAAAAGCAGACAAGCTGGGGAACTCAGGAACCAAGAATGATACAATAGTGAATTTCCTGAGGTTTTTTTCTGCCTCATATATCCCAGAATTGGAGCTGAAGAAACCAGCAACCCAGAAATACCAACAGGCACAGACAAAAAAAAGCCCCAACAAAAGTCTGCTCTCTCTAGCCAAATAGAAAAGGTGCAGCCTCAGAAGACAGAAAACTTTTAGACAATAATCATTCCACTATAGCCAAACATGATTGAAAAATCTGTGACCTCACCCCTACTCAAAACCAGTAAAAGCAGAATAGAGAGCTGGACTTCCAGTCTTGTCTTCCAACCTTTAACAAGGTTCCTAGGTTGGTATTTAAAAAGGCTGGGTAGGGAATGGGGACTTTCATCCCTGCCATGTGGTAATGACAACACCCATTTGTGGTATCAAAGGACACAGAATGGGAAGCCAAAATTGTCACTGCCATCCAGTGGCAAAGTAGCCTCATCCACTTCAGTATGAGTGGAAAGCAATAGCAAGGCACTCCTACCCCTCTCAGCCAGAGTGGTATCAACAGAAACTCTGCTGGGGGCTAGAACACCCATCTCTGCCCAGCAATAACAAGGAGCCTTATTCCATTTCAGTTGTCACTGAAGGCCTAGTAGGGAAGCTGGACTTCTACTCCCACCTGGTGTAATGAGGTGGCACCCACAATTTACATTTACCCTGTCAGAGCCATGTCCATAAAAACCAGCTCACACAGAAATTTTAAATAAGATCCAAAGTCTTACTTTTATAGATATAGAGAAGATTATACTAAAATTTATATGGGAAGGCAGAGGAACTATAGTAGTTAAAACAATTTTGAAGAGAAGAATACAATGAAAGGCATCGGTCTACCTGATTTCAAGACTTAGAGTTACAGTAATCAACACAATGTAGTACTGGCAGAGGAACAGATAAATGGAACAATGGACAGACTAGTGAGCCCAGAAATAGACCCACACCAATATGCTCCATTTTTGCAAAGGTGCAGGAGGAATTCAGTGGAGGAAGGATAGCCTTTTGAACCACCGGTGCCTGAGTAATTGAATATGCATAGGCAAAAAAAAAAAAAAAAATGACCCGTGATCTAAATGTCATACCATATACAAAAATTAACTCAAAATACATCATAGACTTACATGTAAAACATTAAACTATAAACTTTTAAGAAAATTACACAGGAAAAAAATTTTGGTATCTACACCGAGACAAAGAATTCTTAGACTGAAAACAAAAACACAATTCATAGTGTCAAATATTGATAAACTGTACTTCATCAGGATTAAGACCTTTTGCTCTGTGAAAGACCATTTTGGGAGTACAAGTGGATGGGCTACAGACTGGGAGAGAATATTTGCAGGCAATGTGTTTGATGAAGGATTAGTATCTAAAATACGTAAAGAACTTCAGACTCAAGAGTCAAAAAACAATCCAATCAGAAAATGAGCTAAAGGCACGAAAAGATTTTCAACATCATTAGTCATCAGGGAAATGCAGATTAAAACCACAATGAAGTATCACTATACATCTATTAGAATGGTTAAACTAAAAATGGTGGTAACACCAAATGCTAAAAAGGATGCAGAGGAACTAGACCGTTCATATATTGCTGGTAGAAATATAAAATGGTACAGTCACTCTGGAAAAGAGTTTGGTAGTTTCTTAAAAAAAAAAAAAAATATCCATTTACCATGCAACCCAGCAATGCAACACATAGGCATTTATCCCAGAGAAATGAAAACTTGCAGTCACAAAAAATCTGCACAAAAACGTTTATTGTAGCTTTATTCTCAGTAGCCAAAAAATAGAAAACAATCCAGATGTCCTTCAATGGATGAAGAGGCAAAAAGCTGGTATATCCATACCACAGAATACCATCTATGAATAAAAAAATGAACTACTGATACACTTAAAAACTTGGAAGAATCTCCAAGAAATAAACTGAGTGAAAAAGCTAATGCGAAAAGGCTACATATTGTAAAATTCATATATAACATTCTTTAAATGACAAAAATTATAGAATTAGGGATTAAGAAGTAAAGGAAAGGGAAAGGCAGCAGGGAGAGAAGTGGTTGTGCCTAAAAAGAACAATACAAGGGATCTTTGTGGAGAGCAAATTTTGCTGTATCTTGACTACATCAATGCCAGTATCCTGGCTGTGATATTACACTATAGTTTTGCAAGATGTTGCCACTGAAAGATAAAAAATACACAAGATGTCTCTGTATTATTTCTTACAACTGAATATATATATAATTATCTGAAATTGAATATACAATTACCCCAAAATAAAGAGCTTAATATTAAAAATAAACCCTCAAAAATAAAACTCTACAAAATAACTGTCAATTATCCAACAGTACAAAATACCTAGCCGGGTGCAGTGGCTCATGCCTGTAATCCCAGCACTTCGGGAGGCCAAGGTGGGCAGATCACTTGAGGTCAGGAGTTTGAGACAAGCCTGGAGAACATGGTGAAACCCCACCTCTACTGAAAATACAAAAATTAGCCGGGTGTGGTGGCATGTGCCCATAATCCCAGCTACTCGGGAAGCTGAGACACGAGAATCGCTTGAACTCGGGAGGCAGAGGTTGCAGTGAGCCGAGATTGTGCCACTGCACTCCAGCCTGGGCGACCCAGTGAGACTCTGTCTCAAAAAATAAAAAAAAGAAAATAAAAAATTATCTAACTTAATGGAAATCTGCATGTTTAACTTCTCTAAAGACAAGATGACATACTACTACATGAAATTTAGAGATTTTCTGAAATAGACTTCTTAAATGCATTAACCCAATCAAAAGTAGATGTTTGGCTGGGCACAGTGGCTCACGCCTGTAATCCTACCACTTTGGGAGGTCGAGGCAGGCGGATGGCTTGAGCTCAGGAGTCTGAGACCAGCCTGGGCAACATGGTGAAAACCCGTCTCTACGAAAAATTAAAAAGAAAAAAAAAAGTAGATGTTCAATGCACACTGCTAAAATAACAATAAAATACAAGTTTAAAAAATACTTAAAAAACAGAATATTATGCCAATGAGATTAGCTGAGCATTTACTTTTGTATCCTTTTTTCTATGACAGGCCTTACTGCACTGATCCAATCATCTTGATTGCATGCACCTAGAAAGAAATTTTAAAACAGTTAACACAAATAAAAATAAGAACAATCAACTTTAAAATGCAAAAGTTTGGCCCAAAATATTTTTTTACAAATATTTTAATAAATTTAGAGCAGTAAAACTCTTTTTAGTATAATTATGTTGTTTCAATTCCATAAATAAATTTTTATAACACACATAGAAAAATAAATATTTTTAAATATAGAGGCAGCATGTAAATCTGCATTGGATAAACTATTGGTTCTACGCATGGGGCATGGCAAAAAGTACAAACAAAATGCACCCATGTTAATTTTTTTAAAATCTAAAAGTATAAAGTTTTATGAATAGCCTATAACATTAGATTCAACTAAAACAAGTTGTGTTGGACTTCAAACCTATTATTAAAAAAAGAAAAAGAAAATTTAATGAAGTCAAAATAAGGAGTTAAAATTATTTTGTGAACCTATTATTTCAGTAATCTTTCAGAGCCACAGATTGTACCTTCAACTTTGATAAGTGTTTATCATTTTTTGCTCAGCATTAGAGACGGGGTAGGATCAGAACAATCTATGTTTTTGCAGAAAGGATAACACATTAACGCACTATTTAAATAGAGAAATTTTAAGAAAAATATTTTCTTGATTGCAAAACAATAAATTATCCAATTCCAAATGAAAATACTTTAATACGGATGTTAAGAAATGCTTGCTATCCCTTACGAATGGGTTAAAAATGACAAGAGTAACTATTTACGTTCACTAAGGGTAGTTTTTAAATGTTAAATGGAAAATAAAATATAAATTATGTAACCTATAGGTTAAAAAATAATTTTACTTGGGAAAAACTCAAAGGCATCAACTGAACTATGGTAGTCAAGATGTCCTTCCTATATATTAATATAACACACTGAAGAGCTTAAGGCCTTCATTATATTATGTTACCTCATAGTCACTTTTACCTTGAAAATTTAAGCAGCACTGAATGAGGGTAAATACCCAACAGATTTTCCCCTGTCAAAAGTGAAATATCAGGAACAGGAACTGCATTACCTAAATCAATCGGTCCTTCTCTTAATCCATCTAATTCATACAGTCTCCCATTAACAGGAACATAACTGACAAAGTGAAAAGCATCTTCTTCTTTTGCTGATGTCTTCGTATCAAATTCAAACATTTGCTGTCTACAGTAAATAAAAAAATAGTGAAACTCAAAGAAGCAAAGAAAGAAACAGTATTTATTTAACATAAAGTCTCTTTACCTGGCGAAACTGTTGTGTACTTGTCGAATCACATCTGAATTGCTCAGTGCCAAGCCTTTCATCTAAAATAATTTTTTAAAGTAGCCTATTAATATACAAACTTTCACAAATATGACATTTTAGGAATAAGAAGATTGTACTCACAGCTGCATCAAAACTTTGTGAAAATTCTTTAAACTCTGATAATGTCTCGCCTAAATGGACATCCTGGTGGGTACAGTTCAGTAACACACTCACTATGGCTTGAGTAGCACAAGCATTATTAATTACCTATAAAATATAAAAGTGAAGATATCAATGTGTTTAAAAAAATAAAAAATGGTTTTTAACTGGTGACAATGGCCCCAAAACATGAACAGTTTTCAAATTATATTTTATGAAGTCTCAGCATAAACAGAATAAATATGTTTAATTTCTATCCTAATCTATTTTCAGAAATTTGCTGCACTTCTGGAGTTGAAAATTCTAGGAAACCAAATGAACTCAATGAACTCATAATATTACCAAAAACCAATCCAGTTAGGGTAACAAGATCAATCATCCTGATGGAAAACATAGCTGATTAAGCCAACAGAGCTTGTCCCCCTCTCCTATTCATTTCCTCCTAGACTCATTTCTACCTATTCAAATTCAATTAGTATTTTATAACCGAGCATAAGCTTCAATTCACCTGTGTGATTGTAGAGAAATTCTGAACCCAACTCACATTAGTTTCCACCCTCATTTAAATTCCCAAACAGGGTATACAATGTCCACATATTTTTTTTCACTCAATCATCTACAGTCTTTACATTGCTATCATCTAGCTATAATCATTTAACAAATTATCTGGACCTTACATTCTAGCCAAAGGAAAAAACATTTAGATAGCATTTACTATGTGCCAGTTACTTTTCTAGGCACTCTACATGCATTATTTCTTTTAATCCTCTCAACAACTTATGCAGAAGGATTACTATTATCATCTTCATTTTAAATTTGTAGAAGCTGAGGCACAAAGAGGTAAGTGCCCAAGGGCACACAGCTGATCTTGTTCTAGAATTTGTGTACATAGCCATCATGCTAGGCTATCTCTGTACATACACGTGGTCTCTCCAACAAGATTATAAACCACTTTATGAACAGCAGTTTCTTCCACACTGCCTAAGCACCTATGGTATTGAGATCATGAAGCTGGAAAGAACCTTAGATGATCAGTGTGAACACCAGCAAGGTTAATCACAGAGCTGAATAATTTTTTAAATTACAGCTTAGTCCTACTACAGTATTATGTTACTATATTGTAATTAGTCTTTCCAATAATGCTAATTAGCTTATGATTTTACATTTTAGTAAATTATCTATTTTTATCCTGCCTGATTTCAGAAGAAAAAAATTCAATTATTTTCCTTCTTTAATTCTTATAGTTCTCTATTTCTCATGTTGGTAGAGGTTTTTAAGATCTTATGAATATCTACCAGTTCCTGAACTGTTGACTGAAGTATATTTGAGAAATTCCTTAATAAGACTGCACTCTCCATTACAGAATAGTCTCGTACTCCTAATTCTCAATAACTATAACATCACCATGCTTCTACAATTCTTCTCTTTAAGCATTTTGTATTCAAAACTGTCTTAAAATTGATGAATTAGGAAAAAGTAGTGATAGATCCAGAATCCAATTAGCATTGCTGCTGACTTATACGAATATGTATTTTGATCCGAATCACAGTTCTTTAGTAAATTTGGATGCAAACTTTAATGATTAAAGAGGACTTTATAAATGTGGTTGACTAAAACACTGTAACACTTAGTACTCCCTTATCTTAGGTCTAAATTACCTAAGGTGAAATTATCTGAGGATAGCACAGTGGGAGGAGTAAAGTTAGGAGAAGTTAAAATTTATACTTATTAACACATTCTTTCAAAATCAAGACACCTTAAAGATTTAATATATACCCAATGCTAAACTAGGCAGTGAGGCTACGGCAGAAAAGATTATCAAACATTTCTATAATCTAAGGACTTCAAATTTGTAATCCATTATTTTAGGATTTTAAGAAGTAGAAAAAATTCTTGTGGTTACTTTCTTTTTTGATGTCAATAATAATTTACACTGTCCATGATATATTAGAACTCATTTTGTATGTGTCTGTGAGAAGAAAAGTTACAATGTACATGGGTATGAGAATATTGTCTTCAAGTTTTAAAATGAGTTTAGTGCCACCAAGTGGTTATGCTATACATAGTACAAAATTAACAAAAAACAAAAGAAAATTTAAAGGTGTACAGCCATTCATTCATTCATTCAAATAATACTTACTGAGCACCTACTACGTGCCAGACATTGTAATAAAGGCTGAACAGTGAATAAGAAAGATGTGGTCCTTGTCCTCCTAAATCTCACATAAAAATAATCTTATATATAGTCAAAGTTCTATTTGAAAGAACTGTAACTCACGTCACAAAAAATCTATTGCAGTATGAATTATTTAGGTAGTTCTCAACTTTAAAAATCTTTAGCTTACCTAAGTGTTCTACTTTAACTCTGGCTTTTAAGATAATTTAAAATAAAGCAGTAGAGTTCAATAATAGAAATGAGGCTAGAGCAGAGGGTCTCAAGTAGGACTGACCCAGAACCTTAAGAGTTTGGTTTGAATTCCTACGCCAGGGTATATAGTCTTTAGTTTATCAGGGCACTTCTACTCTCTACTTCTTACACACAATCCAATTCACACATTCATGATGACAACCTGATACTGAAGGCATTTGATTTTGTAATCCCCAGACTAGAGAATTTCTTTTCAAAGCTTATACAAAAGAAGAGTAGATGTCCAGAGGAATAATATAAAAATAGCTTAAAGTACTGCCTATATAAATTATAGTCAATCAAAAAACAAGCAATGGGGAAAGGATTCCCTATTTAATAAATGGTATTGGGAAAACTGGCTAGCCATATGCAGAAAACTGAAGCTGGACCCCTTCCTTACACCATATATAAAAATTAACTCAAGATGGATTAAAAATTTAAACGTAAGACCTAAAACTATAAAAACTCTAGAAGAAAACCTAGGCAATACCATTCAGGACATAGGTATGGGCAAAGACTTCATGACTAAAACACCAAAAGCAATTGCAACAAAAACCAAAATTGACAAATGGGATCCAGTTAAACTGAAGAGCTTCTGCACAGCAAAAGAAACTATCATCAGAGTGAACGGGCAACCTACAGAATGGAAGAAAATGTTTGCAATCTATCCATCTGACAAAGGCTAATACACAGAATATACAAGGAACTTAAACAAATGCAGAAGAAAAAAATAAACAACCCCATCAGAAAGTGGGCAAAGGATATGAACAGACACTTTTCAAAAGAAGACATTTATGTGGCCAACAAACATATGAAAGAAAGCTCATCATCACTGGTCATTAGTGAAATGCAAATCAAAACCACAACAAGATACCATCTCACGCCAGTTAGAATGGCGATCATTAAAAAGTCAGGAAACAACAGATGCTGGAGAGGATGTGGAGAAACAGGAAAGCTTTTACATTGTTGGTGGGAGTGTAAATTTGTTCAACCATTGTGGAAGACAGTGTGGCAATTCCTCAAGGATCTAGAACCAGAAATACCATTTGACCCAGCAATCCCATTACTGGGTATATACCCAAAGGATTTTAAATCATTCTACTATAAAGAAACATGCACATGTATGTTTATTGCAGTATTGTTCACAATAGCAAAGACTTGGAACCAACCCAAATGCTCGTCAATGATAGACTGGAAAAAGGAAATGTGGCACATATACACCATGGAATACTATGTGGCCATAAAAAAGGATGAGTTCATGTCCTTTGCAAGGACATGGATGAAACTGGAAACCATCATTCTCAGCAAACTAACACAGGAACAGAAAACCAAACACCACATGTTCTCACTCGTAAGCGGGAGTTCAACAATGAGAACGCATGGGCACAGGGAGGGGAACATCACACACCGGGGCTTGTCGGGGGGTTGCGGGCAAGGGGAGGGATAGCATTAGGAGAAATACCTAATGGAGACGATGGGTCGATCAGTGCAGTAAACGACCATGGCACGTGTATACCTATGTAACAAACCTGCACATTCTGCACATGTATCTTAAAGTATACAATATATATATATATTAAGTTAAAAAAATTATTGTCAATCTTCATTGAGTCACAGCTATAGCAATATAAATACATACAATTTTAAATTTTTTAATAGTCAAGGAAAAAGGTTGAGAATGTAACAGTAGCTTTCCCAAGAGAAAGTGATACTGAAAAAAAGTATAAATGTCCTGCTCATGAAGACTCTATAAAGAAAGATACACAGAAAAAAGGGATGAACACCAGAAAAACAAAATAGTAAAGGAAAAAATCATTTTATACTGGAGTATCAGAGAAAGTTTTTTCACAAATGTGAAATTTTAATAGGGGTTTGAAAGCTTGGTAGGAACTAGAGAATAGAGAAGGAAATTCACTTTAAAAAGTGAGAACAGTGTGAACAAAAGAACAAATTAAGATGTTTGATGTGCTTGTTGTTCAAGAGACAATGAGCATATTGGTCATTTGTACTAGTGTGGTTATAGTCATAGTGGGGTTATTCTTTACCTTGTTAAGTCACTGGCCTTGAGTAATTAGGAGTTTACCCAAAGAGTAAGACATTTTGAATATAGAAATAAAATAATCAAAACAGTGGTTCAGAAAGATTCAGTTTAAGTCAATTTACAGGAAGGACTGAAGGCGGCTAAAAGGAGAAATAAGATCAGCCAGGTTCCTACCCTAATAAAAGTATGAAATAATAAAGAGTGGTAGGTTAATATAATACATAAAACCACTATCACACAAACATGCAAGTGAGAAATCTAGGAATTAGAAATATAACTAAAAATAAAATAAGATTTAAAAGAATAAAAGAATATTAATAACAACCGTATGAAATGATTTTGAAAATTTAAGCTGAAATGAAGAAATCTTTTAAAAAAATACATCTTACCAGAACCAACTCAAGAAAAAATAAAGAGCCACAATAGTCCCTTAACTACTGAAATGAAGCAGTATTTTAAAATATTCTCGCAAAGAAAATACCAGGCCTACATGGATATACAGGTCAATTCTACAAAAATTTGAAGAAGTATATCACCTTAATTTTACACAAATTGTTCAAGGCACTAAAAATAAGAGAAAATTCCAACTCATTTCATGAAGCCAGAATAACCTTAATACTAAAACGAGTCAAAGCCATTACAGAAGAAGAAAAATTAAGACACATTTCATTCAAAAATTTAAATGCAAAAACCTAAACAAAATACTACTATATTTAACCCAATAGTGCATAAAAAGAGAATACACCCTGACCAAGTGGGCTTATCCCAGGTTTGGAAGAATGATTTAATATTAGAAAAATCCGAACATAATTAACTGCATTAACCTAGCAAAAGGAAGAAAATACAGAAGATCATCTCAATAGAGGCAGAAAAAGGATTTGAAAAAATTTAATATACTTTCATAATAAACACACTAATTAATAACAGAACATTAAAAATAAAAAAGCTGGAGTAAACATCATCCTAAATGGAGAAATGGTAAGAGGCATTCTCTTTTAAGTTGCAAGTGGTTTTATTGGAGGGTCTTAGCTAGGAACTAAGACAAGAAAAATAAATTAGAGTCAAAAGGATTATAAAGGAGGAAATAAAACTATCATTATTTATACCTGATATGGTCATTTTGATAAAAACACACCCACTCAAGAAAAAAAAACAAATTATTAGTGATAATAGAAAAGTTTAGCAGGATGGCTAAATATAATATTAATAGATGAAAGTGAACTGCCTGTCTTTATGCCAAAGGCAACAACCTAAAAAATAAAACTACCCAAAGAAAACTACTCCAAGTCATATAATAATCAAACTCTCAAAGGTTAAAGACAAAGAGAGGATCCTAAAGGCAGTAAGGGAAAACAAGCAAACAATATCTAAAGGTGCTTCAATTCATCTAGCAACGGGGTTCTCAACAGAAACCATACAGGCCAGGAGGGAGTGGGATGAAATTTTCAAATTCTAAAAGAAGAAAAAAAAAACACCATCCAAGAATACTCTCTCCAGCAAAGCTATCC
The DNA here is from genome assembly GCF_000001405.40 of Homo sapiens. Lineage (NCBI taxonomy): Eukaryota > Metazoa > Chordata > Mammalia > Primates > Hominidae > Homo > Homo sapiens. Next base: position 193,035,506 of record NC_000001.11, read on the forward strand.
GTCAAATATGAATGAGAAGTAAAGTCTTTCCCATACAAAAGCTGAGAGAAGTGGCCACAACGAGACTTGTTTTATGAGAAATGCTAAGGGCACTTCTTCAATCTGAACAGAAAAAAACACTAATGCGCAAAACCAAAACATTTTAAGGTCTAAAATCCACTGGTAAAAGTAAATACACAAAGAAACCCAGAATAATATTGTCACTATGGTATGCAGTCTGCTCATAACTCTGATATAAAGCCCAAAAGACAAATCTACCCCAAACAGCAATACCAATAGCAACCTGTTGAAACAGACAATATAAGAAATACGTATATTGACAAAACACAAAGTCAAAATATAAGGGGTAAAAAGTTAAAGTGTAGAGTTTTTTTCTTTGCTTCTATTCTTTTCTTTATAATCTAAGTTGTTACCTCTTTATAATAACATGTCATATGTATATGTTTTGTAAGCTTCATGGTAACCGCAATGCAAAAACCTGTAATAGATTCACTAAAAATAAAAAACAACAAATTAAAACATACAACCTGAGAAAATTTCTTAACAACAAAGGAAGACTGTAAGAATGGAAGAGACCAATTACAAAACAACCAGAAAACAAGCAACAAAATGGGAGTAATAAGTCCTCACTTATCAATAATAACACTGAATGTAAATAGGCTCAATTCTTCAATTAAAAGGCATAGAGTCTCTGAGTTCATAAAGATATAAAACCCCATAATATGGTGGGTACAAATAACCCACCGCATCTATAAAGATATATAGACCAAAAGGGAAAGGGTGGAAGAAGATATTCTGTGCAACTGGAAACCAAAAAAAAAAAAAAAAAAAAAAAAAGAACAGGAGTACTATCCTTATATCAGATAAAATAGACTACAAAGCAAAGACTATAAAAACAGACAGAGAAGGTCACTACATAATGATAAAGGGGTCAATCTAGCAAGAGAATATAACAATTATAAATATGTATACGCCTAACACCTGAGTTCCCAAGTGTATAAATATAAAGCAAGTGTTTATAGATCTAAAGCAAATACTACTATCTACTCTCTCTGACAGATCATGCAAACAGAAAACCAACAAAGAAACATCAGAGGTTAACTACAGACTAAACCAAATAAACCTAACTGACATTTACAGAACATTTCACCCAACTGCTGCAAAATACACATTATTTTCACTATTTTCATCAGCATATGGATATCCAGCATACACCGAGGATAGACCATGTTAGTCCACAAAACAAGTTCTCAATAAATCACTGAATAATATGATTTATAGTAAAATAACATACCAAGTTTCTCTTCAGACCACAATGGAATAAAACTAGAAATCAATAATAGAAACCTTGGAAACTACACAAACACATAGAGATTAAACAACATGTTACTAAATGATGAATAGGCCAATAAAGAAAATAAGAAAAAAATTTAAAATGCATTGAAACAAATAAAAATGGAAATACAGCATACCAAAATCTATGAGATATGGCAAAAGCATACTAAGAGGGAAATTCATAGCGAAAATATCAAAAAAGTAGAAAGACTCCAAATAAACCACCTAATTATATACCCCAAGGAACTAGAAAAGCAGGAACAAACCAAACCCAAAATTATTAGAAGGAAAGAAATAATAAAGATCAGAGCAGAAATCAATGAAATCGAGACTTAAAAAAACAATATTAAGATCAAGGAAATGAAAAATCTTCAGGAAAGGTAAACAAAATTGACAAACCTTTACCCAGGCTAAGAAAAAAGAAAGACGATCCAAATAAATAAAATCAGAAACAAAAAAGGACACATAACATCTGAAATCACAGTAATACAAAGAATCATTAGAAACTATTATGAACAGCTATATACAAAAAAATTGGAAAACCTAGAAATGGACAAATTCCTAGATACATACAACCTACCAAGACTGAACCAGGAAGGAATAAAAAAATCTAAAGAATCTAATAACAAGTAATGAGATCAGAGCCATAATTAAAAGTAAAGCAAAGCCCAGGATGTGACAACTTCATTACTAAATTCTACTCAACATTTAAAGAAGAATGAATGCTAATTTTACTCAAACTCTTCAAAAAAATTGAAGAAGAAGGAATGCTTTCCAACCCATTCTACAAAATCAGCATTATTCTGATACCAAAACCAGGCAAGGACACAACAAAAAAACTACAGACCAGTATCACTGATGATAATAGATGCAAAAATCTTCAACCAAATAGTAACAAACCAAATTCAAAAGTAACAAACCAAATTAAATAATACCACATTAAAAAGATTATTTACCTAATGGGTGCAGCACACCAACATGGCACATGTATACATATGTAACAAACCAAACCTGCACGTTGTGCACATGTACCCTAGAACTTAAAGTATTAAAAAAAAAAAAAAAAAAAAGGTCATTTACCTTGATTAAGTAAGAGTCATCCAGGGATGCAAGATGGTTCAATATGTGCTAATCAATAAATGTGATACCAAGAAAAAAACTACCTAATTATTTCAACAGATGCTGAAAAAGCATTTGATAAAATTTAACATGCCTTTATGACAAAAACCCTCAATACACTGGATATGGAAGGTACATACCTCAACACAATAACAGCCACATAAAACAGACTCACAGCTAATATCATACTGAATTTAAAAAAAGTTAAAGTCTTAGGCCGGGCACCGTGGCTCACGCCTGTAATCACAGCACTTTGGGAGGCCGAGGCGGGCAGATTACGAGGTCAGGAGATCAAGACCATCCTGGCTAACACGGTGAAACCCTGTCTCCACTAAAAATACAAAAAATTAGCTGGGCATGGTGGCGGACGCCTGTAGTCCCAGCTACTCGGGAGGCTGAGGCAGGAGAATGGCGTGAACCGGGAGGCGGAGCTTGCAGTGAGCCGAGATCGCGCCACTGCACTCCAGCCTGGGCGACAGAGTGAGACTTCATCTCAAAAAAAAAAAAAAAAACCACAGTCTTTCCTCTAAGATCAGGAACAAGACAAGGATGATCATTTTTACCATTTTATTCAACGTAATATTGCAAGTCCTGCCTAGAGCAACCAGGCAAGAGAAGGAAATAAAAGGCATCCAAACTGGAAAGGAAGAAATAAAATTAGCACTGTTCATAGCTGACATAATCTTAGAAAAACCTAAAGACCACCAAAAAACTCTTGGAACTGATAAACGAGTTCAGTAAAGTTGCAGGATATAACCAAGCACAGTAGCTCACACCTGTAATCTCAGCACTTTGGGAGGCTGAGGCAGGAGGAATGCTTGAGCCCAGGAGTTTAAGACCAGCTGGTCAACATAATGAGACCCTGTCTCTACAGAAAATTCTAAAAATTAGCCACCTGTGCTAGTGCACACTTGTAGTCTTAGCTACTCGGGAGGCTGAGGCAGGAGGATTGCTTGAGCCCAGGAGCACAAGGTTATAGTGAGCTATGATTGTGCTACTTCACTCCAGACAGAGCAAGACCCTGTCTCAAAAACAAAAAAGTTGAAGAATATAAAATCAGCATACAAAAATCAGCTGCTATTATATATGCCAACAGTGAATCTGAAAAAGAAATTAAGAAAAAAATCCTATTTAAAAGAGCTACAAAGAATATAAAGTAGGCCAGGTGCAGTGGCTCAAGCCTGTAATCCCAGTACTTTGGGAGCCCAAGGCGGGCAGATCACTTGAGGCCAACCTGGCCTCAAGTTTGAGACCAACCTGGCCAACATGGCAAAATCCTATCTCTACTAAAAATACAAAAATTAGCCTGGCATGGTGGCACATGCCTGTAATCCCAGCTACTCAGGAGGCTGAGGCACAAGAATAGCTTGAACCTGGGAGGCAAGGTGGAGATGAGCCAAGATCGTGCCACTACATTCCAGCCTGGGTGACCTAGTGAGACTATGTCTCAAAAAAAAAATAATAATCTAAAATACCTAAGAATCAATTTTACCAAAGAAGTGCAAGATCTATACAAGGACAAGTATAAAGCACTGATGAAGAGTTCACCAAAAACTGGATATTCCATCCTCATGAACTGGAAGAATTAATATTGTTAAAATGACAATTCTACTGAAAGCAATGGACAGATTCAATGCACTCCCTATCAAAATACCAACGGCATTCTTCATAGAAACAGAAAAAGCAATCCCAAAATTTATACGGAACACAAAAGACCCGAGATGGCCAAAGCAATCCTGAGCAAAAAGAACTAAACTGGAAGAATCACATTATCTGACTTCAAAATAGACTACAAAGCTATAATAACCAAATCAACAGGATTCTAGCATAAATACAGACACATAGACCAATGGAACAGAATAGAGAATCCAGATATAACTCCATGCATTTACAGATAAATCATTTTCAACAAAGGTGCCAAGAATATACAATAGAGAAAGGGTAGTTCCTCCAATAAATGGTTCTGGGAAAACTGGATAACCATTGCAGAAAAAAGAAACTAGATCCCAGTGTCCCACCGTACACAAAAATCAAATCAAAATGGATTAAAGACTTAAATATAAGACTTGAAATTATGAAGCTACTATAAGAAAACATTGGGGAAAATCTCCAGAACACTGGTCGGGGCAAAAATTTTTTAGTAAGACCTCAAAAAGCACAGACAACAAAAGCAAAAATAAATGAATAGGATTACATCAAACTAAGAAGCTTCTGCATAACAAAGGAACCAATCAACAAAGTAAAGCGACAACCCACAGAATGGGAGAAAATATTTGCAAACTACCCATCTTATAAAGGATTAACGACCAGGATATATAAGAAGCTCAAGCAACTCAACAGGAGAAGATAAAAAAAATCAGATTTAAAAATGGACAGAAGATCTGAATAGACATTTCTCAAAAGACATACAAATGGCCAACAGGTATATAAAAAAATACTCAACATCATTAATCATCAGAGCAATGCAAATCAAAACCGCAATGTTATCATCTCACCCAAGTTAAAATGGCTTTTAACAAAAAGGGAATGACAGATAAGTGGTGAGGATGTGGAGAAAGGGGAACCCTCATAAACACTATTGGTAGAAATGTAAATTAGTATAGCTACTATGGAAAACTGTATGGAGGTTATGCAAAACTAAAAAATGAACTATTGTATAATCCAGCAATCCACTACTGGGTATACAGATCCGAAAGAAGGGAAATAAATATATCAAAGAGATATCTGCACTCCTTGTTTTTATTATGGCACTATTAATAATAGCCAAAATATATAATCAACTTAAGTGTCCATCAATGGATGAATGGATAAAGAAAATGTAGTATATACATACAATGTGAGATTATTCAGCCATAAAAAAGAATGAAATCCTGTTATTTGGAGCAATATGGAAATGGAGGTCATTATGTTAAATGAAATAAGCCAAGCACAGAAAGACAAATATCTCATGTTCTCACTCACATGTGAAAGCTAAAACAGCAAATCTTCAGGATAGAAAGTAGACTGATGGTTGCCAGAGGCTGGGAAGGGTGGGGTGGTGAAGAGGATGAAGGGAGTTTCATTAATAGGTACAAATATACAGTTTAACAGAAGAAAGAAGACCTAGTGTTTGACAAATCAGTAGGGTGCCTATTGTTTACAATAATCTATCATATATTTCAAAATAGCTATAAGAGGATAATTTGAATGTTTCTAGCATAAAGACAAATATTTAAGGTGACTGATATCCCAATTATACTAATTTGATCTTTATAAATTATGTGAAGGTATTAAATTATCACATGTATCCCCAAAATATGTACATCTACTATGTATCAATAAATTTTTTTTAAAAAAAGCATAATTAACCCCATTGAAAAATAACATAAACAAGAATTTCACAGAGGAAATACATATGGCCACTAAGCACATGAAGGGCATTTCAACATGATTAGTGATCAGGGAGACATAAGCCAAGACAAAAATGAAGTAGCATTTTGGAACCAATTAGCTGACAAAAATTTAAAAGCCTAGCAATGCCACGTGTTATAATATGTGGCTTTGTAACAACTCCTACACATTGCTAGTGGAAATGCAAATTTGAACAGCTACTTCAGAAAACGTTTGGATATTTCCTTCAAAAGTTGCACATTTACATATTAGATGAAATACTCATTCTACTTCTAGGTATACACCAGGAGAAACTTGCACATGTACAAAAAATGTTTACAGCAACACAATTCACAGTAACTCAAATTGAAAACCCAAAGAACAAACTACAGAAGATTAAGTAAACTGTAGCATGTTAGTGCAGCTGGTATCATATAGCATGCAAAATAAATGAACTATCATAATAAACTTATGGATGAATCTTAACAATATAATATTAAGTGAAAAAAGTAGGCCAGGCTTAATGGTTCACATCTGTAATCCCAGCACTTTGTGAGGGCAAAGATGGGAGAATCATTTGAGTCTAGGAGTTAGAGACCAGCCTGAGTAACATAATGAGATTCTGTCTCTACCAAAAATATAAAAAATTAGCAGGGTATGGTGGTGTGCATCTGTAGTCCCAGCTACTCAGGAGGCTGAGGCAGGAGGTTGAGGCTACAATGAGCTGTGATCATGCCACTGCACTCCAGCCTGGGTGACAGAGCGAGATCCTGTCTCCAAAAAAAGAAAAAAAAAAACACTCCCAAAATGTATATAGAGCACGATACTTTTTATCAAGTTAAAATTTTATTTACAAACACCTTTTTCAGGATTACAAAAAATACATAAAAAGAAAATGATAAACAGAATTCAACATAAGGGTTACACTGGATGGAGAGAGGGAAGACGAGAAGTACATTGAACGATGGGTGGGACAGAAGGAAGTAACATAGATAAAGTTTATTTCAGCGGTAAGTTCTTAGGCACTTACTTTGTTTCTTAAAATAATCAAATAAATAAAAGGAGACCATGAATAAACCAATCATATATATGTGTTATTAACCAAGGATTCTTATAATCCCATTCTGGGTACCTTAAGAGCAACTTTTTAGGAAAAAAGAAAAACAGCCATCATCATAATGTCATCCTCCTCCGTCCTCACATCTAATCTATTACACATTAAAGGTGGTAATACTTTATCTCTAAATTCTATTCACATCTGTCTTTACTTCCAGTTTTTTGTTTACTATCACATGGACTTCTGCAAAAGCCTCCTAACTTACATCTACTCTTGTCCTACACTACTTCTCAAATGCATTCCCAACACTGGAGCCAAAATGGCCTCTTCTAAATGAAAATCTGTTCATGACACTCTTCTTAGAACACTTCAGTAACTTTCTATTACTCTAAAGATAAAGACAAAAGTCTCAATCACAGCCTAAAATACCCTGTAAGATCTGACCTCTGTCTGCATCTGTAGGCTAGAGTACATAAATTTTATCTAGGCTCATGACCACCTGGAATGAAGACAACTTTCTTAGTGTCCTCTACTGCTAACTCAAATGACTGAGTTTTGGCCAGAGACAAGCATACATGTGACACAGGCAAATTCTATAAAAGGGAAAGGAGTGTGCTTTCCCCTTCCTCCTGTCTGAATACGGAATTGAGAAAGAATGGCTGAAGCCCCAGAAATCATCTTGGACCATGAAATAACCTTTGGAATAGAAAACATACACAAAGGAGCAAAACAAAAGAGCCTGGAGCCTTGACAGCTCTTGAATATTAAAAAAAAAAAAAAAAAAAAAAAAACCACCTATTTCTTATAAACTATTGTTTTTTTTATGCCTATGCCTAACTGTACCTAATATCCTGGCTAACATATTTCCTGTTCTGCTTCATATCTCAGGACATCTCCCCTTTGCTCTGCACAGTTCAGCTACATTGGTCTTCTTCCTGTACCTTTTACTAGTCTTACTCACTTTTGCTATAAAGCTGTAATTAATCTGGAATGATCCTGAACCTCTCTCCCCTAGTTAATACCTACTTAACCTTTAGATTTCAGCTGAACTGTCACTTACTCAGAGAGGCTTTCTCTCTGACAAGGTGAAGTCCCACTTTTATGACTATAGTAAAGAAATTAACCTTGCCCAAAGAGAGGTCTGGGCTTTGCCCTTGGTTCCTGGGAGATGAGTTCTAAGTCCTTGAATGCCTAAGAGTCTTTGTTTACCTGAGAGCTTTGGGCCACACTGATAGTCTAATAATGTGACTTAGGGTGGGGGTATTGGGTCAAGATTATCAGCTCAACCTCCTGTGGGGCTGGAGACTAAGGTCCAGCCACATGGGTGGCCAACCAGGTCTATGTGACCAAGGCCCACTAAAAACTTTGGACACCAAGAATCGGAGGGGGTTCCTTGGATGGCAATACTCTGCATATTGTCACATAGCATTGCCAGAATAGTGAGCACTGTCTGTGACACTACTGGGAGAAGACAACTGGAAGCTCTGCACATGGAACTTTCCTGAACTCTACCCCATGTGGCTCTTCCCTTGGCTAATTTTAATCTATATTCCTCTGTTGTAATAAGCCATAATCATGAGTATAGCAGCTTTCAGTAACGTCTATGAGTCTTCTAACCAATTATAGAACCTGAGGATGATCTGGGGATCCCCCCACCACAAACCTGCAATGCTGTCAGAGGTGAAGGTGGTCTTGGTCGAACTCTACAGTTGGTGTTCAAAGTGAGGGTAGTTTTGTGGACAGTTCCTAAACTTCGTAATATAGTCCTCATTTCACTCCATTCAGCACTTATCATCATTGTAATTTAACATTTAATTGATTAATATCAATTGCTTCCACGAAACTCTAAGCATATTTGAGGGCAGGAATCATGGCACTTTTTCATTCTCCAAGCACCACAGTATCTGGCACATTGTAGGTATTCAGTCATTCTTTCCTGAAAGACTGAACACATGGAGTCACACAAATCCAGTACCACTGCAGCATGATTTTAAGCAAGTAAATCACACCTCAGCTCTCTCATCAGTGAAATAACAAGACTACAATATTTTGCAGAGGGAGAACAGTTATCAAAATTTCATTTCTGGATCCTTATATACAAATTGCAATTACTAGGATATATTTCTTTCCTCAATATTTTATTAACCAATGATACACAGACACACACACACACGCAACCCCCTTGAATTAGAGTATATGATCAGCACAAAATAGCCAGTGTTACCTCTCTATATTGAGGTAATCCCATTATAAATGCCATTTAGTTAATCTGTATAACCTTATCAAATAAATATGATTTCATTAAATTTTTTCAAATTTCTGAAAATACTCCAGACATCCTGGATTGGAAATTATTACTGTAAGCCCTTGAAACCTAAAATCAACTATTACATATTGATGTAATATATATTATAACTCTCCTAGCATAGGCTTATAGGAGGCATATACTAAAAAGACTGACAGATATTAATGGGGAATTATTGACCTGTCAGTTTAATATGAACGTTAGCAAAATAAAGTACCAAAACAATGATATGGGGAATCACTAATCTGAGACTTTCATAAACACAACTGGAATAATACAAATGTAACACAGAACTAAAAAATATCAAGGGACTCCAGAAATTATAAATTCATACTCTACTATCATTTTTTTCTTTCTTTATAGAGTACTTTCTTATACCTTAAAAGTAGCTAGGTCTCTATAAATCAGACATCATTAGTATCTTAGTGTTAGTAAATTCTAGCACTGTTTAATAGTAATATTCTTAGAGATGAACGGTTCGGTCTGCATTTATTGGATACCTACCACGTACCAAGGACTGAATATAAAAACAAAATCCCTAACTCCCAGGTTTACAGTTTAGTGTGGAAGAAACACAATTAATTAATTTACTGATACAGTCTCTAAATTTGTCCCTGCCCAAACCTCATGTTGAAATGTAATCCCCAATGCTGAAGGTGGGGCCTGGTGGGAGGTGTTTGGATCATGGGGGTGGATCCCTTATGAATGGCTTAGGCCATCCCCTTGGTGTTAAGTGAGCTGTTGCTCAAAATCTGATCATTTAAAAATGTGTGCCCCACTCTCTCTTTCTCTCTTGCTCCAGCTCAGCCATGTGAGATGTCTGTTCCTACTTTGCCTACCACCATGAGTAAAAGCTTCCTGAGGCCTCCCAAGAAGCCGAGCAGATGCCAGCACCAGGCTTCCTATAAAGCCTGCAGAACTGTAGGTCAATTAAACCTTTTCTTTATAAATTACCCAGTCTCAGGTATTTCTTTATAGCAATGCAAGAATAACCTAACACAAATATACACAAACATACATGGGAAAAAAATCTGTAAAAATATAAATTGTTTTCAGTGGTTATGTCTAAAGCAGAGATTACAAGACACTTTTATTTTCTACAGCATCCACTTTATAATGTTTAAATTTTTATAATGGCATATATGCTTATATACATTGAAAAAATAAAAACATTTTTAAAAAGGAGAAAAATCACCTCACAGACTTTTAAACTCATCTGTCCCCTAGCTTTTCTCTACTACGTAGATCTTAAAATTTACAAACAACTGTGGATTTAAAATTATAGTTACTATATGTATAATGATATATAAGCACAAAAATATTATACAAATGGACTATTTGGATTTTTTGTTTTGTTTTTGAGACAGGTCTTGCTCTGCTGACCAGGCTGGAGTACAGTGGCATGACCATAGCTTACTGCAGCCTCAACCTCCTGGGCTCAGGCAATCCTCCCACCTCAGCCTCCAGAATAGCTAAGACTACAGGCGTGTGCTACCAAGTCTGGCTAACTTTTTATTTTTTTTAGAGACAGGGTCGCCCTATATCGCCCAGGCTGGTCTCAAACTCCTGGGCTCAAGTGATCCTCCCACCTCAGCCTTCCAAAATGATAGGATTACAAACATGAGCCACCATGCCCGACCAGATTATTTAGACTAGGGAAATAATTAGAAACTCAAAATGTTGACTACTAAAAGATTAATTAATTAAATTACAGGATATTTATACCAAGAACACTAAAGGAGGCAGTGTTGTGATCAGGTTAATAGTACAGACTTCAGAGCCACAGTGCCTGGGTTTGCACCCTAGCTCTGCCACTGACTAGCTACATAACATGATCAAGTTTCTTATCTTCTCTAGGACTCGGTTTCCACATCTGTAAAATGATGAGAAGCCTGCAAAACCAGATAATTGTTGTAAGGGATCAGATTAATAATTTTAAATATTAAATATATTTAAATATAATAATTTATATATTTATAGAATATATAAATAATTAAATTTATATATAAATTTATAATTTTTGTATATTTAAATTTAAAATATAATCATTTTAAATATATAAAAGTACTTAGTAAGCTTTCAATAAATGTTAACTAATATTTATTATGTGTTGTGAAATGAAACAAAGTCAAACTTTCATTACTAAGTAAAAAAAAACAAAATATTTTGCATAATAATCCAATTTTAGCAAACAAAATTATAAGGAAAACATGTTAGCATATGAACAGAAAATGTGGGAGGAAGTATGACATATGGAGTCACAAACCTGGGTTTTATACTTGGAGTTCTGGATGTACTACATATTATCTCTGTGATCTCAGGCAAATAATTTTTCTAGGCCTCAATTTCTTCATTTGTGAAATGAAGACAACAACCTCATGGGCTTGTTGCAAATATTAAATAATATACCCAAATTACAATATCTGGCACACAACAAGAGAGGTAAATGTTGCCTACTGTTTGTATTATTACTATTATTATTATTATAGTTGTTGAGGATGCCTCTCTTGTTAACCATTATATATGTAGTATCTAAAACAATGCCTAGCAAAGTAGGTGCTCAATGATTACTTGTTGATTAAATGGATGAGTCAAACTGTTAAAAGGTTAGTAGAGATGGGTGTGGGATTACAAGGATATTCATGTTCATCACTATATTTATATTGCTGTAATGTTAAGTTCTGCTATCAGAAAAAAAACAAATGATACATTTTTAACTACACTATAAAAAACCCTATTTTCCTTAAAGTAAAAGCAAGAAGTTCTAATTTCTCTAAGAATACTCAATTCAAAAAAGTCAGAGGAAAATGGAAAGCAGCAATAAAATAAAAGAAAAAAGAAAACAAGTTACTTAGTAGCAAAAGCTTTATCTCAAGGGCAGTAATGAGAATAAGCAGTTTTATTTTCCACCTTTCTAAAGGTTAATCAGACTATTCTAAGCAAGTTTTTGGGTCTCAGAAATAAGTGCAATTTTCAAACAAATGCAATCAAAGTATTATCTATGGCTCTCTAAGAATCCCTAAGACCCTTTTCAAGGAGTTTGTGAGCTCAAAATGGTTTCCATTGTAATTCTAAGACAGTTTTTGCCTTTTCCTCTTCTTTTCCATCTGCACTGTTGGCACAAAAGCAACAGTGTGTAAAACTGGTGGTATTTTAGCATGAATCTAGGCAATGACATTAAACTATTTCACTGACATACATAAGAGTTTTAAAAAAAGAAAACAAAAGCAAGTTTTACTAAAAAAAAGTCTTTGATAAAGCAGTAAAACTTATTTTTATCAAATTTTGACCTTGGAGTACAAGTCTCAAGTCTTTAATATTCTGTGGAATGAAATAGGAAGTACAAATAAAGAACTACTGCTGTATACCAAGATATGCTAGTTATCTTGAAGAAAGTACTTCAGCAATTGATTTGTAAGCTAAATTGTTAGCTTTTTCCCTTGGAACATCATTTTTGCTTGAAAGAACAAACGAGAGACAAATGTGGTTTTCCAGACAAGGATATCTGGCACATATTTTCTTAAAAATGAGTTAAATCAGTCTGTGGCTTTGTGAACAAACACCTAATAATATTTGTTGTTGTTGATAAAATTTGAATTTTCAAGTGAAAATTTAAAAATTAGAAGTTTGTAAAACTTAGATCTCCCACTGTGAGCTTAAAAGGTTTGCTATGGGTAATTTAACTTCTCAACAATATCATATCTAATGTGTCAACACTTAGAAGACATTCATAAAACGGTAAATGTACAATGTTACAAAATCATACAGGAATAAAAGATCCATTTGAAGGGCAACATAATCCAAAGGATTTTACCATAACAAAGTACAAATTTTACATTACAACTAACCTTTGAGAAAGCAATACTTTTAAAGCGTTGACATACTGTCAAAGAATATATTTACCTGAAAAAGATAATATTTCTCTTTTTCCAACTACACATCTGTGTGAGACAGAACTTTTTTTATTGATTTCAACCAAAAGCAAAACAAAACGAAAACATTGCAACAGACTGAATGAAGAAGCAGATAGGATCCAGCTGTGCTATTAAGGCAGACATTTAAAAGATTTGCAAAAATGTAAAACAATGCAATCTTCTAGCTAATTTTTTGGTAACTATAGTTATTTTTCATTAAAAAATGTTATCGATGTTAACATGTAACAAGTTTATTGTTGTTACTTTCAAATCTATTCATAATTCTTTTTTTCTTATTTTTTTGAGACAGGGTCAAGCTCTGTTGCCCAGGCTGGAGTGTAGTGGTATGAACATATCTCACTCAGCCTCCATATCCTGGGCTCATGCAGTGTTCCCACCTCAGCCTCCCAAGTAGCTGGGACCACAGGCACGCCACCACCACGCCCAGCTAATTTATTTTTTTGTTTTTGTTTTATAGAGACGGGTCTCTTCAGGTTTCCCAGGCTGGTGTCAAATTCCTGGGCTCAGCCAGGCACAGTGACTCACGCCTGTAATCCCAGCACTTTGGGAGGCCAAGGCGGGTGTATCACCTGAGAGGTCAGGAGTTTGAGACCAGCCTGGCCAACATGGTGAAACCCCATCTCTACTAAAAATACAAAAATAGCCTGGTGTGGTGGTATGTGCCTGTAATCCTAGCTTCTTGGGAGGCTGAGGCAGGAGAACGGCTTGAACCTGGGAGGTGGAGGTTGCAATGAGCCTCGCACCATTGCACTCTGGCCTGGGCGACAGAGCAAGACTCTATCTCAGAAAAAGAAAAAACAAATTCCTGGGCTCAAGGGATCCTCCTGCCTCGGCCTCCCAAAGTGCTGGGATTACAGTTATAAGCCACCATGCCTGGCGTAAATATTATTAAAATGTTTCAGTTTTAATGTCTAATATGGCAAACATTGATAGATAATCCCAGAAACAAAAGCTCTTTTGAGATGTCAATAATTTTTAAGACTGTAATTGGAGATGTCAATAATTTTTAAGAGTGTAAGAGTTTGAGGACTACTACACTAGTAGCAAACAGTAGTAAACTAGAGTCTTGTTTATAAAAAGGGTTGCTCTTGAGACTTTTCAGAGTATCCAAGGACCATACCTGCTTAGCAAAAAATATCGTGTCAAGTCGGGAGTCCTGAACCACAGAGCCTGCTGGTTCTTCTCCTGGCTGCCACTTGAAAAGAAAAATTAACCCATGAACTGGCCTACAAAATAAAATACAAATTAATGACATCAAACCCTGCTTCTTTCATAATACATTGTTAATCTATAAAATTTTAGTCAGTTATCTAACAAATATAATACAAATGAAGTAAATATGGGAAATTTTTAAAAGATCACTATTGCCATTCATAGTTACTAGACTGTTGCCTTAGAAGATGCTAATACAACTTAAAATTATATCAGTTAAAATAAAATTGTAGTGAAAGGTTTATTCTCAAATCTGTAGACTATTCATTTCTACCTGATATTACCTCACTTAAAAAATAAGAATATAGTAAAACCAGAAGCTGGCTGAACTCCAAAATATATAAAGTTCATGTAACATGTTTATAGATAAACGGTTGATAGCATATATTATCTATATTAAATATAGGAAGTAACCTTCATATATTATTGGATTCATGAAAAATCCTCATATTGCAGTATGAATTGATGCTACCATCTCATACATAATGAAATCATCCACTTTCCTAAAGGAACTGTTTTTGAGCACAAAACATTAAATCACTACTTTGAAATTCCTTCTAGTCTATCTATCACAACTGCCTCCCACCCCACAAAAAACTTTTCCTATCCTCAGGGCTGGGCATGGTGTCTCAAGCCTGTAATTCCAGCACTTTGGGAGGCTAAGGTAGGTAGATTACTTGAGGCCAGGAGTTCGAGACCAGCCTGGACAACATAGTGAAACCACATCTCTACTAAAAAAACAAAAACAAAACAAAAAAATTAGCCAGGCATGGTGAAGCGTGCCTGTAATCCCGGCTACCTGGGAGGCTGAGGCAGAAAAATCACTTGTACCCGGGAGGCAGAGACTGCAGTGAGCCGAAATCGCACCACTGCACTGCAACCTAGATGACAGAGTGAGACTGTTTCAAAAAGAAAAAGAAAAAAAAAAAAAGGTTTCCTATCTTTTTATTTGATTCAATTTTATTTTAGACATGGGGTCTCACTATGTTGCCTGGGCTAGACTTGAACTCCTGGGCTCAAGCGATCTTCTCGCCTCAGCCTCCTGAGTAGCTACAACTACAGGCATATGCCACCATGCCTGGCTCCCATTTTTTAAAGACAGTTCAAATGATCCATTTTTAATTAACCTTCCCTGATCTTAGCCACAAATGATCTCATTTCATCTAAAGTGATTGCTCTTTTTACAGGGAAGAGAAAGGTAGGAAGAAGCAAACTACCTATCACCTTCTTACTATTAACAACAGTTAGCATATTCCTAAGTCCCTATTTTCCCTTTTAAAAGATTCCCTGACCCCATTCCAGACTCCAAGACTCCCACCAGTGAAAATTCCTCTAGCCCTCCATTTGAAGATACAGGGTCAATGTTTGAGGGCATGGTAGTCAGGGGTAAGGAGAAGTTAAAAGAGGTGATTCTGGTCAGAAAGATGGGGGAAGGAGAAAAGTTGTTTCTGGCATCAACATTTGGAACTTTAAATATAACTTTCCCAGAGGTAATGTGATAGTGTGTAGGCAAGTTCTGGATTACTATAAATATATATTATCTATCAAATATGCTTTAGTACACTGAGCTATTGTTCTTGCTTTTTATGTTAAAATGTGTTCCATGTTCTAACACTATTGATATATAAGTGAATTTTGTAAAAAAAAAAAAAAAAAAAAATCAACTAACCAGTACTTTGTGGATATGGAATTACAGAGCCTTAGGTTTGACTCCCTTGCAAGTTACCTATCAGCCTCAGGTTCTTAGTTATAAAAAAATAATAATAATATCTATCTCACAGGATTGAAGAGACTTAAAGGACATAACGTATTCAACCTAGAGTAATCCAAGTAAAATAAACAAACAAATCTGAATATCCTTTAAGTTTGTTAAAGTATATATATATACATATTAACACAACTAAAATTATACTTACTTTAATTTTTCAAAATTCTCAGGCTCTAAACTCCATATTTCTTCTACTTGGGCTCCTCGGCAACCTGAAATAATAAATTATTTTCTTCAGTAAACAGGATAATTCATTTTTTCCTTCAACATGAAATAAAATATTAACTAAAGGAAATGCAACACATGACAAAACAAAATGGTAAAACTAATAAAGCTCACAGCCAAATCTCATTACTCTCTTTAATATATCCCAATTATTTACAGTGGGAGTATATTTATAATTTAAAGAGTTTCAAGAGTTTATTTTCATTGAATTACCACTCTATGACTGTTCCTTCTCTCTCTCTCAATCTCTGGCACCTCTATCCACTCTTTTCACTCAACTGTTCCATTTCTCCAGCTCTGTCTTTAGCCTTATATTATTATTATTTTTTCTTACTCTATACTTTTTTTTCTGGGAAAGTAAATAACTAATACTTAACAGTAACTTTCAAATCACATCTTTAGTTCTGATCCTTATCCTGAATTCCAACTGTATATTTTCAACTACTTCAGAGTCACGTCTCCTCCTCCCCTCCCAAATATCCTTCTAAGACAGCAGTTCTCAACTAGGGTGATTTTGTTCCCCAGGGAACATTTGGCAATGATAGACTTTTTTTTATTGTCATTATTGTCACTGGTGTGGACGGTAGGGGAGAGGCTACTAGCAACTATTTGGTAGAGGCCAGGGATGCTGATAGATATCCTACGTTGCACAGGACAACCCCTGACAACAAAGTAATACCTGGCCCAAAATATCAACAGTGCCAAGGTTGAGAAACTCTGCTCTAGCGTACAGTAGTAATCGTGTAGTGGTTAAGAGCTCGGGCTCCAAACTGCCAGAGTTTGAATGCTGGCTCCTACATTTACTAGCAATACAGCCATTTAAACTCTACATTCCTCACACTCACAGAGCTGTTTGGAGGAATTAATGAGATAATGTAGAAGATAATTTAATTCAGTGCTCAGCACACTTTAAGGGTCCACCAACTATTAGCCAGTATTATCATCACAATACAAAAATCAACCGTATTTACCAAAGTTTTTTATGTCCTCTACATAAAGTGCAGCTAGTATGTGCCAGAAACCTAATTAAAACCCACATCAGGTTTCAAAGTCTGGGCGCTTTCTAATTTTTCATATGATTTTCAAGTAAAAGCTAGAGAAGCCTTTAGACTACTGCAAAAAAACAGTGGTTAAAAAAGAAAAAAAAGTTGGGTAAACTAACAATGTGACTGGGCATTCATGCCATTCTGTGCCTCAGTTTGCTCTATTCAGCAAATATCTATTAAAGGCCCATTCTGGTATTAAAGATACATGTACAAAGAGAGTTACTACATGGTTTGCGGTGGAGGAGAACCAGAAAAAATCTGAATATCTAGCAACAGATTAAGAATAATAGACATTCACATATATCAAATTAGGGAAAAAACCTCATAAATGTAAACCTATGTTTCTATCAGTGTCAAGAAGGGCATGGAAGGATGTTAATGCAACTGTTAACACTGGTTACTTCTATTGGAAATCAAAAAACAGGCCAAACATTAAAACATTCTACATCATACCACAACAATAAAGAAAAAGTACGCTGAATAAAAGTGCCTCAAAGCCTCCTGCACTGGTAGAATTTCAAGTAGCGACACTGCTTAAACAATCTCACATTAAACACAAACACATCTGTTCATGTAAGGAAAACACAGTATTCAATTTAGCATCTATCTCCTTACATATGTTAAATATCTAATACAGCATGGTATAATGGAAAGAGAAATAAGCGCTGATTCCAGAGACCTACATCCTGATCCCAGCACTGTCGTAAAGGTCTTAACCTTGAGAAAGAACACAATTTCTTTGAGCCTCACTTGCACCATGCATATATAAAACAAGGATATTTACGTGCTTCATCCAAGCCACAAAATTCTTGTGAGGTATATAAGATTATCAAACAATAAACACAAAGAATCACTTAATACAGACTCCCCAATAATATATATTAAATAAAAAGTTGAGGAGGGGGGAAGGTTTTAAAATGGTATTTACCAAATATCTTTTGCGTGCCAAGCATGGTACTAGGCCCTGGCAAAGACAGAAATTAATAAACTATTGTCACAATACTTAAAAATGTCACAATCTGGTAGGAGACAAGCACATACAATGCAAAAACTGTATAGAATGTATAAATTACATATGAAGCATATATAGAACATGTTCTGGAAGTTCGGAGGTAAGAGAGATCATTACTACCTGCACTGGTTACCAAAAAAAAAAAAAAACTGTCATGGATAAATGAACTAGGTCTTTTAAAAAATGATCATACGATTTGTCATCTAAACCAGAACCCTGTTCCAAAGCGAAAGCGGGTGCTAACGTTAAAATGCTTTGAAATATTTATTAACTAACACATCTGTATTATACCGATGGGTCTAGGGATAGAAACAAATTTCAAAAATAACTGTCTTAAAAATCAACCTGGAGCCCCAAGAAAAACACTCGTGGAGTTCTCCCAAACTGTTGTCAGTGTGTTAAATTTAACTGCTAGGTATGCTATGTTCCAACAGACGGTTTTGACAACTTGTCATTCCCCTAACCCTACCGATAAATCTATCAGAAGCAGCAAGAATGGCCCCAGCTTTTGCACCTCTGCCAAAAAACACTCCCATATGTCTTCCACAACCCCAGTCTCAGTCATTCCATGGTACAGATAAATTCCATTTGGCTGATGATGTGACCAAATAGGAAAAACTGGATTGACAGCACTCAGGTAGTCTCTCCTTAAACAAGGACTAGACTCAATTATTTTAACTAAAATGGGAGCCCTAAATTGCAGGCACTGTTACCTTGTACCCCTAAACTGAGCTGGTCCCATTTTAGGGGCTGTAACAATAGGAAGCAACACTTGCTTCCAGGGGCACCATATGCACCCCAAGACTTCTTGTGTGAAAGCCAGGCATTATCTCTTTCCTCAAAACAAGATGAAATGTACCTTAGAAGCAGTCATAATAGACCTTCATGTTAAGGAAACACCACGTTGGACCCAAACGTCTTTCAAATCTGCCCTAACTTACGGGTCAGAGTTGTTATAGATGATGGAATTACTCTTCCTCCTTGCATGACAAGGTGGAGTCTGCAAAATCACTTACACATCTTGCTGTCCCTGGATTAATGCTCTGAGCCAAGAGGAAATGTCAATACAAAAATCCAAGAAAGCCATCTAGTTTTTTTACTGTAAACATTATAAAGACACAAATTAAACAGATTTGGCACCAACCCTGTCGGTCAGGTCATATTGAGCAGAATGGCTGAGGGAATGGCTATTTAGTGTAGAAAGAAGGCTGGATATTGTTGCAAGACAATTCTCAATGGGTTTCTCCTGTTTCTGCACGTCTTCTGCAAGGAATTACCAGCTTTGCTCTGGACCATCTTTTCAAGGATGTTCATATAGTAAACAGACTTGGAAGACAGAGACAGCACCTTTTTTTTGAGGCAGAGGGAAGGCTGATTTGCTGTCCAGGATAATAAAGATAATGTGTCCCTAAAGGCAAAAGTTGAGCAGGTTGGCTAGCAGCCCCCCTTGTTAAGATTAGTTCTCTAGCTGAGAGTTCCTCATGTGTAATACAGCCTCACTACTTGTGCAGCATCCACCAGAGCCCACCTCCAGCCTCATGGACTTGGAGGAAAAGGCAACCAATGTGAAAATGAATCTCCTGCTGCCTACTATGCTATAAGTAATACAACCCTTATCTCTAAACCAAAAGTTGTCTGCTAGCATCTATGAAACTGGCAAGCCAACTTATTTGCTGGCAAGCAGGATAAAATCTAACACTTAATAATTCTTAACAGATGTTAGATTTTGTCAAATGCCTTTTGCATCTATTGACATGATCATGTTTTTGATTTTTTGGCTTATTAATATGGTGCATTACATTGATTTTTTAAATGTTAAACCAATCCTAAATTACTGGGGTAAATCCCACTTAGTCATGATGTATTGTTCACTTAATGAATTACTAAATTCAATTTGGTAAAATGGTTTAAAATTTGTACATTTAAGTTAATGATGGATATAGGTCTGCAATTTTCTTTTCTAGTAATATCTTTGTCTGGTTTGGTGTCAGGATAATGCTGGTCCTCAGAAAATGAGTTGGGAAGCATTCCTTCCTCTCCAATTATTTTGGAAGAGTTTATGTAGAATTGGTATTATTTATAATATTAAATATTTGATAGAATTTACCAGTGAAGCCACCTTGGCTAGAATTTCTTTGTGGGAAAATTTTAAACTACAATTTCCATTTCTTTAATAAACACAGGGCATATACTGGTTATCTATTTCTTAAGTGAACTTTGGTAATTTGTGTCTTTAAAGGAATTTGTACATTTCATCTAAATTGTCAAATTTATTGGCATAGTTGTTCATAATATTATTTTTAATATCTGTAAAATTTTAGTGATGTCACCTCTCTCATTCCTATACTGAAATACAGGAACATCTCTTTTTTTCTGATCAGTCTGGCTAGAGTGATTCTATTGATCTTCCCCAAAAAACAGCTCTTAGTTTCATGTATTTTCTCCATTTTTTTCTCTTTTCTGTTCCACTAATTTCAACTCTGATCTTTATTATTTCCTGTCATCTGCTTACTCTAGGTTTTCTACTTTCTTATTAAAATGAAAGCTGGGGTCACTGGTTTGTTGTAAGAAAAATGAATCTAGTCCCCATTACTCTATCTTGGCTGTAACCAAATATTTACAGCTTCTGTTTTTATTAACAGACCATCACGGTTTGTTTTGGCACACATATGTATTATGTGTGGACCATACCAATTAAAAGTACAGTTCTGCTCCACCAGTTTCTTAATTTAATGATACTACATTCTACCAAAATCTGTATTTACATACTTACTGCATCTACAATTCATTTCCCTTTCAATGATGGAACTTTTGAAATGAATTTATGACAGCATTCACAATACAGGTATTTCATTTTTGAAAGAATCAACAGCCAAAAGCTTTTTTAAATCTATAAATTGGGTGAAAAAATGAAAATGATGGAAATAATTGGAATAAACTGATTTTCTCTTTGAAGCATCTGATGGTGACATAAACTACCACCATTTAATTGTTTGCAGGTTCTTCTGCTAATGAAGCCAATTTATTAATAGCTGCTGATTTTTCATATGTGCATGTACAGAAGATGAATTTATATATCATTCTTTCATGCATGATCTCCAAGTTTTCTGCACATATGAAATTGAAGGAGTAAAAACAAACTTACCTAGTACAACATTTCTGAAAGTTAACTTTAACATATTGTTAAGGTTTTGAACGTAAAATATATGACTAAATCTGCAGACATGTCAAACTCAGTGTCTGTCCAAATCTGAATCCATTTTCTTGTCCATCAAGCCTGCTCTTCACTTGTAAGAGTGTTTCACCAGCCACCCAGGCTAGAAACCAGGGAGTTATTTTTGCCTCTTTTTTTCCCCAACTTTTAGTAAGCAGTCCTTTTGATTTTTTTTCTCTTATGTAGGAGTAATATACTACCACTCAACCTCTACTGTAAGGTTGGCAGCCCTGAGAACTCCTTTTTTAATTTAGCGTGTTATGGATGTATTTCTGCTCCCAAAGGAATGAAGAGCAGACATTACCACATGCAACTGTTGATTTAAATATAGCAAACTTATTGAATCTAACTCCTCCTTCCTAACCCACTAGTTTAGCCAATCATCTCGGACTCCAACCATTTTAAGAGATGTCTAGCTTCTCTCACTTTATTCCAACCTGCCCTGCACACTTAAAAGCACAATAAACCTTAATTATGAAAATAATGTCATTTCAGCATTAAAATATATTTGATAGGTAAATCCCCAGTCACTACAGGGCAATTCAAACTATACAACATGGCATACAATCTGTCCTCAGTTTATCTTTTCAGTTTCAGATCCAAATAAATATTCCTCCAGTCTGCTATATTATGTTCTAGTCACTTTGCTAGCTGTTGGCTAACCCATATACTTTAACATCACTACTGTTTATGCTTTTCCTTCTGGCTGTGCTCCTCCATGACCTGTGTACTTTTAACATTTTGTATATACTCTAACATAGCAATTAACACACCATATTATAGTTTGACTGTCAATTATTCGAAACAGCAGTTATGGTTTATTCACATGAAAATTTCCCAATCCTTGGGTGGGCGCGTGGCTCACGCCTGTAATCCCAACACTTTGGGAGGCCGAGGCGGGTGGATCACGAGGTCAGGAGCTGAGACCAGCCTGGCCAGCATGGTGAAACCCTGTCTCTACTAAAAAAAAAAAAATTAGCCGGGCATGGTGGCGCGTGCCTGTAATCCCAGCTACTCGGGAGGCTGAAGTAGGAGATTCGCTTGACCCCGAGAGATGGAGGTTGCAGTGGGCCAAGATCGCGCCACTGCACTCCAGCCTGGGCGACAGAGCGAGACTCTGTCTCAAACAAAAAAAAGAAAATTTCCCAATCCTTACCACTGTGCCTGAGATATAGAAGATGAACAACATATGCTTGATAAATGACATTCCAAATATTAAGCTGTGTACAACAGGCAATATCTACATCAACGTTTAATTGTTAATCCCGCGTAAAAGTTTTAACATCGTAGAGTCAATAACACTTGGGAAATAGATAAAAACGTACTGTCCAAAGAAGAGACTAAGAACAAGATAAATAGGGAAGGATAAAAAGTAAAATGTGTTGATTATTTAGGACGAAAGGCACTAAATACAGCCAGAGAGAAACTGTGAGGAAAGCATGTGGCCTCTAGTCTAGAACACTAGCTCAAGAAAACTCACTTCACCGGAAGCCAGAAATGAGCAGAGAGCGGAACCAGTGAAGTGGCCTTTCAGGCCCACGCAGTCAGCGTGTGTGGACGTCCCGAAGAGCTATTCACACATTCAAGGCGTTCTGCTTTGAATAACCAGAATCTCGAGTTCCTGGGCGGCTTGAGCCGCAGACACCTCACCCTTGAGAAGGCGCACCCTAGGGTGGCTTCTGCAGGACTAATGGCCTGAGCAATGCACTTGACCTCACCAGCCCGGGATAAGGTGCGCGCCGCAGAGAAGGGGCAGTGCAAAGGGCAATACGTGCTTAAGAGCTTGGGGAGCGAGGGCCCTCAAGTCAATTACAGGATTTGGGTGCCAGGTCCTGAGGATGCAGCAGGCACAAGACTGACACGATCCTTGCCCTCGTGGTGTGGCTCTACAAATTACTGTGGAAACGCGACTGTCTCGAGCTGAGGAGAGGGCAGAACATCTACATTTCCCCCACCCGGACTCCAGGTTCCTGAAGTCACCTCTCCAGACGCGGGGCGGCGGTGGCCGCAGGGAACCACTCCATGCCCAGCTTGGGCCTCCTCCCGTGACCCCAGGCCCAGGACGGTCCCCTTGGTTCTCACCGAATCCTTTAATGAGCTCGGTGAAGACCCCGGGGTCGCTTTCCATGAGGCACCACTCCCCGGCATTGCCCGTCATGGCCCTGGCCACACACCGCCCCGATCCACCTCTCGCTCTCAGCTGCCCCCCGCACCAGCTGCCGCCGGCCACAGATCTCAGCAAACCCGCCGCCGAGCTCGTCAACCACACGTCACCCCGCCTACTTCCCGACAGCCTCCGGGCGCCGTCACCTGCAGCGCGACTGAGCGCGGGAGGACGCTCTAGCCACCCTAGAGACATCGAAACTCTTCCCAGGCCTTGCAGCACCCGTAGCGGATTCGGAAGGGCTGGGGCCTGAGAAGAAAGGGCGGTGATTCACAGCGCCGAGGAGGCAACATCCGGGATCCTCGCCCCTCTGGGGCGGAGGCGGGGCAAAAGAAGAGGGGCAGGACTCGTTCCCGGGAACCGAACCTGGAATCCCCGGCGGCAGTGGGGCTGTTGCTGTTGCTGTGGCTGTCGCTGCCCGTCAGGCTGCCTTCTTTTGTCGTTTCCCAGCGCTGCGCAGGACTTCTCCTGGCGGCGCTGCGGATCCAGGGGGTCGGCTGCCAGGTACAGGTGAGGACATTGCGGGAGGCCGGCTGGGAGCCTTTTGTGCGGCCCCAGGGACGCGCAAATTCTGACCAGTCCTCCATGTCTCTCACCCGCATCCCAGGGGTTGAGGCTGGGCAAACGCCGCGAAACTATCGCTCTTCCCCGTCCCGCTTCCGCGCCTGTCCACCCTGGGTAACGGAACCAGCATCGCGGTAGGGACATCCTCGCTAGGCCCGGCCGGACCATTCCTCAGGGTGGGCCCTTTCCGAAGCCGGGACCGCTCCTGCTTGTCGGCATCGCTCCCCACAGGCCGACGTCGAGAGGGCCTGCTTTACTCCTCCTCTTTCTCCTCCTTCTCCCGCGGCTTCTGCGCGGAGAGGCGTCGCCCGGGATCTGGGTTTTGGAAGAAGGATCTTTGTGGGAAGACAGGGTGAATTTATCACAGAGGAATAACGAGGGAGAGGAGAAAGGTTTGTCCATGGGGCTGCTAGACTAGTGGAAGGGGATGCGGTGCGTCAAGGGAAAATTAGGTTGAAAACAAATGTCGTGTATTAATCTAAAAACATTTGGAATGGTTCTAAAACTGGATGATGAGTTAAACCAAATATTTACTAAATATTTACTAAATTGCCCTCATTCAGCAGGCTCTTATAGAATACTATAGTGTTAAGATTAAAGTTTTTAAGAGTATATTGAAGTCGTTAAGTGTATATTTACTCCTTAAAAGCTACATATTCCAAGAAAGACCTTTGGCTTCCAGAAAAAAAAAATGTTTTAGTGGGTAAAACTCTGACTCCTTCCTTCTCAAATAGGTGACTTGTGCCCTGGAGTTAGGGAGCCTTGTGCTACAGATTATGTGAAGCCATGAAATAAACGTGGTAAATTTTATTGAGGGAAGCAACAGAGCAGCTTTTGTATTAAAAGGAGCCTGAGTACGCTATGGGGTAGAAGCCAAAATTTGTATGAAGTGTTGGTTTAAAAAAAATTTTTTTTGTAACTTTCTTGAAGTTTATCTCCGGAAACTCTGCCCTCAACTTGGAGACTAGGAGGATTCTGTACAGTATATTTCCTTGAGATACTTTATTGGAAAAGTTTAAGAGGCACAGAGTCCAGAATGATTGGCATCAGAGCCCAAAGTAGTTTGTGGTATTTTTTTTAATCTGTAATATTGCTATGAACTTGAAAATGTTTTCTGTGCAAAATACATCAAAACTAAAATGTACTTGATACCCAACTTAATTAACATGGTACCTATTGTAGAAAGACCAAACTGAAAATTTAGCCTTTGGCACAATCTAGAAGTAAGCAGAGAAGGGGGTTAAGATGCCTTTCATTATGTTAACGTTTAATCCTGAGAGTTTACATAAAAAGCCAGATTTCTGGGTCTTTGAGAAAAATGAGATCTGGCAACTACTAGTTCCATACCACGTGGCAACCAGTTGGCAGCTCCCCTCAGACTAGCATGCTGTCATTTTTGCCACAGTTCCTTCCTCATCAGTTTTTATAGCATCACATTGATCAGTGGATTCAGATACCTGTATCATGGGTAAACAAACCTCTATCATGGGCCCAATTTTCTATTGTTGTTTCTTTACATTTGTCATGCACTCTCATAGATATGTCAGCTTTGACTTCATTTAAAAAGGAATAATCTGCAAATGTGTTTGACTTCTTGAGATGAAAGGCAGCATTTTCAAATAAATTATAAAGAGACTTTGGAAGATATTGAGATGTGTAAATTCAAGAAAAATGTAGGATTCCTTGGAAATAACACATTAGTACTGATAAAAGATACTGTATATGCTGTAGTTCTGATGATTGTGAAACAAGTGCTATTATATAATGTGTGTTACTAGCATTTCCTGATTTTGCATTCTAAATTAAATTTAAAAGTAGAGAAATGGACATTGTATAAAATATCCACAACCAATTTAATATGCGGCCATGCTTGGCCGGGCACCGTGGCTCACGCCTGTAATCCCAGCACTTTGGGAGGCCCAGGCGGGTGGATCACGAGGTCAGGAGTTCAAGACCAGCCTGGCCAACATGGTGAAACCCCGTCTCTACTAAACATACAAAAAATTAGCCGGGTGCGGTGGCAGGCGCCTGTAATCCCAGCTACTCAGGAGGCTGAGGCAGGAGAATCGCTTGAACTCGGAGGGCGGAGGTTACAGTGAGTGGAGATCGCGCCACTACACTCCAGCCTGGGTGACAGAGTGAGAGTCTGTCTCAAAAAAAAAAAAAAAAGTGTCCATGCTTTTAATATTATAGTATTGTAATATTTAACTTCTCAAGAACTTAATTTATAGAGATTTAATACAACATTAGTTGTATGGTGTGTTTTAAGAGCACTAGATAGATAGGTCAGGCCCATCCAAAGAATTAACTATATCTTTTTGTTGTTAATCTGGATTTACAACACTTGATTATCCAGGAATGGATTAACTGATGACCAGGTTCTGACCTCACTCACTGCCCAATTGCCTTCTAAACCACTGATAATGGAGCTTAAGCTTTGAGGCAGGAGATGATGGCAGTTGGAGAAAGAAGAAATTAAGTTGCTGTATATGTCTTGTGGGTATCTCAAATTGCTTTTAAAAGTCAAATATAAAAATTGTAGGGCTAAATATAATTTTTGTGTAATCAATTGTATTGGTGCTCTCCATTCTGATATAGATAATAGCAGAGTTAAGTGCTTGTTTATTTAAATAACTTTCCAAATATATTTTACCTGGCTAGTTTATGTTTGTATTTTTAATAATAGATTTTTAGAATATAATTCACATATCATGAAGTTCACTATTTTGAAGTATCCAGTGCATTGGGTTCTAGTATATTCACGGAGTTGTGCAGTCATCACCACTAATTTCTGAACATTTTCATCACCCAAAAAGAAATCCCCTACCCATTAGCAGTCACTTCCCAGTGTTCCCCCACTCCGACAGCCTCTGACAACCTTAGACTAATGTACTTTTTATTTCTATGAATTTACCTACTCTGGAAAATTCATATAAATGGAATTGTAATACAATATGTGGCCTTTTGTGACTGGCTTCTTTGACTTGGCATAATGTTTTCAAGGTTTGTTTACATTGTGTCATGTATCACTACTTCATCCCTTTTTATTGTCTAATAATAGTCCATTGTATGGATATACCATATTTTTTTCATCCCTTCATCAGTTGATGGACATTTGGGTTGCTTCTCCTTTTTGACCGTTATGAGTAATGTTGATAAAAACATCTGGATACAACTTTTGGTTTAGATACATGTATTCATTTTTCTTAGGTGTGTGGTAGAATTCCTCGGTCATATGCTAACTATATTTAACCTTTTGAGAAACTGCCAGACTGTTTTCCAAAGTGGCTGTATGATTTTACATTCCCACCAGCAGTATATGAGCGTTTCATTTTCTCTAAATCCTCACCAACACTTAATATTATTGTTTTGATTATAGCTGTCCTAGTGGATGTGAAGTGGTATCTTATTGTGGTTTTGATTTGCATTTCCCTGATGACTAATGATGTTCGTCATCTTTTTATGTGTTTACTGGCCATTTGATAATCTTCTTTGGAAAAACACCTTTTCAGATTCTTTACCCATTTGTGTGTCTTTGGAGTAATATTCACATCTTTTGCCTATTTTTACTTGGGTTATTTATCATTTTATTATTAAGTTGTAAGTGTTCTTAATATATTCTAGATACAAGTCACTTATTGTATGTATGATTTGCAAATATTTTCCTTTTTCTTGGGTTGTCTTTTCACTTTCTTGATGGTGTCCTTGGAAATACAAGTTTTAAATTTTGATAAAGTCCAGTTTATTTTTTTATTTTGTCACTTTTGCCTTTGGTGTCTGCGTTCCAACACTAATTCTGTAGCATCAGCTGGGTGTCCCCCACTTCCGTTTAGTTCTGGCACTAGCTGCCCAGGGTTGGCATCAGATCCCACAAATTAAAGGACAAGGTCCCCACTAAGAATGCCATTAATTTGGACACCAGCTGTAAATGGGGTCCCCAGGCTACTCACACTTCTGCCCTGCGGACTACAAATTCAAGACTTCCCATAATCCCCTCAAGGCTGATAGTTCACTAGAATGACTCACATAACTCACTGAAAGTGCTCTACTTGCAATTACAGTTTTATTATAAGGGATACAACTCAGGAACAGCCAAACAAGAAGTAGACACATATGGCAAGGTCTGGGGCAAGGGAAGGATGCAGAACTTCCATGCCATCCTTGTGAAATGTGGGATACAACTCAGGAACAGCCAAACAGGAAGTAGACACATATGGCAAGGTCTGGGGCAAGGGAAGGATGCAGAACTTCCATGCCCATCCTTGTGAAATGTGGGCACATCACCTTCCCAGCACATCAGTTTTTGTTCACCAAGGATGCTCCACTGAGTATCGATGAAGAAAGTTTTTATGAGGTTTCATCACATGGGCATGATTGATTAAATCATTAGCTACATGGCTGAACTTGATCTCAAGTCCTCCTCCTTTCATGGAAGGTTGGCCTGACCAGTTTATTCCTCTAAACATATAGTTGGTCTTTCTAGTGATTAGCCCCCATCCTGAAGCTACCTAGGGGCCCATGTTGCCTCATTAATGTAACAAAGACACTCCTATTTCTCAGGAAATACCACGGGTTTTTGAAACTTTCTGCTGGGTATTATGTCCAAAGACCAGGTACTCTCTCTTATAAGATGCCACAGTATCACATCACTTTGCCGAATTTTGAGTTTATGTGTGTATCACACTCAGTGACAAGAAGGAGAGTAACTTGGGACATGTTATTCTGTTTTCTGTCTTTTAAAATATGAATATGACCCTGGTAAATTTATATAATCAAGTAGGAAGGTGCCCTGGCTGCTAATAATGTTATCTGTTCCACTGTTTTATGTTGCACTCTGGAAAGTACAGTCACAGAAGCATAGGAAAACCTGAGCAGTTTCTGCTGCAGAAATACTGAAAGGGTATGTCCTCAGGGTTGTCATTTATATCATAACATGCAAAAGGAAGAGTCCATGAATAAGTAACTTTATTTCTTCTAATAGGGATTATAAGGATTATACTTAGAGATTACCTCTTAGACATCCTTCATAGATTTAAAAGTTCATTTTGCTGCTTGCTCTAGAGAAGTACCTGAATACCTAATATTAAATATGTTAGAAAAACAGAAATTTTGTTCTTAGATGACATTTTTACTCAGTATTCATTACTTTTCTTTAGAACTTTATTTTTTCTTGATTATATTTTTCACTACCTGCATATAGTACATTTATCATTCTGATTACAGAATTTATCTTAAAGACTTGTATTATATTTTGCATTATAAATATTGAGGCTTTTATTCTCAAAATGTGTTATGGGAAAGAGAAACCAATTGTGCATAATTATTTGGCAAATGGTTCAGAAAGTCAACTTTAATGATATTTGGCTTTAAGTATGTATTGCTAATTACATAAAAGCAATACAAAAGAGGAGACAAAAATGATAAGATTTGGTTTCTACTTTCAAGGGAACCAATAATGTAGCTACATGTGGTCACAATGAATAATACAAGGAAAAGAATTTGAGGGGAGAGGGAATTTTGAGGTTTGGTTTGGGACCTTTTAAATCCCACCACTTGGGCCTTGGTGCAGGAAAGCAAGTTTAGTAGAATTATCTGATATTAGATGTCATTTCAGTGTTACTCATCTAACAAATAAAACTAATAAGCAGAAGTAGACAGGTTGAAGTGCAACCAGAGCCTGTTTTTATGAAAGCTGAGGGAGAGACTAGCAAAGTCTATGTAATGTAAAGATCAGAAAAACATAACATTGTCTACTGGAATTGGCAATTAAGGTATCAGTCTTTGAGAAGCATGTTAGTCTTCTTAAAGTGTTTTGGATCGAAAGGTAGAGATAAAAGCCAAATTTGAAAAGAGGATAATAATAAATAGGAGAACAGGCATCCACTGCAACAGGAGTTTCAACCTATGCTGTATTCAGTAACTATGAATTTGTCCCTAATGACTAATATGATCATTACATCTCTGATGCCACCTGAGACCTAGGCTTCCACTAACATAAGCAAATTTATACTAGCGTCTTATTTGGAATATTGACACTAATATTCCGAACACAATTCAGATCACTGTCCCCCTCAGTCACATTCAAAATGTGAGGCTCTTCATTCTCCCATGCACTTATCCCTACACCACTATGTGTTCCCCTCTCTGAGACCCAGTCTTTCATTCCTCCCCTCTCTACCAAACTTCTCCACATACCATTTGGCATTCTACATCTCCTGTCAGGGGGGAATGTCTTCAGTTTCCTTATCCCTCATTCCTTCAAATCTATCTTTACCTATACTCTTTACCCTTAAAAGATAAAGGAAATATCTCTTGCTGTCAGTAGGCCAGTCTCAACCTGGATGCTCTAAGCTCATTCTCATTTCTTTAAGAAATTCCTTCAGTTATCCCCCTTCTCTACTGTATCTTCAGCTCTCCAAATTGAATCTTTCAATGTTAGCATCTTCCCATTGAAAAAGGTAAAAAGATTTTTTCTCTAAGTCCCATCCTCTTTTACTTTCCTTCATAGTTTATAAGTATGTGTCTACAAAAGAGTAGTCTAGCTGTGAAGTTTCTTCCTCACTGCATATTCTCCTGATCTCACTGTAATCAAGCTACTTCTTATACCACTCTACTGCAGTTGCTCTCACTAGTCACTCCTACTTGCTAAACCCAGTGGTCATTTTCTAGCCTTTTATTTACTTTTCCTCTGACCATTTGAAATTACCAACCATTCACTCCTTGAAGTTCTCTTCCTTGTAGTCCATGATACTATTCTCTGTCGGTTTTCTTCAACTCTGTGCACCTCCTTTTCCGTCTCTCTTTAAAAGGCCTTTCTCTCATTAGCTTTTAATGGTTAATATTCACCAAGATTCTATCCTTAGCCTTCCTTGTAATATATAAACATGTTCAAGTAAGCATGATCTTCAGAACAAAACTTCTTTTATCTTGTGTTCCTCTTTAAGTTATGACCGTATCTGTCAACATGTCTTTATGGCTCTACAGGATGCTTAGACAGTTTCTTTTCTAGAATATAAAGACAGATCGAGATTTCAGAAACCTCTTCCTGGAGCGCCTTCCCTAAACTTTATCAGTTTTTTAGTTTGCCTTCTCTGCTCAAATCCTTCTGGATTATTTAGACAGTATTATTTTATACTTCCTTGCTCACTCACTTTTCCACTACAGCACTTAATCACAATTTGCCTTCTCTGCACAAATCTTTCTGGATTATTGAGACAATATTATTTTATACTCCCTTGCTCACTCATAATACTTTTCTACTACAGCACTTAACTACAGTTTGCATTGTGATTCTATCCCCACAAATGAGTGTGATTTTCCTGTGATGAGGAGAAAAAAAAATTTTTTTTCTTTCTTTTTTTTTTTTTTTTTTTGAGACAGAGTCTCGCTCTGTCCCCCAGGCTGGAGTGCAGTGGCAGGATCTTGGCTCACTGCAAGCTCCGCCTCCCGGGTTCACGCCATTCTCCTGCCTCAGCCTCCCTCCTGAGTAGCTGGGACTACAGCGCCTGCCAACACGCCCGGCTAATTTTTTGTATTTTTAGTAGAGACGGGGTTTCACCATTTTAGTCAGAATGGTCTTGATCTGACCTCGTGATCCGCCCGTCTCGGCCTCCCAAAGTGCTGGGATTACAGGCGTGAGCCACTGTGCCCGGCCCAAATTTTTTTTTTTTAGTCTCTTTAATGGGAGAGAAATTGTCTTCATGTCTTACACATAGTATGTATTCAGTAAATGCTGGTTTAAGTTTTTGTTGGTTGTGCTGTTTTGTTAGCCATGGACAGAAGCCCAGTGCACCGAAATAACATGACAGATTGAAGGACCTCAATAAACAGTGATACTGTAGTAACAATAGTGGTGGACTGATGAAGAAGTGACAATTGTGGTTCCTCCATTAGAAGGATAAAGAGGGATGTTGTTTCCAGACAGCTAGTTCTAGGAGTTTTAGAGCTAATGGAAGGAGTAGAGTGAGGGTAGTTACAGATGACATAAAACCGTAAACCTAAAAATGGCTTAAACAATAAGGATACATTTATGACATAATAGGAAGTGTATAAGCAGGGCAGTTTCAGGTAACCCGATATCAAGGACCCAGGTTCTTTGTTTTTTCTGTTCTGCTCTCTTTATATATTGGTGTGCCATCTTAAACTGGCTTATCTCAAGGTCTGAAGATGGTTGTTACCACTCCAGGCATCACTTGCAAATGAAAATGTCAGAAGGCAGAAAAGGGAACATTTCTTTTTAAGAGCCTGAGCCCCCTTTTAAGACTGAAGAAAACCTCAAAAGTGTTCTCAGCTGACTTATCATGTCATACTGGCCAGTCATGACACATGCCCAACTCCCTATACCAGTCATGTGGCAAGGAGAGCACCATGATTATTGGGCCTGGGTCAAGCAGCAGCAGCAGCTGGGAACTTGTGATAAGTATACATGCTTAGGCCTCACTGCAGACCTACTAAATTATGAAAGAAACTCAGGGCAGTGCCTGAGAGGGCTGACCCACCAATCTATGTTTCAATTAGTAATTCAAGTAATTTTGATGTACATTGAGTTTGAGAACCACTGGCTTAGAGCAATAAAGATCCATCCCTTGGGGCTAGGGAAAGGCCTAGCCTCCTTTGAAGGATATGAGGCCAAGAAGAGGAGAAGAGAGAAGGGGGAAGAATGAATGTTAGATAGGCAACCAAACATGTTTACACAATTCTTCAGGGAGTATGATCTTTCTTACTTAGTGCCAGCTACTATTGCTGCCCTCCCTTCTTTTATTCTCTGTGTGGGCCTCAAGATGCCATACTGATCTACCTGCTTAATCTCTGAAGGAGCACACTGTATCTCAAAAATGTGACGCCTTAGTTGCTTCTGATTATCACACCACTGTGGCTATGATTTGTTTGTTTGCTGTGAAGGGCTTTTAGTTTCTTTAGATTATAAAAATAGGAATACAAAACAAAAACACTTTAAAAACTGAAGATATTACTGGTAGTCATTTCAAAGTATTCAGATATGGTTTTTTTCTTTCATTTTCTGCCTTTCCTGATTTTTCTTCAGGACATTTATATTGATTTTGTACTAAGGGAAAAACTATGGAACTTAAAAGATGTTTTTAAATTAAAAGAGTTAATAACATTTCAGTAAACCTACATTTTGTTTTCCTTTTGTAATTTTATTGTGCCCATCTAGTTGTAATAACATTTTGCCTTTTTGTTAGGTTTCCTAAAGACAAAAAAAAATGGAGGAATCTGTAAACCAAATGCAGCCACTGAATGAGAAGCAGATAGCCAATTCTCAGGATGGATATGTATGGCAAGTCACTGACATGAATCGACTACACCGGTTCTTATGTTTCGGTTCTGAAGGTGGGACTTATTATATCAAAGAACAGAAGTTGGGCCTTGAAAATGCTGAAGCTTTAATTAGATTGATTGAAGATGGCAGAGGATGTGAAGTGATACAAGAAATAAAGTCATTTAGTCAAGAAGGCAGAACCACAAAGCAAGAGCCTATGCTCTTTGCACTTGCCATTTGTTCCCAGTGCTCCGACATAAGCACAAAACAAGCAGCATTTAAAGCTGTTTCTGAAGTTTGTCGCATTCCTACCCATCTCTTTACTTTTATCCAGTTTAAGAAAGATCTGAAGGAAAGCATGAAATGTGGCATGTGGGGTCGTGCCCTCCGGAAGGCTATAGCGGACTGGTACAATGAGAAAGGTGGCATGGCCCTTGCTCTGGCAGTTACAAAATATAAACAGAGAAATGGCTGGTCTCACAAAGATCTATTAAGATTGTCACATCTTAAACCTTCCAGTGAAGGTAAGCATAAGATCTTCATTGGGAAGAAGGGTGGGTAAGGGATATTCAATAAATAGCAAATTTTTATTTAACATAAGACAAGTGTGTAATATTTTCTAGAAATAGCCTTTTATTCTCAAAATATACATTAATTCAAATATATTTAATGCCTTCCTGGGATTACACCCCTACCACAGGCGATCCAGACATTAATAATCAAGAATCAAATGACAGGTTTATAGGTTAATATTCTGAATCTTAAAATGCCACCGTCCTAACTGGAATGCTCACCCAAGTGATTCTGGACTGTGTAAGTAGCAGGGGCAAGACTAAAAGTTGCAATAAGCCTTGGATATGGGTACAGTCACTAGAAGGAACTGCTTTTGAGTTCCAGCTTTGCCAGTTACTCATCAGATATTCAAACTTGGTCTCAGTATAATCGTTTGTAAAACTTAGGTAACTGTACACAGCTGTTCCTTAAGATTATGTATAGAAAACTACTCTGTAACCAATAAAATGCTAAGTAGAAAAGCAAAAAAAAAAAAAAAAAGTTGCAATAAGCAAATCAGCTCCTTGCCAGTAGGCGGCAGATGGCCATGCTGTACCCACTGCTCTAGCCCATTCCTTTTTTCCCTCCCCATCTTCCTAGGAACCCATCTTCCATGGAACCTAAAGGAATATACCAGATATAGTGCTGAACTTAACAATTCAGGAAGTTAATTGTCTTCAGGCAGTTAGTCAGGGGACATAATAACTTGGGGCAGTTTTTCTGTATCTATGGAAAGAGACTTTTGAAAAGTTAGTTGGCTCCGTAATAATTACTAGTCCTTTTAAGAAAAGAAATAAGAAAAACTCTTGGGCAGGAGTAATTTGAAGTGTGAAGTTCCACAAAAATCAACATGTTCAAAATTTGACTTTTTTTTTTTTTTTGCACCGGAAGTGAAACTTGAAAAGACAGCCACTCAGAAGGGTGGGTTCACATTTCAGTTCTGTGGACTTAAGCCAAGTAAGTTAAGCTGAGTTTCTGACCTTCATCTATTAAAAGGAGGGTAAGGAGAATAAGCTTACAATTATTGAGACTAAATGTCCCAGCACCTAACATGTAGTAGAAGTACACTTTGGTTCTCTATTTCTCCCTTCCACACATATTTTTATATACAGAATCTCTTCAGTAATTCCTGACTTATTTTTTAACTATAACTGGGGTTTTTCAAATGAAATGTAAATAATAAATTGCAAATATTTATATGTATAAACATTTTATTTTGATTTTATTAGATTACATGTTTTAAAATAGTTGAATAATACAGAAAAATATGATGCAGTCCTACTCTTCAAAAGAAATAACTGCATATCAGCAGTCCACAACCCTTCTGATACCAGGGACTGGTTTTGTGGAAGACAGTTTTTCCGCAGGCAGTGGGGAGGGCAGGGTGGTTTCAGAATGAAACTGTTCCACCTCAGATCATCAGGCATCAGATTCTCATAAGGAGAGCGCAACCTAGATCCCTCACATGCTCAGATCATAGTAGGATTCGTGCTCTTATGAGACTAATGCCCAGCTACTGATCTGACAGGAAGTGGAGCTCACTTGCCTGCTGCTCACCTCCTGCTGTGCAGCCCAGTTCCTAACAGGCCACGGACTGGTATCCGTGTATAGCCTGGGAGTTGAGGGCCCTTGCTGTATATCAGATGTTGTAATTTACTCCAGATTTTTCCTAAACATATATTACTGTGTTTCACTAAATTTTGTTACATGCCTTCTATGTTTCAGTAAAAAGTATATTATTGCTATTGCTATTGCTGTTTCTTTCAGGTCAGTAGAAATAGTTGCATATATACCATTGTATGACTGTAATTTATTAGCTAGTCTCTTATTGACAAGAGTTGTTTCTGGTTTTTTTATACTGTTACAAAAATACTACAATGAAAACACTTGCATAGAGTACCTACTTTCATAATGGTTAAATCCACAAACAGTATGTGAAAGGGATCAGTGTACCCACATTTGAACACTTAACTGTTGTCATTATTTTTTAATCTCTTTCAGTAGAATCATGAAAGATTCTTTGAATTTACATTTTTGGGCAGAAGCTCATCTTTGCATGTGCTGATTATATATATATATACACCTATATATTGTATAATATAGTATATATAATATATAATGTTAGTATATAGTATAGTATGTAATATATATATACCTATATACATATATATACCTATATATGTATGCATATAATTATATGTATGTATATATAATATATATGTATGTGTGTGTATATATGTATAATTATACAATTACATCATAGCCCTTTTGTCCACTTAGTTACTGTCTTTTTAACTATTGATTGTGATCACTATTCATTCAACAAATATTTATTTATTTATTTGTTGTATTTATTTTGAGATGGAGTTTCACTTTTGTCACCCAGGCTGGAGTGCAATGGCACAATCTAGGCTCACTGTAACCTCCACCTCCCAGATTCAAGCAATTCTCCTGCCTCAGCCTCCCAAGTAGCTGGGATTACAAGCTCCTGCCGCCATGCTCTGCTAATTTTTGTATTTTTAGTAGAGGCAGGGTTTCACCATGTTGGTAATGCTGGTCTCGAACTCCTGACCTCAGGTGATCCGCCTGCCTTGGCCTCCCAAAGTGCTGGGATTATAGGCATGAACCACTGTGCCTGGCCCTCAGCAAATATTTATTGAGCACCTACTATGGATAGAAACTGTTCTAAGAACTTGGGGTTCATATTAGAGGAGTTGATAATGTATTATTTATATACAGTGCATGCATTTTTTCTTCTTTTTTTTCTTTGTCTTTTTTTTTTTTGGTTGGGGGACATTTCTGGCACACTAAAGTTTTGAATTTTAATGTAGTCAAATTTATCCATGTCTTCATAGGTTTATGTTTTGTGTTAGGATTAGAAGGGCCTTTTCCAACCTAAAATATTTATCTGTGGTTTTTTCCTAACATTTTCTTGGTTAAGAAACATTATTTTTTACATTTAAATTTTTTATCCAAATATTTGATCCAACATAAGAAGGACTTAGGCATCCAGCTTTATTTATTGGTTTGTTGAGATGTGTCTTGGAAGTGTGGAGCAAGTACTAGACTAAGAGAAAGACCGCCCATTACTAGTTCTAACTGGACCAATTAGTTTCTGAACTTGTGAAAATAATTATTCTGTGCTTTGTCTTTTTGGTCTATATAATGAGGAATTAGTAGATGTTTCCTAAACTTACTTCCACACATAGGATTCTTTAATTTGAAATTGTTGAGGGCAGAACTCACAGTTGAAACCATGTTAGTAATAGCAATATCACATTGGACAGAGAATCCCTAGCATTTCAAAGCTTAAAAATTTGGAAAAACTCTAAGCTACAGAATTAATAGTATTTTAATGCCTTTAAGTGTAATGTGTATTTATAACAGACAAAACAAGTCAAAATGTGATTCAAGTCATCAGGTATGGTATTTTTATTGTGCACCCACTGCATGGCCAGCGCAATTACAGAACCGGGTAGGATAAAACTGCTTTAAGGAATTTTTATTTTCACTGGAAAAACAAAATAGAAGATATACTCACAGGAAACATTTACTCATTTAAGATGATTTTGCACCAAAATCTGGAAGATAGCAAGAGTCACAATACTTGAGAAGTTCCTGCATGTTAGTGTTAACTTTTGATCAAGTTATTTAGCATTCAAAAATAACATAATAGGCTCAGTTGGCATAGAGATGTGTTTCATGTGGCCTATACAATATTTTTGGGTAAAAATGAATTCTTTGTCATTATCTTTAAAAATCGACATAAAAACCC
Source organism: Homo sapiens (assembly GCF_000001405.40). Lineage (NCBI taxonomy): Eukaryota > Metazoa > Chordata > Mammalia > Primates > Hominidae > Homo > Homo sapiens. Next base: position 193,073,438 of record NC_000001.11, read on the forward strand.
ATATTCTGGCTTCTCTTGAAAGTAAGTTTTTTTTCTTTTGGCAGCACTAAGTCAATACGTGTCTACACCACTTGTCAGGGCACACTCTGTTCAGTCACCACACCCTAACAACTCTCTATTACATCACTGTGTTTGTTTGTTTGTTTGTTTGTTTGAGACAGAGTCTCACTCTGTTGGCCAGGCTGGAGCACAGTGGCACGATCTTGGCCCACTGTAACCTCTGCCTCCTCAGTTCAAGTGATTCTCCTGCCTCAGCCTCCTGAGTAGCTGGTATTACAGGCATGTGCCACCACGCCCAGCTAATTTTTTTTTATTATACTTTAAGTTCTAGGGTACATGTGCACAACGTGCAGGTTTGTTACATATGTATACATGTGCCATGTTGGTGTGCTGCACCCATTAACTCGTCATTTAACGTTACGTATATCTCCTAATGCTATCCCTCCCCCCTCCCCCCACCCCACAACAGGCCCTGGTGTGTGATGTTCCCCTTCCTGTGTCCATGTGTTCTCATTGTTCAATTCCCACCTATGAGTGAGAACATGCAGTGTTTCGTTTTTTGTCCTTGCGATAGTTTGCTGAGAATGATGGTTTCCAGCTTCATCCATGTCCCTACAAAGGACATGAACTCATCCTTTTTATGGCTGCATAGTATTCCATGGTGTATATGTGCCACATTTTCTTAATCCAGTCTATCATTGCTGGACATTTGGGCTGGTTCCAAGTCTTTGCTATTGTGAATAGTGCCGCAATAAACATACGTGTGCATGTGTCTTTATAGCAGCATGATTTATAATCCTTTGGGTATATACCCCGTAATGGGATTGCTTGGTCAAATGGTATTTCTAGTTCTAGATCCCTGAGGAATCGCCACACTGACTTCCACAATGGTTGAACTAGTTTACAGTCCCACCAACAGTGTAAAAGTGTTCCTGTTTCTCCACATCCTCTCCAGCACCTGTTGTTTCCTGACTTTTTAATGATCGTCATTCTAACTGATGTGAGATGGTATCTCATTGTGGTTTTGAATTGCATTTCTCTGATGGCCAGTGATGATGAGCATGTTTTCATATGTCTTTTGGCTGCATAAATGTCTTCTTTTGAGAAGTGTCTGTTCATATCCTTCGCCCACTTTTTGATGGGGTTGTTTTTTTCTTGTAAATTTGTTTGAGTTCTTTGTAGATTCTGGATATTAGCCCCTTGTCAGATGAGTAGATTGCAAAAATTTTCTCCCATTCTGTAGGTTGCCTGTTCACTCTGATGGTAGTTTCTTTTGCTGTGCAGAAGCTCTTTAGTTGAATTAGATACCATTTGTGAATTTTGGCTTTTGTTGCCATTGCTTTTGGTGTTTTAGACATGAAGTCCTTGCCCACGCCTATGTCCTGAATGGTATTGCCTAGGTTTTCTTCTAGGGCTTTTATGGTTTTAGGTGTAACATGTAAGTCTTTAATCCATCTTGAATTAATTTTTGTATAAGGTGTAAGGAAGGGATCCAGTTTCAGCTTTCGAGATGGAGTTTTGCCACGTTGGGCACACTGTTCTCAAACCCCTGACCTCAGGTGATCCACACTCCTTGGCCTCCCAAAGTGCTAGCATTACAGGCATGAGCCATGGTGCCTGGCCTCACCGTGGTGGTTTTATTTATTTTATTTGCTTGTCCCTCATAGACATTTTAATGTTGTAATCCAATCCCTGCTGTTTTACAGAAGTGGTGAAACTAAGACCTAGAAAGACCACCATTTATTGGCAGAGTATAGGCTAGAACCCAGACTTTCTCACCCCCAATCCAAGGCTCTTTTCTCTTTCTTCTATTGGAAGAAATTGTGGAGGAAATCAACAAGTTACTGTTTCCTTTTTTTTTTTTTTTTGAGCAGTAATACTTCTCAGCTATTAAAACATAGTGTAAAAGAAGCTACCCTGTCCACTTCTACTTATTTCTGCTGTTTTTGTAAATATATATATTTTATTCAACAGCAAAAAGAGACAAGTGAATATAATTAATATAATATAATACATTACAATACAATACAATATTAATTGAGATAGATCTGTACTCTCGTGAGTTGTTCTGAGATTATGGACCTGAAACTTTCTAATGCTGGTGTCTTTAAAAAGAAAAGAAAGAAAAGCCTCTGTAACAAAATACTCAGGATACAGGTTTTTTTACTCTAAAGTCTCATATTTAAATAGTAATGATGGAATAAGAAAATTAATTCACCCCATTTGCTTAATTGTTATATCATGGAAAGCAGCATCCCAGTGTAAGGGCATTAACTCTTGTGTATCCAGTTATGTTGATCATATAATGCATTTTGAGGAAACATGTTCTGTTTTTTTACTTGGTAATCCTGCATGCTTTTTCAATTCTTTATCTTGTTAAAGGACTTGCAATTGTGACCAAATATATTACAAAGGGCTGGAAAGAAGTTCATGAATTGTATAAAGAAAAAGCACTCTCTGTGGAGACTGAAAAATTATTAAAGTATCTGGAGGCTGTAGAGAAAGTGAAGCGCACAAGAGATGAGCTAGAAGTCATTCATCTAATAGAAGAACATAGATTAGTTAGAGAACATCTTTTAACAAATCACTTAAAGTCTAAAGAGGTGAGTGAATTATATGTTACAGCATGTGATTAAACATGAGTAATTTAGTGTAGGTGCTAAAAGGATAAACTTGGGGTAGCTATATATTTATACTTTTAAAAAGAAATTATTTAAAATATATCTTGAAATTGATGTCTGTTTAAAACACCTACCATGATGTCCAACATGATGTAGGTGGCATTTGTGTTAGTTTCACTCCAGAAAATCTACTGCCTTGCTAATTAAAAAAAAAATCATCTATGCATTTCCTTCATAAAATATACTTCACATCCTTTTTCTAGTAAAAAACAAGTTAGCTTATTTGATAAGCCTTTTACTTAGACATTTTTCATTCTGAAAGTACTTTGAACCCCAAATGAAAGCCTCAGAGACTGTATTATGAATATTTTTTTATATAGGTATGTTATACTGATTTATTTTCCCTTAATTCCTGGTATTTCTGCCTATGTTATTGCAATAGGTATGGAAGGCTTTGTTACAAGAAATGCCGCTTACTGCATTACTAAGGAATCTAGGAAAGATGACTGCTAATTCAGTACTTGAACCAGGAAATTCAGAAGTATCTTTAGTATGTGAAAAACTGTGTAATGAAAAACTATTAAAAAAGGTAAGCATTATCATTGTTCTTTATTAGCTACTACTAACTGAGAAAGTGGCTCCTAAATTTTAGAAATGCCGTCAGTGCATTTTTAAGGTATTTCGAGATGTTCATTATACCAAATTGCATTATGGCTCTTAAGTGTAAGTTTAATACATTTTCATTTTTCTCTTTTCTATATGAAATGTAGTTATTAGCTACAATAACACAAAAATCTAAGGAGTATACATAATCACTGTTTTTTGCTAAAATTTTCCTTATACTTTGTTTCTAGGCTCGTATACATCCATTTCATATTTTGATCGCATTAGAAACTTACAAGACAGGTCATGGTCTCAGAGGGAAACTGAAGTGGCGCCCTGATGAAGAAATTTTGAAAGCATTGGATGCTGCTTTTTATAAAACATTTAAGGTAGTGATATGATTTTTGTTTTAAAACAAATGACTGAAGACTTAATATCTTTTGTAATAATACATTTTAAAGGTAGTATTAATAGTTTAATCATTTTTTAATTAGGTATTCATTTGTTTTTCTTTAGTTCATATGTGGTGAGTATATAATTAATATCGTGTAAGTTTAAGAGTAAAGTATTTCTCTTTACCTTTGGGTAGCAACTAATTATTCTAAGATCATTTTGGTAACTTTTAAGTTACTAACTGTATTAGTTTGTTCTCACAGTGCTATAAAGAAATACCTGAGACTGAGTAGTTTATAAAGAAGAGAGGTTTAATCGGCTCATGGTTCCACAGGTTGTAGAGGAAGCACAGTGGCTACTGCCCTGCTTCTGAGGATGCCTTGGGAAACTTACAATCATGGCAGAAGGGGAAGCAAACACGTCCTTCTTCACATGGCAGCAGGAAGAAGTGATGAGCATAAGGGGGGAAGCTCCTTATAAAACCATCAGATCTCGTGAGAACTCATTCACTATCACAAGAACAGTATAGGGGAAATCGCCCCCATGATTCAATTATCTCTACCTGGTCCCACCCTTGAACATGTGGGGATTATGGGAACTACAATTCAAGATGAGATTTGGGTGGGGACACAGCCAAACCATATCAACAATCTTGGCAGAAGGGGGAATATGGTGCTAAACTATTAGAAACTGCCCCCATGATCCAGTCACCTCCCAGAAGGTCCCACCTTCAACATTGGGGATTACAGTGAACATAAGATTGGTGTGGAGACACAAATCCAACCCATATCACTAACTTTAGAAATTTGCATTCCTGTCAGGTCCTTTGACTTGGTCCTCTGTTTTCCCCATTAATTGGTAGATAGATCTCATCAGTCTTGATAAAAAATGAGTTTTTTAGTAATGGAAATCTCACATCAAAGACACAAGCTAAAACATCTTGCTATATAACAAAATACTAGCAACCAAAGTCAGCAGCAAAATAGAAGGATTACATACTATAACCAAGTGATATTCATCCCTGGCATACAAAGATAGTACAACATATGACAACCAATCAATGTAATACATCACATTAGTAGAATGAAGTGACAAAAACCACATAATCATCTTACTGATGCAGAAAAAGCATTTCACAAATTTCAACATTCCTTCATGATGAAAAATAAAACCACTAAACCTGAAATGAACTTCCTCAACATGATAAAGTCCAGAGATTTAAAAAACAAAGATGTTTAAACCCCATAGCTAATGTCATAATGGTGAGTGATTGTAAGATTTTCCCCTAAAATCAAGAAAAAGACAAGGATGCCCAGTTTTTCCACTTTAATTCCACATAGTATTGGAAGTTGTAGTAATAAGGCAAGAAAATGAAATAATGAAAGACATTGCAATTGGAAAGAAAGAAGTAAAATTATCCTCAGATGCCATGATCTTGTATTTAGAAAACCCTAAAGTTAACAAATGAATTCAGCAAAGTTACAGGGTATAAAACCAACACATAAAAATCAGTTGTATTTCTATATACTAGCAATGAACAATCCAAAAAAAGAAATTAAGAAAACATTTCCATTTACAAGATCATCAAAAAATAAAAGACAGGAGTAAATTTAAGAAGCTGTAAGACTTATACACTGAGAACTACAAAACATTGCTAAAAGAAATTAAGTCATGAATAAATAGAAACACATCTGTGTTTACAGATTGGAAGACTTAATATTGTTAAGATGACAATACTATCCAAAGCAGCCAATCTACAGATTGAATGCAGTCCCTTTCAAAATCCCAATGGCATGTTTTACAGAGATAGAAAAACCCATTCTAAAATTCCTAAGAAATTTCAAGTGACCCCAAATAGCCAAAACAATCTTTAAAAAAAGAACAAACCTGGAGGACTCTTCAGTAACTCTTTCAGTTACTACAAAGCTGCAGTAATCAAAACAGTGTGGCACTGGCAAAAGAATAAACATATAGACCAATGAAATAGAAAGTCCAGAGATAAAACCTTGCATATATGTTCAGTTGACTTTTTTTTTTTTTTTTTTTTTTTTGAGACAGAGTCTCACTGTGCCACCCAGTTTGGAGTGCAGTGGTGCAATATCAGCTCACTGCAACCTCCGCCTCCTGGGTTCAAGTGATTCTTATGCCTCAGCCTCCCAAGTAGCTGGGATTACAGGCATGCGCCACCACACTCAACTAATTTATTCCATTTTTAGTAGGGACAGGGTTTCACTGTGTTGGCCAGTCTGTTCTTGAACTCCTTGCCTCAAGTGATCCGCCCACCTTGGCCTCCCAAAGTGCTGGGATTACAGGCGTGAACCACTGCATCTGGATGTCTGTTGACTTTTGATAAGGGTGCCAAGATGATTCACTGGGGAAAGGACAATCTTCAACAAATGGTATTGGGAAAACTGCATATCCACATACAAAAGAATGAAGTTGGACCATTATCTTACACCAAATACAAGAATTAGTTCAAAGTGGATCAGTGACTAAATTTAAGAGCTAAAACTAGAAAACACCAAAAACACAGGCAGCAAAAGAAAAAATAAATTGAACTTCATCAAACTTAAACATTTTGTATATTAAAGGATACTATCAAGACAGTTAAAAGATAATCTACACAATGGGAGAAAATATTTGCAGACCATATGTCCGATAAGGGCCTAATATCCAGAATACTGAAAACTACAAATTCAGCAAAAGTACAAACCCAATTTAAAAATGGGCAAAGTACTTGAATAGACATTTTTCTAATGATATACAAATGAGTAATAAAAACATGAAAAGGGCCAGGTGCAGTGGCTCACGCCTGTAATCCCAGCACTTTGGGAGGCCGATAAGGGTTGATCACCTGAGGTCAGGAGTTCGAGACCAGCCTGGCCAACATGGTGATACCCCGTCTCTAAAAAAAAAAAAAAAAAAAATTAGCTGAGTGTGGTGGCGGGCGCCTGTAATCCCAGCTACTCATGAGGTTGAGGCAGGAGAATCTCTTGAACCCAGGAGGTGGAGGTTACAGTGAGCTGAGATTGTGCCGTTGCACTCCACCCTGGGCAACAAGAGTGAAACTCTGTCTCAAAAAACAAAAAAAAAACATGAAAAATACTCAACATCATTAATAATCAGAGAAATGCAAATCAAGATGACAGTGTAATAACTACTTCACATCTAGTTGGATAGCTAATATCAAAAAAGCAGAAAACAAGAGTTGGGGAAGATGTGGAGAAATTGGAACCCTAGTGTATTTCTGGTGGGAATGTAAAATGGTAAAATGGTGTAGCCCCTGTGGAAAACAATTTGGCAGTTCTCAAAAGGTTAAACGTAGAATTACCATACCATCCAGCAATTCCATTTCTAGGTATATACCCAAAAGAATTGTAAACAGGTATTCAAACAGATATCTGTATACCAGTAGTCACAGTAGCATTATTCACAATAGCCAAGAGTTAAATGTATTCTTGTCTTTTATTTTTGATGCTATTGTGAACAAATGTTTTCTTAGTTTTCTTTTTTGAATTGTTCATTGCTAGTATATAGAAATACAACTGATTTTGATGAACAACCCAAATGTTCATCAGCAGATGGATAAGCAAAATGTGGTATATATAATGGAATATTATTCAGCCTTAGAAAAGAATTAAATTTGATACATGCTACACCATGGATAAATCTCGAAAAGATTATACTAAGTAAAATAAGCCAGACAAACAAGGACAAGTATTGTATGATTCCATTATATGAGATATCTACAGCAGGAAAATTTATAGAGACAGAAAGTGGAATAGAAGTTGCCAGGGGCTAGGGAGAGACATGGCAATGGGGAGTTACTACCTAATTGGTACAAGTTCTATTTGGGATGATGAAAAAGTTCTTGAAATAGATAGAGGTGATAGTTACACAACATTGCGAATGTACTTAATGCCACCAAATTGTACATCTAAAAATGGTTAAAAAGGTCAAATTTATGTTATATTTTACCACAATAAAAATTTCCTACTAAAAATTCTCATTTTACTTCAATGAGGAAAGATTTTAAAAATAGGATGGTAACTTATTTAACTAAAATTATTGAATAGGTTATTTCCTTTGTTTTACCTGTAAAAGCTAAGTATTTTTATTATTTTTTTTTAATTTTCAGTCATAGCTGCTATGCCAGATGAGCATTTTTAAATAGTTGTCAATTGGTATATCAAAAATCTGAAGGCCTTTTATCAGTCTTTTTAATGTAAGATAAGTAAATATGATTTAGAAATTTAGTCTACTTATAATTTCTGTTATGCTTTTAATGATTGTTTTGTTTTCTCTGTAGACAGTTGAACCAACTGGAAAACGTTTCTTACTAGCTGTTGATGTCAGTGCTTCTATGAACCAAAGAGTTTTGGGTAGTATACTCAACGCTAGTACAGTTGCTGCAGCAATGTGCATGGTGAGAACACCTAAGACAATTTTGCCATTCTAAAAACATGTTTACTGTAGAGCAAAACTATAAGATTAATAATGATTAAGAATTATGTTTTCACTTTTTTCTGTCATTTCAGCTTGTCACATTTTTAATTTTATATTTAAAGATAATTGTGTAAAGCCAGAGTGTTAAGTGTGTTGAAAAAGTATGTCTAAAGAACAAGCAGAGTAGAAATTTTAATTTTTACAACAAAAGATTAAATATTAATGGATTTTTTAGGAAGTAGATAATGCTTAGATAAAATGAAAAAAAGACAAATTTTTTAAAAATTTATTTTAAAAATAATGCTTAAATTATTTAACGATTTGAAGCTTAAAAGATCTGGGAACTAATAGGAGTGTCTAGAGACTTTAGTTCTATCCTGTCAGTGAATAACAAACAGATGAATAGTAGGCAAACTTTTTAGCTTCTTTACTGGGGCTTTATTTCTTATCTAATGAAATGAGAAGAATATTTACTGTATTTGCTTCAAAGGATAGTCATGATAGCCAGTTTTTTTGTGAAAGTACTTTGAAAGCTGTACTACTGTTAATGTATAGTTCTAAAACACACTAATAAAAAGTTAAGAAATAAACATCAGTGTTTCTTTTAAACATGAAGTTGGATAAAATTCAAAATATTGTATTTCCCCCCAAATTTGCTGAAAATTACTGCCATTGAATTTTTCAGGTTGTCACACGAACAGAAAAAGATTCTTATGTAGTTGCTTTTTCCGATGAAATGGTACCATGTCCAGTGACTACAGATATGACCTTACAACAGGTTTTAATGGCTATGAGTCAGGTAAGAAACTGTGTTTTTTAAGTTTACTTAGTTAAGTTTACATAACGTGTAGAATGATTTTATATTGATGTCATGTATGGTATTAATCTGTGAGAACAAAATTTTTTTTGTCTTAATTTTTGCATGACAAGTACAAAACCGAAAATATATATGCAGGCTTTGGGAAGGCTGTATATATTGGTGCTAAACAAAATGATACTGTAAAAACTAGTATTTTTAAGGATTTATTTACTTATTTATTCATGCTTTTGTTCCGAATTAGATCCCAGCAGGTGGAACTGATTGCTCTCTTCCAATGATCTGGGCTCAGAAGACAAACACACCTGCTGATGTCTTCATTGTATTCACTGATAATGAGACCTTTGCTGGAGGTGTCCATCCTGCTATTGCTCTGAGGGAGTATCGAAAGGTAAAACAAATTCTAATACGGTTCCTCACCCAAATAATATTATTTTAATACTTGATTTTTTTTTTTTTTTTTTGGAGACAGGACCTCATTCTGTTGCCCTGGCTGGAGTGCAGTGGCTCAGTCATAGCTCACTGCAACCTCAACCTCCCAGGCTTAAGTGATTCTCCCACCACAGCCTCCCAAGTAGCTGGAACTACAGGAGCGTGCCACCATGCCCACCTAATTTTTTGTAGGAATGGGGTTTCACCATGTTGCCCAGGCTGGTCTCAAACTCCTAGGCTCAAGCGATTCTCCAGCCTTGGCTTCCCAACGTGCTGGGATTACAGCCACCACACCTGGCCATTCTTGATTCTTATTCACTTATGTGTTTCAAAAAATGTTACTACAAGTAGTTCTGTATCTTATATAGGAGCCAGTGTCCGTTATAGACTCAGCAGTACTTAAAATAAGAAAAAGTATTGATTACACACATAAAATTTATTTTAACCAGTTTCCATTGCTAAACATTACTAAGAATATCCTTTGCAAACAGTATTTTTGGTAATAATCAGAATATTTGTTTTACCTTAGCTGTAAGTTTTTTTTAATAATTCAGTGTGCTCCTTGAAAAATTGAAAGTATTAGTGAGTTTTGCAAAAGGATTACATAAAATTAAAGCTATAATCTATGCTCTATGTTTTATGGACATATCTGTGTTCTAATCAGTATCCTCCAGTTGAGCTTTCTGAAATGACATAAATCTTCACTCTCCAATGTGGGTTGCCACTAATCACATGGGACTTTTGAGCACTTAAAATATGGCTAGTGTGACTAGAAGTAGAAATAGAACTTGTTGATGAAGAGTAGTGGTTCTCAAAGTGTGGTTTCCCTACCAGCAGTCTTAGCCTCACCTGCGACCGTATTAGAAATGCAAATTCCTGAGGCCCGTCAGAGACCTGCTGAATCAGAAACTCTGACGTTGGGACTGTGTTTTAACAAGCCCTCCAGAGGATTTCTGATGCAGGCTTAAGTTTGAAAGCTGCAGGTAAGGGAATAGTTTTGTTTTGTTTTGTTTTGTTTTTTTAAGAAATGGGGTCTCCATCACTGGAGTGCAATGGTGCTATCATAGCTTACTGTAACTTGAAATTCTGGCCTCCCAAAGCACTGAGATTACAGCCATGAGGCACTGCCCAACCAGGATAGAATGTAGAGTAAAGACTGTTTGGTTGTGAGTCCCGAGTCTTTCTCTTACTCTGTGTGGACCTGAGCAAATTATTTAACTGATCTACATCATAGTAAGTTACTTACCTCTTAGAGTTGTTTTAACAGTTACGGTAGATGTATTATTTAAACAGTGCATTGTAGTTTCTCATGTGTATACATTCAGTGATTGTTGGTTTTTCTCAAAAATTCAATTATTTTAATCTTACATTTAGCTGTAGAGGACAAGTTCTTACGTGGAACATGTGTATATCGCACATATCAAAGTCATCAGCCAAAAGTTGATCATCCCAGAGATATGTCCTTATATATACTCATACACACTGCCCCAGCATTTGATATGTTGATAAAAATATCTGGCACCCTTAATAACCTGACAGGTTTCATAAGTACAAAGTGCCTAGGCTGCTCAATAATGTACACTGCAGCCCATAGAACAAGTAAAGTAATTGAAGAGAGAAGTAGAAATTTCAGGCAGATTCTTATACAATTTTATTGTCCCTTCTTCTAAAACTCCCATATTCTAGCCTTAAAAGATTGACCCCCGCAAAAAAATGACTTTGTATTTAAAAAGCTCTGGTAGAGAAATGTTAAAGTGTTTTAATTTTGGAGGTATTTTGCATTTCCTTACATTTATGTTTTTAATATGTATTTTGGTCTTTTTCTACAGAAAATGGATATTCCAGCTAAATTGATTGTTTGTGGAATGACATCAAATGGTTTCACCATTGCAGACCCAGATGATAGAGGCATGTTGGATATGTGCGGCTTTGATACTGGAGCTCTGGATGTAATTCGAAATTTCACATTAGATATGATTTAACCATAAGCAGCAGCACGATCCAGAGATCCATTGCCATCAGTGATCTCACTAAAAATATACAGCTACTTCCCAGCTAATCTCCACCCAATGAATGATGATGGTATAGTATGTGCATAATGGAAAGTTACCTTACTGAAAAAAAAAAAAGAAGGAAAAATAAGATGGGCCCAAAGGTCTATCTACTAAACTAGCTCTTGGGGAAATAGCTTCAGGATACTGTAGTTTCCTCTATCTAATAGAGAACTTTTTGTTAACAGACACTGTAAAATAGTTTTGCTTTGTTGAATAATACGTGTGTACCTAAAAGAGGTAAGAGCAAAAAGTGTAATTCCACATCATGTTACTTGAGAAGTGCTTAACGTTTTCTTAAATGTTTTCATTGGGAAAGGACAGCTTTGATAATGTCCAAATACTCTGAAATGCACTAGACCATATAACTGTGATGAAATATGAAACTCATCTGTAAACTTTTATACCAAGGGGGTAAAAAAAAAAACTAAGGCATTTGATTAAATTATGAATGAGTTTTACAAATTCCTTTCAGAGTTTTACTAAGATCACACAAATAACAGCTTTCTTATTCAGTGAAAAAGATATTTTATTTCTGATGTTTTATTTGCACTTGTGGAATATGTTACCATTAATCAGAAACATCATGGCAACCCCTAAGAATAGACTAAGTTTGTGTTGGCTGAGGGATTCTATTTGGTTTGCTTTTTTTTTTTTGCTTTGTTATATTTTATTGCTACAAGGGGTGTGACTTGATAATGATTTCCTCTGAATTATAATAACATAGCCAGATGTAGTCTCACACTGTTTTTCATACTCTTAAGTGTAAATAATATAAAATGTTTCAAGCGCTTAACTCCCCCTCATTCACAAAGTATAACAATTAAAATCTCAACTATAACCAGTTTAGCTTTTTCCTTACTTTTAAAATAAAATTTTTTACTTTTAACTATTTTTTTAGTTAATATTTTTAAAAGTATACATGTCAATGGCCTCTTTGTCCATTATTCATTTTGTGGCAAAATATTCTTCTTTGATAGTGTAAACAAATAATAAAGCAATCTAGGTCCTTTAGGTTTGAAAGGCAATTTTTGAGTAGCATATTACCAGCTAGCCAGTCACTAGGAATTTTTTTCAGTATTATTTGTATGTATTAAACTTTTCATTACACTAAAGTGCATTATTTTATTGAGCAAGTATCCTTCATTGTGAGGTTTAACATTAAAGCAATCTGTTGAAATGCCATTATCTTTGCTCATAATTTTATTATGGCCGTCTAAGGTAGCTTACACATAAAACCTGTTTGCGTATCTGTTGTTCTCTAAATATTAATTGAAGATTTACTGAGGATTTGTAAGGTCCTTCTCGCTGTTATGTGAAAAGTCAAACTGTAGTTAATGTAAATTATAGCCTTTTAGGTGCTTGGGGGTTAGAGGGTTTATGTTTTTTGGGAAAGGGGGACTTTAGTAGTCTGAGGATTTCTGTACATATTTTCTTCTGTTTTATGTGAAATTTGGGCTCTGGGAATAAGAAAATATTCCTTTCAAATTTATTTGACATATTAATGCTGGTTTTGATATGTACCCATTCCTTCAAGGCAACTGGTATCAGTTTTTAAGTGTGATTTACCTGAGATATTTTTGTTCAGCAAAGCTCATAGCACCCTCACCCCCACTCCAGACATGCATTGCTTCTGATGTTGTTCACGTTTTTAACCCTGTCAAGCATTGAACTGAATATATTAGCTACTTTTGACACATTAAAATATTACGTTCAGATTGAATTTAAAGTTTAAAGAAACTAATAGAATTACGTAATAGTTATTGAATTGTTTAAGTAAACCCAAGATCTTAAAAATTATAACATGATCATTTTATTCCTAATAGAAATGTTAAATAGAATATAGTACAAAAGTGCATTACCTTCAGTTGTGTACTATTTCCATAATACTTTTAGACAAATATATCTATAAGTTAATATTAAATCCATCAAGGATACAAGATTGGATGGATATGACCTTTCTGAAGTATTTAGGTAGGTCTAATTAAATGGACTAGGGTAACATTTAAGAAAGAAAGGATAAGTAGGAGAAGCTACCACAGAAGGTAACTTTTCAAATCATGGCATATTTGAGCTGGAAGAAACCTTAGAAACCTAAAAGCTAATTTTTTAAATTTTTGTTAGAGAGCTGAGGTCCAAGACAGAGTGTGATTTTGAAGTACTATAACCTAGAAATCTTGGTCTCTTCATTCCTGTGCCAGAATTTATTTCCCCACAACATGGGAATACATGGTCTCAGAAGAGTAGAGGATAAAATAAAATTATTTAAGACTTTTACCTTATTGAGTTATTAGGAAATAATGTATATACGATTGCTTTAGGAGTAGAAAAATAGAATGGGAACATGTATAATCTTGTAATTCATAGGAATCCTCAAGCACAATTAACCTGTGTTGCTATATATATCTACATATATAGAGAAAAAACAAAAACTTTACCTCATTATGAATAAAATGTACTGAAGTGATAAGTTTTTTATTTCCTGAGTTACTTTTAGGATTACTGTTAAATTAATATTTGGGAAAATACTGCTTTTAAAAACAATCCTGCAAGAATAAACAAACTTTATTTCCTAGGTAGTATGTAAATAGTTCCAGGATATAGTTGTAATTAGTAAAACAAAAACTAATCTTATAATCCCACCCTTTATTAGTTGAAAGTTCTTGGAAATTCCATTTATTAATACTTATATTATTTAGTAATCTATCTTATGAGAGTGTTAGTGAGGCAAGATGCTAGTGAATGGAATTTAGTGTTACCCTTTGACACCTCCTTTGCTTTATCTAACTTACTGTGTGACTGTAGACAACCAGTTTAACCTAAGTGATTTGATTATTTTTATCCTTAAAAAGTAACATATCTGTGCTTGGATCATAGAAGAATCAGTGATTTAATATTTGTATAAAAATTGAAACTGGGAAGAGGGCTTGCAATACAAGTTAGAATTCTTTTTTTTTTTGGTTAAAAACATTCTTGTTAATAAGATACGTATTTCAAAAGATAAAATGTTTTAGAAAAATAGCTCACTCAATAGGCCTAACAGTGTTTTAAAACATTCCTGTTCAGAGTAGAAAAATTTAGAAGAAAAATTTTCACAGCTAAAGTATTACCCAAAAAGTCACTATTCTCTACTGAAGAGGGAGAAAAAATATACTCCAAGATCTTCTTGGACAGACCTAGAAAAACAAGCTTATACTCTGAGGAAATGCTGTTAACAAACTTTTTTTTTTGAGACAGGCTATCCCTCTGTCACCCAGGCTGGAGTGGCATGATCACAGCTCACTGCAGCCTTGACCTCCCAAGTTCAAGTGATCTTCCCAAGTAGCCAGGAACACTGGTGTGCACTGCACTACCACGCCTGCTTTTTTTTTTTTTTTTTTTTTTTTTTTTTTTAAGAGACAACGTCTCACTGTGTTGCCCAGGCTGGTGTCAAACTCCTGGGCTCAAGGGATCTTCCTGCCTTGGCCTCCCGAAGTGCTGGAATTAGAGGCATGAGCCACTGCACCCAGCCAGCAAACATTCTCTTAATCTTTTAAAGTAACCAGTAAATCTACAAATAGTAAAGTACTATTTTCATCAGGGATTTTTTTTTTCTTATTTTCTAGATTTTACAGAAACAATGTGAAATTATTTTGGAAAGATAAGGTAGGATTCTTGAATAAATCTGAAGGTCTCACAATTAAGTGAGAAACACCTTTAAAAGCATAGTAAAGCTACACCTAAATAACTAAAGCCTAAATCATTGTAATGTTTTGTTGGACTTACTTTAACTTGACCTGTTGTAGCCACAAATAACAAATTTCTTGGTAACTGATGCTATTACAGTAGGTAATCAAAAATGAAAAATTCTAGTCTTATATACTGCAGGTTTGGGGTGATTGTTAAGGCACTATCCCCTCTGGAGAAATGTCATATGGCATCAGTGTAAACATGCACAAGAAAGAATTTGTAAAAAAAAATGACAGGTTAATCAATGAAATTAGTTGTATTTACTGTTTGGATTTTATTTAGTGTTTCCTTGATGTCTGTTTCCTCATCTCTTATTTGTTGGAAGATTACTTTTCTACCTCTTTTTTTTCTTTTAAAATTCCTTTCTTACATTTCTGTTGTTTCTTTTTCTAGTCCTTCTCTATCTGGATAATAAAATGAATGACAGGAAAGTCACCCACATAGAGGTTTGGGATGAACCTTTTGCAGATTGCTTTTTGTTTCATACAAGTATAAGATCATATTTTCTTTTTCAACTTAGTAATAGGCAGGCTTCTTGGAACAATAAGTAGATTGATACACTCCTCCCCAAATCAAATTATATTGTATATCTTTTATATTAGATGTTTGCAGAAATTCTGTGGCCTTTAAGATCAGTTATTCAGCCTTTGTAATTATGTTATCTAGCTATGTTGAAAAGATAAGTGCTTACTATATAAGCACTCTTAGAAAAATAATTAACTGATTACTCTTTCAGAAAATAGCAGGTGTCTCAATGCTTTTTTTCCATAATTATAAAGACCATTGTCAAAATCTTTGGTTTACTAAATATTTCACTGAGCATATATAGAGATACGTTGCTTGTGGCATAAAAAGTCTTGTAGATAACTTACTCACATTTGGCTTTTTTTTAATTGGTGCATTTTTTAATTTGCTTTTTTGAAAATTATGAAGTTAAAATTTAATTCTAAGGTAGTATTTTTCATGTATAAAACTAATAATGTAGTTAAGCATACTGTTTGAATAAAATTATAATAAATGGCACAATTCCTTAAACCCTGAAAATACCAAGTTATATTGGAAAATAGTGGAAAGAAAAAACTAGTGGAGAACATCTTAGAAAATTCTATTGTGGAAATTACGATGATTATTTTCAGTGAGAATGAATTTATATATACAACAAAAATATACAAAAGCTAACCTTCTCATCCTAAAAAGATTTTTCCCTTTGCTTCTGTTTTATTTAGCCCTGCCATGCACCACATTAATTTTATGAACATAAATGATATTTAACTTTTCTTTTTTTTTTTTTTTTTGAGACAGAGTCTCACTCCGTCACCAGGCTGGAGTGCGGTGGCGCGATCTCAGCTCACTGCAACCTCCATTTCCCAGGTTCAAGCAATTCTCCTGCCTCAGCCTCCCAAGTAGCTGGGATTACAGGCACGCGCCACCACGCCCACCTAATTTTTGTATTTTTAGTAGAGACGGGGTTTCACCATGTTGGTCAGGCTGGCCTCGATCTCGTGACCTCGTGATCTGTCCGCCTCGGCCTTCCAAAGTGCTAGGATTACAGGCGTGAGCCACCGCACCTGGCCAACTTTTCATCTTAAGTTGTTTAAATTTATGCACTTTTAGATATCAGAATATATGCTTGAACAAAGGAAATAGTAAATTAGCTATATGTCTGCTGGTTTCACTTCGATGTGGATATGGATATGTGGATAAAGACAGTAAATGAAATTAAAACCCTGCTGTTTTAAATATCATTACCAGATATAATTGAGGGAATATTATATCAACAAACATATTGAAACTTGGCTTTATTTGTAACGTAAACTATATATAATCCATACGTAGCCAAATTAGATTTAAAATATACAATTAATGAATAGTACTCAAAGTGTTTTTGTTGCACTGTTACTCTGAATATGGACTCTCTATATCTGGTATGGCGTGACTGGGCATAACTTCTGTAATGTATTTCAGTTATATGTTTTTCCTTTTATTGCCAGCTTCTGATAATGAAATTTTCCAAAGGGATGAGATATAAGAATCATCTTTTATAAAAACCAGTGGGGAGTGGGGTATTATAATCTAGTTCTAAACTGTCCATTTGCTTTATATAAAGGCTTTGATTTCAATAACTGACCATTTGATGAATATTTAAATTACACAGAATAATGTCTACATAGAATAAACTTAAGTATTCAAGAGCCTTAAAGTGAAAAAATGAACCTTTTGACTGCCTTAAAATACTACTTGCTCTGTAATTCAGGCATACTAGTTACTTTCCTTGGGGTCTGTTTAAATAATGCCTTAATAGTGTTCTAATGTTTCTGAAATACAGAACTCAAAGGGTCTTTTAGAGCTTTTAATTTTACATAGTGAATGGAAATTTAAGTATTACATTTTAAAACCTGATTGTACATTGGTAATTTAAACATCCAATAACAGGAAAATCTAGATACAGTGATGTGTTATACATACATGACTGTTAACATCAGTAATATTTTATGATAGTTTAAGGTTTTTTATTGTTTTCTATAACAAGTTATCCAACAGGTTGGACTTTGTAACATGATATCCAAGGACCAAGTTGCATATTTAACATCGAATGAAAATGTAGTTGTACAGTTCCAAAAATAATTAATTTTTTAAGGGAATTTTTCAAGACAAAAGGCAAATATTTTGTTTCAAACCTACAAGCAAATTCATTCCAAGAAGTGAATATAGTAGTAAAACATAAAGACTATTGCAATAAAAAGTTTCCAGGCCAGTGACTTGTTTAATTACATTCACATTTTTACATTCACTTTGCCTTTCAAAGCAGGAGTATTTTATAAAACTGAAATAAAACTTTAAATTGTCAAGCTGGTGCTTAAAGTTATGTAAAATCTGATTTAAGTTTATTTCATTTCCAAGGAAAGGACCCTGAAAGGAGGGGACAGGGAGCTTCCTAGGTCTGTTGATAAACTAACTGATGCTTTGTCAAGTCTTCCAAGTTTTCACTGTAAATAATACAACTAACAATGTAATTTTGCTGTTTTCTAATAGAGAATGAATGAATATATTAATGTATTACATTTGTTTCATGATAAAACAGTTTTCACTGATACTGTGAAATCCTTTCTCTCCTTTCTAGCCTTGCAAAATACCCTACTAAATAAATCATTTTAGACATGGAGTGCAGGTGGACACTGTGTGAACTGTTTTTGGTCAGTTATTGTAGAAATTGATAGATGTACCAAATAAACTCTATGCACATTAAACAAGTGTCTGTCTATCTCTTTCAAGAAATACGAATGTTAAGGTTATAATATGCCTTAAAAAATCTAAAGCCTTTAGTAATCTTGTATTTGAACAAGGTAAAATTTAAGTTTTGATAATTAATATTGACCTTTTAATGTATCTAGTTTTATGTAAGTATTAAAAGTATATGAAGTTAAAGATTCTTTACCCATGGAATTCAATTATAACAAAATGATTAGATTTAATGAAAACAAATTATTTAAAGTTTTAAAATAGGATTCTTTTGTGAAAAGATCTACTCAAAATTGCCTTTGGCAAAAGTTATCATCCAAACACAAAAAGTCAACTATGCAAATAAAAACACTGTTTCAGTGCCAATTTGCAGACATTTTTCTCTCAATTCCCATAAAAATTTTCTGAAAAGTTCTAAGATCTGAACTGTGGGTAACTGAAAGCAAGTTACATCAGAATATATTCACCAAAACTTCAAAACATTTGGTTGATTTTACAGCACTCATTTCAACACTTGTACAAGAAGGATCACAAATTATACATACTAGATTTAATAAATTTTAACAATATTAAACCTTATGAAGAAAACCTGACTTTAAAAGATGTTGTTCAAATGGTAATTTTTTATCAGTAAACAGTAAAATCCAGGTACAGAAGATCCCTTTTTTTCTTCAACAGCTTTTCAATTACAGATATTTTGGCAATTAAAATGTAAATTGATTATCTAATGATAAAGTGAAAAATGGCCTAGTTTTTTATATTAATGAACTCCAGTAAACAGCTCGTATTTCAGATCTTAAAATAAAGGGCCGGGCATTGTGGCTTACACCTGTAATCATAGCACTTCAGGAGGCCAAAGGAGGAGGACTGCTTGAGCCTAGGAGTTCAAAACTAAAAAGTTGTAACTATGGGGATCTTGCTGGGCAACACAGTAAGACCCCCATATTTACAAAAAACTAAAAAGAATTAGTTGAGCATGGTGGCATGTGCCTGTAGCCCTAGCTATTCAGAAGGCTACGGTAGGAGGATCACTTCAGCCCAGGAGTTTGAGGCTGCAGTGAGCCATGATAGAGCCACTGTTCTCCATCCTGGGCTACAGAGGGAGACCCTGTCTCAAAAAAAAAAAAAAAAATGTAAATAAAAAATGTAAAAATAAGGACTGAGGAAAAAAATTACAAGTTTTTCTTAGTCACCATTATCTTACTTTTATCCAGCTGTAAGGTATGGAAAGGGAGAAGAAATGGAAATCAATATCCAAGACAACACGAAACCCCAGAGGCTTCCCCTGCCCCCTAAATTCTTGGCTGGGTACAGGCAGGAATCTTGGAAAACCCTGATGGGTCCACAAGAAAACACACATACCTGAACCATTGTGATTAATGATAGCCATTATGTATTGTCTATTAAAAACCACTCTGAAAGATTTACATGTATTATCTCCATTCCTCAAAAAGTAAATCCTAAAGGAAAGTACTATTACCTACATTTTATAAGAAACTTGAAGTTCTGGGAGGTTAAGTCACCTACCTAATGGTTACACCTTTAGTGATCTGAACGCTTGTCTGTCTTGGCAAATCATCAGCTATGCTCTGAAAGTATATTACGAATTTTTTTAACTGAAGATTTAGTGGTGGTATGCTGTGGTCTCCTATCTAAATCTTTCTCCCTTAACCCCCAGCTTTGTAACCAGCCCCTTGCATACAGTTAAAACTAAAGCTGTTGGCATTCCACGATTGGCACTGTCAGTAAGGGAGCTGCTGGCTTCAGTGCTTCCCTATATCCTTGGATTCTGCTCCTGGTTTTGTTTTCCTCTTGGAGAGTCCCTATACTTTTTAAAACCTGCTTAGCCTTGCATTTTTAAAAATTTATTATTGTGTCCGATATTTTAAACGTTTTAGAGCGGCAAGCTTTTGTTATTATTGTTTTGGGGTTTTTTTCAAAGATATTTAATGTGCCATATGACAAAAAGAGGTCAGATTTATTGTTATTTTCTTTCATTCCTTAGCGTTTAACAAATAGGAGAGATCTGCTTCCTTTTTGATGCAGTGCTAAACCCTCCAAAGTAAAAATCTTTTATTAGTCAATGAGTTTAATTCAGAAGACTAAGATGCAGATATTAGAAGGGTTTATTTCTTCTATTTTAAATAAAGCCATAGTGAGAATCAGGTATCATATTACCTTCAGTAGAGTTTTTGAGGCTTTTGATAAGGCTTCTCTCCCTAATGTTGAATTCTTTCAAGATCTGAACATAATCAAGAACGAACCACCACTCGCCTCTCACCCTATGTCCTACCAGTCTAGGAAGCATTGATAAAAGATGTTTCTTCACAGGCCAGGTGCAGTGGCTCATGCCTGTAATCCTAGCACTTTGGGAGGCCAAGGCAGGCGGATCGCCTGAGCTCAGGAGTTTGAGACCAGCCTGGCCAACGTGGCGAAATCCTGGCTGTACTAAAAATACAAAAAATTAGCGAAGTGTGGTGGTGCTCGCCTGTAGTCCCAGCTACTCTCAGGAGGCTGAGGATTGAGAATCGCTTGTACCCAGGAAGTGGAAGTTGCAGTGAGCTGAGATTGCGCCATTGCCCCCCAGTCTGAGCAACGGAGCGAGACTGTTTCAAAAAAAAAATGCTAAAGGTAAAGATGTTTTTCACAGTCGAGTACTGGTCAGTGTTTCTATACCTTGAAGTAACTTGTCTCTACCCTTAATACCTAGTATGATGAACAATTATGACACAATTTTACCTTTCTCAGGTAATAGACTTCAACTCTAACAAAATGTGTTTTCAGAATCCCCAAAAGCCTGAATCTAACAACGATTTTACAACATAGCAAGAACTTTCTTATGACATAATGCAAAATAAAGAACTAAAGACATTCTACTCTTTGTTCCATTCTAGTGTTATAACCTAAATTATCACATGGGAATGAAATTCTTGTCTAAATTCTTGATCAAGAGGTTTCCTAATGGCAGTTTAAATCCAAGTAAGAAGCATCATTGATGGCAAAAGGCCAAGGAAGCCACCAGCTATTTTCTTCAGGACTGTTCCAGATTCTCTGGTCCATCCTGACAAAAACCAGAAGCACTCTTGAAATCCATTTTTCCTCCACCTCTGATGAAGGGTTTTTTCTTCTCAGCATCTGGTAATCTGCCCCAAGTGACTCTGTGGGATCAACTAGGAAAATGCTTTGTATAGTAGGCACTTTAAAAATTCTTGTTGATAGGAAGCTGGAAAGACGATTTCATTAATGAAGTACTGAACGTCTTCAATCATTGTAAAGTAAGACTTCCTATAGGATAAATCTTGTTTGCTAAGTTTAGCTGAATTGAAATCAGTTTGAATAGTATTCCCAGTATTGAACACATTAAGTGTTCAAAGGCTCTTGGAAATTGAGTTAAATTGTGAGGTGGAGAGTTCTGCTTTCCAGAATTTATATATATATATGTATTACAATACACATAAGGCCGGGCACGGTGGCTCATGCCTGTAATCCCAGCACTTTGGGAAGCCGAGGCAGGTGGATCATGAGGTCAGGAGTTTGAGACCAGTCTGGCCAAGATGGTGAAACCCCGTCTCTACTAAAAAATACAAAAATTAGCCAGGTGCGGTGGCGGGCACATGTGATCCCAGCTACTCAGGATGCTGAGGCAGGAGAATTGCTTGAACGCGGGAGGCGGAGTTTGCAGTGAGCCGAGATCGCGCCACTGCACTCTAGCCTGGGCGACAAAGCAAGACTCTGTCTCAAAATAAATAAATAAATAAAATACACATAAATTCTGGAAAGCAGAACTCTCCACCTCACAATCTAATTCAAGTACATTTAATATATAAAATGTGTATGTGTGTGTATATATATATGAAATGTACTCAAGTTAAATTGTGAGGTGGAGAGTTCTACTTTCCAAAAATATATATATAAAAAACCTCAAAATTTATATATATATATATATATAAAACCTCAAACTCCTGGGCTCAAGAGATCCTCCTGCCTCAGCCTCCTGAGTAGCTAGGACTCCAGGCATGTGCCATCACACCAGGCTAATTTTTGTTTATTTGTTGTAAATATGGGGGTCTTGCTATGTAGACCAAGCTGATCTCCAACACCTGAGCTCAGGTGATCCTTGCGCCTTGGCCTCTCTAAGTGCTAGAATCACAGGCGTGAGCCACCATCCCATGCCAACTAAAGTACATTTCTACACTGTTTCAAAAGTTCATCCTCATACAATGCCGAAATCTTCTCCTTTTAATTTCTGCCCATAGGTATAGTTTTAATGACAAATGAACTATTAAGTCATTAATGACTTAATGAACTATTAAGTCATTAAATGAGTAATTTAGTTTCTCTAAGATAAATTTCATTCCATGCTAAAAATTTAATATACTTCTATTACTCTACAAGTACAAAGTGTGAAGGCTTTTCACAATATCGTATAAGATATTCCTGCCTAGTTCACAAGTGTATCAGCAAAAGCCTTAAATTTTAAAGAGAAATCAAATATCAGTCCTTACCACTTAAAAACTATGTGAGATAAAGAGTTAACTCCTGAATAGGAAATAAAGAATTCCAAATGCTTACCTTCTAGCTCTTGGTTGTAAAATTCATATCTAAATTCCTAATAAAATACATTCTTATCTTGATACAACTCCAACCTTTCATTTTTTTAATACCATCCCTTTTTCTCAAGAATTGGCAAGTGGGAAGAAGAGGTTTCCACCGCAATTTATTGTTCATTATTTTTACATCTTCTTCGTGAAGACAATGCATGTATTTAAAACATCCTCAAACATTTAAAAGACATTATCGGGCATTACCACTTTAAATAACTGACACTGTACTAGCAAACTTATTAGTATAAACATCACTGAAATTCTTTCCTCTTACTTTTTTTTAAATAACACTGATGAACTAGTGGGAGCAATTTTCCTTCTTTGTGAAGCCTATGAGTGTCAGTTGCACCTCCAATAAAAGTACCATTGACAAATATTCTTGGAACCTGTTGGACAAACAAAAGAAGAATTAGGCTTTACTCTAGTATCAGAACTAAGATCATTTCACATAATAACGAGACATTTGAACTCTGGGTACTTTTATGAGCCTGGCACCACAAAGCTCTTTCACAAATTAAATCTTAAAATCTTTACCCTTTAAGGTAGGTATTATTTTTAGCCCTGTTTTGGAGGAAAATGAGGCACAGGAACTTGCACAAAATCACAATGATGGTACATGACAGACTGGGATTCAAATCCAAACAATCTGATTCTAAAACCTTTCTTCCTGATTACTAAAGCTTTAAATAAACTAAAGCAGATAAACAGTAATATTTAGTTATTTCTTACATTTGTTTACTGAAGGGAAAGAGTGCACTATAAACTTTCAATAAACTTGAAAGTGGCAACACTGTACATTTTTCTGATTATGCATATTATGGAAAAATCCAAATTTCAAGAATCTAAAAACATGGAGCACTAAAGCACTCCTATTAGAAAAGTAATTGAAGACCAACCCCTGTATTGCCCAGGTAAAGGGAGGAAGAATACTTTCATCTTGCCAAGAGCTCCAAGAGGAACTCAAAGATCCATAGACAAGCACTCATAATAACACTACTCATCAACCCCAGTCAAAACACACACACAGAATAAAAATAAAATAAATCAACTCTGCTGTTTCCTATTCTAAGAATCTGGTTCCTAGATCTGCAGCTGCTTTATCTATCCTCAGAGAATGTCTGGCTCATTTTCCTAACACAAGGTTCTAGGCTCTGGGTGATCTAGTTTACAACCTATTAAAGAGGAACAGCACCACAGAGGATATACTCACAGTTCTTTCACCAGTCATTTTGTAAAGAGCATCTTGGAACTGGTTTCCATATTCAAGCAGGTCCAGTTCCACCACTTTATAGTTAACATTCATGTCATGGAAAAGCTTTTTTGCCATTGTACAGTAAGAACAGGATGTTTTTGAGAAAATCACCACACAATTATCAGAAATTGTTTCCTGAAATAAAACCACAAAAAATCATTTTAATTCTAGACATTACCATTTGGAAATAAATTAAGATATAATGGAAAGGGTATGGATTTTGGTCTCTCATGATTCTGGGCTCAAACTAAGCATCATCTATTTTTTCTCATCTGCAGATTGAGGATATTTTTCATTTCAAAGCAATGTTATTAGAAAAAAGATATAACAAAAAGTGCCTGGCATAGAGCAATAACAATAAATAATAATTGTAGCCAATTCATATACAGCAACCATTTCTGTGTGCCAGGTACTATTCTCAACAATTTATCTTCACTGTGTTATTTAAACCTCACTACAATCCTGAGGTAGGTCCTATTATTGTCCCCACTTCACAGTTGAGGAAAGTGAGGTGCAGAGGAAGATCAACAATTTGTTCATGGTTCTCAGCTAATAGGTGGAAGAGCTGGGATTAGACCCAGGCAAATCTGGCTCTACAGTCCAGATATTTAATCTCCATTATACTCCTTTTTCAGCCGGGTACAGTGGCTCATACCTGTAATCCCAGCACTGTGGGAGGCTGAAGCAGGCAGATCACTTGAGGTAAGGAGTTCGAGACCAGCCTGGCCAAAATGGTGAAACTCCATCTCTACTAAAAACACAAAAGTTGCCAGGCATGGTGGCACATCCCTGTAATCCCAGCTACTCAGAAGGCTGAGGCAGGAGAATCACTTGAACCAGGGAGGTGGTTCCAGTGATTCTCCAGCCTGAGGAACACAGTAAGTGGACTCTGTCTCAAAACAAACAAACAAACAAACAAAAAAACCAAAACATTGTACATTTCTTTTTTTTGAGACAAAGTCTCACTGTGTCCCCCAGGCTGGAGTGCAGTGGTGGGATCTCAGCAACCTGCGCCTCCCAGGTTCAAGCGATTCTCATGCCTCAGCCTCCCGAGTAGTTAGGATTATAGGCACCTGCCACCACGGCCAGTTAATTTTTGTTTTTTAGTAGAGACGGGGTTTCACCATGTTGGCCAGGCTCGTCTCAAACTCCTGACCTCAGGTGATCCACCCGCCTCAGCCTCCCAAAGTGCTGGGATTACAGGTGTGAGCCACCGCGCCCAGCCCCAAAACATTATACTTCTTTTCAAATATTCAGTAGGTATTCAGGAGTTAACTCCTTACCTTCTATTCTATAACTTTCAATGGTAAGGAATGGTATATGATTTCTTCTTAAAATGTAAGGCTTACCCCTCTACTTCTATCCTTTCCTATATACCTTTATAGTACAAAAGCTGTCATTACTCTCTTGATAAGGTATTCTCATACTCTTAATTCAGGAAAAGCTACTTCCAGAAATGCTGATTCAATGAGTTTGAGGTAGAAGTTGAAAACTGTATGTTTAAAAAACCTCTCCATATAATGATGATATCAGCCTGGTTTGAAAACTACCTTCCAGGCCTTTACCACAATGGCTATGAGATTCTGCTATGCATCCACGCAGCCTATGAAGTTTTTCTTTTTGTTTTTTGTTTCTAAACATATGAATGCCTGGGACCTTCAAAAGATTTTGAATGGATAGATTTAGCACCCAGACATTTGTCTAGGTTTTTTTTTGTTTTGTTTTGTTTTTGTTTGAGACAGTCTTACTCTGTCGTCCAGGCTGGAGTACAAGGGTGCGATCTCAGCTCACTGCAGCCTTAACCTCCTGAGCTCAGGTGATTCTCCCACCTCAGCCTGCCAAGTGTCTGGGACTACAGACATGTGTCACCACACCTCGATATTTTTTGTAGAGACAGGGTTTCGCCATGTTGCCCAAGCTGGTGTTGAACTCCTAGGCTCAAGCAATCTACCTGCCTCGGCCTTCCAAAGTGCTGGGATTAAGACATGAGCCACTGTGCCCAGCCTGTCTAGTCTGTTCTTTTGTGGTGGATCATAAGCAGTACCTTCAAGATGAAGGCCAAAAACCAGAAAGTATAAGACCCATGCTTCAGAAGTTATACCCACCCTTGGGTGTCAGAAGGGTCCTGAGTTTTAGCCCAGCTGTCTGCAAGTTGGTCTATTTTTATGATTCCCTTGTGTTTACTAGTAATATTTAGTATAAAAGTCCATCCTAGGGAGGGCCTGCCATACCAGAGATGTATTAATGAATCCATCTTACGGAGGACAAAACTAAGGCTGAGTGGTTCGTAATACTGGGATTTGACTCAACCTTGTCACAACACCAAAGCCAGTGCTCTTCCCTCCACCATGCTGCCTCAGGTTACAAGACACACTAACACCATCGTGTAGGGAGAGATGAGCTTCCAGGGCTCTGACATATATTAGACACTGATGAAGAGATTCCAAAGTGAGCTGAAACTAAAGATGACAGCGTTAGGGTTTCTAGAACTCTCTTCCCACTTCTCAAGCTCGCCCTTAACTGTATATCCCATGATGTTGTATTTTTACTTTAAAAGAGGCAATTCAGGCCAGGCACGGTGGCTCATGCTTGTAATCCCAGCACTTTGGGAGGCCGAGGCAGGTAGATTGCTTGAAATCAGGAGTTCAAGACCAGCCTGGCCAACATGGTGAAACCCCATCTCTACTAAAATACAAAAATAAGTTGTGTGTGGTGGTGGACGCCTGTAATCCCAGCTACTAGGGAGGCTGAGGCAGGAGAATTGCTTGAACCCAGGAGGCAGAGGTTGCAGTGAGCTGAGATCGCACCACTGCACTCTGGCCTGGGCAACAGAGCGAGACGCTGCCTCAAAACAAAACAAAACAAACAAATAAAAAAGCAATTCCCTCACAGTTATAGTCAACAGCTAGGAGTTTAGCCAAATCAACTAAAGGCAGACATTTTTTTTGTTTGTGGTAGTAGTGAGTGGTAAGCAAGAGAGAAAAAATGGTATGTCTTGTAGGTTGCAAGGGAAGAAAAACATACATGTAAGAGAGATTTTCTAAGGCAGAATTAACGAAGCTTCTCAGTAAAAGAAAGAGGAAAAGAAGTCCTATCCCTGAGAGGATGGTTTACGGAGTAACTACTGCACACTAGGTTCTGTACTAACAAAGAAAACTGTTAAACTGCTTCCCAGGCCAAAATCAAATAGGATCCCTAGCTAAGGGCAGCTTGACTGGTATCAACACTAGACCTCAAGTGGGTATGATGAAAAGGAGCAGCCAACCTCATTATCCAACTTAGAGGGAGTGAAGACTTCATTAAGAATAAATCTCATACGTTTTAATTACCAAAATGATCTAGGACTTCTTAGTCACAAGGATGATTTTCATAGCAGATTTTAAAATAAATATTAATCTCTTAATTCATTTGCTAAACTATCTCAAGTTTGGATATTGAATAAGCATATTAAATATATAAGGGACAATTCTTTTTCTACAGAGGAAAGTTTTTCAATCATCTCCCACATCACTCACTTGGATCTGGTTCACAGGCGCCGTCGCTAAATTCTCCAAAGATGATGATGTATTGCTCTCCATCCTAAAAGGAATTTAAGAGAACAATGTAGTTTATTAAGCATTAAGGATAATTTATCACGAGTTTTATTTGAAAAAAATCAATCTCATAAACAAATATAGCCAAACTTACAAAATAGAAAAAAATTTTACTTATTATCAGTACAAAATGTCAATATACAAAGTATTTGTTTCACTAAAACCAAAAAGGCCTGTGTGCTTATGTAACTAGCTTCCCAACACCCTTAATTATTTGATAAAATCATATTTACTGTGTTTAAAGCTTGACACACTCTTATTTATAACTGGCAAATTTCAAATATTCCATCCTATGCCATATGACCTGACCATTGGTTTAAAAATATAGTTTCTATTTTCTTAGTAAAACATGCCAAA
The DNA here is from genome assembly GCF_000001405.40 of Homo sapiens. Lineage (NCBI taxonomy): Eukaryota > Metazoa > Chordata > Mammalia > Primates > Hominidae > Homo > Homo sapiens. The sequence continues at coordinate 193,101,576 of NC_000001.11, forward strand.
ACTCTATGAACACACTGTGAAGCAGGGAATCTTCAAAGATTTTTGAGGAAGCTACAGTATCTCAACCGCAATGGGCCATAGCTCCAAATTTCCTAGTCTGCAAAGTGGAAACAATAATCACTGGCACGTCTCAAAGGATTTTGTGAAGATTAAATGAATTCATACGCAGAAAGCAGATAAGTGCCTTCCACATAGTAAATGCTCAATAATGTTTAACATTACTACTATTAGTTCCTGAATACAGGACCTCTCATTATCTCAGTATTTATTATCCAAAACCTAGCTATTGGGAGCTTGTAAAAGGAAGCATTCATTGTCAGGAAAATTATCACTAAAAAAAAAAACTCAACCAGTTTATCATCATCAAATCTTTTTATCCCTGGAACCTTTTCTTCCCCATCCACTCATCTTTCTTGGTCAACCAGGCCCTACCGCACTGTTGGAACAATATCAAACACCATGATGCAAACTAACTGCAGAGTAAAATTACAAATCTTACAAGAGGATTATGACATATAATAGATGTTTCAAAAGAGAATTACTCGAATATCTAAAGAATAAGAGAATTTTTGAAACTTCAAATATTTAAAAAACTATTATCCTTGTGATTATGTTATAAAACTCAAATATTCTGCCTTCAAATCAATACTGTATTCATTCATTGGGGGTGCATTTAAAATTTAAATGTTCTTAAATGTAAACATAAAGCTACTTTTTATGTTTTGTTTAATTTTTGCAATAGTCCCAAGCAGAATTTTTTAAACTGGATAGCATGAAATATTAGTCTTCTTTTTGAGATGGAGTCTTGCTCTGTCACCGAGCCTGGAGTGCAGTGGCGTGATCTTGGCTCACTGCAATCTCCGCTTCCCAGGTTCAAACAATTCTCCTGCCTCAGACTCCCGAGTCACTGACACTACAGGTATGTACCACCACACCTGGCTAATTTTTTGTATTTTTAGTAGAGATGGGGTTTCACCATGTTGACCATGCTGGTCTCGAACTCCTGACCTCATATGATCAACCTACCTCGGCCTCCCAAAGTGCTGGGATTACAGGTGTAAGCCACCGCGCCTGGCCTGAAATACTAGTCTTATTTTAAGTGAATCCACTCTAATAGCTTTTTCCAGTACATCTTATCCTTGGATAATGAACATCTGCCCTACACAGTAGTCCCCCTTTATCCACGGTTTCAGTTATCCAAGGTCAGCTGTGGTCCAAAAACATTACATGGAAAATTTCAGAAGAAAATAGTTCGTAAGTTTTAAGTAGCATGATGAAATCTTGAGCCATCTAGCTTCCTCCTACCCAGGGTATGAATCCTCCCTTTGTCCAGCATATGGACTCTGTATAAGCTCCCCACGCTTTAGTCAACAGCTGTCTTGGTGACCAGATCGACTGTCACAGTGTGGTGATGCTTGTGTTCAAGTAACCCTTATTTTACTTAATAATGGCTCCAACAAGAGTGAAACTCCGTCTTAAATAATAATAATAATAATGGCTCCAAACCACTAGAGTAGTGATGCTGGCAATTCAGGTACGTCAAAGAGAAGCCCTAAAGTGCTTCCTTTAAGTGAAACGGTGAAAGTTCTCCACCTAATAGGAAAAAAAAAATCACACGCTGAGGTTGCTAAGGTCTATGGTAAGAACGGATCTTCTATCAGTGCAGTTGTAAAGAAGTAAAAAATTCATGGCAGTTTTGATGTCACACCTCAAACTGCAAGTTACAGCCACAAGGTATAAGTGCTTAGTTAAGCCAGAAAAGGTATTAAATTTGTGGAGACAAGAACAGAAAAAGTGTTCCAACTGACAGCAATGTGTTATGCCAAAAAGCACTGGGCCTATGAGAAGATTCAGCAAGGGATTCCTTGAAATGAGCATTTTGTTATTAAAGTGATTGTTCTTTTATTATTGTTGTTAATCTCTTACTCTGCCTAATTTATAAATTAAACTTTATCATAGGCAAGTATGTATAGGAAAATAGCATGTATAGGGTTCAGTACTATCCGAGGTTTTAGGCATCCACCGAGGGTCTTGGAACGTGTCCACCACGGATAAGGGGGAACGATTATGATATCAGCTCACCTAGAGTGAGGAAGCTACAGCAAACATCAGTTTGTTCAGTTATAACAAAGAAGAGTAAGAGACAGGAATTAAACATTATAACATTATAACCTACCCAATGTTTACAATCTATTATTCCTTGCTTCCTAATAGTATTAGCAAGGAACACTTTAAAACAAAAAAAAAAGTCCTGTGCGCTTAACTCAGGAAGGAGTTAAGGGTAGCGAGCTAGGGAGACTGCAGCCAACCTGAGAGGAGGGTGAAGCTTTAAGATAAAAGAAAGTTGAGTTCCTGAAGCCTAAACCAGAAAAGGTTAGGCAGCACTGGCCTAGCCCTAAGGAAGAGCATTGGTGGAATAAATCAGCAAGCTGTATTTGGTTTATCAACTAAGAAAGCAAGTCCTTTCATCTCAGGTCCAGCACTTAAACTGTCATACCCAAACCATCTACTACAGCATTTACTACTGAAGGAGCTCCAATAGAACACAAGAGAATGTTTTCTTGGGTAGTGAGAGGAGGTAGGAGGTGCATTCTGAAATATTACCCAAATAAAAGTTTCTGGAAGACACCCTTTCCCTTCAATTTCTAGTTGACCTTGGTAAAAACTGTCGCGAACTATGAATAGAAACATGCACGGAGGAAGTAAGTGCACAATAAACATTTCATTTCAACACAGATGAAGCACCTAGTCATGCCACATTTATGGAGCGCCTACTGTGTGCTAAGTAGGCAAAGTGCTATATTGACCCCAGGGATACGCAGAAAAAAACACGGCGGGGCCTCAAAGAGCTGTCAAACACTTAACAGCCTGTGATTAGCCCTTCAGGAGGGGTCTCTAGCTTGGTCTGGAAAGTTAAACTTGAGATTCCTAGAATCTTGCAAAACTGATAGAAGCTCCCAGATCAAGTAGATAGCGAGACAGACTCTCCGGCCAAGTGCGCAGTGGCAGGCGCGGAAGTGCGAGCCGGCAGGACCGCCAGGCACCAGCCGCGCGGGCGTGGGCAGCACAGCCGCAGTTCCCTTCCACTGCAGGTCCCGAAGCCGCTGATATTCCAAACGAGGAAGTGTAAGGAAAGCACTATCCTCGGTCTAGCCGCAGGCGGCATCACCATCAGTCAGCCTCTATCCTAAAAGCTCTGGCCATTCAGCGGGAATCATCGCCTTCACTTCCTGCAGTAGGGTGGCTAAGTTTAGCAAACAAGAATGCAGGACGCCCGGTCAAATTAGAATTGTAACCAAACACCAGAAAACTGTTCCGTTTTTCCTATGTCCACTGCAGTATTTGGGACACACTTGGACTAAGAATCATTCGCTCTTTCAGAGAAATTCCAATTGATTGCGGCGTCTTGTATTTTATGTAGCAATTCACAGAGGGATGGCCTAAGTGAACATGAGTGAAGTATTTTCAACGCGAGAGTCACAGGCTCCTGAAGTCAGCACAGCCGCGGAGGGCACCCTTCCCTGCCCATCCCTCGAGCGCCTCTGCGTGTTATGACTCAGAGCCCACGCGCTAGTACGCCTCGCCCACCCGGCGCCGGGGCAAAGGGGCACCTCCGCCCACCGCTTTCTCCAGACCCCCGCAAGGCCTGCGCACCACGCCGCGGCACTCCTGCCCGCTGACCCCGTACCCAGAGGCCGCAGCTGCCGCAGCTCCCGCAGCTCCCGCCGCCCTGTCAAGCCAGCCTGCCGAGCCGCTCCTGCTCCAAACCAGCCGCGTCCCCGCCAGCGCCGCGCGGCGCCAAATCATGGTCAGAGCCCGGATCTGCAGCGAGCTCTACTGCCGGACACCGCGGATCCCGGGAGCCCGCCTCCTCCGGCCCGGCCCCCGCCTTGCCCCGCCCCGTCCCGCCCCTCCGGACTGCCCGCGCCGCCGCCGGTCACCTCCTCGCAGCTGAGCGCGTCCTCCCAGGGCTGCCCGAGCGCTGGATTCCAGCGAGTGCCACCCACGTGTAAACATCCTTTAGAGGGGAGAAGCGGCTCACTTGCTTATCTCGAGGGTTCATCCGAGCCCCGCCTCTGGATTCTTTTAGGTTTAGGGACGCTCATAAAGGCTCCCAGGCACTTGGAAGCAGTGCATGAGGATGGTGGCAGACATGCTGGGGAAACGGAGGAGAAAAAACATGACCATCCAAAACAGAATCAAAGTGGTGCCTCAGATGTTTCCAACTACCTGTTACACAAGTTTTTGTGTGGATGAAATAAGAGCCTAAATATATCCTCTTATAATTAGGCAATTGGTCGAGACCCAATGTAAATTATGGGGATATTGGGGTTTACATCCATAATTAAAAGAAAAAATCCGGTGTTGAAGGTTTACTCCAAAGAAGACAAAGATTATTTCCCACCACCTGCCAAAAAAAAAAAATTAGGAAACAAAACAAAAGAAATTAGCACAGAGATGTTTCACCATGGCTTTGGAAATGGGCGATTGCTGTTGACAGGATTATTTAAGCCACTCAGTGGTGGTAATAATAGCCTTTGTGCGTCACTATTTAAGGTTGGGGGTAAGCCTTTATTTACTGAGGACACTGAAATTCATCTTAAAGTCAAAGGTCAAATGGTACATCTAAAATTCTAAACAATTATTACAACAATCCAGAGCTTTTTTGATTCTTCATGTTCAACTAAGTGTAAAATTCATGTTACCAAAGTACAAAATAAGAACTTGTATTTCTGACAGTTCTTTTCCAACATTCAAATGGGCTATGTTTGATTACTTAATAAAAGGATGGAAGTTAGTTGCAAAAATAAATACCCCCAAAGGGTAGGAATTCATTCTTTTTAAAGACAAATTTGACTTTGAAAATTAAGGCATGTGGCCAGGCGCGATGGCCTGTCCTGTAATGTGGCCATTACAGGACTGCCCGCTGACCCCGTACCCAGAGGCCGCAGCTGCCGCAGCTCCCGCAGTGGCCAGTCCTGTAATCCCAGCACTTTAGGAAGCCGAGGCGGGCGGGTCACCTGAGGTTGGGGGTTCAAGACCAGCCCCTCCAATATTGGTGAAACGCCGTCTCTACTAAAAATACAAAATTAGCCGGGCGTGGTGGCGCATGCCCGTAATCCCAGCTACTCGGGAGGCTGAGGCAGGAGAATCGCTTGAATCCATGAGGCAGAGTTTGCAGTGAGCCAAGATCACACGATTGCACTCCAGCCTGGGCAACAAGAGCAAAACTCCGTCTCATAAAAAAATAAATAAATAAAATAAAATAAAAATTAAGGTATGTTATCTATCTATAGTGTTGTGGGCTTTTTAATTTTTTTATAAAACTATTTTGGAAATTTATGGTGTTATGTTAGTTTTGAAGTCAAATTTTACCTCATCTCAAATTGTTTTATGAAATAAAGATCATTATGAGGTGAACCGATCATGTTACAATTTAATTTTAATACAGCATAGATGGACTATTATCAAGCACAGAATTCACTGGACAGATTTTTTTAAGGATTTCAGAATGTAAAGTACTTCAGAAGAAAGTGTTATGCCTGAATTCAGCATAATATATTAATAAATATATTGATAATTTTCAACTTCTTTGTGCTTCGTGGGGTAGCTACAGAAGTGATTATTATTTTTGGTCATAGTTGTGATGACTGCAATAGCAAGTTAAGAAATATGTCAGCAGACAGTAGAACGGTGGTTGCCAGGGCCTGGGAGAAGGTGGAAATGGGGAGATGTTGGTCAAAGGGTACAGAGTTTCAATTATGCGAGATAGGTAAGTTCTAGAGAGCTAAAGTACAGCAATGTGACTATAGTTAGGAAAATCGCAATGTATGCTTGAAATTTGCTAAGAGGGTAGATCTTGTGTTCTCACACTTGCACACAAGAAAGAAAATGGGGCCAGGTGCGGTGGCTCACGCCTGTAATCCCAGCACTTTGGGAAGCTGAGATGGGTGGATCAACTGAGGTCAGGAGTTCAAGACCAGCCTGGCCAATATGATGAAACCCCATCTCAACTGAAAATACAAAAATTAGCCGAGCATGGTAGCACGCGCCTGTAATCCCAGCTACTCGGGAGGCTGAGGCAGGAGAATCGCTTGAACCTGGGAGGCAGAGGTTGCAGTGAGTTGAGATTGCGTCACTGCACTCCAACTTGAGCGACAGAGTAAGACTGTCTGGAAAAAAAAAGAAAGAAAGAAAAAGAGAGAAGAAAATAAAGGGAATAGAAAAAAATGGTAAATATGAAAGGTGGTGGCTATGTTAATTAGCTTGATTGTGATAGTTATTATACAGTGTATCAGGCTTTGGAATGAATGTTTGTCCCCTCTGACACTTATGTTGAAACTGTCCAATGTGGCAGTGCTGACAGGTGGGGCCTTTGAGAGATGATTGGGCATGAGAGCTGGAACATGAATGAATGGATTAATGGGTGATCATGGGAGTAGAACTGGCAGCTTTATAAAACAGAGTTCTCTGCTGCCTTGTCCCATGATGTCCTACATGGCTTGGGGAATCTGCAGAGTTCCCACCAGCAAGAAGGTCATTACCAGATGTGACCTCTTGACCTTGCACTTCTCAGCATTCAATACTGTAAGAACAATTTATATACAAATTACTCAGCTTCAGATATTCTGTTATAAGCAACAGAAAATGGACTAAGACATATACATGTATCAAAATATCAAGTTGTACATTTTAAAAGTAAAGTGACAGACCAGGCATGGTGGCTCACGCCTGTAATCCCAGCACTTTGGGAGCCTGAGGCAGGTGGATCACAAGGTCAGGAGTTCGAGACCAGCCTGGCCAATATGGTGAAACCCCGTCTCTACTAAAAATACAAAAAAAAATTAGCTGGGTGTGGTGGCGCATGCCTGTACTCCCAGCTACTCTGGTGGCTGAGGCAGGAGAATTGCTTGAACCCGGGAGGCAGAGGTTGCAGTGAGCTAAGATGGCTCCACTGCATTACATCCTGGGTGACAGAGTGAGACTCCATCTCAAAAAAAAAAAAAAGTTGTTGGCATGAAGACGTGAAGGCAGGCCAACTGGAAGGGAAGCATCCTATATGACTGGTTTGGGGAGCATATTTGGAAAGCTGGTAGTCATTAACCAAGTTCTAATTGTTCTGGTCTGTTTGCTCGAAGTCAGAGTTTTATTGTCATGTGTGTTCTGCCCATTATCCATTTATATATTCAGTCCCTCACCATTAAATAATGGGATTCCATAGTTAACCTCTTGTTCCTGAATTCTATAAATTTTATGTGCCCACTATGTGCCAAGCACTGTAGTGAACAGCACAGAAATGACACTAGCATTCATGAAAACCTAGGATAATACATAAGAGGAAGGCCTAAATTGAATTTGATATTTTGGAAGGAATGGCAGAGGAAGAAACTTGTAACCTAAGGTTTTAACAAGAGTAAGAGTTAGGCAGACAAGGTGGGGGCAGAGGGAGAAGGGAAGGGGAAGAGCTCTCCAGGTGGTAAGGAAGAAGACAAAAGCTATTACATGCTTTCCATGCAGAAATTTTTTATTTAATCTGATTTGAAATTAGCCATGTTCGCAATTTTAATTTGTTGGTTTAAAAAAGCAAGCATGACTTGTCTGTGTTTCCATATTTAAAAATCCGTGTTGAAAGAGCAAATAAACCAACAAATCTAGTTCTGTCATATGCCTTACTTTTACTGCCCTCTACTTTCTTTTCTTGGTTTCGCAAAGGCTATTTATTAGATATTCTTTGAAGTTTTTATTGAATTGGGCTTGCTGCTTCTTTTTATTGGAAATTCAACATGTTATTCTTCTGCTGTACCAGTAGCCAACCAGACTGAGATCAGACCATCATCCCCCAGCCCCAACAGATCCCCATATTATTGGAGCACCTTAGAACAATTATCAATACAGGTACAATTTATCCTAGGAGATGACTGTTGAGTCAAGCTCAACTCAATTCTGAAAAAAAAAAAAAAAAAAAAAAAAAAAAAGCCCAATATCTTTAATGATTACTTTTATGTGTCAACTTGACTAGACAATGGATGCCCAAGTATTTGGCCACTAGGTGTTTCTGTGAGGATGTTTTGGAAAGAAATTAACATTTAAATTTGAAGACCGAGTAAAGCAGATTGCCCTCCATAATGTGGGTAGGCTTTATCAAATCAGTTGGAAGTCTGAATAGGACAAAATGATGACCCTCCTCCAGCCAGGAAAGAGTTCTGCTAGATGTCCTTGGAACTGAACATTAGCTCTTCCTGCCTGATGGCCTTCAAACTGGATAATTGGATCTCCTTGGTTCTGCAGAAGCTTTCTGGCCTTTGGACTCCAACTAGGACATTGGTTCAGCATATATTAAACTTGCCAGCCTCCATAATCATGTGAGTGAATTCCTTTCAATTAATCTCTTTATATATATTCTATTTCTCTGGAGAACCCTGACCAATACAATATTCAATTGTTATTTTATCCAAGATAGAAAAAATTGTTCCATTTCTTTTTTTAAAATTACTTTTATCCTTAGAGTTCCCAAGACATAAAGTTTCGATTCGGTAAGTCTCTAAGTCCTTTTCTCTGTAACATTCCCACACAAGGCTATACTTAACATTAATGGTAATGAGATTTAATCACAAGTCTCCAGTTCTAGTGTTACCAAAGCTCCACTATATGGTCCAAACACTGAACAAAGACCTATCAAGCTGATTGCTATTATATAAAGCACAAATCTGATAAGGGATCTGATATGGGCATAGTCAGGACTGCAGTAGTGAAAGAAGTCAGTTCCACTCCCGCTACTTATAGACAAAGTGAAGAGCAGCCTCTGCCATTCAGGATCTGGATTGGCACTAACAGCTGGATCATTGTGTTTTCCTGTTAAATAAAAATAAATTCAGAATACCAACAACCAGATAAAACCACTCTGTGACCATAATGAATCAAGACAAAACAAGGGCTGGGTGTGGTGGCTCATGCCTGTAATTCCAGCAATTTGGGGGGCCAAGGCAGGAGGATTGCTTAAAGCCAGGAGTTTGAGACCAGCCTAGGCAACAAAGGGAGATCCTGTCTCTACACAAAATAAAAAGTTAGCCAGGTGTGTGCCTGTAGTCCCAGCTACTTGGGAGGCTGAAGTGGGAGGATTGCTTGAGTCCAGGAGTTTGAGGTTGCAGTAGCTATAATCACCACTGTTCTCCAGTCTGGGCAACAGAGCAAGACTCTGTCTCTAAAAAACAAAATAAGAAAAAACAAGACCAATCAGTAATAATCATATCTTAACACAGATCCCCAAATGACCACTTTGAGTGACTTCTACTTCTTTGCCACTTACAGCTTTAGCCTCACTTCATTCTTCCCACCTTCTAGATAAATAAAAATACAACTCTGCAGGCCAAATCTGTTTGCTGCAGCAGTTATGGGTCAGAATTCTGTTGTTATATATAGTCTGGCCATTTCCCATTTGTATATTGTCTCTCACCATTAAGTGATGGGATTCCACAAATAATTAAACTCTTATTCCTGCATTCAACAAATATTACGTGTCCACCATATGCCAGGCACTGTAGTGAACAGTATATAAATGAATCTAGCATTCACGAAAATCTAGGAGAATACATGGGAGGGGAATCTACATTGAATTTGAGAATCTGGGAAGGCATATCAGAGGAAGTAACTCCTAACCTGCGTTTTAACAACCCTTGGGTTAGAATGGTTTAAACATTTTTTAAAGAGTTCAACAAACTCTTTAAAATATTATTCAAAGAAGAATATATGAATGAAACCATATGTAACTTGCAAAGCCTAAAGTATTTTCTATCTGGCCCTTTCCAGAAAAAGTTTACTAATCTCTATTCTAGAGAAAATTAAGAGACCCAATCATAAAATTACCCTTGCTTTGTGATAGGAACCAATACAGAGCAAAACCCCATATCACTGAATCCTTTCCAAAATTCCCTTACAAAAAACAAAATTGAACAGATCTAGTCTAACACCTTCTTGCAGAAATACTACACAGATACACATAATATGTGGTCTCGATTATAGCAAACAGCCAATAAACTTAACTTTGTTTGATTAAAAAATGTGTGTTAAAAGCAGGGTCGGCAAACTGGAGCCAAAGCCTATCTGTGGTCTGTTTTTGTATGGCCTAAAAGCTAAGAAAGATTATTACTTTTTTTTTTTCTTGAGACAGAGTCTTGCTCTGTCACCCAGGCTGGAATGCGATGATGCAATCACAGCTCACTGCAGCCTCGACCTTCTGGGCTGAAGCAATCCTCCAACCTCGGCATCCCGAGTGGCAGAGACTACAGATGTGTGCCACCATGCCCAGCTAATGTTTTAGTTTTTGTAGAGATGGGGTCACGTTATGCTGCTCAGGCTGCTCTCAAACTCCTGGGCTCAAGCCACCCTGTCACCTCAGCTTTCCAAAGTGCTGGGATACAGTTGTGAGCCACTGCACCTGGAAATTTTTACATTTTTAAGAGTTGTTTCAAAACAAACCAATACAGAAAAATACTTGACAGAGCCCTTATGTGGCCACAAACCCTAAAATATTTAATATTTAGCTCTTTGCAGAAAAGAATCTGCCACCTCCTGATCAAGAACTGTGAAGAGTCGGACATTTTATTCTCCTTGCAAGCTGACAGATTAGTTTGTAGGTTTCATGAATGCTGACACAGAGACAACACACTTGGATCAACAATGAAGGGCTTTATTACTGAAAGCAGTAACCAGAGTGTCAACATATTTGCATTGGTTTCCTGAGCCCCAGTTGCAACAGGGAGGCATGGAAGGTCAGATGACAGCAGTTACTTTTTTTTTTTTTTTTTGAGACACTGTCTCACTCTGTCACCCAGGCTGGAGTGCAGTGCCATGATCTCAGCTCACTGTAGCCTTGATCTCCTAGGCTTAAGCCATCCTCCCACCTCAGCCCCATTGAAATAGCTGGGACTACAGGTACACACTACCAGGCCAGTCTAATTTTTGTACTTTTTGTAGAGATGGCGTTTTGCCATGTTGCCCAGGCTGGTCTCAAACTCCTGGACTCACGCAATATGCCCACCTTGGCCTACCAGTGTGTTGGGATTACAGGCATGAGCCACCGCACCCAACCCACAGTGGTTTTTTTGTTTGTTTTTTGAGATGGAGTCTTGCTCTGTCACCAGGCTGGAGTGCAGTGTCGCGATCTCGGCTCACTGCAACCTCCTTCTCCTGGGTTCAAGCGATTCTCCTGCCTCAGCCTCCCGAGTAGCTGGGACTACAGGCACGTGCCATTACAGCTAATTTTTGTATTTTTAGTAGAGACAGGGTTTCACCATGTTGGCCAGGATGGTCTCAATCTCTTGACCTGGTGATCCGCCCGCCTTGGCCTTCCAAAGTGCTGGGATTTGAGGGGTGAGCCTCCGTGCCTGGCCCCCACAGTGGGTTATTTTTTAAGAGAATTGCCCAGGGCCAAAGGTCTAGGAACAAATATTACAGCAAGATGCAATCAAATCAGTCCTCTTCATCTAGTGAATGAGCAGTAATCATGCTGTTGCAGGACTTTTCCCTAGTTCAGCTAAAGACGGGGTTCCTTGTCCCACTGCCATGAAAATTCAGGCTTGCAGACAATTTGAATGGTGAGTAAGACAGGGTTTTATTGGGTGAAAGGGAAGAAAAGGGGGAAACAGGGACTCTCGCTAGGCCAGAGTCCCTGCTAGAGCGCTTCCTACTCAGCAGTTCGAATCCCAGTTTCCACACAGAAGAGATGGGGCCAGGCTCCCCGCTCTGCAAACATCGTGAACTTCCTGAGACTCCACCCCTGTGGGCAGGGTGGTTGGAGTTTCTTCAGGGACTCCTTCCCATGTGGCTGTCTCAATGCTGTGGCTACGTTCATGTATTTAGTTACCTATGTGATGAGCTACAGCAACTACTCAGAATCAGCAGAAAGATAGCTCTGCAATTTGGCATCCTCAGCAAGAATATGCAGGAATGCTCAGGGCCTGTGGTGAACTAACTCTGCCTAGAGTGTGCCCCTGGTGATATTTGTTTGCAAGTCATTGACAGAAGTGAAGTTTCCACCAAGATTCAGCTGAGACCTTGCCGCTGCAGGCTAAGATCCTCAACTCTCTAGTGTGGACGTCACATCTGGAATCTTGTGTCTTCTGATTGAGGCCCCCTGGCACACAGTGAGGAGGTAAGTTTATACTGAATTGAGCTCCAATATTTTGTTGAAGTTCTTCGCACTGAATTTTATTTTGTTTTCTTAGGAATTAGGTGCCCTGGCATCCTTCCATTATCTGATCAGACTTGTATCGTTCCTTGGTGAAACTGTTGTCTAGTCTTCCAGCTGTTCCTTTTACGGTCTGTCTGCTTACCAAGTTGTCAATTAGAGAAAAAGTCTACAAGAAGATACCAGGCAGAGGCTCTATAATTCTATCCTTGTGCTGGCCCTGGGGGCTGGGAAGTTCAGGTCTCCTCAGACCACTCTCTTTGAACCAACTCTTTGTCTTGAGTCTCCATTACAAATTATGCAAAGACATCCTCCTTAGTTTTGTCTTTGTGTTAGTACTTTAATTTTATCTGCTTGGAATCAGGAGGTTTGTCCACCCCATGTTTGGTGACCATTAACCTTTGGCCAATTTATAAAGACATGAGTTACACAAATGCCATTTTAGGGAACACTGCAGTACTCATAGGGCCTTCTTAATTAAAACCTGCTTTCTACTTGACAAAACCTACTTCCCTTATGTTTTCACACTATAATATTAACTTGCATGTTTATCTGTCTAACTGGTACAGTTTTACCAGAGACAATTTGAGATTACAATACCCACTTTAGCTATTTTTGACAAGAATAAGATTGTTCATATGAGAGGTGCTTTAGAACAAAAAGTGAGGAAGACTTCATGAGGAAATTTTCTTGCTTGTCTAAAAAAGAGAGTATTTAATTTAACGTAGGAGACATCTCTTCCTTTGTTTTCTTACTCTGAAGATTAATAAGTGTTGGATTTTTCACTGTATGGGTGGATAAAATTGTCCAGGGCCCAAGTTGTTCTTTAAATCAGCTATTATAACGCTCTTTTGTGTGTGTACATGTTAAAATGAGTTTTTCCATATCTAAACTTTCTCTTTTTTTCAGAGAAAGCATAATTAGCCTTTTAAGGTGATAATTTTATATTTATCTGAAGTCAACTCTCTCATTTTCTTCTGTTTCTCTGTTTTATTCCTCTCTTAGAAAATTCTAAAGATTAACAATCAAAAAACAAAAAACCAAAACATTCAATTATTGTGTGCTCACTCTAAGAATATATAGTTTAGATAAACAATCACGTAAAAGTAAACAAAAAAGTCATCAAAGTACTCATTTTGGCAGCACGTACACTGAAAAGGCCATCGAACTCTTTGTGTTTATTTTGTGAGTCCTGAATAGCCCTTGTTACCGTACTTAAAAGGTAAAAAGACAAGATCTTAGTTATTTCCAAGATAAAAGAAGAACTTTTAGCATGATTCAGAATCTTTAAATTTCAATACCATATAAAAGTAATGTCAATACAATATTTTGTTTTGAACAGGACCACAGTTAATCTTCTCATGATTTATACTTCCTATATTTCCTATGTTGGTTTTATGAGTTAAATAAATTATCATTGCTTCTACGACATGTTTAAATTTCCATATATAAATGTAAATATGTGTGTATACATATATAAATAAAACATTTGTAATGGTATTCATGCAATGCAAGAGTAATACTTTTTTTTAGGGGTAAATTTTATAAAATTCTTACAGTGCTACAAATAAGTATTTACTGTGAGAGCAAACGTGGTAAATTTCAGATCCTTAACTACGTTCAAGACATTATACAAATAATTAATTTAATTAATAAATAATGTTTTGAAGCCAGAACAGTTTCTAAGTAAAAAACATATATGTTTATTTCCATATGTAAGGAATTTGTAAGTTGTCATTCTGTTGTAACATTAAATAAAAAAACTGAATAGATTGAAAAATCAACTTTTCTTGGATCCGTGAAAGAGATGAAGATACAGGGCAAACACTGCCCCCAATATTGGAGAGAGAGAGAGATGAATACAGGGATTCACAGCTTACCTGAGCAGAGACTCATGAGTGGAAATGGCCACAGAACCAGTGCTAGGATAAGAACTTCTAAACTGTGATCAGTGAATTGCTGGATGCTTAGTGTGGACAAGTCTGAGAGTTAAAAATTCCAGGGGGATTGACTCAAGTGGTTGGAGTGGACTCACAGTTTTGTGACTCATCCCCAGGAGCTTGACCTGGTTCTCACAGTAAGTATGTTAGGAAAATCCTCACTTGTTTTCAGCAGGGGGAGGGAAAATGAATCATTCTGAAATAGAGTAGAGGACTATGTTCTTAACAAGGCCTGCCCTCAGCAAAAACTAGTTAACTAGAGTCTAACCTGCTGGGGTTTTTTTCAGAGCCTCAGTGACTTGGGGGAAGGAAAACACCAAGTCTAGCCTGCTTTAGCTATCCTGTCCCAATTAAGGGTGGAAGCAGGAGGGAACTAAGTCCACAGTCCAGAGGCATAGGGTCATTAAAAGACTGTGACCTAATCGTAGAACTACAGAGCACTTGTTCTCCCCCACAACTTACCACCATGTTATGAAAGACCTATTTATAGCAGCTCCTTTCACCTGGTATATCATGTCCAGCTATTAAGAAAAAAATTACATAAAAGGAAAAAAACAGAATTTGAAGAGACAGAGCAAGCATCAGAACCAGGCATGGCAGAGATATTGGAATTATCAGACCAGGAATTTAAAACAATGATTAATATGCTAAGGGTCTTAGTGGATAAAGTAGATAGTATGCAAGAACAGATGTGCAATGTAAGCAGAGGAATGAAAATCCTGAAAAAAAAAAATGCTAGAAGTGAAAAAAAAAAAAAAACTGTAAGAGAAATGATGAATGCCTTTGGTGGGCTCATTAGTAGACTGAAATGGCTGAGGAAAGAATCTCCAAGTTAAAGGATCTCTCAACAGAAAACTCCGAAACTGAACAGCAAAGAAAACAAAGATTGAAAAAACAGAACAGGGCTGGGCACGGTGGCTCATGCCTGTAATCCCAGCACTTTGGGAGGCCCAGGCGGGCAGATCACGAGGTCAGGAGATCGAGACCATCCTGGCTAACACAGTGAAACCCCGTATTTACTAAAAAATAACAAAAAAAAAATTAGCCGGGTGTGGTGGCGGGCGCCTGTAGTCCCAGCTACTCGGGAAGCTGAGGCAGAAGAATGGCGTGAACCCGGGAGGCAGAGGTTGCAGTGAGCCAAGATCACACCACTGCACTCCAGCCTGGGTGACAGAGCAAGACTCCGTCTCAAAAAAAAAAAAACAAAAAAAAACCACCCAGAACAGAATATTCAGGGACTGTAGGACAACTACAAAAGGTATAATGTACATATAATGGGAATATCAGAAGGAGAAGCAAGAAAAAGACAGAAGAAATATTTGAAGCAATGAAGATTTTTAAATCCTTCAAATTGGCCGGGTGTGGTGGCTCACACCTGTAATTCCAGCACTCTGGGAGACCAAGGTGGGTAGATCACCTGAGGTCAGGAATTCAAGACCAGCCCCCGCCAACATAGTGAAACCCCGTCTCTACTAAAAATACAAAAAATTAGTTGGGTGTGGTGGTGCACACCTGTAATCCCAGCTGCTCGGGAGGCTGAGGCAGGAGAATCATTTGAACCCGAGAGACGGAGGCTGCAGTGAGCCAAGATTGTGCCATTACACTCCAGCTGGGCGACAGAGTGAGACTCCACCTCAAAAAGAAAGAAAGAAAGAAAGAGAGAGAGAGAGAGGGAGAGAGAAAGAAAGAAGGAAAGAAAGAGGAAGAAAGAAAGAAAGAGAAAGAAAGAAGGAAAGAAGGAAAGAAAGGAAAGAAAGAAAGAAGGAAAGAAAAAGAAAGAAAGAAAGACTGACAAAATACAACCATATAAAATGCTCAATTAAAACCACAAACAGCTGGGCGCAGTGGCTCAGGCCTGTAATCCCAGCATTTTGGGAGGCTGAAGCAGGAGGATTTCTTGAGCCTAGGAATCTGATACCAGCCTAAAAAATAAAGTGGGTCCCTGTCTCTATAAAAAATTTAAAAATTAGCTCGGTGTGGTGGTGTACACCTGTAGTCTCAGCCGCTCTAGAGGTTTCAGTGGGAGGATCACTTGAGCCCAGGAGTTTGAAGCCGCCGTGAGCTATGATCACACCATTAGGTTCCAGCCTGGATTACAGAGCAAGACCCTGTCTCTCTCTCTCTCTCTCTCTCTCACACACACACACACACACACGCACACACACAGGAGAAAAACTGTGGCAGATATAAATAGGAACAGAGAACAAGGGCAACAAATAGAAAGCAATAACAAATACGGTAGATATTAATCCAACTTTATCAATAATAACTTTGAACATCAATGGTCTAACTGCACCAATTAAAAGAGATTGTCAGAGTGGTTCAAAATATGAGACCCAACTCTATGTTATCCACAAAATCCCACTTTAAATGTAAACACGCATATAGATAAAAAGTAAATGAATGGAGAAAAATACATCATGCTAACACCAATAAAAAAAAGTAGGATTAGCTATTTTAATTTCAGACAGAGCAGACTTCAAAACAAGGAAAGTTTGTTGGAATAAAGAAGAGCATTATGTAATGATAAGGGGTCAATTCTCCAATAAGACAGAACAATGCTTAATGTGTACGTGCTTAACAACAGAGCGTCAAATTATATAAGGCAAAAAACTGATGGAACTACAAGGAAAAATATATGAATCCATTATTATAGTGGAAGATTTCAACACCCCTGTATCAGATATGAACAGAACCAGCAGGCAGAAAATCAATAAGGATGTAATTGAACTCAACCACACCATCAGTCATCTTGATATAGTTGACATCTATAGACTATTCAACAACAACAGAATAAACATTCTTCCTAAACATGCAAGGAACATTCGCCATGACAGACCACATTTTGGGCCATAGAAGACACTTTTGTAAATTTAAAATTATATAAAGCATACAATATCTACTCTCAGACCACAATGAAACTAAACTAGAAATCAATAATAGGAAGATAGCGAGAAAATTCTAAAATATGTCGAGTTTAAACAATACATTTCTAAATAACATGAGTCAAAGAAGAAATCTCAAGATAAATTTTAAAATATTTTGAGCTGCAAGAAAATAAAAACATAACTTACCAAAGTGTATGGGAGGAAGCGAAGTAGTGTTTAGAGGGAAATTTGTAGCATTGAATGTATATATTAGAAAAGAAGAAAGACCTAAAAATCAATAATCTAAACTTCTACCTCAGGAAACTAGAAAAAGAAGAGCAAATTAAATCTAAAGTAAGCAAAAGAAGAGAAATAATAAAAGTTAAGCATAAACTGGTAAAACTGAAAGTAAAAAAATCAGTAATCACACCAAAAGCTGGTTCTTTGAAAAGATCAATGAAATCAATGAACCTCTTAGTCACGCTAAGAAGAGAGAAGACACAAATTACTAAAATCAGAAATAAAAGAGGGGACATTTCTACAGATGACATGAACATTAAAAGGATAATAACAAATGCTGTGAACAACTATATCCCACTAATTTCATAACCTAGATAAAATGGAACCCCTTGAAAGACACAATCTGCCAAAACTCACACAAGAAGAAATGGACAATCTGAATAAACCTATATATATCAAAGACATCAAGTAAATAATTAACCCATAATTAAGTACCCAACCCATAATAATTCCCTGGAATAAACTATGACTATGTCTGGGTTGTTGTTTGCTTACTCTCTGGATGGACTGAGGCTTTTCCTTGCTAGGGAGCTATAACTCCACACACTGATTTCCCCCAAACTTTAGGAAAAGTAAAGAGAACTAACAGAGTCCTAAAACTAAAATTATCAACAGTTTCGAAAAACAAATTTCATGGCCCTTCAAATTGCCATTAGTCATGATTGATTGATGACAATAAATCAACCCCTTCTGGGACCCACAGATTATCTCTTCTTGAATTAACAGCCTCCCCCTACCCATGTATTTGAAAATTTTACTTCCAATCCTACGTTCTACCATTACAGAGTAATATAAATAAATGCTTCATGAGACTTATGCTACCTGCCGAATTATCCCTAGTAGGTTCAAGTGCATTTCCAAAATACTTACCTAAGCAGACTTTGATTGATCTAAAACCTGGCAATTTGGTCCTTTGGAAAAGGAACCAGAATAAAACTGTCCTTGGGCACTGGTGGAAAGAACCTTATTGGGTACTGTTAGCAATTGAGGTAGTGGTTTAAACTCCAAGGTAATGATGTTGGATCCATCGTTTCCAACTAAAAAGACATACCACTTTCTTCTGATTGCTGGGCATTTACTCTAACAGAAGACATAAAACTAAAGATTTTTTAGGAATTCTTCAGGAGCTAATATCTGGAGATGTGGACTGCTTTTGCCCAAGACAAAGAAACCAGACTATTTTTCTGTTTTTTTCTAATTAATTTTCTAATTTTTCAGCTCTACCACTAATCTTGCCTTTTATTGTATTTTGACATCCTCCAATGAACCAGTATTGGTAGGGCAATTATAAGGGTACTTAGATAAAAACAAAAATGATCTACAATTGCTTCTGTAGACACAGGGTCTAGGTATGTTGCCCAGGCTGGTCAGGAAAAAAATGATCTACAAATTTCAATGCTTTAACTGTTAAAAGCAACAACTTACTAATGACTTATCTTACCACTTTTTAAAATTCATTAACCTAAAAAACATAATTTCTCTGAAAAGAGAGACTTTAATCATTATTTGAGTATGAAATAAAATTAAGTATCGTTTGAAGGGACTATAGTCGAGCCTCCTAATCATGAAATCTTGGCTTCCTTGAGCTTATCTTTCCATTCATTACTTCAACATTTATTAGAAGCCTCTATCCATGTATTAACTCGATATTTACTAGGAGCTTCCATCAATTTATTGAATTCATCCATTTATTACTAATATGTACCAAATAATGTTAGACAGTAGGATATGAGGACACAGATCTATGGTGTTTCAGTTTTGTGGATGCAGGCAAATAAACTATAAAGGGAAGTAATATGGTACTGAGTGCTCTGACACAGGTATGAATAGAGAATGTGGGGATAGGTAATTGTAGCCATTTCTTTATAATGTGTGTGCTTGGGGTGAGATTCAGGAGAATACTACGGGGTGAAAACATTGGTGGAACAGAAAAAAATTTCACAAACTAACAGTTGCAGAATGGCTACAGATCATATCGGAAATGAACCACACACTTCTGTATCTGTAGTCCTCTGCGTTGTGAAAAGATTGACTTTTTTCAAAACAGGTCAAGGAATTTGGTTATGTCAAACACAAAGTTGCCTCTTTTTTCCTTCTGACATGGTAAAAGAAAAAAAACAATCCCATAGGATGTGTTTGGTTGGCCATAGTATATTGAACTTATCTTAACCGTCTCAAAACGCATGTCAAGGACACCACTGAGACTTCTGAGTACCATTTAAAAAATTGGGTAGTCTGGAAGTGTTCTAAATTGGACCGTTTGGGGTTTCTGTTAGGGCAACTTTCCCATTTACATCTTGGAACACAGCCTTTTGAATATAGCCCTTCGGGATTGGCGGGGAGAAGGGACCGCGATGGAAAAAGTCATCATCCAAAGAATGAAGAGGGAGGATCCAACATTTAGGATATTTTATTGACTTGCTAGGCGCGTTTACCTTATCTTCGTATTAACCCCATTTTCTTCATTAACCAATTGATGCTGTGAGAAGCTATGTAACTTGACGAGCAGTGCCCAGAACTGTTTTTTTTTTTTTCTGGACTCGGTCTTTTCCACTCAAAACCAACAAAAAACCAAAACTCGTTCTTTTCCACATCAAAAGCAAACAAAAAACCCCAACCCCAACCCCAAGAGCCCCACTCTTTCAAAAGGGCTTCTCCGGATCACTAAGTCCTAGAGGTCTTTGGCTAGGCCTGGGTCCGATCTAAATAGGAAGGTAATTCTAGTGTTCCGCAAATCCTTGCCGAATTCCATCCCGGCCAAAGCAGGGACCCGGGGGAGCCTCTGGTCGCACCCGAGACAGTTCGTTAAATACTCAGTGCACGTGCTGGGGATGGAAGTGCTGACCCACTGCTCAGGTACGCGCGCACCTGACGCCGCTTGGTGCGCGCCGCGGGGTACTGGGTACGTGCTCCGCGCGCGCGCGCCCGGCAAAGTTCCCCGTACGTGCGCCGTACGTGGGCGCGGTGCCCCAGCGCTCAGCGTTTCAGCGAGTGAGTGGGCTCCGTGCCCAGCTGAAGTCTGGGAGGGGCACTTTTCCAGGCGGTCGCGGCTCCCCCTGGCGGCGGATGTGCCTCGCTGGAGGGGCGCAGTCAGGCGTTCTCCGCGGGCAGCCGGCGGCGGGGCCTTGCCTTACAGCGCGGGGTCCTCGGCGGCCTGGGTGGCTACTGCCCCTGCTGCTGTCGTAGGCGAGGACGGCTGTTAGTGCTGCTGCTGTTGGTTCGTCGCGGCGGCGAAGGAGGAGGAGGAAGAGGGCGAGGCGACAAGAGAAGAAGGAGGCAGGCGCGGCGGCAGCGGCGGCGCCCCGAGCCGGCGGAGGCGAGGGGGGGGAAGATGGCGGACGTGCTTAGCGTCCTGCGACAGTACAACATCCAGAAGAAGGAGATTGTGGTGAAGGGAGACGAAGTGATCTTCGGGGAGTTCTCCTGGCCCAAGAATGTGAAGACCAACTATGTTGTTTGGGGGTAAGTCCGGCATGGCTGTGGCCCAGGGGTGGCAGGGCAGAGTTGGGCGCCCCCAGGCGACCTCTTTCTTAACCCCTCCCCCCGTTTCCCCTGGGGATGGGATAAAACGGGTGTTCGGGGAAAAGAAAGTTTCTCTCTAGAGCAGAAGTTGCACTTTTAGGGTAAGGAAAGAAGGGGCGGAGCTCTAGAGCAGTTCATCACTTAAAATTTTTGAGAAGCCCAAAGGAAAGGTACCGTGGGAGTTTCTGACTTTTACAGTTAATTTTTATCAGTAGGTATGTGTACCAGCGAAGTGTGGGACTGGTGCGCAAGGGATACCTGAACATAGGTGCACAAAGGAGCACACCGTCTGGTGCCGTAGACGCCTCTTTTTGTTCTTTATTTTTTTTTTCTCTTTTCCAGGCTGCTATGTAACTATCTCCGCTGGTCTTTGCAACTCCTGGTTTATTTCATCTCCTTTCATTGTTGGGGTGGGGGTGATTCCTGTAGAAGAGAAAAGGGAATCAACCCTGAAGTTAGGACCGGAAAGAAATTTGGTGAATTTGGAAGAGTCATAAAAGTCTGTGTTAGAGAGGTCTTCAGGAGTTGGTGAAATGAGTGAGCTTTACAGATCTAAGAAATAGATGGTGCGTGTGATTTTTCGGAAGTGTATTTTAAAGGGAAATGTTTGGGAATGTTGGTCCATGTGAAGTTTTATCAGTTTAAGTCATTCAGGAAAACTTCTAGAGACGGCTCTAACAGTCATTAGGGGCCTTTTTAATGATGTCACTGTCATTGGTGCATCGCTTCTAGAATTAGAACCTTGAGCTACAACTTCCCTACTCATTTTGTTTCTTTGAATGGAAGCTTTATGAAGAGTCGATGAAAAACTAGGGAAATTTAGTTTGTTGGTTGGTATTTATTTATTTATTTTTGAGAGGGAGTCTTGCTCTGTCGCCCAGGCTGGAGTGCAGTGGCGCGATCTTGGCTCACTGCAATCTTTGCCTCCTGGGTTCAAGTGATTCTCTTGCCTCAGCCTCCTGAGTAGCTGAGGTTGCAGGCCCCCGCCACCATGGCCGGCTAATTTATGTAGTTTAGTAGAGATGTGGTTTCACCGTGTTGGTCAGGCTGGTCTCGAACTCCTGACCTCAAATAATCTGCCCGCCTCCACTTCCCAAAGTGCTTGGATTACAGGCGTGAGCCACGGCGCCCTGCCTATTGGTTGGTTTTAAAATTTTTTTGTCTTATGATTTAATTAGCTTTATAAAATGTTGATCAAATGACATTCTGAGTTTCTGGTATTTTACCCTTTCGAATAATTTGCATAGGTAGAATTACATGTGGTTGGATTTTTAGTGAATTTTTTTTTTTTTAGACAATGGCTAAGGAGTACCTAGGGTGTGAAGTGGTTCAATCTGAGGATTAAAAAAATTCCTAAGACTCTGGTTTCTACCTCAAAGGAGGTTAACTTAGTCTGAATAGAGGAGATTAAACAGATAAGTTGATGTGAAATGCTTTCTATAAGTTGATGTGAAATGCT
This sequence comes from Homo sapiens, assembly GCF_000001405.40. Classification (NCBI taxonomy): domain Eukaryota; kingdom Metazoa; phylum Chordata; class Mammalia; order Primates; family Hominidae; genus Homo; species Homo sapiens. The sequence continues at coordinate 193,123,851 of NC_000001.11, forward strand.
TTCTACAATAGCTTTTGAAGACAGCAGTCACTTCTAGTTGGGGTTATTTAGGAGAAGGTTCCATAGAATTGTCTTTGGCAAGTTCACATCCAACAAAGTTTTCTTGAATGAATGAATGAATGAACAAACAAGCTTTAAAGAATAGGTAGGAATTCTCTGGGCTAAATGATGGGTTAAGTCTTCCAAGATGAGTGAACTGTATACTTAAAGGCTGTATGCTTAAAGGCATAAAGAACTGGAAAGTAAATGTGTTGACAGCAATCCAGTGAAGCCAGTGAAAAAGGAGTGCTTATCACAGTAGATTTTAAACTTTTTCAGCAGTTTATCACACCAAGAAATTGTTTTTATTTTCTATATGTGCACATGCACATGGAAATATATACACATATAAAACACTAAACAATACTTACTCTTCTTATTGTATGCAGTGCATTTTATTTTTCTGTTCTTTTCTATTCTGAAAATAGAAAAAATATGGTTGTTAACTATTTATTGGGTTTCATAGTACAATAATTGATGGTGTGTGGTTTGAAATACATTGGTTTAGAGGAAAAATGGGACTAGAAGGTAGAAAAGTAGGTTTAGGGCTGATTATAGTGGACCATATTCAGATGGATTCAAAGATATAGAAGGGGAAAGTGTAGAAGGAAGGGTAGGATTGGAATGAGGTAATATTAGTACCTGCATTAGAGATCTTGCACCGTTAGTAGACTACATTGTTTTATCACAGGTAGAATAGCATTTTGGTTTTACATTATTGGTCTAATTTGAGGGATGCCATAACAGTCATACCCCTGAAATTCAGTGTTGTGTTTACTGTAAGAATGTGAAGGATGTTGTTCAGCAGTATCTTATTTATCAAGAGCCATAGGATAAATTTCTTTTACATTTAGCACCAGTGATAATTGTGCTTCTTCTAAGCAGTGTAATTGTTTTCTCTTATGGATCCTCTTCGATATGGATCTGGTTAGATTTCTCTATTGGTAAAGCCCAGAGCCTAATTTGGGCCTAATTCTAAAAAGTTTGTAGTACCTTAGAGTATGAATTTTTTGTATTTTCCCTACTTCTTGCTTTTTGTCATTGCCTTCCTTTGTGTTTCTTTTGTGATCATGACAGTCTATTCATTATTAGATTTTATACTTTTTTTTTGTTAGCTATGTTAAACTCATTGTTGTTAGCAAAGTTGTTTATATAAATGAATCCAGCCTGAAGAGTTGAATTAGAATTGTCAGTAAAAAAAATCTTGCCTTAATTATTTCAGGACTGGAAAGGAAGGCCAACCCAGAGAGTACTACACATTGGATTCCATTTTATTTCTACTTAATAACGTGCACCTTTCTCATCCTGTTTATGTCCGACGTGCAGCTGTAAGTAGAATTCATTTTACTTATCTATCTATTTATCAGTTTTATTTTTATTTATTTAAGAGACAGGGTCTGGCCTTGTTGCCCGGGCTAGGGTGCAGTGGTGTGATCATAGCTCATTGCAGCCTCGAACTCCTAGGCTCAAGTGATCTTCCCACCTCTGCCTTCAAGTAGCCAGGACTGCAGGCCTGTGCCACCGTATCTGGCTAATTTTTTTTGTTGTTGTTAAAGATGAGGGGGTCTTGCTGTGTTGCCTAGGCTGGTCTTGAACTCCTACCCTCAGTGGATCCTCCTGCCTCGGCCTCCCGAAGTGCTGGGATTACTGGCATGAATCACTGTGCCTGGCCAATAATTCATTTTAAAACTTTTTTTTTTTTTTTGAGATAGGATCTGGCTCTGTTGCCTAAGCTGGAGTGCAGTGGTGTGATCTCGGCTTACTGTACCCTCTACTTCTCGGGCTCAAGCCAGCCTCCCACCTCAGTCTCCTGAGAAACTGGGACTATAGGCATGGCCCACCATGCCGGGCTAATTTTTGTATTAACACATTTTTTTTTTTTTTGGCTTCGTGGTAGTAGGTATCATTTGGAATGGATAGCTTCCCTCATGGGTTTCAAATCAAAAGAATGAAAGGTTTGTATGAGTGTCTCCAGGAGAGTCAAAATTAGGTGACTGTGTGACTTACACAGACTTTTTAATCTGTGATATTTTTTCATGTAAAGTGTGGGTAATGTTTATAACAAAGGAAGTTTTAAAGGGATTTATAGAGCCAGGCTTCTTAGTGCACGCTGGTAATCCCAGCTACTTGGGACTCTAAGGCGGTAGGGTTGCTTGAGCCTAGGAGATCAAGACCAGCCTGGGCAACATAGTGAGATGCCATCTCAAGAAAAAGAAAACCCGAAACGCTAAAAGTATTTATAGAGATGTTTAGAAAAACTTGTAAGCCTGTGGAAGGACCCTGTTACTTCAGAACTCTAGTTTAATCTCAAGAAAACTTTTTTTGGTTGTAAGGATTAAGATTAGCAGACATTTAAAAAAATTGTTTCTTAATCAGTTTTGTGCAGCTGTTTTAGTACTCTGGAGAAGTTCATTTGTTTTTAGTTTTGCTTGCTTTCTCAGTGTTTGAAAATTTATTACTCAGAGGAAATATTTGGAAACAACTTGAAAAGAACTAATTTCATAAACTATGATGATGAGATTCTTCATCTGTAGGGAAGTATCATTAAGACCTAAATTATAGCAGTATATTATAATTGATAAGTAAATAAGATTCAGAGTTATTTGGATAGGATAGCTGTATGACATGGAAAAGTACTATAATGCCCACATAAAATGGCCTAAAAGATATTTAATTTTTTTAAATGAGCTTTTCCCTCAGATTATTTTTGGTAGAGTTGAACATAAAATTTTTTGAAGATATAATTGAAATAATTAAATGTCTGCTTTTAATATTTGTTGCTTTTGCTTACAAGTATACACTTAAAATTAAGTATGAAATGTATTTATAAATAACTACTTTTTCCCATTTCTTATAGTTCTTAAAACAATCTTCTTAAACTTTTCTTATAGTTCTTAAAACAATTTTTTAAAATATCACTGTGTCTGTCATCACTGGAGCTGCTTTTTGAGTTACCTAACACCGTTGCTGGATCACATTAAGCTGTGTGAAACTTAACTTCTATAACTCTAACCTCCCTCCCAACTAGAAATAGTTAAGGTTTCTGGCTTATGTATCTTTCAAACAATAACTTGTTGTCTAAAGCAACTAAAAGCCAGGTGTGGTGGTGCATGCCTGTAGTCCCAGCACTTTGGGAGGCTGAGCTCAAGTGGGAGGATCACTTGAGCTCAGGAGTTCAAGACCAACCTGGGCAACATAGGGAAACTTTGTTAAAACAAAAAATAAAAAAAATTAGTCAGGCGTGGTAGTGTGCACCTATACTCCCAGCTGGCTACTCAAGGGGCTGAGGTGGGAGGATCACTTGGGCCCAGGAGGTTGAGGCTGCAGTAAGCCATGATCACACCAATGCATCTATCCTGGGTGATAGAGCAAAGACTCTGTCTCAGGGAAAAAAAAAAAATGTGTGTGTGTGTGTGTGTGTGTGTGTGATTATAGCAATTGAGAAAGTATCCCGTCACTTAGTGGGCTTTGTATTAAACCATAAGGCTTCTGCTTTCCTGAGTAAGAAATATATATTTATGTTACATATTTAAAAAAATAAAATTAGAGTGGGACTACTTGGGAAAATAAGGGGAAAAAAATAGCACCAGCTCCGTCTTTAAGGTTATTTTAACTCAGATCTTTAAAAACTAAATTAGGTAGTTCTTACAGTGTTTTGTTGGATATATTCATTTTAGTGTAACAAAGATTCAGATAGTTGGCTTAGATTTATAGATTCTGTTTTTGGGAAATGGTTGTGCATATAACTGATAGCTGTAATTGTTACTGTGGACCTTGGGACCCTTGGTTGCATAAGATTTAACTCATTTTTCATAAGTATTTGCCAGATTGAAAGAGTAGGATTCTAAAATTCCAAAATTCTATGAATTCGAGATTGTTGTCTCCTAATTACTTTGTGTTATTTGCTCTTTCCTGTGCGCAGACCACTCATTTTTTTTTTTTTTTTTTTTGAGTGCAGTGGCGTGATCTCGGCTCACTGCAACCTCCGCCTCCTGGGTTCAAGGGATTCTCCTGCCTCAGCCTCCCAAGTAGCTAGAATTACAGGCACACGCCACCATGCCTGGCTAATTTTTGTATTTTTAGTAGAGACGGGGGTTCACCACGTTAGCCAGGTTGGTCTTGATTTCCTGACCTCGCGATCCGCCCGCCTCGACCTCCCAAAGTGTTGGGATTACAGGCGTGAGCCACTGCGTCCGGCTGAGCAGACCACTCTGAAAACAGATTCCTGATCCTTAGTTCCTATTTTAGTGTGAGTAGATGTAATCTTTTTCAGTGGATTGTGATGTGTACATAACTCAGTAGTGACCAAATGATGATGTAAGTTATTAGACTTAGAAACAGTAACTTAAAATTAACTCAAATCTTTTAACTGTTTATGATATTCCATATAGACTGGTTTATTTTTATTTTTTATTTTTTTTTGAGACAGAGTCTTGCTCTGTCACCCAGGCTGGAGTGCAGTGGCAGGATCTTGGCTTGCCACAGCCTTACCCTCCCGGGCTCAAGTTGTCTTCCTCCTTCAGCCTCCTGAGTAGCTGGGAGTATAGCTGGGACTGCAGGCGCTTGCCACCATGCCTGGCTAACTTTTATATTTTTGTAGAGTTGGAGTTTTTCCATGTTGCTCAGGCTGGTCTCGAACTCCTGGGCTCCAGCAATCCACCCACTTTGGCCTCCCAGAGTGTTAGGATTACAGGCATGAACCACCATGCCTGGCCTAGGCTGGTTTAAAAGAATACAAGCACAAAAAAACTCTGCACTCAAATTTTTAAACTCATAAGGAGAAACTAAAATTTAGCTTGACCTTTTTAAAATAAAAGGTTAATTTTTAAGTGATTAAATACAGTTTATCTAAATCATTGAGGAGTCAGTGCAGAATGTTTGGTGCAGTAAATTATAATAAGTATTCAATATAAGGTCATTGGCCAAAGATACTAAAGGTTCTTGTTGTTACTTCATTGTTACACATATAAAGTGACAAAGGATTTAAACTGAAATCTGTTAGCTACCAATTTTTCTTGCACTGTTTGTTTGTGTTTCAGACTGGGTCTCGCCTCAGTCTCCTGAGTAGCTGGGATTATAGGCTTCTGCCATCACGCCCGGCTAATTTTTTTTTTTTTTTTTTTTTTGAGACAGTGTCTCACTCTGTCACCCAGGCTGGAGTACAGTGGCGTGATCTCGGCTTACTGCAACCTCTGCCGCCCAGGTTCAAGCGATTCTCTTGCCTCAGCCTCCCGAGTAGCAGGGACTGCAGGTGCCTGTCACCGCGCCTAGCTAATTTTTGTAGTTTTAGTAGAGATGGGGTTTTACCATCTTGCTCAGGCTGGTCTTGAACTCCCGACCTCATGATCCACCCGTCTCGACCTCCCAAAGTGCTGGGATTACAGGTGTGAGCCACTGCGCCCTGCCTAATTTTTGTGTTTTTAGTAGAGATGGAGTTTGACCATGTTGGCCAGGCTGGTCTTGAACTCATGACCTCAAGGGATGCGCCCGCCTTGGCCTCCCGCAGTGCTGGGATTACAGGTGTGGGCCACTGTGCCTGGTCATTGCTTTATTTCTAATGATTATTTTCTGTATATCTTCCTGGAATTTCAAAAAGAAATTTATTTATTTATTTATTTATTTATTTATTTATTTAGAGACGGAATCTCTCTATGTTGCCCAGGCCGGAGTGCAGTGGTGCAGTCTCGGCTCACTGAAACGCCTGTCTCCGCCTCCTGGGTTCCAGTGATTCTCCTGCCTCAGCTTCCTGAGCAGCTGGGATTACAAGCATGCTTCACCACACCCAGCTAATTTTTGTCTTTTTAGTAGAGACGGGGTGTTGCCATGTTGGCCAGGCTGGTCTTTAACTCCTGACCTCAGGTGATCCACCCACCTCAGCCTCCCAAAGTGCTGGGATTCTAGGTGTGAGCCACCGCGCCCAGCCAAGAAAATTATTAAAAGTAACATGTTTAATACATTTTCAGGATTTTTATTAGGTTCTTTTAGCCTAGTCATTTTGTTCAAATGTGATTTAAAATATATTGTATCAAGATATATTGGAATAAAATTCAGACATTACATGTTAATATCAAGTTGTAAGAAAATTATTAAAAGTAACTAACATGTTTAATAAATTTTCAGGATTTTTATTAGGTTCTTTTAGCCTAGTCATTTTTTACAAATGTGATTTAAAATACGTTTTTTCAAGATATGTTGGAATAAAATTCAGACATTACATGTTAATATTTATTAAGTTGTGTATCATTGTTATTCATTTCATATCTCATTTAAAATTTTGGTTTTAGACTGAAAATATTCCTGTGGTTAGAAGACCTGATCGAAAAGATCTACTTGGATATCTCAATGGTGAAGCGTGTGAGTACTTTTTAAATTGTTCCCAGTCTTAAACAGACATTGTTTCTTTTTTCCCCTATGAAATAATGATTAGAGGGAAGAGAATTTGTATTTCCACCAAAAAATTAACCTACCTTCATTTTTGTCCATGTGCTCACCTTTTTCTTATACAGTGGATGCACTGTCTTTGCCCTTATGGCCAGTCACCCCTTCCTTGTGTGTGGATTCCATCTCCTTTCACAGTCTCAAAGACTTTGTCTTCGTAAATTGTTGTTTCTCTGACATCATCAGTTTTCTACTTTCTTCTGGATCATTCCCTTTTAGAATACCTACAGTAAGATTTCATGTTTAAAAAATGTTTTTGATCCCACATTCCTACTGTCTACTGCTTCATTTATCTCCTCCCTGATACTGTAAAATATTCTGCAAGAGTTCGTGTGGTATCATTGCTTCTTTTTTACCTTTGTTTCTTTCTTGAAGCCACTCTAGTCTGGCCTTCATCCTTACCATCCCACTAAAATCACTCCTTGTAAGGTCAAAACTGATTTAAGGATTGCTACATCCTTTGGTCTCTTGTACCATACTTGACCTCTCAACAGCATTTGATACTGTTGACCACTCATTTTTGAAAGCCTTTCTTCATTTGGCATTTGGAACACCAGCCTCTTGGTTCTCTTTCTACTCGTTGTTCACCTCTCAGTTTATTTTGGTTACTTCTGTACCTGACCTCTAATTCTTGAAGTTTCCAAGACTTGATCTTTTTTTTTATCTTTTCTTTTAACCTGTATTCTCTAGGTGATCTCTTTCAGTTTTATGGCTCAGATATCATATATATGCTGATGAAATTTCAAGTGTTTTTTTCAGCATTGATTTCTTTCAGGGCACCAGATTTATAAATTTACTGTCAACATGTTTCCTTGAATGTTGAATAGGCATCTGAAATTTAACACTGAAAATGGAATGCCTGATTCCCTCTTTCCCTTCTGCCCTCACACAGAACAAAAACAAGTCTGTTGTTTTCTCAGTGTTCCCACTTTAGTAAGGGGTAGTGAGACGCTCTTCCTGCAGTTGCTTAGGCCAGAACTTTGGTGACATCTTTGTCACATCTCACATCCATTCTATCAACAAGTTGTTTTTTTCTCTTTTTAAAAGTATGACAACTTCTTACCATTCTACCTGCCCTATTTCATCCTTGCTTTTTAGATTATTGTATAGCTTCCTCACAGGTCCCCACTCTTTATTTCCTATAGTGTAGTCTTAGCAATAGAGTGTCCTGCTTTTGAAAAAGTATATAAACTTGATTGTGTCACTCACCTGTGGCTTCCCATCACTCTTAGAATAAAACTCATACTTGTTACCCTGGCAGTCATCTTGCCTCTGCCTAAATCTCTGTGACTCCATCTTCTACCATTCTTCCTTTGCTCATAACAGTCAGTCTTTTTGGTCTTTTAGCTATGCTAATCTTAGCACCTTTGCACTTTCTCTTTCTATCTTGAGTTGTCTTTCTCTACATTATCACATGGCTCACTTGCTTACTATTTCATTTAGATCTGTGCTCAAGTGTTTTTCCAAATGTTGTTCCATCAGAGAAGACTTCTCTGACCACTCTTATCGAAAATATAGTATTCCTTTCCTCCTTCTGTGGTTTTTATATAGTGCCATCCTGATTTATTTTTCACCAGATCTCATACATTGACCTGAAATTATATATCTGTTTATGTACATAGTGTCTGTCTTTCCCATTAGAAGGTAAATCCTAAGGGGACAGACAGTTGTTTGTCTTGTTAAATACCCAGCATTTACAATAGTGGTGCATGGTAGGTTCTTAACTGAATAAATGAGTAATTATTAATTTACTCTCTTACAGAGTACAAGTACATTGATATAATACAACTATTGGGTCTTACTTTGCTGAGTGTGACGTGTAGTACCTTTAAGTCATTAACAGCTGTCTTGTCATGCATGGCTTTAAGCAGTAAGATTGATTTCCACAGAGAATCTTGTGTATAATGGAAAGATCATCATTAGGAATGCTTTCTTCCTATGCTGTCCTCATTCAATAAGGACTTATTACGTGCTTATTCTTAAAAGGCATTATGCTGGGTGTTGTGCAAAATGCCAAATCCCTGTCTTAAACATGTAAACATGTTTACTGTCATGCAAGGGAGACTGGATACACAAAAGTTTAGAACCCAGCAGTATTAAAGAGGGAGTCTCAATTCTGTGAAGAGGATGGAGTTGGGGAGGATAGAAGAAACTTTTTTTTTTCTTTCAGAGATGGGGTCTCGCTACATTGTTCAGGCTGGTCTTGAACTCTTGGGCTCAAGCAGTCCTCCTCCCTTGGCCTCCCAAAGTGTTGGGATTGCAGGCATGAGCCACTGTGCCCAGCCATTTTTTTTTTTTTTAATCAAAGCAAATTTGATTCTTTGGAGCAGTGTTTCTCTAACTTTTTAAGTGATGAGAATCATATGGTTTGAAAATAGTGGTTTTTTTTGTTTGTTTGTTTTTGGCTTCAGAAGATGTGATATAAGGTCTAAGATTCTCTATTCTTAAGCATCGCAGGTGAGCCTGATAAATAGGCTAGTTTTGGGGAAGCACTTTAGAGCAAATGATTTTTCTTTTTAGAATCAAAAGTAGAGTTGCCCTTTATCCATCTATGTCATTTCCTGTAGATTTTTTTTTTTTTTTTTTTTTTTGAGAAGGAATCTTGCTCTGTCGCCCCAGGCTGGAGTGCAGTGGCGCGATCTTGGCTCACTGCAAGCTCCGCCTCCCGGGTGCATGCCATTCTTCTGCCTCAGCCTCCTGAGTAGCTGGGACTACAGGCGCCTGCCACCACGCCTGGCTAACTTTTTGTATTTTTAGTAGAGACCGGGTTTCACTGTGTTAGCCAGGATGGTATCTATCTCCTGACCTTGTGATCTGCCTGCCTCGGCCTCCCAAAGTGCTGGGATTACAGGTGTGAGCCACCGCGCCTGGCAGTTTTTATAGGACAGAGTTAGTCACTAAGCGTATTGCTTTGCCACTTTTTAAAAACTGTTAATTTAATAGTTTAATGAAAAGGTTGAGCAAATATTAAGACCGTATTCTTAGGAAGACATAATAGCTAAAGATGTTGGTTCTTAATTTATACATTTAACATGGTCTCAATAAGAATCTCTAGTTTTTCTTGAGGTAGGAATAGAACTAGACAAGGTGATTCTAAAGTTCATTGGCAAAAGTAAGCATCCTAAAAATTTGTAGAAGAGCATTGAGAAAAGGCTAGTCATTCTGGAGAACTTAAAACCCTGATAATTTGAAACAACTAAATGACTAGATACACTAATAAAAAAACTTTATCTGTTAGGTTAGAAATCTATATGTGAATTTAACATATGATTAAAGAGACATGTCAAGTCAATGGGAGGAAGGTGGGATTATTCAGTTACAAGCTGATAAAAGTAGTAAAGTTCTGTATTATAAAAAACAAAAGACATGACAAACTGGGAAAATATGTTAATATTTCAACTCATCACAGATAAAGGGCTAATCTCACTAATATACGAAGGGTCCTGGAACTTTATGCATAAAAGACCAAACACTCTATGGATTATGTCATAAAATTCACAGAAAAGGTGATAAAATCATGAAAAATGCTTAATATCATTTATAATAAGAGAATTGCAAATTTAAACTATACGGAGATAGGATTTTTTTTTTTTTAACCTGATAGAAAAAAATCTGTAAGTTTGATAATATGCTCTGGTGAAGCAATGAGAAAACAGATATTCTACTATATTGTTGGTTATAATGTTAATCAGTGCACCCCTACACCCCCATTGAAGAATTGGCAGCAGTCTAACATTACAAATTTAACATAGAAATCCTGTGTCTGGAACTTTATCCTAGAGGTATATTTCGTTTAGCTTTTTTACCAGTTGTGAATAACTAAAAATTACATGTGTAGGGTGAATGCTAACTTTAAAAAAACTTGCCATTATATATAATATCTATATGTACATTTATATATTTATGAAAACTTGTGACTTTATATTAATATATTATTGTGCCATTGTTCGTAACAACAGAAGACTAAAATTGAACAGCTCATCAACAGGGACCTAGTTAAATAAATTGTAGTTAGGCCATACAGTAGAGTACTCAGTAGCTATAAAAAAATGGTTAAAGAGGGCCGGGCACAGTGGCTCACACCTGTAATCCCAGCACTTTGGGAGGCCGAGGCGGGCGGATCACGAGGTCAGGAGATCGAGACCATTCTGGCTAACATGGTGAAACCCCGTCTCTACTAAAAATACAAAAAAATTAGCCGGGCGTGGTGGCATGTGCCTGTAGTCCCAGCTACTCGGGAGGCTGAGGCAGGAAAATGGCGTGAACCCAGGAGGTGGAGCTTGCAGTAAGCCAGGATCGCCACTGCACTCCAGCCTGGGTGACAGAGCGAGACTCCGTCTCAAAAAAAAAGTAAAGGAAATGCTCTACTTACTGATATGGAGGGTTATGGGAGATAAGTTGTTAGGTAAAAAAGAAAACAGGGTTCAGAACAGTATGTTTAGTATGTCACCTTTTGTATTAAAAAGGGTAAAAATAATTTTGTATTTCTCATATCTACAGAAAGAAACTCTAGAAGGATATATAAGAGACTAGTTGGCTGCATAGGGTGGTGGGAACTAGGTGAATGGGGACAGGTATACCCCTTTTTGTTGAGCCATTCAAAAATTAAGTAATTTAATTTTAAAAATAATTTAGTTTTTTACCAGTTGTGAATAACTAAAAATTGCATGTTTAGGGTGAATGCTAACTTAAAAAAAATCTTGTCCATATATATGTGTGTGTATGTGTGTGTGTATATATATATTTATGTGTTTACTTACACCTTTTTAGGTGTCTGTGTTATGACATTGGAGCATATACTTTGAAGCAACTAATTTCAGTCAGATCATCTCAGTAATTTGTAAGCTAAATTGTTAAAAATAGTTTGTCCTCTTAGAGACTTTCTAGTATAGATTAATCTTTTAAATAACATGTTTTTGCAGAGCTGCTTTAAAACTGAATTTTTTACCTAGAGAAAATCACCATATAGAAGTATATAAAAAACCTAAAGCATTTCACTTGTAATAATATCCAATATATATGTTGAAATAGTAATCCTTACGTGAATCTTTTTATGTCTTCAGCAACATCGGCAAGTATAGACAGAAGCGCTCCCTTAGAAATAGGTCTTCAGCGATCTACTCAAGGTATGTCTTGTTGCATATTTATATTGAACTTTCAGAAGCCCATTCCAAAACTACACATTTATTTACTTCTCTTTCTTTTATAGTCAAACGAGCTGCAGATGAAGTTTTAGCAGAAGCAAAGAAACCACGAATTGAGGTAAAGAAACTGTATTTTAAACAATTTTATTTATATTGTTATTGAAATTGGGATTCTTTAGTAACAAGGATTCTTTGATTGCAGTAACCTGAGGAGCTTTTTTTCTGGAAAAATTTTTGTGGTAGAAAGAACAATTGATTAATAAGTAGCTCAAGCTATAGTTTTAGCTCTCTCACATGCAAGCTATGTGAGGGACAAATCATTTTATTTTCTTTGCTTTTATATTCTTATGGATGAACCTATTGGCTCAAGGGTCAGAATTCTTTTTCCTTTCTGTTCTTTTTTTTTTTTTTTTTTGAGGCAGAATCTTTCTCTGTCACCCAGGCTGGAGTCCAGTGGTATGATCATAGCTTATTGTAGCCTCGACCTCCGGGGTTTAAGTGATCCCCCCACCTCAGCCTCCCGAGTAGTTGGGACTGCAGGTGCCTGCCACCATGCCCAGTTAATTTTTGATTTTTTTTTTAATAGAGACAGGGTTTTCCGTGTTGGCCAGGCTACAGAATTCTTTCTTTATGAAAGGCCAGATAGTAAATATTTTAGGCCTTATGGGCCATACAGTTTATGTTGCAACTATTTTACTTTAATATTGTAGTGTGAAAGCACTCATAGACAATACATAAATGAACAGATGTGGCTATGTTTCTATAAAAAACTTCAGAAAACAGATGGCGGGCCAGAATTGGTCTTTGGGATGTAGTTTGCCTACCTTTGGAACAATGTGTTATGGGTGCTTGCTTTACTGCTCAGAGCTGTGAACATGAAGTACTTACTACTTTAATGTAATCTTAATTAAGGATATTCTGAGAAATGGATCTGATATTTTTAAGAGATAATGATGATAATTGATTCATTGTTATTGCTCTATGCTATGTGTTATTCTAAGTACTTTATATGTATTAACTCATGTAATCGTATTTGCTCATAGATGATATGCATAGTACTCCCAGAACTCATTAAGTTGGTAGTACTGTGCATATCATCTATGAGCGAATAGGCTCAGACAGAGTGAGTTCCTGAGGTTTGAAGAACCAGTTGGAACCTTGGCAGTCTGGTTTCTAGCCATTCTGCTATACTGGGTATAAATTTTGTGGCAGTAAAACTGAATATTTCCCCTTATATGAAAGGAGATTGTGACCTGTGGTAAACAATGTGTATGAATTTAGGGATACCATTTATTTGATCTCAAATTCCTGGCCTCAAGCATTCTGCCCACCTCGGCCTCCCGAAGTGCTGGGATTACTGCCATGAGCCACTGCGCCCAGCTCAAGGGATGCCATTTATTTGAAACAATCTGAACATCACAGTCTAATTATTTGAAAAAATTCAACATGGCAGAAGTCCTAGTTTCCTGGGATTCCAGTAACTTAAAAAATCAGCAGGAAATGGCATAATACATTTTTTTCCAAATCATTTGTGGGGTTGAAATGTGTTACATAAACAGCTATGGTTTTCAACATTGGTTTTCAGTTCAGTGTATGTCTTTTGAGGATCTATAAGGAACTGTGCTAGGAAAGAGAAACTGAGGGTAGAGTTTCTGATTTGATAAAAATCTAGGCTGCAGTTATCTTTAAAATCAGTAGTAAGGAATTTGAGAAATCTGGGCTATATCTTTATTGCAAATGGAAAAAGTTGGATGCATTTGCCAAAATATTTTTGCATTTATTTCAGCTGATTTATTCATTTTAAGATTTTTACATGATAGATTAATAATAGGACATGAATTGGAGCCCAACATCTTTTTGGATCTCTAGAGTATGCTGATGCTTTTTATACAGTTTTGTATTTCATTAGTCATAGTCATTGACTCTGGTCCTCAGTTTTGTTATTTGTTGAATGTGGACATTAAACTGGATCAGGGTTACCAGATTTTGTTTTGTTTTTAACCAACAGCTTTTCAGACTAAATTTTACTTGACATCATAATATGTGAATTAGATAAAAGCTGAGCTACCAGGGTTGAATTTCAGACAAAATCTTGAAGTGGCCCATGAGGCGTTTAGTTGGAAGCTTCTAACGTTCTAATGACCATCCTTTGAAAACCTTTAAGGTTTTCCTTAGAGCATTTTGATTAGTGCTAATGGATTCAGGACCTGTAGCAACAGATGAAAAAAAAATGGAGATACCAAAATGAAATTGTTGACTCTGGTGAAGGCTTGTCATAACATTTGGTTATTAACTTTCTCAAAAAGATGAATTTATTTGTTGTGTCTTTCTGAAGAAAGTCAGCTATGATATGGGAAGAGCACTTAATCATAAAGAAAAAAGTAGCTAAGCAAGTTTTTCCTAAGCTTTTCGATGATTCCAGTCTTAAGATTCAACATATATTTATTGTTATTATCTTTACGTAGCCAAAAGTAGTCTTGAAGTTGGCCTAAAGACACTGATACCTAGAATTGTAGAGGTAGGAAATTTGGTAAGGAAAAGTTACATGTAGCGTTTTTTCTTCCTAAAAGTTCAATAAAAATTTTAAATGCATTAACCAGTGGTTATTTCCAGGATGAAGAGTGTGTGCGCCTTGATAAAGAGAGATTGGCTGCCCGTTTGGAGGGTCACAAAGAAGGGATTGTACAGACTGAACAGATTAGGTAAGAATTCTTTTTAAGTAGAAAGTAGGTAGTTTAGATATATGTAAAAGTATAAGGAAAAGGAATATTAAAATGCTCTCCACATTTACATTTACCTCTTGGATTCATTTTATGCCTCTTTGCTCTTAAGTTCGTAAGAACATGTGTGGGGATTGGAAGTCATTGTGTTTATCATGCTTTTTGAAAAGTCTTCTTGTTTCTATTACCATGTTGGTCTTTCTTTTTAAAAATTGCGTTATAAGCTGAGAAATTCATTTTATGTTACCTCTTATTGATTACTTACACCAGAAGTCAGCAAGCTTTTTCTGGAAAGTGCCACATGTTAAATATTTTTAGCTTTGAAGGTAATATGGTCTCTTGAAACTACTGAACTTTTGTGGTGTGGGGAAAGCAGCCATAGACAATACATGAATGGATGGGCATAGTTTCTTCACTTTTTAAAAATGTTTTCATTTTTCTGGATTCCAGCTACTCAAACTCTACTTGAAGTTGTTTGACAGCTCACTTACATTCTTTTCTTTTTTTTGGATTCTTTTCTATCTGTCTGTTTATATTCTTTTTTGAATTATTTTTGGATAGTTTCTGTTGTACTGAACTTTAATTTTTTTTTTTTTTTTTGGAGACGGAGTTTCACTTTTTCACCCAGGCTAGAGTGCAGTGGTGCGATCTTGGCTCACTGCAACCTCTGTCTTCTGGTTTCAAGCGATTCTCCTGCCTCAGCTTCCCGAGTAGCTGGGATTACAGGCGCCTGCCACCACGCCGGGCTAATTTTTATACTTTTAGTAGAGATGATGTTTTCACCATGTTGGCCAGGCTGGTCTCAAACTCCTGAACTCGTGATCTGTCCGCCTTGGCCTCCCAAAGTGCTGGGATTACAGGCGTGAGCCACCGCGCCTGGCTGAACTTTAGTATTTTTTTCTTTGACAGTTCACTTACATTCTTCTCTTTTTTTGAATTAACTTTATATCTGTTAAATTCTTTCTTGAGTCCTTTTTGGATAGTTTCTGTTGTGTTTTCAACTTTACTTAATTTTTTTTATGTAATTCCATGCATGTTTAGTCTCCAGCATTGTAGTTTTCATCTGAAGTTTGTTTTGCTCTTTTTTTTTTTGAGACGGAGTTTCGCTCTTGTGACCCAGGCTGGAGTGCAGTGGCGTGATCTCGGCTCACTGCAACCTCTGCCTCCCGGGTTCAAGTGATTCTCCTGCCTCAGCCTCCCGAGTAGCTGGGATTACAGGTGCATGCCACCACGCCCAGCTAATTTTTGCATGTTTTGCTCTTTTTTAAAAAACATACCTACTTCATCTTTTCATTTAGCTTGTTGAAATATAGAACGTAGTTCTTGTAATTATTTTCATGCCTTGAGATTGATTGATATTTCTCCTCGTTCTGCTTTATTACATGTCTGCTTTATTACATTTTCCTGCTTTATTACATATCATGTGATCTTTGCACACCAAACATCATATATACTTTTTACCTTGTTGAGGGCTAGATATTGTTATATCTCCCCACATCATCTTTAGCTTTTTTTTGGGACACAGTTAAATCCCTTGGAAACAGTTTGTTACTTTTGGGTCTTGATTTTAATTTATCTGAACATTGGTCAGCTAGGGTAATTATTCCCCACCCACTGAGGGAAGACCATTCTGAGTACCTAATACTTCATGAACGTGAGGTTTCATTCTGGCTAGTGGAACAGGCACTATTCTTCACTTTGTGTGAACACTAGGCATTATTCTGTCTAATTCACTTGGGTGGTTCTTTATTCAACCTTACATAGTTTCTTCATATTTGTGCTAGTCAGAATTCTGCTGGGGTACGTGAGGGGGATCTTCTGTGCAGTTCTCAGGTCTTCTGACCTATGAATTCTAAACACCTTGGTCTTGCTGTAGTCTCAGCTCCATTTCTTCTTATCAGAGAATCCGCTCAGCTCTACATGGGTTCTCCTCCCAAGGCCATGTCTTGGAAACTTACAGGCAATAAGCTGAGGCAGTCATAGGGCTTACCTTGTTTGTTTCTCATTTGTTAGGGAATTACTGTCCTTCATTGCTTGATATCTAGCATCTAGTAAACCATTGTTTTATGTATTTTGACTGGTTATTTAAAGGCTGGAGGGTTAGTCTAGTCTCTGGTACTTCATCTTGGCTGTAAGTAAAAATTCTATGTTTCAAAGTCCATTGGAGGCTTGATTATAGTTTGGAGAAGTACGGTAGTCCCCCATCCACCCTCTGGGGATATGTTCCAAGACCTCCAGTGGATGCCTGAAACCTCGGATAGTCCTGAACTCTAGCCAAGGAGTGCCAAGGTCACCTTGTCGTTTAAGGGAAGCACTTTGGCAGTGGCATATGCGAATTGCTGGCATCACTACTCTTGTGTTTTGGGGCCATTGTTAGGTAAAATAAGGGCTACTTGAACATAAGTACTTTAATGCTGCCATAGTCGATCTGATAACCGAGATGGCTATTAAGCGACTAACAGGCAGTGTATACAGTATGGATACATTGGACAAAGGGATCATTCGTGTCCGGATATCCCAGGCAGGTGTCCCAGGCAGGACAGTACAAGATTTCAGCAGGCTACTCAGCACGGCACATAATTTAAAACTTACGAATTATTTATTTCTGGAATTTTCCATTTAATATTTTGGACTGTGGTTGATAGCAGGTAACTGAAACTGTGGAAAGCCAAACAGGAGTACTGTATTTGAATTTGGCTTAAGGTATGCTGGTGTGCTTTAGATTTTAAGGGAAATTTGCACAGTATTACACAAAATGCATCAAATGCCAGATGCATATGAGCACTACTATAAAGTACCTTCATACCTAATCTGAATAAAATTAGAATACTGTATAATACTACTGTATTTAAACCTGCAGGAATTTTTGTCCTTTTTCTAGATTTTGTGTAAACATATTTCAAGATTTTCATCTTGTGACTAAAGTAATATTTTTGTCTACTGTTATTAAGGTACCCAAACACTTTTTAATTCTTTTTCTCATTTTACATGATAAAAGACACTTTGCTTAAGATTATCATTTTATGACGTATACTTTCAGTGTTGTCTTTTTTTATATTTCTGCAAACATAGTCTCTTTCAACTATTTTGCCTATTTGAAAATCAAGAAAAGGGAAGAAAAAGAAAACTGTATAAAATATGGCTTTATCTTCCAGAGATTAAAGGAGTATGTTTTTGTGGCATATAAAAGCCTGTCACTTAAATTATGTTCTGCACTATGGCATACAAGTTTGAAACCTTGAAATAAATTTCAAGGAAAACCTAGGCTTTGAACTTTCTGTAGGATGGATTTTTTACCTCCTTCCAAAGTGGCATCTGTGTGTGTGTTTAATTTCCATAGATACAGAAAATATAAAGAAAAGCACCTATATTAATGAGTCCTGCTTTTTTGTGGGGAAGAGATGAAAAACCATGAAGAATTTTGTTGTATTGATACTTCTAAGAAATTACTAATTTGCTCTTAGAGTAATATCTCGACATGAATTCTTTATAAAAATTTTATATAATTGCAGAATAGCAAGTCAGTCTTACAGATAAGAAAACCTTAATTATTGCCATGTAAGTGTTTTTACCAGAAATTTATAAATGTAACAAAATATATTTATGATACACTCCAGGAATGCCTGCTGTGAAAATTTAAAAAAGAAATTGCTTTTAGGTCTTTGTCTGAAGCTATGTCAGTGGAAAAAATTGCTGCAATCAAAGCCAAAATTATGGCTAAGAAAAGATCTACTATCAAGACTGATCTAGATGATGACATAACTGCCCTTAAACAGAGGAGTTTTGTGGATGCTGAGGTAGATGTGACCCGAGATATTGTCAGCAGAGAGAGAGTATGGAGGACACGAACAACTATCTTACAAAGCACAGGAAAGGTAATTAAAATATTTTACTCATTCATTGGAGTGAGAGAGAGAGAGAGAGAGTGCGTTTAATCTGTGGTTATAGAATTGGTTAAACTTTGCTTTTAGGTGGAAGTTTCAAGTTTTATCTCTTTGAAAGCTCAGTAATAATGTAGATTTCCAGATGGCCATTTTTACCATTCCATTCTTGAATATGGTTGTTAGACATCAGAGATGCTGATGAAAAAGTAGGAATCAAAATGCAAGCTCCTTCACAGATCATTTGCAAATCAAAGAATGGCCCAGTTTTCCTGTTGAGTCATTTTTGCTTAAACCTAATAAATGGAATAATATTGATGGCAAGTTCTCTGGTTATTAATGCCATCATTATTTTTTTTTCTCACATGGTAGAGAACTTATGGAAATCTGTAGCAAACATTTATTGAGTATATTTTACACACTATATTCTGTTGTGTGGGTATAGCAGTTTTTTCATTAGCTCCCTATTAATGGAAATTGTTTTCTTTTGTTTTTGCTCCAAAGATTGTGCAGTTTTTCTCCCTTTCTCTGTCCTTCCTTTCTTCTCTCTGCCCCCCTCCTCCTTTCTCTCTTTCTCCTCCCGTTTCCCTCTCTTCCTCCTTCCCTCACTTCCTTTTCCCTATTATGAATAATGCATTAGAAAACATTGTTGTACACGTACCTTTGTGTGTTTGTGTGTATATAGCCAAAGGATTAATTCTTGGAAACAAATTGCTGGTTAAAGGAGATATGCACTTTATATTTTGAAAGATAAAAATCTGAAATACTGAATGTCCAGTATTTTCATGGATCTCCAAAAAGAGGATGCATTTATCCTGATTTATGTACTTTCATTTGTCTTTTCCTCTTTAGTGCCTCAATTTTCTCTTAAATGTTTTCTCCACTGATGCACAGTTGTTAATAATGATGATCTAGTAAGAATGTTGAAGTGTGCAAAGTTACTTGTGAAACTGAAATTTAACATTGTTTTAGGCAAATTGGTTTTGATTGTAGAATTTTGGGATTTTAGTCTTAAATTTACATTGCTATTTTAGTAGAAATAAAGCTATGAAAAGAGTATATGAAGAAAAGAATCATTTCTTTTTCTTTTGTACTTTGACTTTGTTTTACAAAGTACCTAAGGTTGAGATTAAGAATCATTCTCCAGAGCTTAGAATTATAGAGAAATCTGAGGATGTGAGTAAACTTCCATTTTTGCTATTTACAACAAAATGATTTGTTGATACTGATTTTCACTGTCTAGCATGGCTAATACTTGAGAAATATTGTGACTTACGTTGATCCACCAGTGTTCATTAAAATAAAAAAATCTCAAACTCATAGTAGAAGAATAAAAACAGGTGATATACCCTACCTAACTTTTAGACCAAACATTACTTTTTCAAGTAACTGAAGTGAACAGTTTTCTTTGAGCTCTAGGTGGCAGGATTGTACCATCATTTCTAAACTTACTGATTTAATATTGTTGGTACCACTATATCTTTTAAAAAAATAAGTTAATAAAAGAATTGTTTTGTAGCTAGGCTTGCCTGAGTATTATTAGTATTAAAAAATAAAAAATACTTTGATAGTCTTTCTGTGTATTGTTTTTATCTGGTAAACTCTAAAAATACTCTTAGGCAGGTGAGAATAAAAAAATACCCTTAGGTACTTAAAGCCCTGTGGGTTTTAGATAGACCTTCATTATTACTAGTTATCAGGGCTTTCTTATTTTTTGAGTTTCAGGAACAAAAGTCAGGTTCAAGATTCATGAGAGGCTGGGTGCAGCGGCTCATGCCAGTAATCCCAGCACTTTGGGAAGTCGAGGTGGGTGGACCAGTTGAGGTCAGGAGTTAGATTCCAGCCTGGCCAACATGGTGAAACCCTGTCTCTACTAAAAATACAAAAATTAGTGGGGCATGGTGGCATGCGCTTGTAATCACAGCTACCTGGGAGGCTGAGTGAGGAGAATTGCTTGAACCTGTGAGGTGGAGGTTGTTGTGAGCTAAGATTGTGCCATTGCACTCTAGCCTGGGTGACAGAGTGAGACTCTGTCTCACCAAAAAAAAAAAAAAAAAAAATTTCATGAGAGGTATAAATATGTTATTATTTTTGCAAGGACCCCAAATAAAGCAACTTGATTTTATAATGCCGTTTAGAAAACACACCTTTAAACTTACATAAATTAGGTGAAAGGTTTATACGATCTGAAGAGAAACATGTATAAACTTATATAAATTAGTATATGTTCATCATTGAAAAACTAATAAAAAGGAGATCACTAGAAGGAAGATGTTAATCACCTGTAATTCTGCTGCATAGTAGATTGATGATAATATTGATTAATTCTTCTTTATTTTTAAAGTAGTGAGATTTGCTTTTCATATATTTTCAACTATTTTTTATAATAAGACTAAGATTTTATGTGCATTTTTCATTGTATTGACCTTTGCAGTGATGGTACACAATCAATGGTTGGTAAAACTGCTGGTCATGGTGTGAATCAAGGCAATGGCACTTAGCCATTGTGTTCTTTACTCACGAATGTCCTTGATGACGTTTTTAAAATTTATGAATTTTGTTAAATCTTGACCCTCAAGTGTGTCTTTTTATTATTTTGTGTGACGAAATTGGAATGTAGAAGCACTTCTGCAAACATGATGGTTATTCTCATCAAGAGACTTGTGCCGTTGTGTGAAGTATGAACTGAATCAACATTTTTTTATTTAAGTAACTGTTATTCAGACTTGGTTATTTGGCAGACTTTTTTTTTTTTTTTTTAAATGAAGGAAATAAATTTGTTCCTTGAAGGAAAGCAACTGATAGTATTTGTTGCCAATGATAAAATGACAGCTTTCGTGAGAAAATTAGAATTTTGGGAAGTTTCTTTATGCTGCTGTCACCATAACACTTTTCTAATTCTTTTTCCACCCATAAGTAAAGAAACAAGCAATTTTCTAATTCTTAAAGTCTTCTAGTGAGTCTTTTACAAATAATATTAACAAGTATAATTTGTTGATACTGTATAATTAACCATGTTAATATTTGGAAAATGTGCATAATTCAGTGATTGATATTTTCCAGATGACCAGTGAATGCTGTCACAAATCATGCATGGGTAGAAAGTTCATTTAAAGTGCAAGGAGACTGATGGATTTTAAAGTACCTATGCAAAAAGTTTATGGATGTGGTTTCCATGTTGCATTAACCTTTAAGAACCATTTATTGCATTTTGGTATGATATCAAAGAAGACTATCCACAGTTACCTGAAAAACCTTTTCCAGCTGTTTGTGTGAGGATAGATTCTCTCGGTATTCTTTGACCAAATAAGATAGCACATTTATGACCAAATAAGAAAGCACAATAAATGTCGAATGTAGAAGCTGATCTGAGAATACAGCTGTCTTCTATTAAGCCAGAGATTAAGGAAATTTGCAAAAATTTAAAACCTGCCACTCTTTCTTGTCATTACTTTTATGCATTTTGAAAAGTGATTTTTCATGAAATATGCTATTATGTTTACATGGAATCTTGTTTTCTTATTTTTAAAAGAATTTAAATTTTTTTCAATTTTAATCTTTAATTCAATAGATACTGTAGTTCACACAAACTTAAAGCTCTTTGGGGTGCTCAGTAATTTGTAAGAGTGCAAAGGGGTCCTGAGACTTATATTTGCTGCTCCAGAGAATTATAGGAACTAGTTAGCACTGCAACTGGTATAGTGATAATAGTTATGTTTCAAGCAGCCTCTCATTTTATATACATATTTATTTGTATAGTATTTATTTAACATCTACAAACTAGGCAAGTGCTAAACACTGACCAGAGGTGCATTGGTCCTAGCTCTCACAGAAGTTATACTCTTCAGCAGAAGTCAATATTAAATAAGCGGTAATTATTACGTACATTATAGGGCAGACACCCAGCAAGGGCAGTTAACTTAGTTGAGAGTAAAGAGGAGTGATACCTAAAGAACAAAAACT
Source organism: Homo sapiens (assembly GCF_000001405.40). Lineage (NCBI taxonomy): Eukaryota > Metazoa > Chordata > Mammalia > Primates > Hominidae > Homo > Homo sapiens. The sequence continues at coordinate 193,146,036 of NC_000001.11, forward strand.
AGTGAGGGAGGTGAGAGGGGTAAGGTGGGAAGAGTGGTCCCAGCCAAGGAAACAGAATGCCTTGTTTAAAGAAGAGAAATTATGTTGTATTTGAGGTTCATGAGGGCAGCGACCATGTCTTTTTTGATCATCATTGTACCCAAGTGCCAAGCAAGGTGTTTGGCTTAGAGTAGATTCTTACTACATATTCCTTCAAATGTTAAGTGATTGATAGGCAGCATAAGAAGAGCCCCAAAGGAACTGTCAGACATTAGGGGTAAAACCAAGAGAGAGTAGCATCTCAGAGGCCAAGTATCTTTGTCTGTTTTGTGCTGCTGTGGATATCACAGACTGGGTAATTTATGAAGACAAGAAATTTATTTCTCATATTTCTGTAGGCTGGGAAATCCAAGAGCATAGCAGTGGCATCTGGTGAGGGTCATTTCATGGCAGAAGGCAGAAGCAAGCAAGCAAGCAAGCAAGCAAGCAAGCAAGCAAGCAAGCAAATGAGACACAGAGAGAAATGGGGCCAAACTTACTCTTTCGGGAATCCGAGCCCACTTTTGCAATAACAACATTAATCCATTCGTAAGGGTGGAGCCCTATGACCTACCTAATCACCTCCTAAAGGCTCCACCTCCTAATACTATTAGAATGGAATAAAATTTCAACATGGGTTTTAGAGGAGACATTCAATCCATAGCATGAAGGAAGAATATTTCATGAAGGAAAGAGTCGTCAGATTAGTTAGCTGTGTTGACTTTTGATCAGCATGTAATTGCATTGTGAGTTGAAGAGCATTTGTACTTGTACTTTCCAACTTACACATCTTTGAAAAGTGTACATTGACTTCTGATAGTATCTCAAAACTCATATGTAGCAATCTGAAATTAGCACTGGAGTTTAACAGGAGGATGTAGTAGTTGATTATTTTTTTTTCTGAACTAGAAGCCTCTTTTGACAAATGTATTTATATTTTATTTAGATTTTTTTTTTTAGACGGATTCTTGCTCTGTCTCCCAGGGTGGAGTGCAGTGGCGCTATCACGGCTCACTGCAAGCTCCACCTGCTGGATTCACGCCATTCTCCTGCCTCAGCCTCCCAAGTAGCTGACACTATAGGTGTCCACCACCACGCCCAGCTAATTTTTTGTAGTTTTGGTAGAGACGGGATTTCACCGTATTAGCCAGAATGGCCTCAATCTCCTGACCTCATGATCCACCTGCCTCTGCCTCCCAAAGTGCTGGGATTACAGTCACGAGCCACCGTGCCCGGCCTTATTTAGATTTTAACTTGCTTTCTGGTTATATATTTGAACAGATGCAGAATATGAATACATTTGTAGCAGTTTTTTTTTTCTTTTTTTTTTTTGAGATGGAGTCTCGTTCTATTGCCCAGGCTGGAGTGCAGTGGCATGATCTTGGCTCACTGCAAACTCCGCCTCCCGTGTTCACACCATATTCCTGCCTCAGCCTCCCGAGTAGCTGGGACTACAGGCACCTGCCACCACGCCCAGCCAATTTTTTGTATTTTTAGTAGAGACGGGGTTTCACCTGTGTTAGCCAGGGTGGTCTCCATCTCCTGACCTCGTGATCTGCCTGCCTTGGCCTCCCGAATGTAGCAGTTTAAGTAAAATGAAAATGATGAAATGAATACCATGGGATTTACAATAATCAGTCTCTGGATCAATATCTTAGTAGTGGTTGGTTTTTACATATGTGTATAATAATGATACCTTATGACATATGTAGTAGGGAAGAATCGATAGTAAGATAACTTAGTCTTAAATTATCAACTAAATTTACTATTGTATATTTAAAGTGGGCTTAATTAAAATCCATTTATATTTTAGAATTTTTCCAAGAACATTTTTGCAATTCTTCAATCTGTAAAAGCCAGAGAAGAAGGGCGTGCACCTGAACAGCGACCTGCCCCAAATGCAGCACCTGTGGTAAGAATGCTTTACTGCTTTACAGTAGATTTAATGAAGTTGCCACTTATATTGCAGTGTAGTAACGTTGAAGACATCTTCACATTTTAAAATCAGTGGATTCTAAACCTTTTGCTCCTTTAGCATATCTGAAAGATGTGAAAGCCCTCCCCAACATTAAAAGTTACTTACTTCAGCAGTAATTCTTAACTGGAGCAGTAATTCTTAATATACCTGGGTCAGAGTCTGAAAAAGGTTAATTAGGGAAAGCCCTCTATTTATTTTAGGTAAACTGTGGCTGGCCTACTCATTGTTGCTTGGGACAATTGCTAACCATTGTTAATAACATAAATCCCTGTTAACTCCCAGTTTGGGGTTCTTTTTGGCATTGTATCTATTACATCTTGGTGAATGTATTTCTCTTGATCACCAGCCATGCTGTCCTTTAATTGTACCTCCATTTCAGCTGCTCTGAGAGTTGACTGCCTTCTCTTTGAAGTGCCACTTAAGACCCTCCCAAAGTAAATTTCACGTATGACATATAGCCTATATTTAAATTCAAACATCCTCTAATTTTGTTGAAAATCCTTCCAGCTATTTTCATATGATTCAACAAAGGAATAAAACATACAAATGAAATTGTTTCTATTTTCTGCAATAGAAAATAGAAGATTCTATAAATAGAAAATTTATAATTTTTTTTTTTTTTTTTTTTTTTTTTGAGACAGTCTCACTCTGTTGCCCAGGCTGGAGTCAGTGGCACGATCTTGGCTCACTGCAACCTCCGCCTCCTGGGTTCAAGCGATTCTTCTGCCTCAGCCTCCCAAGTAGCCAGGATTACAGGCGCATGCCACCCCACCCAGCTAATTTTTGTATTTTTAGTAGAGATGGGGTTTCGTCCTGTTCAAGACCAGGCCGGTCTTGAACTTCTGACCTCAGGTGATCTGCCCACCTCGGCCTTCCAGAAAACCTTCTATATTTTTAAAACTCTGTTTCAAGTTTTAAAAGGCACATTGAAATGTATTAGAGTACTAATACAGCCTTTGCAACTACTTTGTAGTAGTTTTATTTGCTCATGAAATTGTTGGAATTTAACTTTTAAAGATGGTAGGCTTTTGTTGATAATTAGATAAATACTTTTAGTTGACTCTCCATCAAGTACTTAAGTGCCTTCTATTAGGAAGTCTGCTAATGATCTTGAGATACAATAGTGAGAAAGATTATAGTCCCTACTTTCTTTGAGCTTATAGTCTAATACAGCAGTCCCCAACCTTTTTGGCACCAGGGACCAGTTTCGTAGAAGACAGTTTTTTCATGGACCAGGGGGAGGTTTTTGGAATGAAACTGTTCCACCTCAGATCCTCAGGGTTTAGTTAGATTCTCAAACGACCATGTAACCTAGATCTCTCAGCAGTTCCCTACTTATTAGATGTTTTTTTTTTTTTAAAGTAGTGGAGTAAGAGCTATGATGGCAAAGCACAAGGTACTTAGAATTATGAATTTGTTGACATTTTGAATAGCTGTTGATAGGAAACATGTCAAACCTTAAAACAGTTTTACCATTTGTGACTGATTATTCTTTCTGTATATTTATATAATCGTTAGAATACTTGAAGGTTTTAATGTTTGGCATTTGACTATAGAAGTATATGCCTAGTGTGAAGTAAGCATATACTTATCATTCTTGATAGGTATTGATAAGTATATTTTATTTGGCATAATATTTGATATAGAATCCTATCATAATAAAATGAAAAGTATTTCAGTCTTCATGAATTTTCCAAGTAGCTTTGGGAATATTCCTAAATATGTGTTTTTAGTTTGTTAAACATTGTGAGTTTTGATAAAGTATTTGTGATTAAATAATGCATCATTAGACTGACAGCCTTTTCTAATTATTTAAAAAAAATACGTCTTCAGTCTTACTCTGTTTATAATGGATTAATCATCATGGCTTTCATGTTTATTTAAGGATTAATAATTTGGGTTTTTTTGTTTTGTTAAAACAATCATAATTGCAGGGAAGAGTATTATGTCGTAAAGGTACTTTAGCCAGGTATGGTGGCTCATGCCTGTAATCTTAGCACTTTGCGAGACTGAGGTCGATCACCTGAGGCTGGGATTCAAAACCAGCTTGAGCAGCATGGTGAAACTTTGTCTTTATAAAAAAAAAAAAATTAGCTGAGTGTGGTGGTGCATGCCTGTGGTCCCAGCTACTTGGAAGGCTGAGGTGGGAGGATCACTTGGGCCCAGGAGGTCTTGGCTGCAGTGAGCCATGGTCATGCTACTGCACTCCAGCACATTAAATAAGTGACATTTAAAAATATTAACAAGTAACTCATAATTAATTTTTTTACAGGATCCCACTTTGCGCACCAAACAGCCTATCCCAGCTGCCTATAACAGATACGATCAGGAAAGATTCAAAGGAAAAGAAGGCAAGTTGCTTAATTCTTATCTTCCCCTTAGTGTGGTTGTGTTGAACTTGAGAGGCAGTGTGGCCTGATGTTTAAGGGTAAGGGTTGGCAAAGTAATGTCTACAGACCAGATCTTACCCACTGCAATTTTTCTTAAATAACATTTTGTTGGGACACAACCACACTCATTCATTTATGTATTTTATATATGGCTGCTTTGGCTTTGTGACATCAGTATTGAATTGTTTCAGTAGAGACTGTGTAGCCTACAAAGCCTAAAAATATTATCTGGCCCTTTACAGAAAAAAAGTTGGCCAACCCCTGGTTAATAGCATGGATTCTGGATCCAGATAGCTTATGTCGTAGTAACTTTTTGTGTGAATTTTAATGTTACTTTAACTGCATTCTGCCTTAGTTTTCTCCTGTGTATAATTAAAATGTTATTATAGTGCCTGTCTCTTACCATTATTGTGAGTATTGGACTGGTTAATAAATATTGAATTCCCAGAATAGTATCTGATATGTAAGTAAATTATCTATAAATGTTTGCTGTTATTCATACTGCTTTTGTTTTTATATAATTTAAAGTAGAGATTCTATATGTTAAGTCATTTTTCCCAAGTTATAAATGTGTATGTACATTGAGAACTTGGAAACAAATTTTGAGCAATGATGGGAGGACTTACTTTGTGATAGTCTACGTGGTATTCTGGCTAATGCAATAACACCATTTCTGCAGTTGTGAGGTGAGACTAATGTCAGTGTAACTTCCTCTTGGGATCTTCATTCATCATGACTTGATTCATGAAAATATTAGGTAGAAGCAACTGGAAGTTAATGATATTTTTAAGCATAATCTGAAATCTTCATTTAAGTTTTTTTTAAATGATATGTTGCCTTGATGCAATGAATTTTGTGTGCTGACTTCATTCAGTTGTTAAAGGCATGCACTGGATATGTGCCATAGAAAGACTACGTCCATTCTTTCATTATAATATTCAATGTTTTTCTTGAGGAATGAATTATATAAAGCAGAGGTTGATAAATTACAGCCCCCAAACTAAATATCACCCTCCATGGGCCAAATTGGGTTGCCCCCAATTGATCACATATATTGTTTATTCTGCTTTTGCACTAAAATACAGAATTGGGCAGTTGTGACAGATTTTAAGGCTTGCAATGTGTTAAAATATTTGCCTTTACAGAAAGGCATATTGGGATTCTGTCCTGGCACTCCAATCATTATTTACAACATTGCTTTCTATAAAATATGTAATATGGTTGATTGCTGTAGCTCACACCTGTAATCCCAGCACTTTTGGAGGTGGAGGCAGGAGGATTGCTTGAGTTCAGTACTTTGTGACCAGCCTGAGCAACATGGCAAAACCGCATCTCTACTAAAAATACAAAAAAATACCTGGGTGTGGTGGTGCATGCCAGTGGTCCTAGCTACTCGGGAGGCTGAGGTGGGAGGATTGCTTGAACCTGTGGAGGGGGGATGGGAGAAGAGGTTGCAGTGAACTGCAGTGCCACTGTACTCCAGCCTAGGTGACAGAGTGAGACCCTGTCTCAAAAGAAAAAATATATATGTATGTATGTATATAAAAATAAGTATATGCCTTATGACTGAAACTTTGGAACACTACTTTTTATAACTTTGGGTCTTTTCATGGTATTAGATGCTTTTAGTGGTACTATCATTGAGTATTAGTAGTAAGTAATTTGGGGTTATAAAGTATTCAATCTTAATTTTTGAACATAATTGCAGAGATAGTCTTAACCAGCTTCTATACAATAGGCTTGCTGGTCTGTATTTAATATATTAATATTTTTTAACCTAGAGTCCTTTTTAAAGTTTTTATCTTCACAAGTACGTAATTTAATTTTACATAGTAGATTCAAGGCTTTGTATATTATTGAACCATCACATTCAATGTAGATTATTACTTTAGATTTGTTATAGGTCATAAGATACATGATCTATAAAATCTTAACAATAAGCCTCTTTTTTTTCGTAGAAACGGAAGGCTTCAAAATTGACACTATGGGAACCTACCATGGTATGACACTGAAATCTGTAACGGTAAGTTAATTTGGCTGTAGATGTTCTTTTGTTCCAGGGATTTTATGTGAGTAGCACATGTTGAAGTAAATCTTTAGTCTCTCATATTTTTTATTTCAAACATTTTTCTTTATTGATCACTTGTGCTGATTGATCTGTGTGGTGTATTATTTGATTCATGGGTATCCTGTTTCATTTTTCTTTTCCTTCAAATTAAGTTGAATATATGTAAATAAAAGCTGATTTGATTAACTTGCAAGTAGGGCAATGCCACCTGGTCAGTATTTAAAGCCTTTAAGTTATGAGGTCAGTTTGGGAGAGCTTTTTCGCATAATATCTTTTGTTTTTATTTTTATTTATTTATTTATTTTTTTGAGACAGAGTCTCGCTCTGTCGCCCAGGCTGGAGTGCAGTGGTGCGATCTCGGCTCACTGCAACCTCCGCCTCCCGGGTTCACGCCATTCTCCTGCCTCAGCCTCTGCGAGTAGCTGGGACTACAGGTGCCCACCACCATGCCCAGCTAATTTTCTTGTATTTTTAGTAGAGACGGGGTTTCGCTGTGGTCTGGATCTCCTGACCTCGTGATCGCCCGCCTCAGCCTCCTGAAGTGCTGGGATTACAAGTGTGAGCCACCGTGCCCAGCCTTGTTTTTAACAATGTAATGTCTTTCGCTCTTTAAAGAGATGGATTATAGTGATTATAATGCTTACAAAGTATGTAATTAACAGAACTAAATACTTGGGTATCTGTGAATATAAGCCTTTGGTTCATGTTTAGCAAACTTTCTTTTTTTAACCTAAAAATGGTTATTTCTATATATTCTGACCAAGCCATATTTAACATTTTAAATTTTTATTTAATGATCGGACTTGGTGATGTAGAACAGGAATTCTGTTAACCTCATTTTGCATATTTATATTCTAGACCATTCTACCTTTTATACTTTTATTTATATTCTAGATTATTATACTTTTAAAATACTATGCATGTGTATTAAATAGAGTATACTTAAGACACTAATACCAAACTTTTGTCTTTGCTTGTGAATCATCAGATCTTTACGGACTCTATATAACATGGAATCATTATATATGTGCTGTGGTTTCTCAGAATTAACATATAACTTTATATCTACGTGGGCTTTTACGTGTTTTACTCACTCATTTCCAAAAGCAAATAGCAAGTATAGAGATCTGATTTTAAGTTTGTTTTTTTCTGGACTTCAAATTGGGATTGGATATCAGATATTTTGTTAATATACTTGTTTTTAAATTGTCATCAGATTTGTTTTTGTATTATTAAATTATGTGTAGATTAATGAATTCATTCAACAAGTACTTATTGAGCATTTGTGTCAGATCCTGTTCTTGTTGCTGGTCATACAGCTGTGAATAAGACAGATGAGCCTTGTTTAGAGAGAGAAGTCAGAGATACTTCTCTCAGGAGGTAACAGTTGAGCAGAGAGACTTGGATAGCATTCCTCTACGTCAAGGCAGGGATCAAGACTGAGGTCCAGTAGAGCAACAGCAAGGAGGCCAGTGTTGCTAGAGTTTGGAGAACTAAGGGAAAAGTCATCAGGGATTAGATACTCCCATCTTATGCGATCTGCCTGGTTCTTCCTGACTTCAATATATAATTCATGGCTGAAGATTTAGTTTAAATTCTTATGTGATTTGGTTATTGACATCTTGGGAACAGAACTTGCCTACTAATCATTTCCCTAAGTGCGACAGAACTTGCCCGCTGATCATTCCCTGAGTGAATTAGTCGTAGAATGAAGTTGTTACCCTTGGGGAGCCATCAAAGTAAGTTTTTTGTTATTTTTGTGATTGTTGTTTTTACTTTTCTCATCCATCCCTGTACCTCTGAAATGCCATGAAATGGTTTTATTATCTGAGCTTCTTTGCAAGTAGTAAAATCTGTGATGGGTTTTACAGTGATGCTTTGTACAGAGCAGTTTTTCTAAAATTTAAGGATAGCTTCTTTATTGATCAGTATGAGAATGATGTGATTCTGCGGCATCATCAGAGACTGTTCTAAATATACTGAAAGAGGTGAATTTAAGCAATATACTGAAGTATACTGAAAAGAGAGGTGAACTTAAGCAAATTTATGCTGTGTGATTTTTAAAGAATAGTCATGAAAAAGGCATTGTGTAGGAATGCAACAGAAAGACTAAAAATGGTTAAATTGCTGATAGTTATATTAATACCCAGTTTGAATCTCTGTGTTGCTTGTGATCTGATTTATGCAGTTGTTAGAATTAATACATAGAGAAATTTGAACTTGAAAGCTTTGAAGTTCTCAGATAATTATTTTTTAGTTGTGTCTCAGACTTACGTTTTCAATTTAATATTTTTTTCTCTTCTTTTCTGCTTTGGAATTACTACCTATTTGTGAGCTTGTGAGTTGCACCAACTTTCTACCTTATTCTCCAGTCAAGAAAGTTTCTCCTTTATAATATCCACCCAGACATACAGTGATGTTAAATGTATGTTAAAAGGCTTTGCTGCCCAGATGTAACTTCCTTCCTAATTTATGTATAGTTCATTTTTGCAGCCATTGTTCTCCAAGGTTTTGATATGCCTGGTTGATGTACATAGTTAATAAAATTAGGATCAGTCTATGTATCTTTTAAGTTAAACATCAGATTTCTGTTATATGCAAGACTAAATTATGCAGACGGCTAGAATATTTTTATACAGATAATTTCCTATATATATATGTTGTAGAGAAGGATATGTTTTGATAATCACATTTCATAAGAATCATGGGTTAGTGAAAGTTTTTATAGAAGTAAAGGCCCCAGGGAGAGTGCTTTGATAATATTTTATGAAAGTAAGAATTATTCAAACTTATAGCAACAGAAACCCAGGTATCTTTAAAGTTACAAGTTTGTATAGTTGGGTTTCTGGTTAACTTTTGACTTAGGCCATGAAATACGTTTCACAGTAAAGATTCCAGAGGCCCAAGCCATGAAATTGTTGATTTGATAGATAACTTTTCCAAGTTTGGAGCTTTTCCCCCAAATTTGTTGCTTGGGTTCTATAATGTTTAAGAAACACTAGGTTAGGCCAGGCGCAGTGGCTCATGCCTGTAATCCCAGCACTTTGAGAGGCCAAGGTGGGCAGATCACTTGAAGCCAGGAGTTCAAGACCAGCTCGGTTAACATGGCAAAACCCCATCTACTAAAAATACAAAAATTAGCCAGGATGTGATGACGTGTGCATGTAATCCCAGCTACTCCCGAGGCTGAGGCAGGAGAATTGTTTGAACCCAGGAGGAGGAGGCTGCAGTGAGCCAGGATTATGCCACTGCACTCCAGTCTGGGTGACAGAGTGAGACTCTGTCTCAAAAACAAACAAAAAACCCCACTAGATTAAACAGATTTTGTGGTTCAGGAATCTCATTGTTTTTAATGTATGAGTATCTAAATTGGAAGAATATTCAGTCTTTCTCAAGCTTATTTAACCCCCTGAGTTTGCCCCTACCCTAACACCTAGGGAATATTCTTTGAAAGGACTAGTGTTTCATAGAATCAGGTTAAGTAAAGCTATCTCAGAATTATGTGTTAGAAGTAGAAACCATTCAGTGGGGGAAATAACAATATATTTTCATGGTTTCATTTTGTGATAGGGTCATATTAGACAAAGAATGTCACTTGATAAAGTTTATTGTATAGTAAATAAGAGGATATAATGAAGGTCTGTTTTTGTTAGTTTGCAAGGAACCAATTTATGGTTCCACTGGAGAAATAATCAGATGGTGATCACAGTTCACTCTTATTAGTGAGGATTTGGTAGTTGCCTTGAGAACAACTTCATTTTAACCTGTCTAGCCTGTTCATATTTAACTGGAAGGGTTACAGACTCTAACCTCTATTTGTTCTTAGTGAGTATCATTGACTCTTGATTACCTTTACTGTCTTCATTTTTGCGGAAGCATCTCACACCCTGCAATTATAGAGATTAAAAGCTTTCCTTTAAGATCTTTGCTTGAATTTATTCCAACAGTCATCATAGTTCTTACACTAAGTGTGTTTTGGGGAACGATTTTTTTTGACAGTAAGTAAACTTAGGTAGCTTTATATAATTTGTTAGAGGTGTGATAATATCACCATCAATTCTCAGGAGGATCCAGAATCTCAGTCTGTCAACCAGGTTAGATTCTTAAAAGCAGGAACACATACATAGCACTCTCCCCACCCCACCACTGTTTTATAAAGCTTCCTTCATTCCCATTTGGTTATTGATTAATTTGTTGTTCATCTCTGCTTGAAGTGTTACGGGAGTGCTATAGTAGCAGTAATGTTCTGGAGTTGAGTGTAGAGTTCAGCTCTGCAGATAATGGAGACTCTCTTAAAAGCTGTTTTCCTTGGGGTTCTATTTCCTTTTCTTCCTCTTTCCTTTAGCAAATATTTGTTGAGTGCATGCTGTGTGCCTGGCAGTGTGCTGAGTGCTGGGACATCAAAGATGAACAAAACCAGACGTGTTCATACGGACTTTATGATCTGATTGGGGAGGGACACATTAGTCACACTATAAAATTGTGACTATGACAAGTGTTAAAGGTACGTTGTGCAACAAGAGCCTAAAATTGGGGGATTTGTTGCAGGAGTCAGAATACTTCATTTAGGAGGTAATTCTTGAATAAGATCAGAAGTTTATGTAGGATTTAACTTGGTGATGATGACAGGAAAACACATTTTAGGAGCAGTGAACAAAAAGCAGTAGTAAAAGCCCTGTGATGGGGAGAGAGTGGGGAGTAGAAAGATTTGAAAGAAGACTGGTTATTGTATATATTTTAAGGATGCTTGTAGGAAAGTTTGTTTTTCTTCTTCCTGCCTGTTCGTAAATGTTAGTGGATTATTACATTACATTGCACTAACGTTTATGAACAGTCAGGAAGAAGAAGATGGTAAGGTAGATCATATGTCTCTTTTAGCATGCTTCTGATGGAGTCATTCATTGTGCCAATCTAAATGTGGCCACAGATATGTTTTATTAGGCATCCATTATAATTTAAGTTTTTATCTTATTCACCACCATTTAAAAATTAGAGCTTGTCACATAAACAGTCTGGATTTCCAGCTTCCTTAAAATCTATCTGGCATGACTGCGTACTGGGTCTGTAGTCTCACATGGCAACAGCCACATCCACCTGAGCAGGAGCTACCTCCTTTAGATAAGAGGTTTTCTCTAGATTGCCACAGGCCTCATTACTCTGTTATCTTTTATTTAGCCTTCTTTACTTATTTCTGCTACATCTATAGACTGTTTTGGCCGTCTAGTTTGAAATCCCTGCTCTAGAGGCAGCACCAGTTTGTTAAAGATAAGTTAATCAGTTGGAAATACAACAAATATAAGGCTTTGAAGTCAGTGCTGGCTTTGATTTTCAGTTCTACCATTCATTCTCCTGCTTGTGAAGTTGAGGAGGTTATTTAACCTTTCTATCAGTGATTTTGTTTTTATTTTATAATATATATAATAGAACTTACATCATAGTATTGTTGAAGATTAAAGGAGACACTGTATAAAATGCTTAGTACAAAGAGGCTTAACAAATGGTAGCTACTTGTATTATTAATTTATGATTCTGTAAACTTAATTAGATGTATGTGTAAATGTAGGCAACTATATAGCTTTATTGTACTTATAATTTATTATATTTATTAATATATGTATTTAGTATTGTTAATGATATAATTTTCATTCAAAGTTATAAAGACTAGTTTATATAAATATTATGATAGTCTTTTTCTTTCAAGTAATTGGGGTGTTTTTGCAACAACTATGTATGTTTATCTTATAGCAGAGATCTTTTGCATTTGAGAGAAAGTAGCTGCAAATAAGTTGTTTAAAGAGGGTAATAACTAGGTTGGCCTTTTCCATCCATCTGTTAGGACTCATACTTAGAAAGAAATGTAATTTCTTTTAGTTTTAAGTTACTGATTTTCTGGACAGGATGGTGGCTCACAGCTATAATCCTAGAACTTTGGGAGGCTGAGGCAGGAGGGTAGCTTGAGGCCAGGAGTTTGAGACCAGCCTGTGCAAAGCAGCGAGACCCTGTCTCTAAAAATAAAAAAAAAAATTAAGTAACTTTCATCTGAAAATTATATAAAGTGTTCAGGATTTTAATATGTAGTTACATAATTATAAGTAGGAATATTACTTTTATAAAATGTTTTTTCTGTACTCTGTGTTTAGACTGGCATATTATTCTATTTGAGAATATTATATTACACTTTAAACAATTTTCAAAACTTGTTGCTTGTCTTGATATTTCAGGAAACAGAGTGGTTCTATCATGTGTCCGCCTAGCAGTATAAAGGTGTACCCCTTAAATGAAACACTATTTTTTATATATATGTAAAAACTGTTTACAAAATGTAAAAATTAAGATAGTATGTATATAATAGTCCATTGTATCCCTTAAGTTTTGAAAGTTTATTTTATATACTTGTTACCTGTTACATGAACATATTATGTGTTACGGAACATATATCCGTATTAACATATTATCTGTTGTATACAGTTTTTTGTTAGATATGCATTTTTCATAGACTTTTCTAAGAAGCCATCACGTAAGTGAATAGGCAATATTTTTTTCTCTTTTAGCACAAAGAAGCTCAACAAATGGTACTTGTAAAAAATCCTTTATATCCCTTTTATAATAATTTTCCCCCTTGTGATTTTTTCCAACTTTTTTTGACGGGGGCAGATAATGTTCTGGTTATAGATTTGGACCAAGTCTTAATATAAGGGAGATAAAAGAGAGAACTTTATATTATGATTTGTTGGCCTGTTTGTTACAGCAAATTAAGCTTCAGTTTTCTCATCAGAAAGGTGGTATAACTTCCTTAGGGATTTGTTTTGAGGTTTAACTGTATCCAGTTACACCTTGTTTAGCATTGCCCTTTTCACTGCTTCTTTAAAAGTTTATTTTGTTTTTTTATTACTGTTTTTGAGATGGAGTTTCACTGTCTCACCCAGGCTGGAGTGCGGTAGCGTGATCTCAGCTCAGTGCAACATCCGTCTCCTGGGTTCAGGTGATTCTCCTGCCTCAGCCTCCCAAGTAGCTGGGATTACAGGCGTGCACCACCATGCCTGGCTAATTTTTTGTATTTTTAGTAGAGACTGTATTGGCCAGGCTGGTTGCGAACTCCTGACCTCAAGCGATCTGCCTGCGTCAGCCTCCCAAAGTGCTTGGATTACAGGCGTGAGCCACCGTGCCCGGCCTCCTTTCACTGCTTTTTGATTGCAGTATGGAATTAATTGTAGTTATTGCATAAATGTTTTTATATTAAACATATATAATATTTTGTAAACGTTTTATACTGAATAATACAGATATACTCTTTTTCTCTAATTGGCTAGTATTTAGACTGAACACTTATTTAGATGGGTAAATATTAAATCATTTCATGCCTTCCTTGTAGTAAGAGGTGTTAGAATCTGATTTAACCTTAATATTTTGCCAGCATTATTAGCATTTTGGTGCTAATGTACTTCAAGAAAAATGAATTACAGCAACAACATATTCATGTCAGGGAATTTTAATACATATAAAGCGAATATTATTTTTATGTGGTTTAGTTTATATATCTTAACTGAGATTTATTGAAAATCCATTGCACACTGGTTGATACATTTTGTGTAAGCCTGTACAATTCAACTCAATTTAGCTTTGCATTTTGTTAAAGAATAACTATTAGTTTACCCAAAACATATTAGAGGTTTTAGTTAATATCTGTAACATAACTTTTAAAATTATTCTGCCGATGACTATGGAGTTAATGCCACAATCACAAAACACTTGAGATTTATTTTAGAAAGAAAGAAAAGTTATTGTTGCCACGTATATCAGAGTAATCTTGAAATCAAGATTACTAATAATTTTTAGTAATAAATTTAACATCACTTTGTTTTAAAATGCTGTAATATTGATCGTTGTAAGAATAGGAAACACAGAAACCAGTTTGGAAATATATTTTGTTAAATAACAAAAATTTATACTATGAAACATAGTTTTGGTTACATATATTCTCTTATAGTTTAGTATATAATGCTGTAGTTATAGATGACTTTCAGAATTGCACAAAGATTTTAGTTTTCTTTCAGCTTAATAGAGCTTTTTATTCCACTTTCTATTTACCTGCATCAGTGTAACTTTAATTCAATTTTAACAAAATTATTGTCAGTGTTAAACATATTTTATAACTTTTAATTTCCTACTACTCCTTGTATTTTTAGATTAACCACTGTTCTTTAACATACAAATGCTTTTATTTTCTGTATTTCTCTTTATTATTTTGAACAAATATTAATCTTTAATGTCCCTTTTAACTTTATGACAGATGTTTTAAATCAATTGGTTTATATGAAAAAAACCTAGTATATTTAATAACATGCTATATTTGGGTGTTTGGGTATGTCCTTGATGGGAACTTTTCCATTGGCTATTGCTGGCTGAACATTAGTTTGTTGGATCAATTTCTCGGTCTTTGTAAATTGATTTAGATTTTTGAGTGACTTTTTAATCTTTTATATAATTCCTGCATTCAAATTTTTTAAATTAATTGTCTCAGTATTTTTGTCTTAGTATTCATTGAAGTGTCTAGTTAGTTCATCCCCTTTCCCCTCCCCCATCCTACCAAACCTCATTTGATCTTTAATTCTAAGTTTTGGTTTCTTTTCCAGGTCTTTTTCTTGATGGATGTTTCTTTTAGTGTTGTTCTTCTTGTCTTTCCTGCTTCTCATGTTCCTCTGTGAGTGACTGTTCCCATGTTTTTTTTAAATACCTGTTTTTAAACTCTTACTTGCTTCTGGACTGGACAAATCTTGCTATTTAGAAACTAAGTTCTTATTTGAAATTTCAGAATGGTGCTTTGCACTGAATCCATTGAAGACATATTCACTTGAAATGCTTAGAAATGAAAAATTTTAAGATCTTACTTTTGTTTTAATTAGAGACAAAAGTCATACCATAGAACTCAGATAACTCACTGTTGAACTTGTCATATTTTATGGGTGTCATTGAAAAAGCTTTTATTTTTACATTTAGATTTTTGAAACTATATAAGATCAAATTAGAGTTTTATTTTGAAATCAAGTCAATTTAACTTTATTTATACACACGCATATATATATTATTATATAATATATAATAGATAATATATAATAGATAATATATATTATATGATAGATATATAATATATTATATAATATATAATATATTATATATCTATCATATAATATATATAATATATAATATATTATATATCTATCATATAATATAATATATATAATATATAATATATATCATATTATATTGTATATAATATATATCATATTATATTGTATATAATATATATCATATTATATTGTATATAATATATATCATATTATATTGTATATAATATATATCATATTATATTGTATATAATATATATCATATTATATTGTATATAATATATATCATATTATATTGTATATAATATATATCATATTATATTGTATATAATATATATCATATTATATTGTATATAATATATATCATATTATATTGTATATAATATATATCATATTATATTGTATATAATATATATCATATTATATTGTATATAATATATATCATATTATATTGTATATAATATATATCATATTATATTGTATATAATATATATCATATATTATCTATTATATTGTATATAATATATATTATATATTATCTATTATATTGTATATAATATATATTATATATTATCTATTATATTGTATATAATATATATTATATATTATCTATTATATTGTATATAATATATAATAAATATAGTATATATAATAGATAATATATAGTATATATGATATATTATATATACTATATATTATATATCATATATACTATATACTATATATTATATATACATATATATTATATATAGTGTATATATATATATACACATATGAAGACAGAGTCTCACTCTGTCGCTCAGGCTGGAGTGCAGTGGCATGATCTCAGCTCACTGCAGCCTCTGCCTCCCAGGTTCAAGCAATCCTCCTGCCTCAGCCTCCTGAGTAGCTGAGACTACAGGCGTGCACCACCACGGCCTGGCAATTTTTTGTATTTTTAGTAGAGATTTCACCATGTTGGCCATGCTGGTCTCGAACTCCTGACCTCAAGTAATCTGCCCACCTCAGGCTTCCAAAGTGCTGGGATTACAGGCGTGAGCCACCACACCCCGCCAGTTTAACATTTTTACACATTACAATTAAAATTGATTCAGTCTTTTATCATCCTCTACAGTGAATTCTGGACATTATCAATCCTGTAATCATTTACCTCCCCAAATTTGGTATTTTTGGAGAGATGCTCCAGTTTTTCTACAGTGTCTTTTTGTCATTTCTGTCTTATGTGTGGTGCCATAAATATTCTGGAATTGAATTCCTAATATATTTCATTATACCAAACTTGAGAACTAAAATAAAGCAGCTTTTTGATCTTTCAGAAGTTACTGAATTCTTACTTGTGTTCTATAGATGGCTTTTAGAAAATAACACCCCATTCAGCTTCTGATAGGATTATAATATTTTAGTAACTTATCTAGCTACACAAGGTATTTCACAATATCCTTAGGAATTACTGAGTTTTAGAGTGACAGAATAATTACCAATTATTCTGATAGTAAATTTGTAGGTACATTATAATTCATCAAGAACTTTGTGGGGTTGTGTGTGTGTGTGTGTGTGTGTGTGGGTGTGTGTGTATATTTTTTTTTTCCCCCTCCTAGAAAAGTTAACAGGCTGGGCGCAGTGGCTCATGCCTGTAATCCCTGCACTTTGGGAGGCTGAGGCGGGTGGATTCCTTGAGCCCAGAAGTTCGAGACCAGCTTGGGCAATTTGGCAAAATCCCGCCTCTACAAAAATATTCAAAAATTAGCCGAGCGTAGTGGTATGTGCCTGTAGTCTCAGGTACTCAGGAGGCTGAGGCAGGTAGATTGATTAAGCCCAGGAGGTCAAGGCTGTAGTGAGCCATGATTGCGCCACCACACTCCAGCGTGGGCAACAGAATGAGACCCTGCCCGCCCCCCAAAAAAAGAAGTTACTTTAAGAAGAAACTTCAAGAACGTAACTATTTAAATAACTTGATATTGGAAAATATTTTTCTTTACCTAGGTTAACTGCAGTAGACATAAATCATCTAATACTTTCTAATAAATTGATAGGTACCAATTTTGGGGCACCTGTGATAGACATTTGTATTATTTCTAACTTTCTGAGTCATCATTAATATTTTTGAAAAGTTTGTATAACTTTTAAAGCTTTAAACATCAGTGTAAAAAGGCTATAGTATAGTAGATTTTTTTGTTTTTTGAGATGGAGTCTCACTCTTGTCACCCAGGCTGGAGTGCAGTGGCGTGATCTGGATCAACTGCAACCTCCGCTTCCCAGGTTCAAGCTGTTCTCCTGCCTCAGTCTTCTGAGTAGCTGGTATTACAGGTGCCCGCCACCACACCCAGCTAATTTTTGTACTTTTTAGTAGATGGGGTTTCGCCATGTTGGCCAGGCTGGCCTTGAACTCCTGACCTCAAGTGATCGGTGGCCTCCCAAAGTGCTGGGATTGCAAGCATGAGCCACCATGCCCAGCCCAGTATAGTAGATTTTACAAAACTATGCTTCATTGTGTCATACTGGCAGTATTACATTTACATTTTATATTAGAAACCTCTTGTAGATCATCGAAGACTAGTCCATAGTACATAGTAACTGGTTCTAAGTGACTGAATAATTTCAGTCAACATATTTTCTGTGTAACAGATCAAAGGAGAAATAACTGCTGGTGATGAACAGCAGTGTGGAGGTTTTGTTGCCTATGGTTGATCAGCTGCCTGAATCCTGAGTTGTCTCATAGGGTGGCATTATGTTAGTAATTTGCTGTAGCCCAGAGAAAGGCTGAGAAACTAAGTAATGTTAGTATACCATGAGAAACTGATTCATTTTAATTAAGCTTATGAGAGTAGCATTTGAAATCAAATGCTGATTTATTAATTTGCAGTGATAAATGTAATTAACAAGGGCACTGGATTCTCACCTCTAGCACATAACATGTTCTCTGTGTAAAGCTACATTGGAAATCACAGTGTACTGTGCAATGAGCATATAATAAATTATATCCTTCAAATGTTTAGTGGTATTAAAGTAGTCTGTTATTTTTAACTCTTCATTAAAAAAAAGGACTTGTTGCAAGTCCAGGGTACCTTTCCCCTTGGG
Source organism: Homo sapiens (assembly GCF_000001405.40). NCBI lineage: Eukaryota > Metazoa > Chordata > Mammalia > Primates > Hominidae > Homo > Homo sapiens. The sequence goes on from NC_000001.11 coordinate 193,164,693, forward strand.
CACTGCTTAGATAGGTTTTGATTTGCCATTGTGATTTCTATTCCTTGTTGTGTCTGACTAATCCCTTGCCAGATGGATATGATGTGTTATTTCTTTAGATGTATAGATTACTGAGTCAACTTTAGGACTGTGTTTCATTCCATTCTATTTGATTTGTTAAAAAGTGTTGGTGAGGGAACTAGCTCTTTTGAATTTGGGATTTATAATGTAGATATCCAAAGGATCTGATTTATCACAGGAGAGGTGAGGAGCGATAGACTGACCTTTCTGCACGTTTGAGCTGTAAATTTAGGATTAGTCACATTTAGCTTTGTTGATTTGGAAGGGGAGAGAAGAGCAGGGATTTCCTGCTGGGTTTTGGAAATCTTTCTTTCTTTTTAAAGAGATGAGGTCTCACTACGTTGCCCAGGTTGGACTTGAACTCTGGGCTCAAGCCATCCTCCTGCCTTAAGTACCTGAGATTGCAGGTGTATGCCACTTTCCTCAGCATGGAAATCACTTTCTCTACCTTTCACTTATTACAGGTTGATAGTCAAATTAATGAGGCTCCTTAAACCTCACCCTCCCAATTAGTAATTTCAGTGCTGCAAAGACATTACAATTTAAGTGTTTCTTAGCATTGTATAAAAGTACTTAAGATTCAGAATGCAGTCAATATGAGTAAAAAATCAAATATGGTTAAAGTGCAAATAAAGTAGTATCATTGTAAAGTACAAATAGAGAAGTATAAAGAAGACTTTATGTATCAGTAGATAAGTAATAATTATATGTTGGGATGAACGTTTTACACAGTCTCAGGATGGACACATTAAAAAATTCTGCTGTGACATATTTGAAAGACGTGAAGATACATACAGCATAAATGCAAAGCATGAAATATTTTTCATAATTGGTGGATTGTGTAAAAGTTTTGTTTACATTTTACTCATTTGATTGTATTTACATAAAATGTATTTAGTGAAATTACCAGAACCATTTTCAGTAATAGAAGAAAATAATTAGTCTTTTTCTCTCTTTCACACATGGATGCATGCACATGCATTCGTATCTCTCTCTCCCTCCCACATATGCATAAAATTGATCAAAATGTGGTTGAGGTCTCCACTGGTACACTTAAGCTGAGCATGCTAACATTTGGTCTGTAAGGAACAACCTACCATTTTTATATGTGCCCTTATTTACTTACACTGTATTGATATTTGGTGTTTGCCCATAAAAATAAGCCAGCCATCCTTTCACTATGAGTTTTACATGTAAGTTCTGTTATGCCTTGTAATTTTAGGTTGACTTTGTTAAAAAACAATTATCAAGTTAGTCATAAAACCTAGTTTCCAAAACCAGTGTTTGTTATCTAAGCTGAACTCTTAGAAACTTTAATGTGAAATTATTTTTAATGATAATATAAAAATGAAGAGTCAGGTATGAGCAAAAGTAAGTAATATAGCAGGAGTTTGTATAGTTTAAGTGCATTTTTTTTTCTTTCTTTCTTTTTGGAAACAGGGTCTTGCTCTGTCACCCAGGCTGGAATGTAGTTGTACAGTTAGAGCTCATTGCAGCCTTTATTTCCTGGGCTCAATCACTGCTCCCACCTCAGCTGGGACCACAGGCATGCACTGCAATGCCCAGCTAATTTTGGTATATTTTGTAGAGACACGGTTCACTGTGTTGCCCGGGCTGGTCTCTAACGATCCTCCTGCTTTGGCTTCTCAAAGTGCAGAGATTACAGGTGTGAGCCACTGCGCCCAGCCTTAAGTGTGTTTTCATTATTGCCTTACATTTTTTAGTCTACAGTGATTTAAAATGGTTTAAATGTAATGATTTAAGTTGGGGATTGACAAACCTCTTCTTTAAAGGGCCAGAAACTAAGTACTTTAGGCTTACAGGCCGATAGACAAAACCACGGAAATTATGTAGGTGCTTATGTAACAAGAGATAAATCAAATTTTCACACTTTTTTTCTTTTTTTTTTTTTTTGAGACCGAGTTTTGCTCTTGTTGCCCCTGGAGTACAGTGGAGCTATCTTGGCTCACCACAACCTCTGCATACCAGGTTCAAGCGATTGTCCTGCCTCAGCCTTCCCGAGTAGCTGGGATTACAGTTATGCGCCACCACGCCCGGCTATTTTGTATTTTTAGCAGAGACGGGGTTTCTCCGTGTTGGTCAGGCTGGTCACAAATTTTTAATGACAAGTACAATGCATGATAATAATGTGCAATACTGATTTGATAATGAGAATAATGGAATTTCTTTTTGGGTGTGAGGGAACATTTTGCTTAATTGAAGTTCCAAGTTAGTGTTCTCTATGACCAAAATTGATTGCAAATTCATCAATGCTGGTTTATAATGAGATTTTATGTATTATTTCAAAATTCATTAACTATGTAATTGGGGAACTTCCACATAACCCTCCTTTGGCAGTGATAAATCTGCAAATAATCAAGAAAATAGTGTAGTAGAATTCTTAGATGGACTAAATTTGCCCATCTGAGCTGTTTTCAGCTCCACACATAGTTTTAACTACCATTTGTTTGGTAGCATCAGCATCTTAATAGATTCCCCTTCAGGTTGTACTTCATTAGTGTTTTCTGAACTACTTTGAAATTACTCCTGCCTGTAGTTTTTTTATGTAGGCTACTCATAGAGGCTAATTCCTCAGCCACTTCAAAACATGATTTGGACTCCTCGAATAAACCATAACTGAGTGGTATTAGTAACATGTTAACAAGCGCCAAAGAAAACCACTCAGTCATTTGCCTTGACTTCTGATTGACAATTGATGTTGCTACACCATGACCTCAACTCATTAAGCAGTAGTGAAAGGCTAATAGTCTAAAACAAATTTATTTCCTCTGAATACATTTTTGACTGCTTTAATCAAATCAAATTTAATTAATTAACCATAGATTAACCATTTTCCTTCCCTGGCTAACAAGGAACCTCTCAAATTTGCTTCACAGCCTAATTTTAATTTTTTAATTTTTGTAAAGAAATTTTGTGTTTTCTGACCATTCCTTTCATCTGAGTTGGGAATGTTGCAATGAGGGCTTAGTCTGGTAATATTTATATTGTATTCTTTTAGCACAGTTGTAGTGTCATTGCATTAGATGGTAAACAGTGCTTTGCCATCTGATTTTATTGTACATTAAAGAGCATACTACTTTTCTTGTGTTTTTTTGTTGTTTTTTTGAGATGGAATCTCACTCTGTTGCCCAGTCTTCAGTACAGTGGTGCAATCTTGGCTTACTGCAACCTCTGCCTCCCGGGTTCAAGCAGTTCTCCTGCCTCAGCCTCCTGAGTAGCTGGGATTACAGATGCCTGCCACCACGACTGGCTAATTTTTGTATTTTTAATAGAGACAGGGTTTCACCATGTTGGCCAGGCTGGTCCCAAACTCCTGACCTCAAGTGATCTGCCCGCCTCCACCTCTGAGTGCTGGGATTACAGGTGTGAGCCACTGTGCCTGGCCTCTTTTTGTTTTAATGTGATGAGTAGGTACCAGCCTCTTTTTGTTTTAATGTGGTGTAGGTACCAGTAATTAAAAAAATAAAATTCAGATGTCCTTATGTGACAAAATGCTTGGCACACAAAATGCTGTGTTTTGCATTCATCCAGGAAATGTTTGCTGTGTGCCTGCTGTATGCTAGGCAGTATTGTAGGCCCTGGGGATATAAATAGGAGGGAGGACAAACAAAATTTAGTGTTACATGCTTTTTGGAGGATTAAAGTAAGGTAAAGCAATATAATTGCATTTTTTGTGATTTGTATTGTGCCAACTGGCAGTGCTAACTAAACCTGAGAGTACCACATAAGGTTTCTGTTGTCCATGTTTAACTCTGCCTTTTTTTTTTTTTGAGACAGAGTCTCTCTCTGTCACCCAGATGGAATGCAGTAGCGCAATCTTGCCTCACTGCACCCTCCATTTCCCGGGTTCAAGCAGTTCTCTGGCCCAGCCTCCTGAGTAGCTGGGATTACAGGCGCCTGCCACCATGGCTGGCTAATTTTTGTATTTTTAGTAGAGACGGGGTTTCACCAAGTTGGCCAGGCTGGTCTCAAAACACCTGACGTCAGGTGATCCACCCGCCTCAGCCTCCCAAAGTGCTGGGATTACACGCGTGAGCCACAGCGTCTGGCTGACCTCTGCTGTTTTAAAGGCAGTCATCGACAATAGGTAAATGAATGAGTTTGGTTGCATTACAGTAAATCTTTATAGATGCTACAATTTGAATTTCGTGTAATTTTTACATTTTAAATAATACTTTTGATTATCTAGATTTTTTTTTCAACCATTTAAAGTGTAAAAACCAGTCTTGGCCTGTGTGCCATACAAAAACAAGTAGCAGCCTGGATTTGGCTCACTGCTGTATTTTGCTTACTCTTGACTTAAATTTTTATCAGTGGATATGGAGGCAACTGTTTATTTCTAATTCAAGTAATTAGTACTTGTCTCATTTTATGTCTTTAGAAATTGATGTTTAGATGAATTTTAAGAAGGATGCTATTTAAACACACCCATACCTGGCATATGCATTAAGTAAAAATATGAACTTTAACATTAAATTTGTGAGAATGATGCTGGGTATGGTGGCTCACACCTGTAATCCTAGCACTTGGGGAGGCCAAGGCCGGTGTATCACTTGAGGCCAGGAGTTCGAGACCAGCCTGGCCAACATGGTGAAATCCTGTCTCTACTAAAAATACAAAAATTAGCTGGGCGTGGTGGCACATGCCTATGATCCCAGCTGCTAAAGAGGCTGAGGTAGGAGGATCACTTGAGCCCAGGAACCAGAGGTCACAGTGAGCCAAGATCACATCACTGCACCCCAGCCTGGGCGACATAGCAAGACTCTGTCTCAAAAAAAAATAAAAAATAAATTTGTAAGAATGGAGGCAGTTGCATAATGGCTGATGCCTATGTACTGTAGATAAAATTACTTTCCTGTTTATCTTATGAGATGCAAGAATATTAAATGAAACTTGTTAATGATGAATTTGGATTTTATAAAGCAATAAGAGGCAATGCTGTAAGATGTATTTCCAAATGAGTTTTTGAAAATAAAATCCTGACAAATATTTTTTCTTAGTGTGATCCCTTTTGTAATTTTATTTCTTTTTTTTTTAACTTTTAAGTTCAGGGGTACATGTGCAGGTTTGTTACACATGTAAACTTGTGTCATGGGGGTTTGTTGTACAGATTATTTCATCACCCAGGTATTAAGCCTAATACCCATTAGTTATTTTTTCTGATCCTCTCTCTCTGCTCTCCACCCTCCGACAGGCCCCAGTATGTGTGATTCCCCTCTATGTATCTGTGTATTATCATCATTTAGCTGCCACTTATACGTGAGAACATGTGGTATTTGTTTTTTTTTCCTGTGTTAGTTTGCTAAGGATAATGGTCTCTAGCTCCATCCATGTCCCTGCAAAGGATATGATCTCATTCTTTTTTATCACTGCATAGTATTCCATGGTGTATATGTAACATTTTCTTTATCCAGTCTATCATTGATGGGTATTTAGGTTGATTCCATGTCTTTGCTACTTTGACTAGTGCTGCAGTGAATATACGCATGCATGTGTCTTTATAATAGAATGATTTATATTCCTTTGAGTATATAACCAGTAATGAGATTGCTGGGTTCAGTGGTATTTCTCTCTTTAGGTCTTTGAGGAATCACCACAGTTTCTTTCACAATAGTTGAATTAATTTACACTTTCATCAACAATGTGTAAGCCTACCTTTTTCTACACAACTTTGCCAGCATCTTGTTTTTTGATAGCCGTTCTGACTGGCGTGAGATGGTATCTTTACTGTGGTTTTGATTTCCATTTCTCTAATGATTAGTGATGTTGAGCTTGTTTTCATATGATTGTTGGTGATGTATGTCTTCTTTGGAAAAGTGATCATGCCCTTTGCCTACTTTTTAATGATTTTTGTTGTTGTTGTTGTTTATTTGTTTAAGTTCCATATAGATGCTGGATATTTGACCTTTGTTGGATGCATAGTTTGCAAAAATTTTCCCATATTTTGTTGGTTTTCTTTTTACTCTGTTGATAGTTTCTTTTGCTGTGCAGAATCTCTTTTGCTTAGATCCTATTTGTCATCTTTTGCTTTTGTTGAGTTACTTTTGATGTCTAATTATCCCATCAAGTAAGTGCTACACCCTGAACTGGAGGCAACATCTTTCTAAAACACATCTGTGAGCAAAGGGGGCACAGCCACATTTTGTGGGAGATGCATTTCAGCATCAGGAGGCAGTTAAGTCTGCACAGGTTATCCAAGGACTATATGGATAACTCACAAGTGTTTACCCCTCCAGAGAAAAGCCCTGTGTGATAACTGCTGTCTTTCAACTGTGGAGACTGAGGCACACACTGGCAAGCAAATTGCTTTAGGAACTATTGGCAAACAGGATCAAGAAAGAATTAGCCTCTGCTGAACACTGCACATGGTTGAGTCTGTGTCCCAGCTATCAGGGTATCAATCTGTCTAGGTCCCAGCGATATTCCCAGTACCTGGCAGAGTTCTTGGGACAAAGTAGATACCTCTGTTCATTTTCTATTGTCACAGTAATAAATTACTAGAAGTTTGGCAGCTTAAAACATTCTCTTACAGTTCTGTAAATCCAAGGTTCAGGTATATCGTGGCTTAGGGAGAGGCCTCCACTTAGAGTCTCATAGACTGAAGTCAAGGTGTCAACAGCAATGTGTTCCTTTTGGGAAACTTAGGGGAAGGACCCACTTCCAAGTTCCTTCGGGTTGTTGATTGAATTCAGTTCCTTGTGATTTTAAGACTGAGGTCCCTGATTGTTTGCTGGATGTAAACTGAGGGCTAGTTCAACCTTCAGGAGGCCACTTGGTTCATGGCCTCCTTCATCTTGAAAGTCAGCATTGGTGGATACAGTCCCTCTCATGCTTTGACTCTCCCTTGTTCTTCTTCTCTTCTGCTGTGTTTCTCTCTAACTCTTCTCCCTTCCTCTTAAGGGTCCATGTGATTATACTGGGCCAATCAGGAAAATCTCCCTATTTTAAAGTTATCTGCAAAGTAACTTTGCCATGTAATGTTAAAATATTCACAGGTTCTGGGGGCTAGGGCGAATGGAAATCTTTGGAGAACCATTGTTCTGCATACCACCACACTCAATCAATATTTTTTAATAAATGAAAAAAAGATGTATTTGTTAGTGTTGGAAGAATAAAAATTTTATGAATTTTTGGTTGCTTAATGTTAAACAGAGTTGATTTTTGTTTGTTTTGAGACAGAGTCTTTCTCTGTCGCCCAGGCTGGAGTGCAGTGGCATCTCAGCTCACTGCAACCTCTGTCTCCTGGATTCAAGTGATTTTCCTGCGTCAGCCTACCCAGTAGCTGGGACTACAGGTGTGCGCCACCACACCTGGCTAATATTTGTATTTTTAGTTTGGATGGGGTTTCACCGTGTTGGCTAGGTTGGTCTCAAATGTCTGACCTCAAGTGATTCACCCACCTCGGCCTCCCAAAGTGTTGGGATTACAGGCGTGAGCCACTGCGCCTGGCTGATTTTTGGTACCTTTTTTTTTTTTTTTTTTAAGAAAATTACTTAAAATGAGTAATATTTATGCTAAGATATCCAACTGATTTATAACAGCATATGATAAAGTTATGAGGTTTCTTTTTTTTGTATTGATTTGCAGTGGAAAGATAAGCAGTTGATTGGTGAGAGACTGCTGAGTTTGATGACAGATTAGGAGAGCAGGACAGTATAAATAGATTAGGGAAGAAGAGAGAATTAGTGAGCCAACCTTCCTGCAGGTTATAGAGCCTTTTATGTGTTCCTACCTTAAATATGCTAAGATCCGAGAGATGGATAGTTCATCCCAGTTAACATAAATGAAGAGTTCTCTTTCAGTTCTTGTCATTTTTTTGACAACCCGGGAACCATCTTGTATGGCCCACTTGCCTAAGTCAAGCATTCCATCACTCTTCCATTCAGACGTTTTGCTTTCTATCAGTTGTGAAGACTACAGTTACCTGGCACTGCATCCTTTTTCCCTCTTCCTTTTGCCATCCTGTGTTCTGAATTGTCAGGTCCACCTAAATAGAAGGCCTAAACTTGATTGTTACTTGGTAACTTAAGACTATAAGATTATTGTTCCTAAACCATTGCTGTATCTAATACCAAGATGTACCAGTTTGATCAAAGACTTAATTTTCTAGGCCCAGACAACTGACATAATGGATTTAGGTTTATTTTTTCTTTGAAATGAGTGCATGAGTGCCTTAAGATAGAGTACATAGTCAAAAAATATGAATACTATAGCAAGTTTTAGGGATTCTTGCAGTCTTCCTGAGCACAGTGGTGGAGAAAAGAGGAAAATCCCTGGTTACATTGCACACTCATCAAGTCAGGCAACCTGGCCTAGGGCAACATAAGCCTAGAGAAAGGAGTCTTGTTCTCTGGTTTGCTCTCTGCAGGTTGTGCTTTTTTGTGATCTTTTTCCTTTAGAGAGGCTCCTTATTGTGAAGCAGCTGTTAAAAGGGTATGCCTTATTCTATTTCTTTTTCTTGGTTTTCTTAATTACTTAATTATAAAACATTTCTAACGTAAATATAATGAGAGAAAATAGCACGTGATCTTCCATCTTCCCATCACACAGATTGTATAATTACCATTTTTAAAGGCTCTCCTTATCTGTTCCACCTCTTCCTTTTTTTTCTAAAGTATTTAAATGCAAAATCTAAACACTGTGATTTTGTTCCTGCACACTTTGCCTCTCTTAAACATATGGACATCTTTTACATAGCCACAGTGCCATTGTATACAACAAAATAAATAATATTGATGTAATCCTAACACACAGTTCATTTTACAGTTTCGATTTCCTGAAAATTGTCTTTTTGTAATTCGTTTGTTGGAAATAAGACCCAAACAAGCACCATAAATTGCGTTTAGTTGTTAGGAATCTCAAGTATCTTTTGCTGTAGTTCATAATTTTTTTGTGCCATTGGTGCATTTGGCAGACTGGAAATCCTGTGAATCCTCTTTCTGAATATATTTTTAAGGCATAAAAGAAAATACATAAGATAAAACCAATTGTATTTAAAGTAAAATCAAGATATTTTTTAAAAACACATTTATGACATGATTTGTGCTTCTTTACTAATGCATTATGTAACATGATCTAGTGGCAAATTTGATAAATACCAGATTTTAGAAGTCTAATGAGCATATGTAATTTTGGGATATCTTTATTCTAATATGTTATGAAAAAATCTGATTTTTGTTGGTGACAAAGTTGTAACCATTTATAATAATAATACTGTGGTTTATCTGCATTCCTGAAGAAAGTCTTAATTTCATTAAGAGATTAATGAAAATAAAATTGTAAATTTTTTTCCCATTACGTTTCTTCTGAATTCTATCCACAATTCCATGCTCTAAAGGGGCAGTACATATTAAGAAAGGTCTTGGCTACAAGTCTTCTCGGTGGCTTTTTCTAAGTTTTTCAACAACTTGACAAGTTCTTTACCTCTTAGCCTTTCTCCTTCCAGTTGTTTGTCTGGAACATTCTTCCTCTTGCTCTTAATAAGACTGATTCCTTCTCATAATTCAGATCTCAGTTCATCAGCAACTTTTTCAGGACCCTTTTTCTTCTAGTTATCTTGTTGTTCATTTGTTTCCTTTGATAATCTTTCTTTAAATATATGAATTTGAAGGTAGAAACTATGTCTTTCTTGCCTTCCACTATATCTCCAGTACTGAGAACAGAGTATTTTGCATGTAAATGTTGCTTGAAAAGTATTTTCAAATGAATCTGAAGCCTATGTTATACATTATATTTTTAGTTATTTTCCATACTTTCATATGGGTGTAGAGTGGTAATTGTAATTCATTATTACTGTTAATGATGCTTTGTAATATATAGGCCCTCAAGTGCCACTTGACAATCCTTTCATACATTGCTTGGTGATTCTTTATTACATTGTTCCTGGCGAATCAGATTCTTTATACAGTGTTTTCTTTCTCAGTAAATGGCACTGTCAGTGTTCAGGCCAGTGTTCTAGGCATCATCCTTGTCACTTACTCCTCTCTCATCTCTAGTATCCAGCCATCATGAAGGCCTGTAGACCTTACTTGCTGACATCTCTGGAATTCCTTCTCTCCATGTCACTACTACCCTTTCTCACTATAGAGAAAACTTGATTTGATACTGTAAAACATTTTCCTTTAAATGAAATGAAAATGCTTTAAACGAAAAGAGTGAGACTGTTTCATTGAGTCAAGTTGTAATTCACTATTCCTTATCCAGGAATTTTTTGTTTTTTTCTTTTAAATAAGTCTCGAGGGAGAGAGAATAATTTACAGTGAGATAGAAGGTATGAATGGGATCAAAAGATTGGGTAGAGGGATTAGCTTTAGCAAGGAAGAGAATCATTTATGGGCCTTGTAGCTGGCCAAGGGTTTTAGGGATTTTGGTATATAGTACCTTGAGAAGCCATTGAAGCAGTGGGATGGCATGCCTAGCTTTGTGTTTTGAAAGTAACATTATGGCTGTAATATTGGCAACAGATTATGTGGATATGAGGAAACTGGCTATAAAGGTATTGCAGTAGTTAAAAAATGAGTGATGCTGTTTTAAATAGGGGCAAGATGAAGAAAAGTAGATGGATTCCAGTAGGGATCCAAGTAAGTCTTTGGGTTAAATGGATATGGGCAATAGCAAGAGAAAGAAGTGGCAAAGGTGATGATAGAAGATAACTTAGGTTTTAGTTCATATTAAGTGTACATGACTTACAGACATACAGACACAGTTGGCACTTCATATCCGTGGGTTCCACATCCGTAGATTTAACCAACTGCCGATCGAAAATATTAAAAACAAAAAACAAAAAAACCAAACCCAGAACGCCTGTGCTGAACATGTATAGACTTTTGTGTGAGTTATTTTTTTCTTAAACAATACAGCATAACAACTATTTACATAGCATTTAAATTGTATTAGGTATCATAAGTAATCTAGAGATTACTTAAAGTATGCAGGAGGATGTGCATATTTTATATGCAAACAGTATGCCATTTTATAAAAGGGACTTGAGCATCTGTGGATTTTGGTGTCTGCAGAGAGTCCTGGAGCCAATTCCCCACAGATACAGAGGTATAATTGTACTCTAAATTAGAGGTTTTGCTTATGACCTTTGATTAAAACTTTACTTTTGTAAAAATCAAGTTTACTTGTCTTTTTTTTGCTCAGTTATTAGCTTTCTCTCTGAAGTATATAGGAGTCATTCTCTTCCCTCTCTTGCATGAATCTGTTAGGAAGAAGATTGTAGTTATTTTTTTTTCATTAACCTTTTCAGAAGACAAACAGATCCCTGATAAGGGAATAAAATTTTAAACACATTTTTAAAACAAATTTTAAATGTTAAGCAAATGTGAAACATTGGGCTAGTTTTCTTTGTTCATTAATTTCTAGGCTCAGACAACATTTTGCATTGTATCAGGCCCAGGCAGTCAGTTTTTGTGGTTACTTTTGGGGCTGTGTTGGCCCTCCCTCATGGTGGTGTGACCCTAGGAACATAGGCCCCTAAACCGTTTCCCTGATCTTTTCCCAGTAATAAGGCATTTATTGCAACATAGCATCAACTCCATTATGTTGTATACACAAGAACTGTTTTGCTTTTTTGAGGCTTGGTCATGGATACTGATTATGAACAGACAAAAAATCTTCAGCATGTCCTCTTTAGGAGAAGTTGTCCTTGGATCCATTTGCCAAGGATTTGTTTAGGTGGCATAGCAGACAGAGGACATTGTCTTACAGAGCATTAAAGAATCATCATAGGAGCAGCAAACAATTTTATTACTGTAAAATTTGGTGGTAGTGGGTTTTCTATCCCATTTTAGTATTTAATATACATCATCTGCCTTCTGGGATTAATGTCTAAATGATACATTGAAATTCTTGGAGATGCCTTAGAAATGTCTGTCAATAGGAATTTTTTTTCTACTTTTTAAGGCTATGTTAATCTCATAGTGAAATTTCCTAGTTAAACAGTAAAAAATAGAAAATTTATCCAAATAGTCTGGATGAACTGGTTTTACCTTCTCATGACAAAATGGTAGGTGACCAAACAGTAGGATGGGTAAATGCAGTTCTACTTTTATCTATTAAAAATTAGCAGTTGTTCTTTAAAAAGAAGCAAATTTTATAATTTCTAAGTGCCACCTGCCTGCTGTTTGCATTTGTGCCTCAGGGCCCAAAGAAGCAAGAGATAAGCAGTAATGTGTATGTTTTGCAATGGTTCTTGTCACCATTAAACAACAACTGGAAAGAAGGGAAAATAATTGGGGGATCAGATATACTCTCTTTTCTCTTGTCTTTATTGTTCCTAATATCAGGTGCCCCTCCAGTGTGTGAAAATGGTATGAAGCCTGGAGGCCTGGCAAAGGATGAAGAACAGAGAATGGGAATATAAAGGGACAGACCATTTTTGCTCAGCTCTAGACTTTTTTTTTTAATCAGCTGTCATATGTGAAATAATAGCAGAACAGTGTAATGATTAAGAACATGATCCTCGGCCGGGCGCGGTGGCTCAAGCCTGTAATCCCAGCACTTTGGGAGGCCGAATCACGAGGTCAGGAGATCGAGACCGTCCTGGCTAACACGGTGAAACCCCATCTCTACTAAAAATACAAAAAAAAAAAAAAAAAAAAAATCAGCCGGGCGCGGTGGCAGGCACCTGTAGTCCCAGCTATTCGGGAGGCTGAGGCAGGAGAATGGCGTGAACCCGGGAGGCGGAGCTTGCAGTGAGCCGAGATCGGGCCACTGCACTCCAGCCTGGGCGACAGAGCAAGACTCTGTCTAAAAAAAAAAAAAAAAAAAGAACATGATCCTTGAAATGGAAATCTGCTGCTTTACTAGCTGTGTGATCTTAGGTATTTAACCTCTTACACGAGTCCTTCCTGTCTTAGTGTTGTTCCTGAGGGTTGTATGAGATCATGTATGTAAAGTGCTTTAACACAGTACCAAGCATACTGCTTGTACAATCAGTAAATAGTTTCTACTGCTGTTACTGGTATTATTTTTGTAGAATTTGCTGGAAATAGCACATTAATAAAATTGCAGTTGAGATTATATGTGATTATGCTGTATACAAAGAGGTGTGAGGAGAAATCTCAATTATTTGGTTGAATTAGAATTTCACCACTTATATACTTGATCAAAATAAATAAGTATTCTAAGTATTGAAAGTTTTGGTGTTTTCATCTTCTTAAGTACCTATTAACACTTTGAACATAAAGATTAGTTATTTGTGTACCCTTTGACCAAAAGCAAAGCTGTCATTTAAAATTATATTTTTATGTATATAAAAATCACATAGTGTCGGGATGAAGAAGACACAGTTAACAAGTGGTGAGATGTTTATATACACTATCAGCTTATTTTGCTTAAGAAAACGACTTGAGTATTGTTGCGGAAAAGTCAAAAGTAAATTAATAGAATATTTATTTTAAAGTAAGGATTTTCAACAGTACAAAGACACTTTACTGTTTGATCCAGTCGCCTTTGAGAGCTCACAGTGTCTGATATCAGATTACTATCGTTTTTCAAGATAATGTTAGGAATATAGAAATTTACATAGATTTTATAAATTTTATAGATTTTAAATTGAAACTTGAGATAGGAAGAATTTAGGTGTCTGTTATCTGTTTTTCATGAGTCATTTTTTAAAAAACTTTTTCCAGATGGAAATTACTATCTTTTAAAGATCCTGCAAAATAGTCATAATTTGGACAAATAGAACTTGAGTTCTCTTTCTATGTACACACCTGTGTATGCACACACACACACTGTTTTTAAAACTTTTGAAGCATAAATCAGCATTATTCTACACTGAGGGAAGGATTCCTTTTGTCTTCTGTCAAACATGCTGATCTGATTTGGTATTATCCCCTTATGTGTGACTTTTATTAAGTAATTCTGGTATTTCTGTAGTCATATAGAATAAATTAAGTGAAAGACAGGCTTGATCCAAGAGCTGGGGTGTGTTACATAGATCAGCTCTCAGAATCACTTGATTTAGAGTAGAACACTTAGGCTACTGATTTGAAATGGAGATAAGCACTTAAACAGTTTTAGTGTTTTCAAGTTTCACAAATGTTACAATTCTCTTCTGGTGATTTATCCCTTAATAATAGAATAAGAGGTAAAAATGATTGTTATTAGAATTAAGAAACATTCTGACTAAATTAAGATTGACAGATTTACATACTTGTATGGAATAAAAACACTATTTTAGTTAGTAGGTTGGTATTTCTTGATTTTAAAATTCATGATGGAGTCAAACAAAATTATTGTGAAAATACTTATAACACTCAGTAAAGTTTTTTGTTTTCCTTTATTTTTAAAAACTTCATAAAAGTGCATTGTATACATTGTTCATCCTAGAATTGTGTTTGTCAAACGTTTGTAGTTTTCCCCATCCCTCCCAAAAAGGTTTTTAATTGGTGATTCAGAATATTTGTCATCTACCAAATTAAAAACTGCAGGTTTGCAAACTTGGCACTCCAAGAAAGAAATAGGTGCCATAAAATGATTAAGTGTTGGCATGTGTACACCTGCTGTCAGGAAATAAACTTCCCGTATGTTGCATTTTGGCAGACATGCATCTTAAAAATGTGTTGAATGAAACTGCACCTGCACTCTTTATCTTTTTCAACAGTACATCCTATTTGTGCCTTTAAGTGATTACTTTTGCTTCGATTATCTTTACAGATATATTCGAAGTTAGATATACATGAAATTAAATGGTGGTGCTGTTTAAGAGTGCAGTAATTGGTCTAATCCAATAACTCATTGAAATAGGAGTTTGGTTCTTAACATCAATGAGGAAACAAAACTTGTCTATTTTGAAACATTTAATAACTATAAAAACTTGAGCCTGAGACACATTAGTTTTTCACATTTTACCACGTCATGTCAAAATAATTTTCCCCCATATATTAATAAAAGAAAGTATTAATAAAAGAAATTTAAAATAATATCTCAGTTATTTTTAAAAAGTAAATACTTTCGTGAGAACTGCATTGATGAAACATCTGAACTTTATAATGTGTTTGTGGAATAACTCAACTAAATCTTATTGCATTTAGAACCCTAAAATAGGTCAAAAAATTTATCCTTTGCACAATTAAAAAGTTTCCTTAAAATTGATAGTGATGTTTTATTTACATTAAATTATATATTAAAATGAAAAGCTTAATCTAAAATGAAGGATCTTTTGACTGTCATTTCTTGAATTAAAATTTATGTGGAAAACATATGCAGATACATTTTATTGGCCCCTAACAGAAGACTTGAACCATTGATTTATGCATGCTTGTTATTGCATGTTAATACACAGAATCTCCTTATACAGTTTTTTAAATAGATTGTTTTGGGAAACCTTTTTTGTTATATAATGTTATAGTTTTAAGAATTAACTTCTTCAGAAATTAAAAAAATACTTCTTGAATTTCTTTATGTGATGAGTTTTAACTAAAACTTGTCCTACGGATGTAATCAGTTCTAACTATACATGCTTTTAGCAATATTTACAAATTGCACATTTGAAAAAAAATTGTCTTTTCTAATGTAGTTTACGGTGGCGATACCTGCCTGCCTTTTCTTTTGCTGCGTTGGCACAGGCATTGTGCTTATTTTGTTGTAAATGGTTCCAGTATTTTATCAGTTCACTAGGCTGGAACTGATGAGAGGTAATTAGGTGGCTGTATTTACAGCTCGAATAAGAGACTCGCCAGTGATTGAACACAAACTCATTGGGAGGGGGTACAGGATCAATTCTCAACTTGGCAAGACAGATCCCTACATATACATCTTCCAAGTGCAAACGGCGGATACCTAAAGAAACTTTAAAAATCTTTTCTGCCAGATCTCCAGAAAAAACATAACCAGTTCCAGAACAGAAGACAGGATAACGCTCACTTGGGTAGAGGTCTGGTGGCATGTACCACTTGCTATCTTTGTTTCGATTGGGTGCATATCCTCGCATTAGGTAACCAGTGAAATAGTTATGTCTGGGAGGCAGATCTGGCTTCAGTAACTTATTGATTAAATATTCAGTGTTGACAAACATGTCACTGTCAGTTTTCATAACATATGGAATATGTGGACAGTATGTTGCAACCCAGTTCATGCCCATTAGTGTTTTAATGGTCAAATTATAGTACGTATCTAAGTATTCCTGTTGAATTATATCATGATATTGTCTGCTTTCTTCCAGTATTGCACGTTGAAGGTAGCCATTTAGCTTAATACTTAAGCCCAACAAAAATATTCTTGTGATTTGAATACCAGGTGCTAGACTTTCATTGCCCCAAGTTTGCCGAATAGCTCTTCTAGCTTCTATTTGTCCAGGCTCTGCAGCTATTAGTAGTATTAAAAAAGGACTTTTCTCTTGGCATTTTTCAGGCTCATTAATAATATATTTGAAATGGTAAGAATTTGGATGTCCAGTACCTTTTTCATTGTAAATACTTCCATTGGCACTAAGTGTATTCTCCAGGCCTGTAACTCCTTGTGGTGACAGGTCTGTGTTATTAGAGTTAGTTGCTGTTTGAGGCCTCAGGGTTTGAGGGACTGTTTCTTTCCAAATGTTCCGAAGGGAGCTGTGGTTTGTCTCACTTTTTGTTGACCGAAATCCTCGGAAAGTGTATGTCACAGGGTTTTCTTTGAATCCAGCTCTGCCTGGCAGCCAGTCATGATGATTGAAAAACAAAAACATAGCAAAAAGAAACACTAGAGAAAGTACTCCAATAAGATGAGTGCGGAACAGAGACCTTTTGGCATTCCAGGTCATCTTTGCAAAGCAGCAGTGTCTTCTCCTCCACTGAAGCATGTTGTAAATATCCAGTAGTGGTATATGAGAGATTGGTGACCAAAAATGTTTTCTTCTCCTTAATACTATTCTTTGGCAATCATTTTCTAATTCAGTCACATTGTCTCTCTTGTAGTCATTCTATAAAAATGAAGCACAAAAGTTTACAGAACTGCCTGAAAGGGACTTTGGGTACTAATATGATCAGGGCAAATAGGAATGTCTTAAGCTGTGAAAATATAACCCAGGAACGAAGCTTGTAATTTATTTCCCCTTGGCAACATAACATCACTGAGAACAAGATTAATTTATTTAAAAATATACCTTTGTAGCACAGTGAGCATTTTAAAGAGATGAGGTGATGGATTCATTTCATTGTCTTGTTACACTGGTCATTTGTACTTTTGACCCAAGTTAAAGATTTAAAAGTTGAATGTATTCGAGAAAAATGTTACTAGATTTCTGAGAAGGGTTGTGTAAAAACGCCTTAAGAGCAGATGGAAAATTTATTGGCATTAATTAAAATTGATTTGACATACTATTGGTGGTATGGTGCACAGTCAGAGGCCTTTTTTGTAAAATGGTCATGTATCAGTTGTGGGACAGACGGTGCAAGGTTGATTATGGCAGAGTTCTGTTAGTCACAGTACACTGCTTGGCATGTTTCCATTGGCCCCTACTGTGTTGAGAAAGTCAATGAGAAGATGCACCTGTCAAAATTAATTTTCAGGGTCTAGTAACTTCAGTGTAGGATTTTTAGACAGTAATAAATGATTAACACTTTCAAAAATTTTAACTTTTCTTTGTAAATATGAAGTATTCATGATATAATTGTTCTTAGACTTAAGATTAATTTTAAAATACAGCATGTAAGTGTCTTTGATTATCTATGGCTTTGGCAGAACACTGTTACATATCTTGGTTGAGTCTCCATGTTAGAATTAAAAGAGCTACTTTGAAACCAACTGTTTAAAATTCTGAATTTCACACAATATATTTTTAAATATCCTTGAGTTGTGCTTTATTCTAAATTTACATGCAGATAATTTGTTAAACTTTTAGAACTTGTCATTAGCACAGTTAGAGCCCTATATTTTAAAAAGGTTATGAGATGGCAATATGTGAGGTTCATGATGGCATATATTAAGAACTGGTTATGTTATCTTGCAACAAGGTTTTCAGTGCATAGCACAGATTTGTTCACATTTGTTCTTAGTGTTTTTGTTGTTGTTTTTAGTTTTTGGGGACCAATATGTCGAGGGAGTAGAGGTGGGCAAAGAGGTATAGTTTGAATTCCATTAAAACAGGAGAAAACTTTTTGACAAGGAGTGATGAATATGTAATTTTAATTTTTCCAACTTTTTATTATGAAAATTACTTCTTTAAGCAAAAGAAATCAATTAAAAAGTTTTAATACAGGAGCATTTATTTGAAATTACAGTGTATGCATAAATACATGTATGTATTTAGCCTGTGATAATGAGAGAGTCATGGTTAATATTAAATTTGTTTAACCTTGGCATAAATTTAATTACTTCTAGGAAATAGAATTTACATGGAAATCCTCATGTAATTGAATAGTTATAAAGTAAAATTCACATACATAACGTTAAGTACTTTGAAAATATTGATTGAAAGTGTTAGATGTAAATGAATGAAAGTGCTATTATAGTAGCAGCCACTAGGAGGAGCAAGTAGGTGGGAATTTGAACAAATATCTAAGGTCCAACCATATAGGCACCAGCGTTTGAAATTTCTAGTTTCTGAGATTACAGAGTACTTTTAGAAGTTATAATATTTCTAAAATGTAAAAAAATTAAGCATTTTGAAAGATGTGAACAATTTTTTTAAGTTTGGAATTTTAAAAGCAAATCATCTAGTATGCTATTTGTTAGAATTTGTTTATATGAATTTAAACTCAGCATTAGTGTAATGAAAACCAAGGCTATTCACTGTACCAACAAAACATAGTTCTGCTGTAAGCTAAGCTGAAAATAATAGAGCTGAGCATTCTGATTTAGAAACTCAGTGTTTTCCTTCTTGTACTTTTAAATAGCTGGCCATTCTTTTTAGACCAGGGAACTATTTTTAAGCTTTTATTTCCAAATGACATATTTGGTAAATAATAATGACTCTCCGCTCCACTTCATAAGGATATCAGTAGATATAAGGGTTATGTATGTAAATTCAAAAGAAACAAAAGTTGCTTTTAAAATTTATTTGATAATCTGTTCTAAGTGTTACAAAGATAAGTTATCTGTTTTCTGCTGATATGATAATACTTGGAATCTGGTTGAAGTCCAATTATACAGATTTTTTTTAAAGTGTAAATTTGATGGTGTAAGAAGGAGTAAACAATAAGGTCAGATGTTTGAATGGATGTTTGAGTTAAAGGACTGAGTAAATAAATGATGGAAAATAATCATAATTTATGTTGCTTTTATAAGAACAATATACCTGAAGATGTCTCTAAAGTATTTTAGTATTACAGAAAACAGCAAATTATTGCATATTGTAATGTAGCATAAATACATAGTTTTGGTCCTAATATGATTTTGTAACAGTATGTGATAGAGATGCATCTTAATTTAGACTTCATGGTATTTGTATGTTTTAGATGTTAAGCTGTTGAGATATTAAATCCATATATAACTATAAATCTCCCATTGATAAATGAAGTGCATGTGTCTAGCCTTTAAAAAATTCCTTATTAAAAGATTCTCAGGTCTTATAAATTTTTTTGTTAAAAAGAATATAAAATTAAAATAACCATGCCTGCTTTTTATTAAATGATAAAATTATTCTCCAGTTATTGCCTGTTGTATTTTAATTCTTAAAAAGAGAGAGCAAAACAAGAAAGTTCAGTAGTATGCAAAATAGTTCTGCACTTTTACATTTTTAGAAGAGAAATAGCTTTGGTTTATCTCTTCTTTTTTGATATCTTCACATTATTAATGTGTATTTATAGCTTGTGGATGAAGTTCATGGGGAGAATGTTACTGTAAAATGCTGTTCAGTACACACTCAGTTTTTATCATTTGGCTTT